>NC_000007.14:38990242-39615242 GCF_000001405.40 Homo sapiens
AAACTTAAAAAAAATCCTGTGGTATTTCTCATATTTTGAATTCAATAAAGGGCATCTTTTATCTGGCTGTTTTCAACTAACCTTTTTCCTGTCAAATGGCATTTTAAACATTGTGGCCCTGGAGATGGAGTGGGGCTGAAAAAGAGAACTTTCTTTCTACTTAGTAGTTTGAAATGTTCACAAAATGTTATCTTATTTACATTTATGTGTTATGAGTGTAAGGCCAAATAGAGTGTACTCCTAAATATCTCCTTTCGCTTTTACAAATGATTCAGCCATGCCAGACCTCATGGATATATGGTTAGAAAACAAAATGCTGATTTGGTGAAATAAATCAACATGATCTTCAACAAAGCACTTACTGCTTTGGAACATCAGAAGGGAACATAATGCTTGGTAGAGACAGCGTTGTTCTTTTTCTTTTTTTGTCTGGAGCCTGTAATATAATATATCTTATATCTTGTACCGCCACCTCTCCACACCTGCATCCCTCCTTTCAGTGATCACTCTGAATCACAGGGAGGGGACATGGTCATTGTTCAAACAGATAAGCTGAGCCTTGATACCATCTCCTGCAAGAGCCCAGCAATGCGGGAAATTGGGTTGAATCTTTTGAGAGGGAGTAAAAGAGAGACGTGTGCTAGAATCCAACACAGTAGACAAGGATACGAGTTGGAGATTTTGTGCATTAAGATCTTGGTAGGTTTTCTCGTCTATTCACATCTCCCTTCCTTCAATATTTCTTGGTGGTTTTCTTTCTTTCTAGTTGGACCAAATCTTTATAAGAAATAGAGATTTGAAGGAAATATTGAAGACAAGAGACTATGCTGCCCCCTGGTTATTTGCTTAAAGTCAGCACATTAACTTGATACCATAGCACAAATTATGGGCTCAAATTATTAATATGTTTATGAACAAATGAGCAGAAGAGTATGTCCCTAACTTAACCAATTATTATTTATGTTTAGGAACAATTACCATTATACAATAATAAAAAGATAAATACATGCCTCATGCACTCATTTTATTCTATTAGAGTTTCAAGGGACAATAAATAAGACCCTTTCTTTAATTTCTTAGTTTGTTTTCATTTAATACTTATAAATCTCATTGAAAACCGTGGCTTTAGACCTGCAACCAAATTGGTTTGCTAGCATCTTGTGCCCTGCATTTTGATCTTGGTACAGTCTACCAGTGGAAAGTTTGGGTCTGAGGAAGAGACCCATTTACCCAGGGTTTCTGCTTCCTACTGGGAGTGGGACAAAGAGGAAAAAGATCAAATTCACATATAGGACTAGAGGCCATGAATGTCATACTCTTGTCATGCACCAATGTAATACAGAATTGCTCCTCGCATGGGTGAAAAGTATGTTCACATGAAAACCTGAGCCCAGGGGAACAGAGTGCCTCCTCCCACCTTTCTTTATCTGGACAATTCCTTCCAGCCAATTTTTTTCAGGAAAGAGTGATATTGGTGTATTATTGAGGCCATTGCCAGACTGAAAATCCAAGCAAAGGGGCTTGAATAGAATAGAATTAACGGCTCTTTGTATTTTCAGTTTAGACTGGTGCAGAGATGTTTCTTTTCCTTTCACTTCTCTCTCTCTCTCTCTCTCCCTCTCTCTCACATCTCTATCTTTATCTGTCTTTAACTGTATAACATTTTCTCTTCTCTCTCCATACCCCCTCCTTCCCTTCTCTACAATGGAATTGGCCCATAATCATCTCAGAACAGGTGAAGAGTTGAAAGCATTGCTAGAGACCACACAGGTTGTTGTTTTCTCTTCACACTCAGCATCTTACTCCTTCCCCTTATCTCCTACTTCCCATACAACTCCTAAGTCTCTCTAGAGGTATGTCCTGGCCTGTAGCGGGAGCTCAGTGGGCACTATGGAATGACTGCTTCGTTACAACTATCACTCTCCTAATTTATACCTCAGTAGAATGCTCGTCTCAAGTGGTTTTGAAGCCTCAAGTTGCCTTTGCTCCATTTGTTCCCTCTCAACATTCCTTGTCTGGGAATTTGTTTTTTGCGCTCTGCTCCTAGCTTCATTTCAGAGTGTATAAATGAGGCTATCCTTGAAAACAGTCATTTTCTATTTTCATATGATGTCTAAAAGGAAAGGGCTTCTCAGCCATGGTTCCTTATTCATACTGCATAACACGTTTAATTTAAGCAGCCACCACCATGGTATCCAGCAGATGCTTATTTTTAGGAAGTCATAATGTTGAATCTTAAAACGTGAAGAGGGGACACGAGGTTCTTTGTAACAGATCTTAAAAGACAAAGGGGAGTGGAGAATGAGGACACAGAGTTTGTGTTTCAGGAGTTTACACTGACTAGATTTTAAGTTACATGGGGACCAGATAAACAAGGCATGACCAAAGGAGCATGACTGAAAAACAGCTTATAAAGTCAATATCATTGTCTTCAGGGATTTCATGAAAATATTCTTCTATTTTTTTGCGGCAAAAACAAATCTGAACTAACGCTTTGCCACCTTTAAAACATAGTCTCTGAAATATTACTCCGGGTGGAAATATTGTGTTACTATTCACTTTAGCAATGTTTTATGCAGTACAAGTGACTGTGAATAATTTTCATTTTTCTACAGTCTGGGAAATGGATTATTCAAATCAAGTTTTAAAACTTTTAATACAAAAGGCCACAGAAGAGTATGTTAATTGGCAGCTTCATGCGTACTTACAAATTGACAAAGTTAATGAATAATAAAATATAATGAATAAAGAGATTATTTTGGTAGTACTTGGAAACAGTGACTTGAGGTTAGGATCTACTCTAGTTGGTTCTTGAATAATATTTTCTCAAAATAATGTGTAAGTAAAGTTATGTTAATGGACTATTTTTTATTTCTGTGTATAAAGATAAGCAAATAGTAATATTTGATCACTTGACATTTAATTTTTTCTTGGTTTTTCAGCTCAGTTTTCAACATAGTAGTGAAGCTTATTTATACATATACATATATTCCTATATATATTCTTTTTAATGAAATAAGTATTGCTCTTCTGTATAAGAAATTAAGGAAAAAGGAATATAGGCAAAGGTAAAAAGAAAATAAGATTTTAGACTAGATCAGTAAAAAATGCAGTGTTGATTGGTTTCATTTATTTGAATGAGTGTCATGCATAACGGTTATAATTTTCAAGTTTTAAATTAGGATTGTGTAACATTATAAAGTATAAAATGGTATCTTAAAATGTCAGAAATAATGTCTGAGACTGAAATCGGGATTTCTCAGGGGTTGCAGGTTTAAGTTTATGATTCCAGAAATAACCTAAGGGAAAATCTGTCTAGCACTTGAACTGACACTGATCAACACTGATATTTGAATTGCAGGATTTTAAACACACACACACACACACACACACACACACACACACATCAGTGGTTCATATTTGTTTTTTTAATAGTATATGGAAACCTTTTTTTTTGGTCTTTTCACAAGAAGTCAAAACTTGTGAAATGTGTAAAGTACTCCAAGTTTAATGCATCAACGTAGCATTCCGTGGAAGAAGAACATGCCTGGTGTTCTGAGTGCGTATTTCGGAGCACTGGCCTCTTGCTGGTCCAAAGGAGTAACATGTTCTCAGGGGCTTGAGTTTCTCCCTTTGGAGGCAAAATTTAGCTCAGTCATTCCTTAGTACCTTTCACAGCTGTGGGTAATATTCATTTTCTTATCTCTCCTAGAAGTGATTTTTCCACTTGGTTGAACAAACCTTTTGTCCACCTAGAATTCAAAAAGTCTGAGGCTAATAAAAAGGCGAACCCGTCAATTTTGTTAGTGCCAACTCTTCTTTGTTATTCTCAATTTTCCTATATTCATTGAGCTTTGGATAAATATCATGTCATCTCTTTCTAAAAAACATGGGAACTCCAAGCTGCAAGAGTGCTACCTGATGTGCCTGAGTGAATAAACAACCTGGAAATTGGAAACAGACAGCAGAGTGGGATGGGATGGGTGTGAGGAGTCACTCAGTTGGTCAGGAAAGCCAGGCAGAGGTTTTGCAAAACAGTGTTGTGTCATGGTGGTATAATGACTGGTACTCGGTGGGTTTCAGAGGAGGTAAGAGGAATAGGAGGGAGGCGGGAGAAACAGGGAATTGATTCTGCAGGTCCCAGAGGAGGAAGGGAAGGATAATTCTGCATGGAAGAACTAGGAAAATCCATTTGCCAGGACAAAGGTGCAAATGAGGCTTTGGGCACAGAAAAAAAGTGTCTGCCAGTTTGTTGAACCCAGGGCATGGGGGCAGAGTAGGACTAGAGGCTGACATACATGAATGCTCCTCACCATGCCCGTGACAGGGTTGGTGAGCAGAGCTGGGGAGAGGGTTGAGTCTGGAGGTGCTAATCAGTGACACTCTGAATAAAGAAGAGTTGTGTGGTCAGAGAATCCAGCTGGCTCTGTTTTGTTTTCCCCACTTCCCAGTTTTCTTTACCACTACTCTTCCCCTCCCTGGTTCCCTGGTTCAGTCCCTCCTCACTTCAGAGCTCTACTTTGCTCTCCTCACTCCTTCAGTTCCCATTCCAATTCACAATGCCCTCAATTCCAGATAAAACCTAAAAACCTGCCATTTTGTATCTTGTCATTCTGCTCACCCACCCACTAATGTGGTGAATTTAAACTTTCTACAACCTGCTGCCATCTTACTTCCCCAGTCCTTAACTTCCAAGAATCCCCATTGACAGACTGATCAACTCAGATCTTCTTATTGAAAGCTTTTCAAACATTTCCCCAGAAGAAATCCCTGGAAAGCCATGTATTGCAGAAATCCCTGGAAAGCCATGCATATTCATTATATTGACCATAGAATTTGAAACCCAATGCTTAATTTCAGAGGTGTCTTCTTCATAGCTCAATGTTCCTCCATTACTTGTGTTTTAAAAAGGGATCAAAAGTACTAAGTTGCTTTCCAGAGATTCCTTGGGAATTCATGAACATCTATCCATTCTGTGTCTTGGAGAATGATTAGAATTATACAAATCAGGACAACTTAATTAGAAAAGATATTGTTAAAGAAGCTGTCTTCCAAGAATTTGACCTCTGAAACTTGTCCTTCTCACTGGCCCACTCTCTGGCATTTGTTTCTCCTGCATCTTCAAGGCAATATTGCTAAGTGGTTAAGAGAGGACTGAAAATGACACATGTATACAAATGTAACAAATCTGCACGTTGTGCACATGTACCCTAAAACTTAAAGTATAATACAAAAAATAAATAAAATAAAATTCCCTTTGTGATGAAAAAAAAGAGAGAGGACTAAAATATTTGTTTGGCTACAGAGGGAGAAATTCCCTCAGTCCTTGTAGAATTATAAGGTCCCAATGAATAATTTTTTATTAGCTACTTGAGGCAGGGGCCATATTTTCCCACAGTCTCTAGCAAAATTCTTTATGAGCATTTGAATACCAGGCCCATCACCTTTTATAGCTTTTATACCTTGCACAACTTAGCTCCTCTGTGTTTCAGTTCTTGAACAGTGAAGCAAGAGTTATAAAAATCACTACCTCAGAGGGTTGCTGTGAGAATTACACATAAGATAATTCATGTAGAGAATGAAGCACAGTGCTTGACTCACAGAAAACACTACATGTACATGAGTTAATCTGATTATTGCCACCCATTTACTTCTTGTATCTATCCTCACATTCTTGCTTCTTCAGTACTTAAACTTTCCTTGTGGAAGAAATGGAAGTGCTCATCCATCTTTGCCTTTTGTGCAAGATATTGCTGGTCATGCTTCTTGAAGCTCCTTAGTAAGGGGCTTGGCTTTTTTTTTTTTTTTTTTTTTTAGACAGAATTTTGCTCTTGTTACCCAGGCTGGAGTGGAATGGCGCGATCTCGGCTCACTGCAACCTCCACCTCCCTGGTTCAAGCGATTCTCCTGTCTCAGCCTCCTGAGTAGCTAGGATTACAGGTGGCTGCCACTATGCCTGGCTAATTTTTGGTATTTTTAGTAAAGATGGGGTTTCACCATGTTGGCCAGGCTGGTCTCAAACTCCCGACTTGAGGTGATCTGCCCGCCTCGGCCTCCCACAGTGCTGGGATTATAGATGTGAGCCACTGCACCCAGCTGGGGCTTGGCTTTTTTGACCCTAACCTTCTACTCCCAGTTTTCTTACCTCTCTTCTATTTATTTAACTTGCTATTGCATCCTCCTTCTCTCCAGAAAGAGTCATTCCCAAGGTTTGCTCACAGGTTCTTCTCTTTCTTCAGTATTCCCATCAGCTTTAGTAACTCCAACTATTATTTCTATCTATTCTTTCATCCACTTGCAGCCTTGACCACTTTTTTAGAGCATTATCTACCTAGAAAACATCCATGACTTTCCCTTCACAAGCATCATGTTGGATGCTAAAGGCATCTTTCCTACAAATCCACTCCACCTGAAAGAATAACAGCACTTACTTTTTACTTTTACTGTGTGCCAGACTGTTCTAACAACTCTGCTTGTATATCTATTTCAACATGAAAAAGTGGCAAAGTTGAGGTTCAAGTTCAAGCAGGCTTACTCTATGTTTATACCTCTTGACTTGCTTATATCCGCAAAGGCTGACAGCCTTCCATTCACTGAATCTTGGGCCCTCAGTCACCTTGACTCCCCCCACCTTTAATGAATGGACAGAGCACATGGAATCTACCTGGGTTGAAAAATCTCTTTATCCAGTCTTGCTCCACCCTCCCTTCCAGACTTTTGTTCCTCTTGCCTGAATTATTGACATAATTCCTCTCTAGTCTTCCTGTTCCTATGTTTTCTGTACATCAGTGACCTTCACACATTTCTTTTTTTCAAACAAATTTAACTTCAGAAGCCCCAAATGTAGAGCAGAGAAAGGCAGTGGGGCTCTCACTGAAACTGGGAGAAGAACCCAGATTTCCACCTGCTCTGTGTTGACTTTGTTCACTATTGAGCCAGATTCTGGATAATTTCCTTTAGACATGGCTTGGAATGCATTCTTCCCTATTCTGAAACATGAGGTCATGCAAAGCCCCATCCTGTCTTTTCCTGGTTTGTTTTTTTTCTTTCACTCCTCCAGTTCAGACTCTACACTCTAGTCTAATTGAACTAGACTACTCACTTTTCTCAAACATCTGCAGTTTCTTTCTTCCTTATCTCTGAACTTCCACAACAATTTGTGTTTACTTAAATCTTGTCCATCCTTCTGAAGCAATAGCTCCTGCAGCAATCTTCTACCTGTCTGCCTGAACCAGCCTGGCCTCATCTGAATCCTTAGAGCACATCGTGCCTCTTTTTGGCATCCACATTCTGTTTTCTTTTAGGGGTATTATAAGCCTGTGTTCTATTTCCCCTTGATGATGACCTCTAGGGGATTACCCCCTATGTAGATATGTGTTCAGCACACAGCCTTGAACCTAGACCCACCAAACACAAACATTGGCAGATGGTGAAAAAAATTCATTCACCCAACAAATGCTTATTGAGTATTTGTTAAGCAAATTTCTTAGCCCTCCAGATACAACAAGGTCCCAGCTGTTATGGACTGATGGCACGTATGGGTATATGTAAACAAATGTGATAAGTTGCTCCTTCCCTGAAGAAGGATGAATTTTATATAGTTTTAGAATTTTTAGAGGAAAGAGATTATCAAGTCCAACAGACCCAAGACCCTTGTTTTAATTCAAAGAGATTAACTGATTTGTTCAAAGGCAGTGGCCAAACCTGGAAGAGTCCTGAGTCCTGTTCTCTGGGCACTTACATCACAACTCTCAAGCCACTTTTGACTGGTCTCTAAGCATAAGATCTTGTTGGTTTAGAAAAATGGGAAAAACAGAGAATATTCTTTGCAAAATTCTTTTTATATGTACATTTATTTTCTCCGAAGAATTTTTAAATGATCAAGTCTTTTATCTTTCCCTCCTCTATTTATCTCTCCTCAAGCCCCTTTTCAACAGTCATGTGAACAATATATGCACTTAATTATTGCTTTACTCCTCATTGCAGTTAATAAATTACCTGTGACATCTCCTAGACCTTGCAAGTTCCCAAGATTGGGGTGGTGGAGGGAATCTTCTCCCATGTTCTCTATCAGGTACATTCTAGTTTCAGCTGTCCTATGCGATTAAAGTGTACTTGAGTGAATTTTAACAAGTCAGGAAGATAGGGTTGCAGTGCTCAGGTCCCAATGAAAGGAGTTTCCCAATGAGAGAAGTTTACATCACATACAATATGATCTCATTTTTAAAAATCATACCTATATGTAGACGTACAAATATTTTGATATTTATTGAGATGTCATGGGATACATAAATGCCATTAGGAGATCTGAACAAATTTAAATAAGTATTGACATGTTCTGTAAAGTATTTTCAATGCAAGGAGAATTTTAGGAAAATTTAAGCAGTAAAGATATTCTTGGTGTTAATCACATTTTTTTTTTTTTTGAGACAGTATCTTGCTCTGTCACCCAGGATGGAGTGCAGTGGCATGATCTCGGCTCACTGCAAGCTCCGCCTCCAAGTTCAAGCAATTCTCCTGCCTAAGCCTCCCAAGTAGCTGGGACTACAGGCGCCTGCCACCACACCCGGCTAATTTTTTTTTTTTTTTTTTTTTTTATTTTCAGTAGAGACCAGGTTTTACCATGTTAGCGAGGATGGTCTCGATCTCCTAACTTCATGATCCGCCCGCCTCGGCCTCACAAAGTGCTGGGATTACAGGCGTGAGCCACTGCACCCAGCTGTTGTTAATCACATTAGTTGATATAAGGGTGAGTTGGAAGAGGGCAAGGGAAGAAAGAGTAGACCAACAATTATGCTTAATGACTCAACAGTGGAGAACATAGCAATGGGCTATGTTCTTTAGGAGTCAGATGCTGGAGTTAAGTAGAAGGCATTTTGGGATAGATCCTAATAGCATCTCCCCTATACAGGCTTCTTTACATGACATTTGAAAAATGTGGAATATACTGTTTGGCTACAGAGGGAGAAATTCCCTCAGTCCTTGTAAAACTGTAAGGTCCCACTGGATACTTTTTTATTAGCTACTGGAGGCAGGGGCCATATTTTCCCGCAGCCTGTAGCACAATTCTTTACACATAGTAGGCACTCAATAAAGATTTGTCAAGTGTATGAATGCACAGGGTTTTCATAAAGGCATGATCCAAGGCTGTTCAGGTACTCCATTTTTATCGCCATTCAGAACTTACAGCTCCCATAGCAACAATAACTTGTACCCCTCAAGCATATGTAGTATTTAGTATTTCTGTATGTGGTGTCAACTTTCATGTCATAATATACTATATGTGTAACTGGTTAAGTTACTGTTGTTGTGGGAACCATAGGCTTTTTCCCACCTAAAATAAGCCCTTGCTAGCCATCCTTGTCTATGCAGAGGTGACAACTGTACAATCTTTCCATGCCTAACTCGTCTCTCTGACCCTAGGCCTCCTGTTTGGTCGACATATCCAATGACAGGTTTACGTGCTTTTTGCAATGACAATGCTGTGCTTAATAGTCTTTTTTGCTAGTAACGCTGTGACATTAATATTTTGAAAGCCCACTTTTAGATTTATTATTGCTTTGTTGGGGCGTACCATTTAATTACATGTACATTTTGAAAAGGGGATCAATTCAACAATCAGTCTGGTTATGAGATGTTCCTAGGCACGATGGCACAGAACAAATATGTTGTCTTATCCTGTCTCATGCCACCAAAGATGAAATGTACTTGCTTTTTTCCCTAAAGTAGGTACTAAAACTTTTTATTTTCTGTTCATAATGAGAGATTTTTTAGAGGGAGCTTCTTGAAACCTGGAAAAAATTACCAGCCCTCATTTTAGTTCGTTTTGTAATTCATCTTTGTGAATGGCAAGCTAAGGAAAGTGGACAGTGGACAGTCAGGGGTCAGTTAGGGTAACTCAAGTGGAGTTAAATGCTTCTCCTCTCCAGGTGCCAGCAAGCATGTTTGGGGGGACATTGGAGCACACTGTTTAAGCAGATTGGCCTTGAGCCAGCAGATTTCTGTTTGTGTTACTTGAAGCTTATAGATATACTCTTGGGAAAATCCTCAGAATATGCGTGCTTTTCTAAATGGGAAGCCTCTTACTGTTTAACACTGATTCACTTATAAGGCTTTTACTTCTAGCGATCACTTGGACTGTCTAGTGAAGCAAATACAATATTTTTACCAATGTTTATTACACAACAGCCACTAATATCAGACTGCTCTCCACTGTCTATCTTCTGCTAAATGTTCTCTTCATTTCTTCTACATCTCCACCCTCTCCATTTTCTCAACATACCCACAGACACACACACACACACACACACACACACACACACACCCTCCCAACTTACAATGAGATATTAATCTCTCATATGCATTCATAGCCCTGGCCTCAAGACCAATTTTTGTTTCTCCCAATGCTATAAATTGGGTCACTCAAACATATTTGTTGAAATGGAACAAAAACACTCTGACATTTTGTTTATAGAGTATCTAGAAAAGATCAGGGTCAACAGAGACTTGACTTCCCACTCCTGTCCTTTTTGTATCTTCTCTGCCCCATGCAGAGGGTCTCCTGTGCACTGTTGGTCCTTCCTTATCAATCACGTGGCCTTTCCTTTTCCTTAGATCTCCCAACACCTTGGTCCTTGGCAAGCAAAAAATGACCTGCCCAGTGTTGTTTGTTCAAATAATCTGTAACTGAATTCATACCTAGGTATTAATATGTGAGTAAACATGCAGTATTTATCGTTTAAAATGAGTTTCATGGCATTACAGTATATTATCCTTAAAGATAAATTTAATGGTGGAAATTTCATATTGGGAAGATGAGAGAGATGTTTTTGAGTGAATAGTTCCTTACCTTTTAACCTGTGTGACCTATCAGGTTACTTTTCTACCTTGATGTTCTTGATTGTGCCTGCATAGTTGGTAAATAGTTTAAAATGACTTATGGGTATAGCAGCATTAAATTTCCATAATGAGATGAAATATACTAGAAAGATCATTCTTTGACACAGGCCATTTTGATTTTTTTTTTTGCATTGGGTTAGAGTTTATAAACAAAGAGTTGATAATAGGCGATATATTATTTAATTCATGTGATTTTTATCGAGTACTTGTTATGGGTCAGGCATCTATCCTGGGGATAGAAGATTACTAAGATAACTGTGGTCCCTGTTCTCACCTAGCTTGCATTGTAGACAAGCAAACAGATGAGAAACAAGTAAAAAATAAAAGGAGAATCTCAATTTGTGGTATGCACCAGAAAGGAAATGAAAATTATTACTAAGCTAGTGAATTATGATTGAGGATGGGAAATCTACTTTAGATGAGGATATGTGGGAAGACCATGTCTGAGCTCTCTCCTAAAGGTTGCATGGTCAACCTGTTGACCACGGCTGGTGCTGCCATGGGAGAAATGGTGATAATGGTGGTGGTGATGGTGAT
Source organism: Homo sapiens (assembly GCF_000001405.40). Lineage (NCBI taxonomy): Eukaryota > Metazoa > Chordata > Mammalia > Primates > Hominidae > Homo > Homo sapiens. The sequence continues at coordinate 39,001,679 of NC_000007.14, forward strand.
GGTGATGGTGATATGATGTTGATGGTGATGTGATGATGATATAATGGTGATGGTAATGGTGATGGTGATGTTGGTGATGGTGGTTATGTGATGGTGATAGTGATGGTGATGTAATGATGATGGTGATGGTAGTGATGTGATGATAGTCATGGTGATGTGATGATAGTCATGGTGATGTGATGATGCTGCTGATGGTGATGGGGATGATGATGTGAATGGTGATGATGATGTTGGTGATAGTGATGATGTGGTGGTGATAGTCATGGTGATGTGATTTGTTGGTGATGTTGATGGTAATGTTGATTATAAGCCACAATGGGGTTTAAAACTAACCTGTGGTAAAAATAACAGGGCTATGTCAAATGTAACTCCTTGACATGTTATCAAAGAAGACCTAGAAATAACAGACAGGATGATATTAAATAAGTTGTTTAGTCTTACCTTTGGCTTTAAACAATTTACTCTTGAATGTACACTTTGTGGCAAAGGAGCAAGCAATACTTCTAGAGTTTACGCATTTTCTTTGATAGGTAATGAATTCTAGGAGAAACAAAGTGATTACTATTACTCTGCTCTTCCTTAGGCAAAATCCAGAGATTTTGAAACCAGTTTGTTAATATAAGGTTGATTTTGCCTTGAGGTTAGTGATTTACAAGTTTTGTTGTTGTTGTTGTTGTTGTTGTTTTCGAGACAGGGTCTCACTCTGTTGCCCAAGCTGGAGTGCAGTGGCACAATCTCAGTTCACTGCAATCTTTGCCTCTAGGGTTCAAGCAATTCTCGTGCCTCAGCCTCCCAAGGGGCTGGGACTACAGGCACGTGCCGCTATGCCTGGCTAATTTTTATATTTTTAGTAGAAATGGGTTTCACCTTGTTGGCCAGGCTGGTCTCGAATCTGTGGCTTCATGTGATCCACCCACCTCAGCCTCCCAAAGTGCTGGGATTATGGGTGTGAGCCACCACACCCGGCCAGTGATTTACAAAGTATTAAGGAGAAAAATAACATTTTAGAGCAATAAACTGATTACTGACTTACTGCTTTGGTAATTTATTGATTTGATCAGTTTCTTCAAGTGACTACAAGTTGTTTTTCCCCTCCGGGGAATTTTTGAATTTTTTCTGATGCATATCTTCTTCCCGGCATTGCCCTTTCCTCTCTTCCTTTTCCTCCCTCTGCTGCCAAAATGTCCTCTGCATAGAAATATGAAGGTTTCCTTTATGATTTAGTATTAATGTTAGACTATGAAAAGAGCGTTTTAAAATTTGCTGAGTTGCTGTTAGTTATACTAAGACTCATTCATAATCTGTGGGACAGCACTTGTGGAAAGCCAACACAATTTAGTTATCTTCGTTTCCGAATCTGGAAGACTTTAATGACATGGAAAGAATCTCAGTTATTTAGTTAACCAGACAAAGCAGATTGTAGTACATTTGTACTACATGCTTCTGTTTTATAAATAATACAGAAAGATGAGATGCATATCTAAATATTTATGGATGTGTACAAAAAGCCATCAAGGACATACTAAAATGTTAATCTCTTGTAGGATATTTTGAAAACATTTTCTTTTTTTTTTCCTTTTTCTAACTTCAAAATTTAAATTCTAAAGTTCAAAGGCAAAAAGACGATTTTTGAAATAAACCACAAAAATAGTAAGTTGTTTTCACCTTTGATCTAGTAATTCTACTTTTAGGAAATACTCAGCGACCTGGATAAAGAAATTATATTAGCACTCACACACAAAAAGGAAGCATCTGATGTCTTAAAAGAAGGAAGTGATTGGGCTGGTCACGGTGGCTCATGCCTGTAATCCCAGCACTTTGGGACGCTGAGGCAGGCGATCACGAGGTCAGGAGATCGAGACCATCGGGTCTAACATGGTGAAACCCCGTCTCTACTAAAAATACAAAAAAAAAAAAAAAATTAGCTGGGCGTGGTGGCAGGCACCTGTAGTCCCAGCTACTCGGGAGGCTGAGGCAGGAGAATGGTGTGAACCTGGGAGGCAGAGCTTGCAGTGAGCCAAGATCGCGCCACTGAACTCCAGCCTGGGCGACAGAGGGAGACTCCGTTTCAAAAAAAAAAAAAGAAGGGAGTGATTAAGCATATTAAATCCATAAATCATGTGACGTTACAATTGTTTTCAAAGAAATTGACCTGGGTATATGCTTATGATATAATGTGTAATGTTAAGTGAAAAAAAATAGCTTATGTAGTATGGTTCTAATTATGTAAATTTTAAAAGTGTAGAAAAAAAGACCATAAAGAAATAACCAAACTTTCGGCAGTGATAATTTTTAGGTTTGGAGAATCATGTTTTTTTTAACTTTTCAATGAATAGACATTCCGTTTAAAATGAGATATACATATAAACGTTTATATATATTTTTCAAAGAATCAGAATAAAATCTCTGATAACAATTCATCTTGATGTTTTGGTAATAATAATTGGGAAGGCCTAGAACATATTCCTTTTCACTGTGTTCACCCAGTGCCTTAAGGAAACAAATAACAAATAAGAGCCTCCAATTTCTTGGACACTTCTTATATGCTGTTTAAACTTCACAGAAATATTTTTAAAAATCTCAAGCTTTAGGGAGTTGGATTATAAAAGTAGCCATAGCTTGGACATATTATTGTCAATATGAGTATTAGGCACATTTGATTATCAATACAGTCAACTCTACTCAGTTGGTCAGAACTGTTCAATCAGATTGATAGACAATAGAAGATTTTCCTGTTTCCTTGCATTCTGGACATTTTGAATGAGAATTTGTTCCACTAAATTGGTGCCTCTGTTAAGCTCCAGGACAAGCCCAGTGAATGAGCTGACTCAATTGTTTAGGCATCTTTGGACCTCTGAGTTAGAGGAAGAAAACTGTGGACTAGTAGTGCCTGTGCAGAGGAGGCCCTCAATAAATAAATGATGGGCACCTAAGGCACATTTAGTCTTGTCCGCACTTCATCCCACAGTTTAACCTGGAAAGTTGGTACTTTATATATGTATATTATTTACATGAATGATACTTGTCTGGGACTAAAAAGTAAAATAGGAGAAGTAGTTGTATTAACAGTAATAAAAATATACTGAAAATCAGGGCTGCCAATTATTGGTCCACCTGCTGTGCTCCGGGCCCTGCAAGAGATCCTGGCATTTGTCTTCTCGTTAATGTGATGCCGCCCTGATTTGCTATAGGACTTGCCCTTTCCTGAGGATTCTAACATGTGAAAAGACACAATGGCCAGGCTCTCAGCACATATGATGTCTAATGCCCTTCAACCCTTTCTTGTTTTTGGTCTGTGCCCTGATGGTTTTCCATCTCATCTGTGGCAGATGAGATTCAAGGTGAGAGAAAGAACAAACCCTATAAGGTAATTCTGTCACTCACCTCATCTTCATAATCTTCCCTGAGCTTCCTCTGCTGCTCACCCTGGTATTGATCGTGTCACTGGCTATAGCAGACCAAGGCAGGGGGCTGCAAACCTTTCCTCACAACCCTCGCCAGTGCGCCTGTTTCAGCTCCAAGAAGAAAAGCCTGCTGTGAAAACAATCAGTGCATTTGCTTTAGATCTAAGTGATTCCAACTAGGTCGATGCTTCATGCTGATGTGTTGAAAACATTTAAAAAATTTCTCAGAGTTTGATTTCCACGGGAACATTGTGGCATGTGTCTCAGTGTCTACAGTTGTTATTTTTCACGAATGCAGCCGACAACTGCTTCCTGCCACAGCACACAAAAGCAGTAGGAAAACGGAGGCTTTTGTCTGGATGGATATTTACTATAAATGCTTTCTGGGGAAAGGGAGAAACCTGTGTGTGTGTGTGTGTGTGTGTGTGTGTGTTTATGTTGTGTGTTGTGTTTGCGTGTGTGCGTGCAGGCATGTGTGCACGTGTATGTAGGTTGGGTTGATAGCCGCACGCTATCTTGACCTGCCGTCAAAGAGGTTTTTGTTTTAGTTTTTGTTTTTTTCACTCCTGAAGTGAGTAAGATCCAATGTTGATAGGGTATAAATGCAAGAGAATGGACTACTGTCTGGTTTGGGTTTGAGTTTTGAGATTTCCTTTGTTTTGGCACTGACTTTCCTAGACAAATAATTCATAATAATGCCAAGAGTTGCTTTATCTTCTAAAGGATCTAACAGATCTCTGCAAGTTTATGTTTATATCCAGAAACAATTGGACCTTTTCATCATATTGTGGCATGCAGCAGTAAAATGGACATTATGAAAGGGAGCTATCCTCACACGAATTCATATGTATTTAATCTCTGACAGAGATCCAGGATAATATTTAATTGTAGAATCTAAGCTAACAAGTTTTCCACCTGAAAAGTAATCTCTCTAAAGAAAAGGAATGCTGTGCCAGCATGTATGTGGTGTATTGTGGTATTGGGGGGACATGATAAGGGGTAAGGGGCCCAGTCTAACAGTGTTGGAGTCAGGGGCATGGACAAGCATCTTACACCTGATCACATTTTTAAGTCCCCATTCTAGTTAATAATACAGTTGGGCCGGGCGCGGTGGCTCACACCTGTAATCCCAGCACTTTGGGAGGCCGAGGCAGGCAGATCACCTGAGGTCAGGAGTTTGAGGCCAGCCTGGCCAACATGGTGACACCCCATCTCTACTAAAAATACAAAAATTAGCCAGGTGTGGTGGCACACACCTGTAATCCCAGCTACTCAGGAGGGTGAGGCAGGAGAATTGCTTGAACCTGGGAGGCGGAGGTTGCAGTGAGCTGAGATTGTGCCACTGCATTCCAGCCTGGGTGACAGAGCAAGACTCAGTCTCAAAAAAATAAAAAAAAATGTAGAGCCTAGAATTTGTTTTAAAAATATAGAACAATGTACCTACAAGCCACACCTTCAAAATTACTTCTTTATTTAGAGATAAAGTCAGAGAGCTGACATTAGGGCTTCTTATTTTCCCATGTAGCTCCACGGAAGATCTGTGGCTAAGTCAGAGTCAGAACCTAGTTGTTTAGTGTTCTGTCTGCCAAGTCCTGTAAAAAGCATGTGTGTCATTTCAGCTGAGTTTTCTTTGCAATGTCATCATTTAAATAAAATGTTGGGGTTTTCTTCTAGGCATGAACTCTCTTGGGTTGTGTTACCCTGTTTGCTGTTTACTGTCAAGATGCTGAAAGAATGTTCTTATAATGATCCAAGAGGAAGTGGCAAATGAGTGCTCTTCTTCAGGTATTTTGTTGATTTTTCAGAATGCCTACCAATAGGAAATTTCCACAAATTTATAATCTGTGAGTTTATTGTATAAAATCGGAGGGAAATAATTGTCATGTTTCCTTGAGTCAAATGAGTGAGATTCCCTTATGCTCTGATGTGCTGCTTCTCCAAAACGTTAGATTTATTTTATGCCAGAATTATTCCTTAATTCATAAGCTGTATCCATGGGTGGCATTACAGTTTGTTTTACTGAACACCTACATTGACTATATATCTCTTTCCTTACTGTTTACGTATTTGACCATTAGAGTTTATATTCTAAATACAAGCTGCACATAAATAATCTTTTATGGAATTTTATTTGCTATTTTTATATTTCATTTTAAAAAGGTAGATGTGGCTTTTATGGGAAAAGATACTCTAGATTTTTGAGTATTACTTGACACTTCTATTTCGAGATATCTGCAATTAGGAGGCTTAAAGTATTTTGGGGGGAAGTTGGGTCAGTAATACCCACAGTTTCCTTATGAAGAAAGTGGGAAGAAAATTTCAGTGGAATGTATTCTGTCTTGAAGGAACAGAAAACTTGAAAGGAGACCTAGGTCACTGATGATGGGTCTAGGAACAGAATTTATCTCCAGTTTTCTAATTGCTTCTTTTAAATTAGATATGTACTTTTTTTTCTTATTATACTTTAAGTTTTAGGGTACATGTGCACAATGTGCAGGTTAGTTACATATGTATACATGTGCCATGGTGGTGCGCTGCACCCACTAACTCATCATCTAGCATTAGGTATATACCCCAATGCTATCCCTCCCCACTCCCCCAACCCCACCACAGTCCCCAGAGTGTGATATTCCCCTTCCTGTGTCCATGTGATCTCATTGTTCAGTTCCCACCTATGAGTGAGAATATGCGGTGTTTGGTTTTTTGTTCTTGCGATAGTTTACTGAGAATGATGTTTTCCAATTTCATCCATGTCCCTACAAAGGACATGAACTCATCATTTTTTATGGCTGCATAGTATTCCATCGTGTATATGTGCCACATTTTCTTAATCCAGTCTATCATTGTTGGACATTTGAGTTGGTTCCAAGTCTTTGCTATTGTGAATAGTGCCGCAATAAACATACGTGTGCATGTGTCTTTATAGCAGCATGATTTATAGTCCTTTGGGTATATACCCAGTAATGGGATGGCTGGGTCAAATGGTATTTCTAGTTCTAGATCCCTGAGGAATCGCCACACTGACTTCCACAATGGTTGAACTAGTTTACAGTCCCACCAACAGTGTAAAAGTGTTCCTATTTCTCCACATCCTCTCCAGCACCTGTTGTTTCCTGACTTTTTAATGATTGCCATTCTAACTGGCGTGAGATGGTATCTCATTGTGGTTTTGATTTGCATTTCTCTGATGGCCAGTGATGATGAGCATTTTTTCATGTGTTTTTTGGCTGCATAAATATCTTCTTTTGAGAAGTGTCTGTTCATGTCCTTCGCCCACTTTTTGATGGGGTTGTTTTTTCTTGTAAATTTGTTTGAGTTCATTGTAGATTCTGGATATTTGCCCTTTGTCAGATGAGTAGGTTGCGAAAATTTTCTCCCATTTTGTAGGTTGCCTGTTCACTCTGATGGTAGTTTCTTTTGCTGTGCAGAAGCTCTTTAGTTTAATTAGATCCCATTTGTCAATTTTGGCTTTTGTTGCCATTGCTTTTGGTGTTTTAGACATGAAGCCCTTGCCCATGCCTATGTCCTGAATGGTAATGCCTAGGTTTTCTTCTAGGGTTTTTATGGTTTTAGGTCTAACGTTTAAGTCTTTAATCCATCTTGAATTGATTTTTGTATAAGGTGTAAGGAAGGGATCCAGTTTCAGCTTTCTACATATGGCTAGCCAGTTTTCCCAGCACCATTTATTAAATAGGAAATCCTTTCCCCATTGCTTGTTTTTCTCAGGTTTGTCAAAGATCAGATAGTTGTAGATATGCGGCGTTATTTCTGAGGGCTCTGTTCTGTTCCATTGATCTATATCTCTGTTTTGGTACCAGTACCATGCTGTTTTGGTTACTGTAGCCTTGTAGTATAGTTTGAAGTCAGGTAGCATGATGCCTCCAGCTTTGTTCTTTTGGCATAGGATTGACTTGGCGATGCAGGCTCTTTTTTGGTTCCATATGAACTTTAAAGTCGTTTTTTCCAATTCAGTGAAGAAAGTCATTGGTAGCTTGATGGGGATGGCATTGAATCTGTAAATTACCTTGGGCAGTATGGTCATTTTCACGATATTGATTCTTCCTACCCATGAGCATGGAATGTTCTTCCATTTGTTTGTATCCTCTTTTATTTCCTTGAGCAGTGGTTTGTAGTTCTCCTTGAAGAGGTCCTTCACATCCCTTGTAAGTTGGATTCCTAAGTATTTTATTCTCTTTGAAGCAATTGTGAATGGGAATTCACTCATGATTTGGCTCTCTGTTTGTCTGTTGTTGGTGTATAAGAATGCTTGTGATTTTGTACATTGATTTTGTATCCTGAGACTTTGCTGAAGTTGCTTATCAGCTGAAGGAGATTTTGGGCTGAGACAATGGGGTTTTCTAGATATACAATCATGTCATCTGCAAACAGGGACAATCTGACTTCTTCTTTTCCTAACTGAATACCCTTTATTTCCTTCTCCTGCCTAATTGCCCTGGCCAAAACTTCCAACACTATGTTGAATAGGAGTGGTGAGAGAGGGCATCCCTGTCTTGTGCCAGTTTTCAAAGGGAATGCTTCCAGTTTTTGCCCACTCAGTATGATATTGGCTGTGGGTTTATCATAGACAGCTCTTATTATTTTGAAATACGTCCCATCAATACCTAATTTATTGAGAGTTTTTAGCATGAAGGGTTGTTGAATTTTGTCAAAGGCTTTTTCTGCATCTATTGAGATAATCATGTGGTTTTTGTCTTTGGCTCTGTTTATATGCTGGATTACATTTATTGATTTGCATATATTGAACCAGCCTTGCATCCCAGGGATGAAGCCCACTTGATCATGGTGGATAAGCTTTTTGATGTGCTGCTGGATTCGGTTTGCCAGTATTTTATTGAGGATTTTTGCATCGATGTTCATCAAGGATACTGGTCTAAAATTCTCTTTTTTGGTTGTGTCTCTGCCAGGCTTTGGTATCAGAATGATGCTGGCCTCATAAAATGAGTTAGGGAGGATTCCCTCTTTTTCTATTGATTGGAATAGTTTCAGAAGGAATGGTACCAGTTCCTCCTTCTACCTCTGGTAGAATTCGGCTGTGAATCCATCTGGTCCTGGACTGTTTTTGGTTGGTAAGCTATTGATTATTGCCACAATTTCAGATCCTGTTATTGGTCTATTCAGAGATTCAACTTCTTCCTGGTTTAGTCTTGGGAGGGTGTATGTGTTGAGGAATTTATCCATTTCTTCTAGATTTTCTAGTTTATTTGCGTAGAGGTGTTTGTAGTATTCTCTGATGGTAGTTTGTATTTCTGTGGGATCGGTGGTGATATCCCCTTTATCATTTTTTATTGCATCTATTTGATTCTTCTCTCTTTTTTTCTTTATTAGTCTTGCTAGTGGTCTATGAATTTTGTTGATCCTTTCAAAAAACCAGCTCCTGGATTCATTAATTTTTTGAAGGGTTTTTTGTGTCTCTATTTCCTTCAGTTGTGCTCTGATTTTAGTTATTTCTTGCCTTCTGCTAGCTTTTGAATGTGTTTGCTCTTGCTTTTCTAGTTCTTTTAATTGTGATGTTAGGGTGTCAATTTTGGATCTTTCCTGCTTTCTCTTGTGGGCATTTAGTGCTATAAATTTCCCTCTACACACTGCTTTGAATGCATCCCAGAGATTCTGGTATGTTGTGTCTTTGTTCTCGTTGGTTTCAAAGAACATCTTTATTTCTGCCTTCATTTCGTTATGTACCCAGTAGTCATTCAGGAGCAGGTTGTTCAGTTTCCATGTAGTTGAGTGGTTTTGAGTGAGATTCTTAATCCTGAGTGCTAGTTTGATTGCACTGTGGTCTGAGAGATAGTTTGTTATAATCTCTGTTCTTTTACATTTGCTGAGGAGATCTTTACTTCCAAGTATGTGGTCAATTTTGGAATAGGTGTGGTGTGGTGCTGAAAAAAATGTATATTCTGTTGATTTGGGGTGGAGAGTTCTGTAGATGTCTATTAGGTCCGCTTGGTGCAGAGCTGAGTTCAATTCCTGGGTATCCTTGTTGACTTTCTGTCTCATTGATCTGTCTAATGTTGACAGTGGGGTGTTGAAGTCTCCCATTATTAATGTGTGGGAGTCTAAGTCTCTTTGTAGGTCACTCAGGACTTGCTTTATGAATCTGGGTGCTCCTGTATTGGGTGCATATATATTTAGGATAGTTAGCTCTTCTTGTTGAATTGATCCCTTTACCATTATGTAATGGCCTTCTTTGTCTCTTTTGATCTTTGTTGGTTAAAGTCTGTTTTATCAGAGACTAGGATTGCAACCCCTGCCTTTTTTTGTTTTCCATTTGCTTGGTAGATCTTCTTCCATCCTTTTATTTTGAGCCTATGTGTGTCTCTGCACGTGAGATGGGTTTCCTGAATACAGCACACTGATGGGTCTTGACTCTTTATCCAATTTGCCAGTCTGTGTCTTTTAATTGGAGCATTTAGTCCATTTACATTTAAAGTTAATATTGTTATGTGTGAATTTGATCCTGTCATTATGATGTTAGCTGGTGATTTTGCTCATTAGTTGATGCAGTTTCTTCCTAGTCTCGATGGTCTTTACATTTTGGCATGATTTTGCAGCGGCTGGTACCGGTTGTTCCTTTCCATGTTTAGTGCTTCCTTCAGGAGCTCTTGTAGGGCAGGCCTGGTGGTGACAAAATCTCTCAGCATTTGCTTGTCTGTAAAGTATTTTATTTCTCCTTCACTTATGAAGCTTAGTTTGGCTGGATATGAAATTCTGGGTTGAAAATTCTTTTCTTTAAGAATGTTGAATATTGGCCCCCACTCTCTTCTGGCTTGTAGGGTTTCTGCCGAGAGATCCGCTGTTCGTCTGATGGGCTTCCCTTTGAGGGTAACCCGACCTTTCTCTCTGGCTGCCCTTAACATTTTTTCCTTCATTTCAACTTTGGTGAAACTGACAATTATGTGTCTTGGAGTTGCTCTTCTCGAGGAGTATCTTTGTGGTGTTCTCTGTATTCCCTGAATCTGAACGTTGGCCTGCCTTGCTAGATTGGGGAAGTTCTCCTGGATAATATCCTGCAGAGTGTTTTCCAACTTGGTTCCATTCTCCCCATCACTTTCAGGTACACCAATCAGACGTAGATTTGGTCTTTTCACATAGTCCCATATTTCTTGGAGTCTTTGCTCATTTCTTTTTATTCTTTTTTCTCTAGACTTCTCTTCTCGCTTCATTTCATTCATTTCATCTTCCATTGCTGATACCCTTTCTTCCAGTTGATCACATCGGCTCCTGAGTCTTCTGCATTCTTCACGTAGTTCTCGAGCCTTGGTTTTCAGCTCCATCAGCTCCTTTAAGCACTTCTCTGTATTGGTTATTCTAGTTATACATTCTTCTAAATTTTTTTCAAAGTTTTCAACTTCTTTGCCTTTGGTTTGAATGTCCTCCCGTAGCTCAGAGTAATTTGATCGTCTGAAGCCTTCTTCTCTCAGCTCATCAAAGTCATTCTCCATCCAGCTTTGTTCCGTTGCTGGTGAGGAACTGTGTTCCTTTAGAGGAGGAGAGGCGCTCTGCATTTTAGAGTTTCCAGTTTTTCTGTTCTGTTTTTTTCCCCATCTTTGTGGTTTTATCTACTTTTGGTCTTTGATGATGATGATGTACAGATGGGTTTTTGGTGTGGATGTCCTTTCTGTTTGTTAGTTTTCCTTCTAACAGACAGGACCCTCAGCTGCAGGTCTGTTGGAATACCCTGCCGTGTGAGGTGTCAGTGTGCCCCTGCTGGGGGGTGCCTCCCAGTTAGGCTGCTCAGGGGTCAGGGGTCAGGGACCCACTTGAGGAGGCAGTCTGCCGGTTCTCAGATCTCCAGCTGCGTGCTGGGAGAACCACTGCTCTCTTCAAAGCTGTCAGACAGGGACATTTAAGTCTGCAGAGGTTACTACTGCTGTCTTTTTGTTTGTCTGTGCCCTGCCCCCAGAGGTGGAGCCTACAGAGGCAGGCAGGCCTCCTTGAGCTGTGGTGGGCTCCACCCAGTTCGAGCTTCCCGGCTGCTTTGTTTACCTAATCAAGCCTGGGCAATGGCGGGCGCCCCTCCCCCAGCCTCGCTGCCGCCTTGCAGTTTGATCTCAGACTGCTGTGCTAGCAATCAGGGAGACTCTGTGGGCGTAGGACCCTCCGAGCCAGGTGCGGGATATAATCTTGTGGTGCCACGTTTTTTAAGCCAGTCCGAAAAGCGCAATATTCGGGTGGGAGTGACCCGATTTTCCAGGTGCGTCTGTCACCCCTTTCTTTGACTCGGAAAGGGAACTCCCTGACCCCTTGCGCTTCCCAAGTGAGGCAATGCCTCGCCCTGCTTCGGCTCGCGCACGGTGCGCGCACCCACTGACCTGCGCCCACTGTCTGGAACTCCCTAGTGAGAAGAACCCGGTACCTCAGATGGAAATGCAGAAATCACCCGTCTTCTGCGTCGCTCACGCTGGGAGCTGTGGACTGGAGCTGTTCCTATGCGGCCATCTTGGCTCCTCCCTAGATAGGTACTTTTTAAAAATGGGGTGACTATTCAGAATGTCTTGTTCTGTAGAGTTTTAGACTTTTAGAATGCTGGAGATAATATAATCAATTGATTCCGGCATGATAATGATATTTTGCAGTGTTCCATAGCATAAAGAAGGCAGCATTTATGTTAAACATGGTCCCTTCCTTTCTATTAACGGCATTTGTCTATAAACACCAAGGGAGTGGAGCTGCTGTAAGTCAATGAGTGGAGGAAATAGTTGTAATATGTCATCTTTCCAACATCATTTCATTCATTTTAAAAATGAACTCCTTGGGTGTGCTGTAGAAACACTATTTTACTTTAAATATACTAGCAAGAGCCCTATTCGTAAAGAATTTATGCACTTAATTTATGTACTCAGCTTGTCAGGTTACTTTGTTTCCAGATTTTTTCCCTTCAGAGGAATGAGAGAGTCCTCATGAGTTGCAAAAAGAAAAACCATAGGCTTATAATAAGCTTTTACTGGCTCATGTGTGAAGCTTAGCCTACTATAGATTTTCCAGAAAATCAAATATGGATGTGGCGGAAATATCTTTTCTGGCTAGGAGAAGCGACTCATTATGAAACAATGAACTGTACATCTCTTGGGAGTGTCTTTGAGTAGTTACTTAAAAGCCAATGTTTAGCAGCAGAACCTTCAGAGAGGCATAACCCAATGCTGGCAGTGTAGGAAAGCAGCTTTAAATGAACATTTCCCACAGGAGATTGTTTCAGACAGGGTGTGGAAATGGCAGGTGAATGAAGGTCTCTTCCAGCTAACTGGAAAAGCATGTTTTCAGGAGAGCAGATGCTATAACTATAAAAATGAAGGTGAACATACTGAAAAAGAAGGGGATAAAATTAATTTTACAGAAATGATAACATGTTAGATGTTGTTTAGCAATTTTTAATGTTAAATCTTTCTCCTACGCCTTGGGTAATACAAAGACAACATTGTTGAGTTAGTTTTAAGAACGTCTATGTGCAAGGCAAGTCTTAATTCACCTGATAAATCCTTGTGAAATATGTGTGGAATCTTATGGATTCAGAAAAAGCTGAATTTTTTTTCATTCTTTGTCAATTTATCTTTTTTCTTTTGTCACCTCCACATGTTGCTATAGCTTAGACAGCTTAGACCTGGAAAGAAAATTGCAAGATTTTTTTTTTCCTGTTTTCTCCCCACCAGACTTCCTCCTAATGTCAAAGGTCCTGCAGATCATTCTCTCACAAATGCTGGAGAGCTCTTTTTCACAGTTGACTATACAAATACATCCTTGGTGTAATAAATGATGGCGCCTCCTACTTCTTAGTTTCCTTTTGGCAAAAGTGGAACCGTTTCCATGAAGCTGTGCCTTCCTTCTTGCTACTGCTGTTGACTCCTCTATTAGTTGGAGACAAGAGCCTTTGGGCAGAAGGATGGTACACCATAAATGATCGTCTTCCTCCTCGTGGTCTCCATTCAGATGACCACTGAGAATATTTATCATCTTGCTTATGGATTTAAAAAAATTATGTCAGTAACTCTGTTAGAATATTCTGTTTTGTTCGGGAGCAGAATTTTAAAAATATATCAATGCCTAACAATTTCTTATTCTTAGAATTTATTTCCTCTTTTAAAAAAAGATGGCTATTAATGGTATGTGTAGGTCTGATTTTATGTATATATTATATATCTGTATTATATATATCTATATTATATCTAGAGATATGGTATCTATTATATAGAGATATATCTATAAATATCTATATATAATAATAGATATAATATATATTATAATATATAATAATAGATATATATTATATAATATATTATGTATAATATATAATAGATATATATTATATGTAAATTAGATATAATATCTATTATATATAATATATAATCTAATATATATTATTATATATAGATATATTATATCTATGTTTTATATAGATATATTATATATTATTATATATATAATATATCTATGTTTTATATAGATATATCTATGTTTTATATAGATCTACATTATAGATATATCTATGTTTTATATAGATATATCTATGTTTTATATAGATCTACATTATAGATATATCTATGTTATATATAGATATATATTATATATAGATATATTATATCTATGTTATATATCTATATATTATATATATCTATGTTATATAGAGATATATAACATATAGATATATATTATATATTATATATAGATATATTATATATATTATATATGGTATATTATATATAGATATATATTATATAGGTATATATTATATATAGATATATAATATATTATATATAGATATATATAATATATTATATATAGATATATATTATATATTATATATAGATATATATTATATATTATATATAGATATATATAATATATAGATATATATTATATATTGTATATTGATATATATTATATATAGATATATATAATATATAGATATATATTATATATTATATATATTATATATAGATATATATTATATATTATATATATTATATATAATATATAGATATATATTATATCTATATTATACATTATATATCTATATTATATATTATATCTATATTATACATTATATCTATATTATATATAGATATAATATTATGTATAGATACATTATATCTATATTATATATAGATGTATATAAGATTACCTATATATAATGCAATATATACTGATTATCTATATAGAAAATACAGTATATACTATATAATAACAACTATTTATTGAATTTCCACTGTGAGCCAAGTAGGGTTCTAGTAATTTGGGATATGATATAGTAATTCCAATTCATTGGTTTAATATGTATTTATTAAGTACAGCATCCATGTGTTTGATCACTAAACTAGGACATGGGACAGAAAGGAAGACACAGTTTCTGCTCCAAAAAGCTCATAGTCCCATTAGAGAGAAAAAACAAGATGGTAAAATAAAAGCTGTAAAATCATATAAGCACTGGAGCATTTTAAAAGGTTAAAAACAATATAGCTCCCCCCCCGCTTACAGTTCAGTAGAAAAGACTCTAGCTAACCAAAGTCAAATATTTATATTTACATAAATATGAAACAGTAGTAAGTGTTACCATGGGGAGATGAATGGTATGAAAGCTCATCACACGAGACTTTGACCCTATCAGGGAAATCATCAGTGAGTATATCAGGGAGGTGAGATTGAAGGAGGAGCTGGAGTTGTGTAGGTCAAGACGGCGTTAAGCGTGCTCTCTGCAGATGGAACAGCGCATGCATAGTCCCTGCAGCTGAAAGGAATGTGGCACGTCCAGTTTAAGGGACTTGAAGAAGGCCGACAGCCACTGTGGCAGAGCACAGAGAGCAAGAGGAGTGTAAATGTGGCAGTAAGCCAGACTGTGGAGACCTTGCCGAAAATTTGGTTTGATCCAAGGAGCTCTAGGGAACCCGTGAATGTCATAAATGCCTTTGGGAGGGGAAGGCTGGAGGTGTTGCCCTCAGATGCTCCTGTATGTATAAGGTTTTACAACTTCTATTTTATCATGTTGTTTTTTCTCCCTTATGTAACTATGAGTTCCTTGGGGCAAGAACTGTGTCCTCTTCCCTATCCCATGGCCTAGCTTAGTGCCTAATAGGTGGATGCTGTACTCAATAAATACATATTATGTCAATGATTTTATATCATTTACTTATTCTTCTTGACTTTTCTTTAGCTATTAGTAAATACAGTTTTACCTAACAATGAGCAAAATATGTGCACTGGGCTGCGTGTGAACATGTTATGTAGATTTGTTAGTGATTTATGTAATCTATCTGGGATCTGTTTACTTTGTACTGCTAAATCTAATTCTACTGCTAAATCACCATCTTTAGTCGCTGTTATTGTTATGTGTATTATCACAATATTCTTCTAACTGTTCTCCTTTGTTTGCCCATGACCTATTGTCAACCCAGCAGCCGTCTTATGATAACCTAAAGCAGATTACTGTATCCCTGGCTGGAAAGCATCAGGAGGTCCCCATATCACCCAGAGTAGGAGTCACTCCGTAGAGCTGCTTCTAAGTGAACTTCCCCACCTCTCTGCCTCTCCTACCTCATCTACTACAAGCCCCCTTATCCACCCTGGGGTAGCCATACCGGGCGTTCCTGCAGTTCCTCAAACATTCCAAGCATGCTGTCATCTCAGAGGCTTTGAATTTTGTTTTCTAACCCAATTATTTGCATGACTCCTTTATATAAAACATTCCAAAATGTTTATTAAGCTCATTCCCAGATTGTGCATGCGTGTGTGTGTGTGTGTGTGTGTGTGTGTGATTTGAGTGGATTTTTTTCAGAATTATCCTATTAGTTTTCTTAATTTATTGATTCTTCTGCATTTTCATCATATTATCTCCAAATAATGTTAATTTGTATTCTTTTCCTATTAGTTATACCTCATTTCTTTTTCCGGCCTTGCTGTATTGGCTAACATCCTCAAGTCAAATGTAGCAAACTTACGGTGATAGCAGGTATCTTTGTTTTCTTCCTAGCCTATTGAAAAGTCCTTGGGATTTGTGTTAAATATAGAATTTGTCTGAACTCTTTTAGTTGCAAATGACAGAAAGCCAGATCGATCAATGGTAATGGCTCACAGAAATCTAGGGATAGAACTGTCTGCAGGCAGAGGTGATTTTTGATGTTCAAAACTTCTATCAGGGCCATGTCTCTCTGTCTCCATCTCTCACCATTATTTTCCTTTGTATACAATCATTCTCAGAAATGCTCTCTCCATGAAGTAGGAAGTAGGGAATGATTCTGATTGGTTTGCAGAGCATACAAGCCCACCCTCTAGTTACTGTGTCAGGTGTGAAGATTGGTTGTGCCGGAAGCCATGACCTGAACTTATTTGGTGACAAAACCTCACCTGAACTGACATGAAGTAAACCATTTACATTTTTTTTTTTTGGTGCAGAAATATTAATCAGCTTAATAGTCTAGAATGTGCTGGGAGTGTTAGTTAATATGTAATCTAAGTACTGCATTATCATTGTAAAATTTATAAAATTCTGAGTTCTCATTTATGTCTTGCTCCAGTGGAATCACATAGGGGATTGTGAGCCTGTATAATTAAATTTTCCATATGTATCTGTAAATTGAATCTAAAAATTTTAAAAATCCAATGTTTCCAATAATCACTATAAAACAAAATAGAATAACTCATAGGTTAAGACATATAACCTTGTATCATGAAAACAGTGCCACTAAAAGTAGAAATACAACGAGTAAAAGTTGAAAGTGGGAGGAATGGAGCAGAGCATTTTTCACTTTACATATTTTAATATAGTTTACCCTTTTCATGAAGAAGGTTCAGTTCTTTTACCTAGAAACTTACTACCTAGAATTCATTTGCTTCTTGGAAACACTCCTTCTGATTTCCCTGCCTCCTTCTTGTATTGCAGCCTTGGTTTTCCAGGACGATTGCATGACCAACTTCTTGGAATTTCCTTTCATTTTGTAGCCTTATTTGGTCCATGGTTTCTTAAACCTTATATTTTCCTCATTCCTACATCCCATTTTTGTTATTGTTGTTATTTGGTGGCATCCTCAAGTAATTCTTTAAGAAAAAATCTGTAGATGGTAAATTTTATGAGTCCCCACATGCCTGAAAATGACTTTATTTTGTCTCTACTCTTGATTGATAGCTAGAATTTTAAGTTCAAAATAATTCTCACTCAGAACTTTTGAAGGCACTGCTCTGATGTTTTCTGGCATCCAACATCACTTATGAAATGTCTGAAACCAATTTGGTCCTTCTTCCTTTGAAGATAAACATTGTAATCTCTTTGGAAGCTTTTAGGACCTTCTTTAGAATCCTTGTGTTCCGAAATTTTATAAGAATGTTCTTAGATTTTTTTTCCTCCATTTTTTTCTGCTCAACGCCATATGGAATCTTTCAAAATGAAGACTTACAGTATTCCATTTGTAGGCTTGTTTAAGCTTTGGGAAATTTCATTCACTACTCCTTTGATAAATTGCTCACATTCCTTTTCTTAGCTACCTCTTTCTAGAGCTACTAGGAGACAGATGTTGGCCTTCCTGGATTGATTGTGCTGAAATCTTTTGCATTTTCTTTCTTTTTTCTTTTTTTTTTTTTTTAAGATTCTGGAACGTTTCCTTGACTTTTCCATGTAGTGTTTCATCAATCTTTCAAATGTCAACAATTACATTTTGAATTTTCAAAAACCTTTGCTCCTTTTATCACTGCAACCTGTTCTTGTTTTGTGGATAAAATATTTTGTCAAATCTTCTTC
Organism: Homo sapiens; assembly: GCF_000001405.40. Lineage (NCBI taxonomy): Eukaryota > Metazoa > Chordata > Mammalia > Primates > Hominidae > Homo > Homo sapiens. The sequence goes on from NC_000007.14 coordinate 39,019,820, forward strand.
ACATCACCAATTAAAATTATTTTATGATTCCATTCTCTTCCCTGAATTATTTCTGTTTTCTCCAGCATCAGAGAATCAATGTATTCCTTTTGATTCTTTTGGGGTTTTGTTACAATTTTTCTCAGAATCTGGTAACTGTTGGTTGTCCATTTATATGCATGAATGAAGAAGTAAGATAATTATTAAATGCAGCCATCATGGATTTCCTTCGCAGCTTGCATATGTCAGGCTTCATTCTAGGAAGTGTGGAACCAGGAGCAAGTGAGCAGGTTGGGTGCACCCTCCCAGACCCCCCAAAAAAGCTAGCTCCCAATCTGGGGTCTTATCCTTCATTCTAGAAGCCAGTGCCTTTGTAGTGAGAAAGTGTTGACAAGGATCAAAGATTTCCTCAGGCAGGCCCTGATAAAATAATGTCATCTCTTTATAATGCTGCATGATGAGCTATTTAGAATGGTCCAGGAAGGGATAAATCATTTTTATCTACTAAAGATACTCAAATATCTACTTCAAGATATTGTTATACAATAATTGTATCATTCATATTGTGTTCTCAGTCCACCACTGATGTGATTTCTTTCCTTTCCAAAGTTCATGCAGAAGTATTTATTTCCAGAATTACAGCATTGAGGACAAAGTATGGGCTAAATGGTATTTCTTCTTTGGGGGATTTTTTGAGATGGTCATTGCATTGCAGTCTCATCCATGAGTCCTTTTCATTACTTTATGTGGAAATTTGAAAAGAATATGAATTTTACATCTGTAAGATACAATGTTTCCTCTTTTACTCTTTCTCCTCAATAAATCAAACTCCTTAATTGTGTTATTCAGCTACTGTCTATTTTTTATCTACTTGATCTGTCACACTCTGAAAGAGGTGTTATTGCTCTTAAGATTGCAGTTTCTGCCAATTTCTCATCGTATTTCTAAAAGTTCTTTGCCTAATGTATTTCTAGGTTAGATTTTTTTTTTTTAATGTACAGAGTTTTTGACATCTGTTTGGCAGAATGTACCTTTTATAAAAATGAAATATCCCATTTAATGCATTTTGCTTAAGCTATACTTTGATAGTAATATTGCCACCTGCTTTCCTTCTGTTTCCATTTGCCTATTGTATCTTCCAGCATTTTCAATTTTTCCTTATCATTTTTTTTAAAATGTTCTTTTAAACAGTCTCTGGCTGGGTTTTGTTTTTCTTCTCTTAACTCAATTTTGGATCCATTGTCTTTTAATGGAGAAATGTAATTCCTTCTGTTAATTATGTTAAATGATTTGCTTGCTCTTGGTTTTATTTTTACCATTAAAAGTTATATTTTAATTGATGAATAAATATTATATATTTATGGGGTACACTGTAATGTTTGGTATATGCTTACAATGTGGAATGATTAAAACCTTATCTATTTCAATTTATGTTATGTGGTTATTTTCTTTCCTTTGCTATCTTTCTTTGGAATGATCAGTTTTTATTCTTACTGCTTTGAAAGTTTTGCATGTTATTTCTTTCCTACTAGCAGATAATATTAATTTTTGTAGCAAACATACTTGGCCAATTTTTTTTCTAATGGCAAGATCGAAACTCTATTTATAGCCTTACTCCATAACCCCAGACTAAGATAAGCATTTAGTATTTATGTACTCCACCCCATTTGCCATATTTTATTGAAAGTATCTGAAATGTTAGTTCCATAATGTATTAAAAAATAAAATTATCTATTTTTTCTTTCAAGAATTCTTTCTTTGTAATTGATCTAAGTTATAAAACCATATTGTTAACAATTTCTTGAGCTTAATATTCATTTTACTATTTTTTTCCCAAAATGTTTACTACAAATTCCCTCTATTCCATTATAGTTATGTTGATTCACATCTTTCTTAAATAATTTTTACAAAAGGCACATAGATATCATATTAATTCAATCCTTTCATTTTAAAATGTATAAAAAAATGATGATTTACATGGGAATAAAATTCCAGGGAATTAGTTCATCTTGCTTAAGATTTCTAGAATTTGTACTTCATTCCTTAATGTTTGTTTAGAAACTCTTGTCTTTTGTATTGGTTCCTAAAATCTAATTCTGCTAGCCCACAGTTTTAGCATTTTTCTTTGAAGATAATATTTTCCTTCTTTTTTACTACACATATTTAGAATTTTATCTTTATTCTTGGAATCCAGAAATTTGTCAGGATATGTCAAGGGACAGGCCTTAAGAAATAATCTTATCTGGCTCTTAGGAAGACTTTAGGATACAGAGACTTGTGACTTTCTTTGGCTCAGGGAAAATATCTTTTATTATATCTCTGATTAATGCTTTCCTTCTTCTTCTCTTTTCTTTTATGATATTCACTATTTGTTACTTTCTGCATTCTTCTCTCTGGCCTAGTTAACTAGTTTGTCTTATTTCTTATTTGTCAATTGTTCATTTTTCATACTTGGCATCTCTTTTTTTGGATAAAATGCCTTCTCAAAATTCACTAAAATGAAACATATATATATGTATGCTTATTTAATTTTCTTCAGTTTCCTATATTTACTTTTATCTGTAGGTGTTATTAATTCTGATTGCTCAACCTGATTATCCCCCACCCATCATTTTCTGCAATAAAACACACAGATGTGCGCTTCAATCAGTTTTGACACTTGTATGCACCTGGGTAACAGCTACTCTAGCCAAGACATGGGACACTCCTATGGGCACAGAAAGCTCCCTAGTGCCTCAGAGGCAATGACTTTTTAAATTTTGTCATCATAATTTATATTTTCCTGTTCTAAAGCTTCTTGTAAGTGGAATCATGCAATATATATTCTTTTATGTCTTCATTCTTCACTCAGTGTAACATCTGTGATATTCATTGTTTTCACATGTATTGGGACTTTCCCCCGCTTTTTCCATCTTTTTTCTTTTTTGCTGGAGAGATAAGCCACCATGTACATCCATTCATCTCTTGTACATTTGAGTTATTTCCAGTTCTGAGCTATTATGAATAGGCTGCTATGAACATTCTTTTGCATGGACATATGGTTTCATTTCTTTGGGGTAAATACCAAGAGCAGAGTTGCTAAGTGGTAGAGTAGGTATACGTCTGACATTATAAGAAACTGTCAGTTTTCCAAGCAGTTGTACCATTTTACACACTCAACAGTAGTGTATGAGAGTCTACTTGCTCCATATCTTCACCAGCACTTAGTATGGTCAGTCTTTTTACCTTTAATCATTCTCGTAGGTGGGTAGTGGTATTTCATTGTGGCTTTATGTTGCATTTCCTTGATGACTAATGATGTTGACCACTTTTTCATATATTCATTGATACTTTGTATATCTGTGTTTTAAAAGTATTATTCAAGTTTTTTGCCTAGTTTTAAGATTAGTTTTTTAAAAATAATTGTTTTGCAGGAATTTAAAAATATGTATACTAGCCTTTATTGGATATATGTATTGTGGATATTGTTTGCCAGTCTTTAGCTTGCCTTTCCATTTTCTACACAAAGGCTTTTAAAAGAAGAAATTTTAATTTTGATAACATTCATATGCTATATTTTTCTTTTGTTGTTTGTGCTTTCAGTATCTTGGCTAAGATGCTTCCCCATTCCCTCAGTGAACATGTGGCAATGTCGCAACGTCTAGAGACATTTTTGTTTGCCACAACTTGGAGAGAGAAGACTAGGACCTAGCAGGTAGAGGCCAAGAATACATCTAAGCATCCTATAATGTACAGGACAGTCTCCCTACAATGTAGAATTATCCAGCCCCAAATGTCAACAGAGTCATGGTTGAGAAATCTTGGTTTAGAGTGATACACAAAAGTCCAAATACATTTTCCATTTTTCTTGTTGAAGTGTTCTTATCAGAAAAGCATTTCCATCTAATTTATACATTTGTAAAATCTAATGTCCTCCTATGTCACATTATAGCTACTGCTTATTGAACACGTAACTATGATACAGGTTCCATTTTATATATTTTCTATATTATTCCACTTAAGCCTGAGAAGTAGGCATTCTCTGCACTTTACAAATGGAGAAACTGAAGCCAGAAAGGAAAAAGGCCCAATGGTTGGTGAAAGAGCCAGGATTCCTGTTTAGGTCAGTGTGATAGTTTACTAACACTAAAACTTCTTTTGAGTTTATTTTAATATAAAACCTTTGCTTAGGATTGACTTGGAGATGTGGGCTCTTTTTTGGTTCCATATGAACTTTAAAGTCATTTTTTCCAATTCTGTGAAGAAAGTCATTGGTAGCTTGATGGGGATGGCATTGAATCTATAAATTACCTTGGGCAGTATGGCCATTTCCACGATATTGATTCTTCCTACCCATGAGCATGGAATGTTCCTCCATTTGTTTGTATCCTCTTTTATTTCATTGAGCAGTGGTTTGTAGTTCTCCTTGAAGAGGTCCTTCACGTCCCTTGTAAGTTGGATTCCTAAGTATTTTATTCTCTTTGAAGCAATTGTGAATGGGAGTTCACTCATGATTTGGCTCTCTGTTTGTCTGTTATTGGTGTGTAAGAATGCTTGTGATTTTTGTACATTGATTTTGTATGCTGAGACTTTGCTGAAGTTGCTTATCAGCTTAAGGAGATTTTGGGCTGAGACGATGGGGTTTTCTAGATATACAATCATGTCGTCTGCAAACAGGGACAATTTGACTTCCTCTTTTCCTAATTGAATACCCTTTATTTCCTTCTCCTGCCTAATTGCCCTGGCCAGAACTTCCAACTCTATGTCGAATAGGAGTGGTGAGAGAGGGCATCCCTGTCTTGTGCCAGTTTTCAAAGGGAATGCTTCCAGTTTTTGCCCATTCAGTATGATATTGGCTGTGGGTTTGTCATAGACAGCTCTTATTATTTTGATATACATCCCATCAATACCTAATTTATTGAGAGTTTTTAGCACCAATGATGTTGAATTTTGTCAAAGGCATTTTCTGCATCTATTGAGATAATCATGTGGTTTTTGTCTTTGGTTCTGTTTATATGCTGGATTACATTTATTGATTTGCATATATTGAACCAGCCTTGCATCCCAGGGATGAAGCCCACTTGATCATGGTGGATAAGCTTTTTGATGTGCTGCTGGATTCGTTTTGCCAGTATTTTATTGAGGATTTTTGCATCAATGTTTATCAAGGATATTAGTCTAAAATTCTCTTTTTTGGTTGTGTCTCTGTCCAGCTTTGGTATCAGGATGATGCTGGCCTCATAAAATGAGTTAGGGAGGATTCCCTCTTTTTCTATTGATTGGAATAGTTTCAGAAGGAATGGTACCAGTTCCTCCTTGTACCTCTGGTAGAATTTGGCTGTGAATCCATCTGGTCCTGGACTGTTTTTGGTTGGTAAGCTATTGATTATTGCTGCAATTTCAGATCCTGTTATTGGTCTATTCAGAGATTCAACTTCTTCCTGGTTTAGTCTTGGGAGAGTGTATGTGTCAGGGAATTTATCCATTTCTTCTAGATTTTCTAGTTTATTTGCATCAATCCTAAGCCAAAAGGACAAAGCTGGAGGCATCACGCTACCTGACTTCAGACTACACTACAAGGCTATAGTAACCAAAACAGCATGGTACTGGTACCAAAACAGAGATATAGATCAATGGAACAGAACAGAGCCCTCAGAAATAAAGCCGCATATCTACAACTATCTGTTCTTTGACAAACCTGAGAAAAACAGGCAATGGGGAAAGGATTCCCTATTTAATAAATGGTGCTGGGAAAACTGGCTAGCCATATGTAGAAAGCTGAAACTGGATCCCTTCCTTACACCTTATACAAAAATTAGTTCAAGATGGATTAAAGACTTAAATGTTAGACCTAAAACCATAAAAACCCTAAAAGAAAACCTAGGCATTACCATTCAGGACATAGGCATGGGCAAGGACTTCATGTCTAAAACACCAAAAGCAATGGCAACAAAAGCCAAAATTGACAAATCGGATCTAATTAAACTAAAGAGCTTCTGCACAGCAAAAGAAACTACCATCAGAGTGAACAGGCAACCTACAAAATGGGAGAAAATTTTCGCAACCTACTCATCTGACAAAGGGCAAATATCCAGAATCTACAATGAACTCAAACAAATTTACAAGAAAAAAACAAACAACCCCATCAAACAGTGGCCAAAGGATATGAACAGACACTTCTCAAAAGAAGATATTTATGCAGCCAAAAGACACATGAAACAATGCTCATCATCACTGGCCATCAGAGAAATGCAAATCGAAACCACAATGAGATACCATCTCATGCCAGTTAGAATGGCAATCATTAAAAAGTCAGGAAACAACAGGTGCCGGAGAGGATGTGGAGAAATAGGAACACTTTTACACTGTTGGTGGGACTGTAAACTAGTTCAACCATTGTGGAAGTCAGTGTGGCGATTCCTCAGGGATCTAGAACTAGAAATACCATTTGACCCAGCCATCCCATTACTGGGTATATACCCAAAGGACTATAAATCATGCTGCTATAAAGACACATGCACACGTATGTTTATTGCGGCACTATTCACAATAGCAAAGACTTGGAACCAACCCAAATGTCTAACAATGATAGACTGGATTAAGAAAATGTGGCACATATACACCATGGAATCCTATGCAGCCATAAAAAATGATGAGTTCATGTCCTTTGTAGGGACATGGATGAAATTGGAAATCATCATTCTCAGTAAACTATGGCAAGGACAAAAAACCAAACACCGCATGTTCTCAGTCATAGATGGGAATTGAACAATGAGAACACATGGACACAGGAAGGGGAACAACACACTCTGGGGACTGTTGTGGGGTGGGAGGAGTGGGGAGGGATAGCATTAGGAGATATACCTAATGCTAAATGACGAGTTAATGGGTGCAGCACACCAGCATGGCACATGTATACATATGTAACTAACCTGCACATTGTGCACATGTACCCTAAAACTTAAAGTGTAATAATTTTTAAAAAAACCTTTGCATTATCACTTAAATTACTTAATTTTACTTTTAATGTAAAAATATTGATAGTCCCAGAAAAGATAGGCTCCATTTGTACTATGATGATGGAGTAACCTAGGTTGGAATGCAGGGCAGTAAGAAGATGGATATTTTCATCTCCTCTTTAGAAATTGCCAAACTACATAACAGAAGTCAAGTGTCTCCTCTGATACTCAGGGATGAATTTAGGCAATTGACTGGTTTTCCCTCTATTTTTATTTTTGTTTTCTATTTGACCGTCCAACTTTCTGATGATTGAAAGTGGTATCAAGTAGGTTTTGCTTAGGATTAGTAAAAGACATAAGCAATTTTTCCTGACAGCCCAGAAAACAATATAAGTAAACTACTTATGAAGATTATAGTGTACTCCCAGGGTGTTTTGAGCAATCTGAATGAGTAATAGGAAATATATTTGTATGCTTGAGACCTTTGAAGCTTCTTTCAAATACATTGGGTACCTTTGATATTGCAACTGGATATCCTTCTGGAAACCCTCACCATTACTGTACATCAAGCAGGTGTTCTTTAAAAACACTCACTAGGCTTATGCCATCATCCAATCACACTGATGTTATGCGGTGCTTCTATAATGCAAATTAGGTTGTGGCACTGCAGTGCTCAAAACCCTATTGCCCACAAGGGCTTTTAAAAACCTGTGTCCAAGCATTAGGAGCACTGTGGTATGTCCTCAGGGATCTCCATGGAAAGGGAGGAAGGGCTGTTCCCTTTTGGTCCAAGGTCCTCCAATTCCAATCAGAGCAGCTCTGCTTTTCTGTCGTTTTATATTTTTGACTTTCAATTTCAAGGAGTTCCGTGATTAAGAATTCTTGAAATATTTTGGCATGTGGGACAATGTATAAACTTCGTAACATTGCAAAAACAACCCACTGTGAGTTGGCAGTTTGCCAATGTTGCTAATCAAATCTCCTTCTCTTCCCCCATAAACATACACCTCGTGCTCCATCTAGAAAAATGTGCAGTTCTCTGAAATATTCTGCAGGTGCATTATTATATTATACCTCCATTGCTTTGTACATTCTGGATTTTTTTAAATTTGTTTTTGCATTCCATGACATTCTTTTCTACCTGGGGTACAAGTATACTCAAATTTAAAAGAAAATGCCAATTTTTATTTCAGATGCATATACCAATTTATATTCCTACAATGCAATATTTAGGAATCTCCATTGATCCATATACTTTCCAAGACTTGGTATAACCCAATTATTAATTTTTCCAAAACTAAGTAATGTAAAATTGTATCTCATAGTTCTCTAATGGGATTTCCCTAATTATTGAGGTTAATCATTTTTTTCATATATTTATTTGACATTCCTATTTTATCTCTGTGAAAAGCCTGTTCATGTCATATTTTCTATTGTTTTTGCATATTACATATTCATTATATATTCTGAACACCAGTCTTTTGTCAGTTATGTTCATTCTAAAAATATTCTCCCTACTCATGCTTTATGTTTTTACTTTCTTTATGGTGTCTGTTGCTGGGCGGACATTTTTTAATTTTGATGCAGATGAAGTTAATTTTAAAACTATTTCATGTTTGTTTCTCTTACTATCTTGCTTATGAAATCTTAACCCATTTCAACATTTAAAAGACATACTCTTTTATATTTTTTAAACATTTAAAAATATTGCTTTGCTGTCTTAATTACTACTGCCTCATAAAGGTCCTGATATCTGGTAGGACAAGTAACCTAAAAATCTAGTTGAAATTTTGTTTTGAATGTCCTTATAACTTTTAAAAATTATTTATTTACTTATATTTGTTGATATATATTAGATGTACCTTTATATCTTTTTAATAAATTTGGGAAGAATTAACACCTGTATGCTATTAAGCGTTCTAATCCATAATCATGATATATCTTCTCATTTTTACAGGTTTTCTTTAATATCTTTCCAAAATAGTTTATACATATACATAGAAAATTTGTATAGTTCTCTTTGTACAGATATTTTTCAGGCTTATTCCTATGTAACTTGGAATATTGTAAATTTTTTTCTTTTTTTTGAAACAGGGTCTTACTCTGCCACCCAGGCTGTAGTGTACTGGCACAATCACAATTCATTGCAGCCTCAACTCCCAGGCTCAAGCAATCCTCCCACCTCAGCCTCCTGAGTAGGGATATAGGCACTATACCTATAGCTGGGACTATAGGCACAAGCCACCAGGCCTGGCTATTAATAAATAAATGTGTAGAGTCTCACTATGTTGCCCAGGCTGTTCTGGAACTCCTGGGCTCAAAGGGTCTGCCTGCCTCTGCTCCCCAAAGTGCTGGGATTATAGGTATGAGCCACTGCAACTGGCTAGATTTTCTTTTTAACACAAATTTTTCAACTTTTCATATTATTATTAAAATAGTTTTTAAAATTATCATTGCTAGTACATAGAATTGATTTTTATATATTGATCATATACCAGCCATCTTGCCAAACTTTCTAGTATTTTGTTTTATATTCTTTTGGTTTTTCTATGAAGATAATTATGTGATCTGAAAAATAACATTTTTTATTTTTCTTTCCTACTGTTGGTACTTTTACTTTTGTTTCCTATTACAGTGACTTAGATATTGAATCCAATATTTAATAAAAATAGTGATAGTGAGGTTAAGCATATTTGACTTGTTCCTCATTTTAAAGGTACTTGTCATTTTTCATTATCAAAAATAACATTTCTGGGAGGGGGGGGTGGATGATGAGAAATTATATAGTGGATCCAATACCTGTTATTTGGGTGATGGATACCCTAAAAGCCCTGACTTCACAACACCATGCATTCTACCCGTGTAACAAAATTATACTTGTATCCTATAAAATGTATACAAATAAAAAGAAAGAACAATTATGTTTTATGTAAGTTCGTTATAGAATTCCTTTAAAATGGTAAGGATATTCTATTCCTAGTTTGTTGAAAATTTTATCTTATATTTTATAATTGTCATGAAATTATTATCAAATGCTTTTTCTGTATACATTAAAATGATCACATAATTGTTCATCTTTAAATTTAATATATTAAATGGCATTTATAGATTTGAAAATATTAAGCCACTCTTGTATTTCTGGGTTAAAAGTGACTTGGTCATGATGCATTATCATTTTTATATACACTACTAGATTCTGCTTGCTAATAGGACCTTTTGCATCTTTGCTCATGAATGACATTAGCCTAGAAGTATCTTTTGTCCTATGTCCTAGTCTGGTTTGATATGAAGGTTTTACTGTCTTCATAGCTTAGGGGAAGTATTTCTTCTTTATTCTTTAAAAGGCTTTTTAAAAATTAAAATTACTTTTTGAAAGTTTCACTTGTAGAATTATCTGAGTCAATGTGTGGTGTGTGTGTTTGTATGTGAAGTCCTAAAATCATGAATTAAATGTATATAATAATGAAGAAAGATGTTCATGCATTCTATCCCTTTCTGTGTTTTTTGGAAAAGTTTTATTTTCTAGGAAATTGCCCATTTTGATCAATATTTTGCACTCAGTAGCAAACATTTTTCATTGAATTCTTTTATCTTTTCAGTATCTGTTATATTTGTAGTTATATTTCCATTTCAGTTTTTAATATAGTTTACTTGGGCATCCTCTCTTTTTGTCTAGATCACTCTTGCCTGAGATCTGATTATTTATTAGCTTTTTCAAAGGAACAATTTTTGCTAATCTCCTGTATTGAACTTTCAAAAAATACTATATATATATATATATATATATATATATATATATATATATATACACACACATACATATATTCCATTGCCCGGATGTGTAACAGTTTAGCCATTCACCTACTGAAGGACAATTTGATACTTCCAAGTTCTTGCAATTATGAATAAAGCTGCAATAAACATTAGTTTTTGTGCTGGTTGTGTGGACATACATTTTCAACTCTTTGGGGGAAATGCCAAGGAGTGTGACTGCTGGATCATATGAGAAGATTATGCTTAATTTTTAAAGAAATGTCAAACTGTCTTCCCAAAGGGACTGTACCATGTTGCATTCCCACCAATACATGAGAGCACTGTTGCTTCATATCCTCCTGCCCCCCCCAAAAAAAAATTGAACTAAACTTTATTGTTTTTAAAATATTTATTTATTTATTTAGTTTTTGAGACAGAGTCCCGCTCTGTCACCGGGCTGGAGGGCAGTGGTGTGATCTCGGCTCACCGCAACCTCCTCCTCCCGGGTTCAAGCGATTCTCCTGCCTCAGCCTCATGAGTAGCTGGGATTACAGGTGCCCACCACCGCGTCTGGCTAATTTTTGTATTTTTAGTAGAAACGGGGTTTCACCATCTTGGCCAGGCTGGTCTCGAAATCCTGACCTCGTGATCCGCCCTCCTCGGCCTCCCAAAGTGCTGGGATTACAGGCGTGAGCCACCGCGCCTGGCCAACTTTATTTTTATTAGCTCTTTCCTACTGTATTTTAGTTCATTCTGTTGTTTTTATACTAACTGTAAAGATGGATGTTTAGCTCATTAATATACTGTTATATTGATTTTAGGAAAATGATCTGTAAGCCATTTTGTTGGAAGTTTAGTACAGGACAATTATTAGGATCAGAAAAATAAATTTTTGATACTAATGCTTTTCAAATTTAGAATCCAAATTAAAACAATGTCAGTGAATACATTTCATTTTAAGGTTCCATGTGAATGTGAATATGTAACAAAACACCTACTCTATATTTCTATCCATCAGTATTTTATTTACCCACCAGCCTTCATTTCTCTTTTGAAATGTGGCTGACTTAATTCCCTCCTATCATTTAGCTTTCTTAGCATTGCACTTGCCAGCCGGGCACAGTGGCTCACACCTGTAATCCCAGCACTTTGGGAGGCCAAAGTGGGCATATTATTTGACAAGGAGTTCGAGAGCAGCCTGGTCAACATGGCAAAACCCCGTCTCTAATAAAAATAAAAAAATTTGCCAGGCATGGTGGTGCACATCTGTAGTCCCAGCTACTTGGGAGGCTGAGGTGGGAGGATATCATGAACCCGGGAGGTGGAGGCTGCAGTGAGCTGAGATCATGCCACTGTACTCCAGCCTGGGCAACAGAGGGAGACTGCCTCAAAAAAAAAAAATTGCACGTGCCTTATAATGGGTAAGACTCAGAACTCCATGAGATTTACAAGCTCTGACTTGGAGAAATTTGAATTTTTGTATGTCAATAGTTGCGTCCCACTGAATCCGACTTGTGAATCAGGAAGGATGCTACTCATTATTTCTAGATCAATGGTCTCCTTTGGATGCTTAAAGGATGGCACCTTTCTCCAAAATGTTTACAGATACCCAGAGGTCTTATTTCATTTGATACGACATAGACTTTCCTGTTGCATTTTGTTTACCAGTGGGCATTGGATGTTGGACTTTTTGTAGAAATTTGACCTTATTTCTTAGGATTCTTAACATTTTCTGGTCAGAAAACATCACAAAAACCAAATGGTGGGAGGGACTATAACCACAGTGAGTCCTTCTTCATGCCAAAAGAAATTACAGCCCACTCTCTTTTGTACCTGAATGAGTCCATTATTAGCATTATTCAATTAAAAAGAGGGAAAGGAGGCATTTTATAAAATTGTTGGCATGCAGCCGCCATCCCTGATAAGATACTAGTGGATATAATTCCTATATATGTAGACATTCAGTTGAATGAGGTTTGCACACATTGATCACACCTGTTTGCTACAATTTGCCATGCCAGTTATCTTGTTTCCCTTTTTTGCCCAAGGATGTTGTACATGAAAGTAGCGCATCCTGTGGAAGAGCTTTTTCTAACCAAAGGAGCTATCCTATTGTTAATTCTGACATAAACCTGCATAAGTAGAGAGAAATGCAGATTTCAGCCTGCCATGCTGAGAATTTGCTTTGTTTGATCTGCGTATTGCAGGACACATGATGTTCAGCATGCTCTGAGGCCCCTGAAATACCTCGCTACCACACAGGCCATATTTTTTAATAACCACTTTAACACAGAGCAGGGGAAATCTCAGCCACACACAGCTCAGGATGCTATAACCAGAGAGCCTCCTGGGAGCAGTCGGTCCACTCCTAGGCTTGTTTTCTCGTGACACACATCTTCTGTCTAAATTCTTTAGCGAGGATTCTCAGGCCTCAGCGTGGTGAGGAGTATGGACTCCCTAGCTGTGAAACAAATGGCGAATGTGTTAGTGGCCAGGGCTGGTAGTTACTCCCGTTCAGTGTCATCGAGTGTATGTGATAAAACCGGTGTCTAAAGATTTCCTTGGTCTCTGCCCAGGAGCAAAAAGAAACTTTCCTTCAAGGACTATTAACGTCACACGATTCAAAGCATATCACACCCCAGGTGTTTTTAGGCATCAAGAGAATATACACTATACATCAATGATCAGTTGCCTAAAAACAACACATATATATTAGGCTGAGGAATGCCAACAACACATCTTGTGGCTACCCGGCGAACTGATATAGTTAGGAACATATATGTGCGTTGGGCTATAATGACATTTCCTTGTATCACATCTATCAGGTTACAAGCGACTAATAATTTTCTTTTGCTAGTCACAGCCAAACATTATAATGGCACATACCATAAATCAACATCAACACGGAACATTGCTTAGCAAATATAAATGTATGTGCATTGCCGAATGATCTGAGATTACAAAAATATATCAGAAGTCAAAAGTAGCTGGTGGAGAAACGCTATGTCTTTAGTTTATTGAGATTGTTTGGAGGATCCTAATGTACTGTCACTGAAAGAATAATTTTTCCTTTACAATCTACTTAGCAAAGATTTATCGATCCTTTCCCCCTTCATAGAGAATTACTGATCCATTTTAGAAAATCAGATTTTCACACCTTTCATGAGAATGTGCCCAGCGCAGTTCTCAGGGGACTGCCCGGGAAGTTGACTTTGACGTGCAGTCCCTTGAAACTTACACACCACAGCCTAGTGTCTCATCGCTGATTTGTTGCACCAGGCAGTAACAATCTTTCATACATTTATAGAGAAATGATTGTACTGCAAGGACTTATTTTTCCGCGCTAGTGGATGTATTCAGGGTACTGTTATTTGTGTAAACAGCATTTTTCAGATGTGGTGCTTTTTCTTACTCTTTTCTTCCCTGTCTTCTCAGCTGTAATGTTATGAACAGTAAGGTAAGATAAAAGTTGCTGAAAATCGTGCTGCAAAGCCATGGGATGCCGTAGAATTTTTCAGTGTGCGTAAATAACTTTCTTCAAGCCGTACACGTCTGCCCTGCTCTCATTATGGGAGTAACCTAGGTAGCTAAGCAGCCGACATGTTATATTGAAGTATGCATCATAATGAAGGTGATTTATTATAATTAAAACTGTGTGGAGAGGAGCTTTGTGTTAGACCTATTGTTTCACAGAAGAGCTTCATAAAGAGCATTATGATTAGTTATGGATTTGGGTGAGGGATGTTGTTTACTGGGAGTTACGTGAGTATTAGTCAAAGTCTGAAGTTGCTTTTTGAGTTCTTCTGAACTGGGAAGGAAGAAACGTTCAGTAAAGGAAGAATTTTTATACTGGTAGGAGGAGAGTGTGTATGTGTTTGCATGCAAGAGTAGGAGAGAGGGGGGAGGCAGATAGAGAAGAAAATGACGTGCACCTGAAGTGTTCTCGGCAGGAGCAGTTCTAGAATACTTTATTACATATCTATGGAGACAATGGCATGGACTGTAAGTAGCTCCTGTCTCTTGATATAATAATGCACATAAAGTCGGGGTCAGATTGGGTTCGCTCTGGGCTTTGATGCTGCAGAAGGTCACTAGGGGAATCGATGGACCAAAATGAGTCCTGAGTTTCAGGCAATCAATGCGATTTTTCTATTTAAAGTGGACACTGCTGGGTGTGAATCTTGAGCTTCAAATGCGGGTTGGCTCAGCTTTTCAGGTCAAGAGTAGATTGCATTACAAATAGGTTGTTTATGATCATAATTGAGGTGATGTGGTGAATGCACAATAGGAGAGGCAGTTTGCAAATGCTGCTTTCAAGTTTGGCGCCCTGTTATTTTGGCAGCCACATTCATAGCCATTTGGTTGTGAGGGGATGCCGAGTTCTCTGTTTATTTTGCTATTTTTAATGAATCAAAAGTAAGGAAACTCTTTTAAAAATAGTTATTAAAAATAGAATATTTTAAAATATTTTCTATATTCTGTCTGTTCATCCATCTATCCATCTTCAGGTCTTTCTGATTGGAAGGTAGAGAGAAGGATTCTCTAATGTGTGTTTATATGCACAGACACACACATATGTATTATATATGTGTGTATATATATTTTTAATATTTTTAAATAATTATATTTTTTAAAGTTTTTTTTAAAGTTTGCTCTGGTTGGAAAGTGAATGTAAGATTTTTTATTATTTGCAAAGCTAGAAGAGTTCCGATTTTGTGTTGATATCTCAAGCTCTCACTCTGCAGGGGCAAGAAGATCCCTGTTTAAAAGGACAAATTACAAATGCAGTTTCCCCTCCAGAATAAAAGTTCTGGAGTTGCTGAAGGATCTTTTATGAGTTTTTCTTCATCATGTCACATTGCCACTGAGATATGCTGTATGTCATTTAGGGAAACATTACAGAGGGAAGGCACTGGCGTTTTCTGTTTGGAGGAGAAGGCGAGTGAAAAAAATGGGATTTATAAAAATATTCTGGGGAAGTCTATGAAGGACTCTTCTTTTGGTGTATCCCACAGGGGAACTGGCAGCGACAAAGACAAAAGTAACTGGCAGATTCTGCATTTTACTTAGGGTAAAACTTCACTTCTTCCTGCGAATCAGGTTTCTAACCTACGGGGGAAAATAGCTGAATGGGATTCCCAGTTATTAAAGGGCCAGGAAGCTGGAGAAATTAAGGAATATTAACCTTCCATTAAGTTGAAACACATTTGCCACTGAATTGCTACTTGGTGCTTTTTTTTTTTCTCCACTCTAAAAGATAACATTGCTCCCTAGCTTTTAATTTAAACTTAATTTAATTTGAACTTCAAGGGTTTTAATTTATTAAAAGAAGATGAGAGGAAATAAGTTGAAATCACCAGTGACCCGTGGCAGAAGGCCAAGTTCACACTGTCCGCCACAGGTCCTGGCAGCCTTTTGCATTCAAATAAACATTTTTTTTTAAACAAAGAGCTAATTGAGTATATTTGTAATAACATAAGTCACAAGTACAGTTGTACAGAGATCTAAATTTATTTGCCCAAACTGGAAAAATGCCGCCCAAAGAATATGAGGCGTGCGGGAGAGGAGAGGCGTGCTGAGAACAGGTGGAGCCTTTGCCTACAGGATACAGCTCATTTGCAAGGAGTACAGGCTGTCTCTCTGTCTGTGATGAAGGGTCTTTTTATGTAGGGCCCAGATGTAGCACTTTGGTTCACATTACCATCCTTATCCCTGAGTCTTCTTTTAATCATCTCTAGACTTTTGTGCAGCAGGAATGATTAGAGTTCTTAGCCAAACCATTTTGTGTTTGTTTATTTAATTGTAACAGTCCCCAAACAACTCAGAAATAAGCTACCGAAAATAGTCTTTTAGAATATGCTTCCATTGGGTAGCACCTTCAATCTCAGGAATCAGAAATACTATGTAAAGACCTGCAAAGTATGGAAAGAATGATTTAATTATAATTAATTGTCATGAATGATGCCATTTACATTTATTCTACATAATACTAAATACAAAATTTAACTTTTAAGGCAGGATGTTTTTTTCTTTGCTTTACCAGTGACTCTATAAGACATATGCCATTTAAAAATAAGAGGAAGGGGAAGTTTCAAGTTTTTAGTTATGATTCTTAGTTTTCAGAATAAGTTTGTTTGTGAAAGGAATACAATGCTTAAGTTTTATCTGACATAGATTTAAAAAAAAAAATCTTATGTCTTATACTCCAAGAAGGAATACCCAGCAAATGGAAAAATACATTTTATGCATATGAATTTATATGTCATTTTATATTTGACAATATTTCACATGAAATTTGAGCCTCTTATATTTATTATTCCATTTAATTCACAGTGTCCTAGTATTTTAACTTGTAGGTCCATGGTGAAATGAAAGAGTACCTGTTATTATTATTATTATTATTATTATTATTTTAAACCTTTATTTTAGGTTCAAGGGTACATGTGCAGGTTTGTTATATAGGTAAATTTCGTGTCATGGGGGTTTTGTATACAGACTATTTCATCACCCTGATACAAAGCATACTCTTACTGATTATGATTTTGAAATCTTTCTTACATAATCCTCATTTGAAAAATGAATTTGAGAGACTCAGTTGCTGTTTAAAGACCCTGAGGCCTTTTGGGGAGGGTGAATTAAGACTTCCAGTGAGATGCTTCTTCCTACAAAATCACTTTTCCCTCAGATGAGGATACTGAGGTAATGGAAAAACCCTTAATCTCCAAAGCATCCCTGAATGTGCCACCCTGAAAATTAACCTCATTTATCCCTTTCCCCAACCTTCATTTATTTTCTTTTTTGAGACCTCAGAAAAATTGAGCACATAAATTAAAGTGTCCTCTTAGCTGCTCTAACTTATGCAACCAGCATTTACTCAGCAGCACCCTGGGTCTCGGAGACCTTGGTAACATCACTGGGGTCATATTTTTACCCAGACAAACTGCTCATGAGCCATTTTTTCAACATCTTAGACCCAAACTGGCTTTTCTTTGATTTCAGAGATGAAGGTTGTCTTCTTTTTTGTCTTAATTTTTT
The DNA here is from genome assembly GCF_000001405.40 of Homo sapiens. NCBI lineage: Eukaryota > Metazoa > Chordata > Mammalia > Primates > Hominidae > Homo > Homo sapiens. The sequence goes on from NC_000007.14 coordinate 39,037,525, forward strand.
TTGAAAAGGCATTTATTGTGGCTATTCTGAGAAAAATCTCACTTTCTAGTAACATTTGCTTTCTCCTTTGTGTCTCCAGCAACGTATTTGGCAAATAAAGAGATACAGGATCTTACTCTGTATTTATGTTTTCATTTTTTTATTTGGAGGCACCCTGTCCACGTTTCCAGTACCACAGACCAAATCATGTTTGTTGATATTTTTCAAAAACAGGTCTAGTTCTGAAGAGAGGTTTTGGTTGATTTGCTCTTGGGAGAGGTTCTTTGTGCCATCGGCCTGATTGTTTAGCACTACCATCAGTAGAGGTTAGGATACCTTTCTAGTTTTCTGAAGGCCAAGGGTCAATAAAACATCCCCCGACCATTTACCGCCCCATATTAGTTTAAGCAAGCAAGAGACATGCAATAAGCTATTTTCCAAAAATCTCTCCAAATTCAAATATATAGCAGGTTTATTTTGATGGTCTTAAAGAAAGGAGTTCTCACTGGAAACAGGTAATCTACTCAAGGGACCAGTTGAATGAATGTGTGTTGGTCACAGACCTGTTCAAGCTGTAGCTTAACTGAGCATTCAAAAATTAAGGAATAAAATGGTTTGCCAACTCTGGAGTTTCTCTCTTTTGTCATAGGATTGTTTCTTCCACTTGTAAGAACTGTCTGGAGGACTGACTCTGTCCCACCAAGATGAGGATACAAGATCACATTTTTTTTGACGTACCCTTTTCTTTGGTATACTATACTTTTCCATCATTTATGTCACCTAGTTTTCATTGTATATTAAAATTTGCATTTGTTTCAGGGGAAAATTAAGCTGACTATTTCTAAGGAATTTAAACACTCCTATGAACATTTAAGGCCTCTATTTTTAATATAAAATGGTAAATTTATTTTGCCTAAAATAAATGTATTTGAATCCCAAAAGGTTTAAGTTAGTTTTAGGAAGATAACTGATAGCAAAGACCATTTCCCAAGCACCCGCCACAACACACATACAAACAGCACTCAGATCTCTGAAAATTTAGCCTTAAGGCAATTTGAATCTTGGGGAAATATCTCCTCATTTTTCATTCTGGCTTGACTTTATTATAACCTTGGAATTAAGTGCGGTGTTTATTCTTTCTTGTGTATCCCTTTAAAAACCTCTTTAGTAATGCTGTTAAACTGCTGAAACCCTTGCCTTATCATCCATACCCACTGTAGTTCTTGCTGATATCTTAATTAACTCCTACATTCCTCTATTTAAATCTTGGCTAGTGTAGAATACGTCCCATTGGAAGCAACAGTACCTGGGCTGACTTTAGTTGTTTCTTTGTGATTTGTCTCAGGCATATGAGAGAGCTTCTTCTTACCCCAGTATCTCCTTCTGTCGACAGGGAATATTAGGTCACCACAGAGACAAAAGAAGGGGAAACTGTGGGTGTTTAATAATGAGGGAAGACAAAACTGCTTATGAAGTGCTCTTAGTTCCCAGGGAATAGGTGATATATAAATACATGGATTTAGGGCATGGATTCAAGCCAGTTTGAATTCACATAAGTTTTGTTGGACAATTGTATCACAATATTGACTCAAGTCCAGATTAGGGCCTCTAGGGTGTCCCTTTCTCTACTAATTTGTAGTTTATTGGTTCCAAGATTCCATTACTCTCTATCTGATTTTCTCGACATTTCTCTTGCTATTTTACCATGGTCAAAAGTTCTGTTTGGAAATGGCAGATACAAGAGGTTATAGAATGCTGGCTTCACATTTAATTTCCTTCATTCTTGGAGACTCACTGTGTTCTCTGTAATTTATTAAAAGAAAATGAATCAATGGTAAAAAGGGCTTATTAGTCAATTTCCATTGCAATCTGACTTTTTTTGTCATCTACATCCTCAGATGTCTACATCTTTAATTTTATGAAGTACAGGTGAGCTCCTTTATGGACGCATCAACTAATTGCATTCACTTAAAGAAAAAAAGAGACTATATTTTTTTCTTTACTCTCTCACTATAGACAATCTCCATAATTGCAAAAAGAAAAGAAAGGTAAATAATGATGCCAAGTAATTCTAATTATTTCAATGGATATTGGAACTCTATCAATTACTTAAATAACTTAGGAATGGAGGTATGTTGGATTAAGAACCATCAGCATGTGAGTTGATAGTCGCAAATAAAACAAATGGTTTGAGACACACATAATATCCGGGACTCTGGTCCTGAGATACTTCTGAATCTAGTATCCCATGAAAGGTATGTCTACAAATTTGGATTTTCAGTTTTTGAGTAATGGGCAAAGGTTAGGTGGAGAGTGCATTTGGAAATCATACTGTGAAACCAGAAGTTTGACTGGGGCTCAACTTGGTGTGATATCGGATTAGGTATAGAGCTTGATGCAATGACTTCAAATCTCTGGTGAATGCAGGTGTCTGGAATCCTGGGCTTAAGTGGGTTGTACTGAATTCCCTCACCTGCTTTTTATCAGCAGCTGTATTGACAAGATTTTCATTACTTCCTAAATGTCTGCACTGGCTTGCTTTATTTTTCCTTTTAAAGTTTATATATATTATATACATATATATGTATTATATATATGTATATATTATATACATTTATATATATATATATATAAATCCCAGATTGACTGAGTTAATCCAGATATCCAGATAACTGCACTTTACTTCTATAGCAAGCTTTACAGGGCCAATAATTTTCTTGCATGTAAAATAATGCATAGGTAGTAAAATGTACAAAAAAACATTAATTTCTTTATTTCTACTGCCATAAAAATCTATCTATATATTTTTAGAAAATCTGAGACATAAAATTTCATTACATAGAATTAACCTGAATTACATTTAATATAATGTAGTTATCCTATCTTTAAGACATATTTTGTGATCTTACCTTTAGCCAGTAATTAATGCCACTTCTAAGATAATAAACAACATTATTTCCTAAGGAAATAGTCAGAAATGGAATGAAAATTTTCTGTACAGTTAACAAATTACCCATAAAATGTAAACTTGGTTTTGAAAAAACCCAAAGCTATGTTTTCCAGAAGAAAACAACTGGAAAAAAATGTAGAAAATAGTAATAGTGGTTATTCTGAAATAGAATTCTGGGTAATTTTAATTTTCTTCCCTGTTCTTTTTTATATTTTGTATTTTTCCTATAGTAATCATTTATTATTTTTCAATGATAAAATATGTAAATCATAATTTAAGAAAAGTATTCAAGCAATAATCTTCAATGAAACAAATTCAAATATTCAAGTATGTAAATTACAACATGGTACTTTGCCTCTTGTCCCACTATGATTCTGTTCTAATTTCTGTTTACCCTTCCTGACATCTTTTCTGTGCCTCTAAACTCACACAAACGCATACACTTTCGCATACTTACATACTCAAACACATACAGACTTTTTTAAAAATGAAAATATACTCATACAGTGGTCTGTAGAATTTTTCAAGCCAATTATTAAAGGGTTGGTGCTTGAATCGAGCCATGGTTAGTGTTCACCTCATGGACATCAGCAAACACTACTCAAGGCTTCCTCCTTCAATGAGAGATGGATCCCAACACACCAGTGGTGTGTACTGTATGTTTTATTCAGCAGCTTGCTTTTCACTTAGTAATGTACCACAGGCCTTGTTCCAAGTCAGTACATATAGCTTTATCTGATTTTTTTTATGGTTGCGTGATCTTCTGTTGCATCGATGGAACCATCTCTCTATGGATAAACTTTTGTGCATTTTCCAATTTTTCACTTCACAAGTTATCCTGTAAAGAAGTATGATGCTTATATAATTGAGGTATTTGTGCAAGTCTTTCTGAAGTTCAGATTCTTAGAAGTGGAGGTTCGTTGGTCAAAAGACATGTAAATTTAAAGTTTGACTACTATTGGTAGATTGCTCTCCAAAATCATTGTTCCAGTTTATACATCAACCAATTCTCCATCTTCTGGTGATCTTTTGATTGAAATCAATCTTCTAAATTTTCTAATTTTATAGGCAAAATGATAAGTATACTTTAATTATCTGTAAGGTTAACCACTTTTTTATGTTTATTGGTCATTTGAATGTCTTTTTGATTTATTTATAGGTACCCTTTATATTATGGATACTACATTTTTGTTACATGTGTTGTAAATATTTTCTTCCAATATATTCTTTTTTATTTCCATCTTATTGATGGTTTCTTTTGTCTTATAAGAGATAAAATTTTGCCTTATGATATCTAGCTTTCATGCCAGACTTATAAAGTCTTCTCTAATCTAAGACTAGGACATTATTAGATGATATCTTTTCTTCCACATGTTTTCATGGAAAAGGAGGCTTCCATTCCCACCCAAAGACCCAAGGAGTATTGAAATGATCTCATCTACTTCTTTACTTTTCACCATGCGAGGAGGATTGGCTAATTTGACTGGTAAGAATCACAGGCATTTATTGGGCTGGATTTACAAACGTTATGGTCAGAGTGTTGAAACTGATAGTTTCCTATGACACAGCCTCTTGTCTTCTTGGATACATACTCTGAAGAATGGGCAGGAGAGCATGTGGGAGGAACAGAGGGAAAGTTGTTTTCCATGCCTACATTTTTATAGAGGTTCCATTTCAATGCCCACTGAGACTATGTAAATAAGACATCAAAGGAATCAGAGGAAAATGATCAATTAAAAATGTGAGTGGCCAAGCTGTAAAATAGAAAGAGCAAATTAAATGAATGGTGACTCCTGCAATGCTACTCCCCACTGTGGCATACATACTAGTGTTTACAGCTTCCTGGTTCATGGGAGGATTGTACTTCTCTGCCCTTTAGAAGTTAAGAGGAACCACTGAATGAGTTCTGGCCACTGGACTGTGGTGGAAAAGTGATGTATGTCACTGTATAGCCAGGACATTCAATTGGGATGGTGAGACTTTCTGCTGCAGTGATCATGGAAGGATGTGCTGAGATCCATGCCTCTGTCAGCAGGGTCTCTGAGTGACGAGAGTGAACAGAGCCCTGCTGCCAACCCATGTTTGACATGTAGCATGAACAAGAAAAAAATGCTGTTTTAAGATGCTGAGATTTTGAAGTGAAGTTGTTTGTTACTGCAGACTGACCTAGCCTATGCTGACTGTCACATTCATCAACAAACAGTGTAGACCTCACCCCAGGTGTATTCCCTTTAATGTCAGCCTCTTTAGAGGGGCTTACCTTGCACTGTCAATCTCCAAGTGGTAAATGGATCTTATCAGAGTCTGCTGGAGACCCATTGAGATGCCTGTTTGTACTTTGTTTCAGCTTTTCAGTTCTATGTGGCTGGCTAAGTCGTGCCTTCAGGGCACACTGACCTGTTTTTAACTGGGGCAGGGAGAATAGAAATCTTCTCCTTTGTCTCAGGCTGTCTCTTACACTGCATCCTCCAATCAGAGGCCTTGCCTTTGGAAGATTTGGAAACACCTGCCAGGACATGAATAACATTGGCAATTTGATCCTCACTGGGCAAGTGATTCTGGAGTGTGTGTATGTTCTCTGTAAGTTGGATCCCAGAAAGGATAATGGGGGAGTGTTAGGCTTCCTAACATCCCACAAAAGACATCCTCCTTAATTTTATTCTGGTAGAAGTTTTATATTTATATCATAGGAGTACAGTTTTAACATGCTATATTTTGCACATTATTGTGTTTAACATGACACATTTAATTCAAGCATGCAATTCTGAATTCCACCACCTTTTTATGTAAAAATGGTAAGAAAATACACTGGGAAAAAAAATGGAACTCTTAGAAATTTCACCATCTGACCTAGGAATGGACACCAATACTATAAAGTAGCAAAGACTATTTATGAGAGCAATTTTTGTGACATTATTCTCTGTCTATAAATATGTCCTCAATGCAAGAAGACCAAGGAGGGGGAAACTCCCCTGTAATACTCATTTAGGGAAGTGAAGGACTGCTTTCCAAACCAAGGCAAGTGCTGTTGCAGTAATGGGGCATCAAACAGGCAAAATTGCATGTGTTGTCAATGGCTACAGTGTAATTTTATTGATTTACAATGTTTAAAGTGAAGACATGATTTCTGGCTTATATAAGGTGTCACACTGGAGTAATTGCACACCAACTGGATTTTATGACCAGTAAAGAACATGTAATGCCCACACAGATTCCTCAGGCTGTCTAGCATTTACGGTTGTTCAGTAATCAAGGAGTTGTTATTAGCCGTTGTCTTGCTTGAATAGTCACAGAAAGAACAGATGTTACCTGGCATGGACTTGGTTTTAGCATACTTATTTAAATCCTCCAAAGGAAAACATCCTCAAGTTGCTAGCTTGGTGTAGTCTTGATCCATTCTGCCCCCTTGGTCCTCCATTGTCCAGGTTTTCAGGAATCCCATAATGCTCTCTGTTGCATGAAGGCTGCCATACCCCAGGCTCAAGTACAAAATTATTGGGAAATACATCTGTCTTTAAGCAATTCACCAGAGTCCTCAGAGGCAGTGATTCTCATGCCCCTTCATCAGAATCACCAGGTTTCCAGGCCCTATCTCAGATGCATTGAAGTAGAATCTCCTGGGCGTAGGGACTTAAAGAGTGCATTTTGAACAAACACCCTAGGGGATTCTTACGCACAGGAGAGTCTAGGAACCTGGAAGTGAAGAAAGAATGTACTTAAGCTGTGACCCATTAGAAAATTTTAAAGAACGTATGGGGTCGATTTTCATTATCATTTTGTTTTCCATTTATGAAATACCTTTATTCAGAGAAACTAAAAAATCCAAGTTTACATCCTTTTTCCAAATGATTTTCATGATGCTTTAAGACACATTACATTCAAGATTTGTTGTGCATAAGAATACATGTCCATATATTTCTACTTCTACAGGGATTATAGATATATTTTATGTAAAGATTCTTTCTGGAGCTTACCCATTCCATTTTTGACAATAAAATGTTTTGAGATATTTTGAGACAATTGTGTTTAATGAAGGAGCAGATACTGTAGCATTTTGATTTAAAATTAAAAGACGTTGTTTTTCTGAGACTGATAGATTTATAAAGCGATTTTCAAAATATTGCCACCTTCGTCATGAAATAATAAATGTTTTCTGAGACTGACCAATACTGTGATGGGATTAAATTAGAAATCCATTTCTGTTCTTACAGGTTGTTGTGGTTAGCACAGGATGTCGTTTCTCACAGGCTAAAAATTGCTGACAGAGCCCATGAATAAGTTGATAAATATGAGCATTTTTTTGCAGAAAAAACATGTTCAAGTTAGCATGCAGAAAGAAGAAAAGATATTTTTCCATATGATGTTTTATAAGAAGGCTGTGATTTTTTTTTGTAACTGGTGATTGGCTTAGCTGGGAAACATATTAAAGGGCAATTATCAGTCCTCTTTGAAGGCACAAAAGGTGATTCCTATCTGTGGTCATTCCAGGGGCATGGTTTGGTCCCTTTCTGAACCCTCACCAGATGCAAATCTTATTTGATCAATTTTGCAATGCTTCTTGTGAAAACAGACTGGCATAAGGAGTCTGTGGCCTTCTAGGTAGTGACTTCTCTGGGTACACAGGTATCCATCTCATTACAGTAATGTTCCTTGAGATTCTTTAAGGCTGTAAACCCTGTAGTTATGATATAGTACACTCCTCTATCAGTTTCCATTCCTCAGAGCAATAAGCATCGCGAATTCGCATCCCGTACCTATAGCTCGAACTGAGAAATTATCAGCACCTTAGTCAGCTTCAGGACCCACTGGGTGGGATTTTCACTCCTACCTTTACATGCCCCAAAGCATGAGAGCTTCCTATATAAAAGCCTGTGGCTAACCCAGCTTCATTCATTCCAGAGGTGTGAGGGGAGGGGTTTCCAGCAAGTTATAGCTCTTTATGCTCTCTCCCTGCCAAGATTCTAGGCACATTGCCATTCGTAGACTTTATGGGATTTTTCCAGTATCTGTTTGCCATAAACCTTCTTGATCTCTCTGACTTCCCTTCTAGTATTATTTGTATTCTCACATTGGGATGAGGCTCTTTAGCTTGTTTTTTTTTTTAATCTTTATTGAGGCATAATTTACATGCTGTACATTCACTCATTCAAAATGTACAATGTAATGATTTTTGTTAAATTTGTGAAGTTTCACAACCATCACTACAACCAGTTTTAGAACACTGTCTTCATTCCAAAATGTTTCCTTATTCCCCTCTACAGCCAGTCTCCACTCCTACCCCTACCCCAGGCAACCAAAGGTCTGCTTTCTGTCACTACAAATTGGCCTTTTCCAGACATTTTACTAATCCATTTTTATTTTCCATTTTACTTTAATTTTATCACATTTTATTTACCCATTCATAGTTGACAGACACTTGGATTGTTTCCTGTCTTTTGCTATTAAGAGTAATGTGGCTATGATCAGGCAGATACAAGTATTTGTGTAGAGATGTTTTCACTTTTCTTGGGTAGATTCTTAGAAGTGGGATTTGTGGGTCATATTGATATGTTTATGGTTCACTTTTTAGAAAACTGTTAAACAGTTTTCCAAATGGCTGTACCATTTTACATTAGCATCAGCAGGATATAACAGCTCAGGTTTCTCCACCTTCTTGCCAAAAATTGATATTGTCTATATTTTTTATTATAACTATTGTAATGGATTTATTGTGGTATCTCATTGTGGTTTAATTTGCGTTTCTCAAATTACTAAATAAGTGAGCATCCTTTCCCGTGTCTTTTAGCTATTTGTATATCTCATTTGGCGAAAGTATATTTAAATTTTTTTCTCATTTTTAAATTGAGTTGTTTGTCTTATTGAGCTGAAGAGTTTGTTATATATTCTGGATACAAGCACTTTGTCGGAAATCTGATTTTCAAATATTTTCCCCCAGTCTGTGGCTTGTCTTTTTATTTTCTTAATAGTTTAATTTGAAGTGCAAGAGTTATTCATCTTAATAATCTTTTTTAAAAAATGGGTTGTGCTTTTATTGTCACATTAAGAATTCCTTATATAACCCAAGTCACAGAGCTTTTCTTCTAGATCAGGATTTTGCATAACAGCATTCTTGCTATTTTCTTCTCGATCAGGATTTTGCAATAGCAGCATTCTTGATATGTTGAGCCAGATAATTCTTTGTCATGGGAGCCTGTCTTTTTCATTCCAGAATACATAGCAGCATCCATGGCTTTTATGCACTAGATCCATTAGCGCTTGCCTGACCCCTTCTCACTGGTTATGACAACTGAAAATGTCTCGAGACATTATCAAATGTCCCTTGGCAAGCAAATTCATCCTGATTGAGAACCACTGTTCCAGAAGTTTTATAGTTTAAACTACTAGCATTTAGGGTTATGGTCTATTTTGAGTTTATTTGTGCATGTGGTATGAGATAAAGATCTAAGTTCTTTTTTTCTTTCATATGAATATCCACTTGTCCCAGCACCATTTGTTAACAGACTGTCATTCCCCCCATTAAATTGTCTCCACATTTTTGTCAAAAATTAATTGACCAAAATTGTAAACATTTAATTCTGGAATTTCATTTTGCTCCATTAACCTATATACATACACTTACAGCAATGCCTCACTGCCTTGATTACTGTAGCTTTATAGTAAGTTTTGAAACCAGGTAGTTAGTGCAAGTCTTCCAACTTTGTTCTTCTTTTTGGAAATTATTCAGGTTATTCCAGGCTCTCTGCATTTATGTATAAATTTTATATATTGATCAATTTGTCATTTTTCACAAAAAAAGCCTATTGAAATTTTGATAGAAATTGCCATGAATCTGTATAAATAAAATTGAGGAGAATTGCCATTTTAACACTATTAGGTTTTCCAATCCATGAAAAGGGAATATGTCTCCACTTATTTCTTTACCTCCCTTTATTTCTTTCACTCAGCACTTGTAGTTTTCATTGTATAAATCTTACACTTTGTTAGATTCATCATTAGTATTTTGTTTTATGTTACTATTGTGAATGGAATTGTATTCTTGATTTGATTTTCAGATTGTTCATTACTAGTATTTGCAACGACAATAGATTTTTTGTATATTGATCTTCTATCATGCAACCTTGTAGAAGGCGTGTGGTGTGTATGTGTATATTCCTAGAACTTTCTCCATACAAGATTATGTCATCTGCAAACAAAAAAAATTGTTTTTGACCATTCTTCTTTTCCAGTGTAGATGCACTTAATATTTTTTCTGTAGACATTGAGGAAATTCTGTTTGATTCCATTTAAAATTTTTTAAAAATCATGAATGCATGTGGAATTTTGTCAACTGCCTTTTCTTTTTCTACATCTGTAAAATGGTCATGTAAGGTAATTTTTAGGTGTTAAATCAACTTTGTATTCTTAGGTAAATCCCACTTGGTTGTGGTATAAAATATGTTTAAACTGCTGATTGGTTTGGTTTGCTAATTTTTTAAAAGAATTTTTGCCTCTGTATTCTCAGGGACATTAATCTGCAATTTTATTTTTTTATGATGTCTTTGGCTGGCTTTGTTAAATAGGCCTCGTAGAATGATTTGGAAAGACTTTACTCTTTCTCTATTTTCTGAAAGAGCAATTGAAGGATTGGTATTTAAATAGTTGATAGAATTCATCAGTGAAGCTATCTAGAACTAGGAGTTTCTTTGTGGTAAGAGTTTTAAATTACGAATTCCATTGCTTTATTGGTTGTAGGTCTATACAAATTTTCTCTCTTTTTTTAAGCTTTTATCTTAGTTTCAGGGGTATGTGTGCAGTTTTGTTACATAGCTAAATTGTATGTTGTGGGGTTTGGTGTTCAGATTATTTCATCACCCAGGTAATAAGCATATTACCTGATAGGTAGTTTTTTTTTTATCTTCACCCACCTCTCACCCTGCACCCTCAAGTAGGCCCCAGTGTCTGTTGTTCCCCTCTTTGTGTCTATGTGTTCTAAGTGAGAAAATGCATTATTTGGTTTTCTGTTCCTGTGTTAGTGTCCTAAGGACAATGGCCTCCAGCTCCATATTGCTGCAATGGACATGATCTCATTCTTTTTTATGGCTGCCTAATAGTCCATGGTGTATATGTACCGTGTTTTCTTTATCCAGTCTACCGTTGATGGGCATCTAGGTTGATTCCATATCGTTGTTATTGTGAATAGTGCTGCAATGAACATACATGTGCATGTCTTTTTGATAGAAAAATTTATATTCCTTTGTGTATATACCCAATAATGGGATTGCTGGGTTTCATGGTAGTTCTAAGTTCTTTGGGAAATTACCAAACTGCTTTCCACAGTGGTTGAACTAATTTACATTCCCACCAGCAGTGTATGAGCCGTCCCTTTTTTCCACAACTTCCCAGCATCTATTTTTATGACTTTTTAATAATAGCCATTCTGACTGGTGTGAGATGGTATCTCATATCTATACAGATTTCCTATGTCTTCTTGAGTCAGTTTGCTCATTTCTGTCTTTCTAGAAATTTGTCATTTCATCTAATTTGTCAAATTTTGGGGAAAAAGTTGTTAATGTCCCTTTAGAATCCTTTTAATTTCTGTAGGGTTGGTACTGATGTTACCTCTTTTGCTCTTTATTTTGGCAATTTGTGCTTTCTTTCTTTTTATTCTTAGTTTGGCTGAAGATTTACCAATTTTGTTGATCTTTTTAAATAATCACCTTTTGGTTTCGTTATTTTCTATGTTTTTTTCTATTTCCTTGATGTTCATGTAAATCCATATTATTTCCTTTTTCTTTTTGTTTTTGGGTTTAGGTTGCTCTTATTTTTCTAGTTAGCTAAAGAGGAAGCTTGAATTATTGACTGGAGACTATTTTTCTTTTTGTAAACTATAAACTTCCTTTTAAGCACTGTTTTAAATGCATGATATACATATTTTGATTTTTTTGTTTTTAATTCAGCTCAAAATATTTTGCAATTTTCTCTCACTCATGGGTGTTAGAAGTGTGTTGTTTAATTTCCAAATATTTGGGGATTCATCAGATCTCTTTCTTTCATTGATTTCTGACTTAATTCCGTTGTAGTCATAGAACACACTTTATATTATTTCAATCCTTTAAATTTATTGAGGCTTGCTTTATAGCCTAGCATAGAGATCAGCAAATGATAGCTTGTGGTTATGCATCTTAAGTAATTACAATTTACTTTATCATAATACCAACTTAATTCTGCTCTGTTATATCTAGCAGTGTGCCCCTGAAGTAGAATTTTTATTTTAGTTATTGTACTTTTATCACCAGAATTTCCATTTGGATTTTTAAAATAATTTCTATATCTTTACTGAGGTCCTTTATTTTTTGGACTATTGTCATAATAATTTCCCTTAATTATTTACTGTTAATTTACTCTAGTTCTTTGAACATATATATAAAACTGAGTTGATGTTGTTATCTGCTAAATTTGGCATCTGAGGACACTCAGAGAAATGTCTATTCACTGCTATTTTCCTTCTTTAATATGAGTAACACTTTCCTGTTTCTTTGCATGTCTCATAATTTTTATTGAATGTGGACTATTTTAAGATGCCATATTATAGCAGCTCTTGATTCCAATTTTTTTTGTTCTGGAGGTTATTACCAATATTGTTTTAAAAATGTGTTTATATCTTTGTTTAGTAACTTGTTTGGACTAAATTTTTGAAGTTTTTTTCATCTATAGTGTGTGGACACTACTCTCTGCTTAGCACCCCTTTTCCCCCAACCCCCTTGCCACAACCTTGTTCATATTTTTAAGGCTGACTTCTTAGGAGTCCTGTTTCTGCATAACCTAATGGTCAGCCAATGATTAGTGAGAGATTGGGCCCAAACACTTCAAGCCAGCAAAATCTCCCGCTGAGTTGATGGGTCTCTATGTGGATTCAGGAAAAAGTTTATAGTTCAGACAGTTTTTAGTTCAGGCTGTTTTGCAGTTTCTGGTATCTCCTCTGCAAAACACAGAGGTTCCTGGTAAGACAGGGATATGTGAACAGCTTGGACTTCTTCCAGTCTCCCCTGTGTGTACACATCACCTCCAGTCAACCAAGGGTATCAAGTGTCTCTATGACTGTCTCATTTCCCATATTTTCCTGCTAAACTTCTGGTTGGCCCATTAGGGCCTCAACCAGGATTCAACCTCAGGTATCAAAATTTGTTGTCCTAATTCCCTTGTCTTTGATATTGTTGCTTATTGTTGACATCTCTGCTGGGGATGGGATTGTCCAACTACTGCTCCAAATCAAGTTATTTTCCTCCTACACTTAAGCTGCTATTCACCATGTGCCCTACCATCTAAGAATTACCATGAAGAAAAATCTGGGGGACAAGAAGGGGAGCAGCCCAGGCAAAAATGCCATGGATTTCCACAGTTCTCATGAAAATTTGATAGTTTTTCTTTAATAAGTGCTTATCAGTTTGCTGTAAGTGTTTGGTCAATTTCCAGGACACTGTAATGGTTGTTTCTGATACATTTGTCTAGTTTTATCATTACTGTTTGGAGAAAATATTTGGTGACTTGCTCATTCCACCAATTCATTCGCCTCTTTTTTTGTTTCCCCATAAGCTGCAGCATCTTGAATTATTCACTTAGATCCCACAGGCCACCATGCCTAGCCTATGCTTCAGGACACCTCATATAGCCTAGCCCAGTGCTCTGCAATGGGCCTTAGACATCTAGGAGAAGACAGAATTAAATATTTTTATTATTTTGAATTTTCATGCAAATGAACCTCAGATCATTGCTTAGAGTGAGTCTCTGATAGGCAGAAGTTCTACAGGCAAAGGACACCAAGGGGCAAAGCTGATCCACAAGAGTGGCATCACTGAACACAACCCATATTCCATTTTTTGCTTAAGAGCAAGTAGTAGAGCTGGCTAGTTTTCATGTGTCTTTTATTTTACAGTATATGTTTGAGTAGGTTTGGGTAGAAATTGCTGGTGAGGGCTAATGCTCGAAAATCTACTTGTTACTTTCTATGTACATAATATTCAGGGCACTGAGGTATGTGATAGGAAAACATCAGGACACTTGAGGAATGATTACATTTCCCTACTTAAGCTTTTCACATATACTCTACAGAAACATTAATCTTGAGTATGAAAAGCCAAAGCTCTAGGTGTAGGAATTGAACAATGTTTGAATAAGGCATTTAGTAATATTCTTTGAGACTTTTAGAGAAGATGTTTTTTACTCAGGTGTAGCTATTCCTTTTATTTTGATTGCCATCCTCTCCTGAAAAAGATAGATTATTCTGTTAAAACAGTTACTAGAGCATGTTCTCAGAAGCAATATGGATCTAGTGGGTGGAGAAGTGGACAGGAAGTTTATGAAAAAGTGTTTGACTCTAGATCCTTATTCAAACATAGTGTATCCATGAGTGTTTATTTTTCTAGAATCCATTTATTCTCTGCTTACTGAAGCTGAGGGTGTCCTTGTCATGCACAATACTGTGTGGTTGGGAGGCGTGTAAAGTAACTATACTTACCATTTGTGTGGCGATTCACCTGTCACGTACTCATGAACACTGAACTGGCTAGGCCCTCTTCTACCGATCACTGGCAGGTGTTGGGGGCTGACTGCTGATTATTTGGGTGTCAGTGCTGAAACACCTTCCTATCACATAGCCTATGCAACTTTGGAGAGCCTTGGAACAACAGCAGAGAATAAGCATCACATAGTGTGTCTTTCCAGTGTGACAGGAGCCATACCTAGCCAGTTTAACAACCATTATTCTTAATCTTCAGAACAACTCCATAAAGTAGATACTGCGACTGCAATATAAATATGAGAAAAACTTGGGCCCAGAGAAATGAAATGATAGTAAAATGTCATAAGGCCAGTGTATTAGTCCGTTCTCACATGGCTATGAAGAAATACATGAGACTGGGTAATTTATTAAGAATTGAAATTTAATTGACTCACAGCTCTGCATGGCTGGAGAGGCCTCAGGAAGCTTATGATCATGGCAGAAGACACCTCTTCACAGGGCAGCAGGAGAGAGAATGAATGCAAACAGGGGAAATACCAGACACTTATAAAACCATCGGATCTCATGAGAACTCACTCACTATCACAAGAACAGCATGGGAGAAACGGCCCCCATGATCCAATTACCTTCACCTGGTCCCACCTTTGACACATGGGGATTATGGGGATTACAGATTAAGGTGATATTTGGATGGGGACACAGAGCCAAACCGTATCAGCCAGTAAGTGGAGAAGAAAGGTTTGAAATTTGATATATCTAATGGCAAAGCCTATGTTTTGGTCACTATGGTGCTCTTCTTCCTTGGGCCATTCACGGAAGCATTCAGATAAAAACATTGTTATTTATTCATCCACTTGTTAATTCAGTATTTATGGGGTGCTCAGTGTGTGCCAGAACCACACTGGACCTTGGCTTTGTCCATTCTCCTAGCTCTTTCAAATCATGATTCTACTTCTAAGGTTTTCTGTTCTTTCTATTGGCTTTCAGAATTTCCTGAAGGTCAGGATCCCCAGATTAGCAGCATCAGCATCACTTGGGAACTTACTAGAAAGCACATTATCAGGCCTGCCACAGATCTACTGAATTAGAAACTTGGGCAGGGGTGTGGGGTATATTGAAGAAGTAGAATACATTCCATTTTTTCAAAGGCCTTAGTAGAGCTGATCTATGATGAAAACCCCTTTAAGATGATGGAAGAAGAAGAACTTAGTGCTCCCTTTTCAGAAATGGTCCCAAAATGAAGAAGGGAAATCCAAGAAATTTTTGCATCACAGCTTTTGCATCACATGGGCCATTTATGTTTGTTCCAGAAAGTAAGCATTCACTAGGAAAGTTACAGTGTATTCACTGTCAAATTGCCTTTTCTCATTGGATCCCTGGTAATTTTGCCCAATAAGGTACTTTCTAAAAGAGAATCCTGATAATTCTTGTCTTTTTCCTTCCTCCTTTCTTCTCTGTCTCTCTTTCCTTTTTGTTATCTTCTCCCTACTTTTCTCTTTTTTCATACATATATTAAATATGTATACACATTTGCCAACACCACCAACTTTTTTCCCCCCAGAAGATCCCTGAGGTAAAGAGTGAGTTACTTAAAATATAAAATGTTCTTTTTTTCTGAACATATGAAATGAATATTTCATCTGTGTGTTCACATGCACATTGGCATGTATAATCTGCAAGCATATGTTACAGATAATTGCCCATTTTTTTTCTATTCTTTATCATCAGTTTTACCACTCTTCTGGGGGTTTTAGAAACTTTTCCTCAGGCTGTCACGCTGTAAAAAATCGCTTTGAAGTACTAACATGTCTCTGGCCTAAGAGAAATCAGTACTGGCAAATAGAACAACAAAATGAAATTTAAAAAAAAAGACCAGCCACGGTGGCTTATGGATGTAATCCGAGCACTTTGGGAGGCAAAGGCGGGCAGATCACTTGAGGTCAGGAGTTAGAGACCAGGCTGGTCAACATAGTGAAACCCTGTCTCTACTAAAAATACAAAAATTAGCCAGGCGTGGTGGCACGTGCCTGTAGTACTAGCTACTAGGGAGGCTGAGGCAGGAGAATTGCTTGAACCTGGAGGTGGAGGTTGCAGTGAGCCGAGATCATGCCTCTACACTCTAGCCTGGGCAACAGAGCAAGACTCCATCTCCAAAAAAAAGAAAAAAAGAAAAAAGAAATTTAAAAAAATCTCTAAACACTTTAAAATGTTTATATATTTTTTAGTATCAAAACTACCACAAGGTACTTTCTGTGTCTTACATTCAGATATATGATTAGACCAATAACACCTTTTGAGAATAATAATTATTATTATCCTATTAATTAGTATGATCCAGTTCTTTATAAAAGGTTACAACATTTCTTATCAACCCTGACCCTCACAACAGTCATGGGCAGCGTAATTGCTCCTATTTTATAGATAAGACGAATAAGCCACAGGAAATTTAAGCAACTTACTCAAACCTCCCATACTAGGGTGACATTAAATAAAATGAAATAAGTGAAATCTAAAGGGGTTTGGCTTATCCTTAATCTTTTATGCCTTTAAAATAGCCATGTTTTATTTCATTTTCTGGAATTGAGGGATGGAAAGTAAATGTGAATGAATACAGGTAATGGCCCTCTAAGCATGAATACAGAGTTCAAAGAGACAAATATTAAGAGGAAGGAGTTACAATGGCTCAGAAAAGGCTTCTTTGAGGAAGGTTGCTTAAACAGACACACAAAATTTGAGTAGGAGAGAGCTGCAGCTGCAGTGGGGGTGGGGGAAGAAGGAGGAATGCTCCTACCACAGCACAGGGAAAAGATCAGAGCTTTTTGGAGACACTTAAAAAAAAAAAAAAGAGCAAGCAAACAAACAAAAAACCATGTCTCACACACTTATTCAATGAGTATGAATACGTGTGTGAGCACATGAAAAAAGCTGCAGAAGTTGAGGATAACAGGTGGAAAAGGCCAGATCATGTAATGATTACTCATTACCCTCAAGATAAGAAAAAGCCACTGAAGAGTCATAAGCAGGGTTGGAGTCTCCGGTGGGGGAGATAATTACATGATCATGTTTGCTATTTAAAAAGATCACTTTGGGTGCAGAGAGAATAGATTGGAAAGGGGCAAAAGCTGCTATCTGAAGGTGAGTTGGATTAGAAGTAGTGGATTGTAGGAACGAAGTAGACGTCAAAGTCAGAAGATAGATAGTGAGGAAAATAAATTAATTAGCCTTGGAGATTAAGTGCAGGTGGTGAGCAAGGGGAACTGGTATGTCAGTGTGTGACTCTTGATAAAGTAATAAAAGAGCTAAGCAATGCTATGATTTGTATGTCATCTTTTACAACTTTCTCTTTGGATATGAGAAAAGATGCAATGGTGGGATTTCTTCTTTCAGGGCAGATAATTTATTATTGTAATTTAAGATAGCTCATCATTGTATTCCAGCAATCCACTAGATTAAGAACACTGCCAGACTTGATCTTATAAGTCCTGTTTGCCTGAATACTAATGGGCAGATTCCGCACTTTAAAAAATCTGCTTTTATGAGTGAGAATATTAAACAAATAATGTTAATTAGGTTACTTTAACTTCCTGTTAAAGATGTTTATCCTTAAGCTCTCCAATTAGAAGCAAATAGGAATATTTTCTTCCTTCCAATCATGACTTCTTTGTTCTTTTCATTCTTTTTTTGTCTAGTTTTTTTTCATTTTGTGATCAGAGTCTGTATGTTTGAGCAAGAACAAAAGTACAAAGCAGGTAAGTAATGTTCTAGACGTTGGTAGAAGAAAATACTGAAACTGAAAATAGTAGATTCCTTCTAGATACACACAAACATAGCACAGAAAGTTTTCTTTTTTTCATCTGATAACATGACTGTGTCTTGATGTTGAGCATTCTGTTTCAATTTTTTCTGGGATGGGGTGAGGCTTTGAAACTCTAGATTCAAGTCTTATTTCTAGAAAATGTTATTAAAGCATACTTTATTATTTCCTAATTTTTTGTTCTTTTCATGTTGAATCTTTTTATTTTGGTCTAGATGACTCATCTATCAATATCTCTTTAATCTTTAAAAAAAAAAGCCATTTGGTATTTGCTTTGTTTTATTTGCATTTAATAACTGGATTGATTTTCCTCAATCCAGTTCTCAATATTTTCAGCAATTTTTATTTTCCCATATAAAATATGAATACAGGGCTGTCATCTGTATAAATTTTTATTTACTCTCTATTTCTCAATTCCAGAAAGTGAGATAAAACATGGTTATTGTGAAGGCATCAGAGAGCCAGGATAGATGTTGTATGTTGTTTCAATTTTGTTTTTATTTTTGTGACAATTTTTTAAATTTTTCCCTCTGTCAACTCCTATTTTATCTCTGTGGTCTTACTATCTTCCATGAGCTATTGAATCTTTGCTTTGTATTCTTGTTTTATAGAGGTTATTCTTTCTTTCATTAAGTTTAAAAATGTATAACAATATATTCGAACATAATGCTTTAAATTGCCTTATGGCAAACATTTTCTGGTGAATGTTCTTTTCTTGATGCATTTTCTTTTGTTGTCTCCTTCTCCATCTTTTTTATAATTTTTGTATGGATAAAGTGTTGACTTCTTTATAAAAATTATTACTCTAAAAACTCAGGACTTCCCAGAATTCAGGATTAGAACTCAACAGAAGCTCTCTCCTTGTTTCTCTCTCTTTCTCTTTTTCTCTCTCTCTCTCTGTGTGTGTGTGTGTATGTGTGTGTGTGTGTGTGTGTGTGTGTAGGTGGTGGGGATGGGGTTGCCAATGCTATGTTCTATGCCAGTAGGACATTTTTTAATAATAGAATTGTGCGTATGTGGGTATTTATTTAGACTTTGCCACTCCCAAGTCAACTGAGATCAGCACTTCCAGGTTGCTCACAAGCTGACAATACAGAATTATCTTCTTTACTCTGTCTTATCAGTGGAATGCTCCCTGAAAACATAACTTGTCTGTATGACCCTTTCTTTTCTTCTCATTGGAATCAAACGAGATTCAGAAAATATTCATTTCTCTATGAGCTGCTGCCCTCAGTTCCATTGTTAAAAAATAATGATTGTTGGTTTTGACTTGAGAATGAGCCCTTCATCTTGGAGAAGGGTGCGTTGGTAGTATTTTCTGAGCTCTGAGGTTGTGGCTTCCTCTCTCTTAAGTCTTTCCTTATCACATTAAACTTTCATTGCTTTTATGGTTCAGGGCTTCAGATGTCTTCTTGTTTTGTTGAAGATGGAATTTGTGCTTCTGTTTCTCATTCTCCTTACTACTTTTGCATGCTTTTAAAAATGGTAACTGGGAAAGGCCATTTTTATACCACCATTCTAAACCAAATATAACAATTTTTAAAAAAATTCTCTCTAAAATTTGAAAAGAAAAAGTGGTAGATCATCATTTTTTTCTGTTTAATTTACATTTCCTTTAATGCTAGTCAGTTTATTTTTGAAATCTTTTTCTATTTCTTTTTATGTCTTTTGTTTCTCATCTTCACACACTTTTATTGGTCTTTTTCAATTTGCAAAGGATGTTAAATCGTTGTATGTCTAGTTTGTTGCAGTTATTAGTGTCAGCTTTTCATTTACCTCCTAATTGTTTATAATGTTTTCAACATGTAAAAGTTCAATAGTTTTGTATTATTAATATTTTCCTTTTTTATTTCTTCCACTGCTGTATGCTTAAAAACTACATTCCTATTCCAACACTAGTTAATTTTCACATTTTAATTCTATTTTTGTAGTTTTACTTTTTTTGTTTACCTCTTTATTCTGCCTGGATATATTTTAGTGTTTAATGTGAGGTAAGGCTTTTCAGTTGACAGTTCTCCAAGTAATCATTTTCTCCTAACATCATTAATTGGAAAATCTCTGCTGTTTCCAGTGATTTGTGATATTTCTATAGTAAGTGGTTTTTACTAGTCTATTCTTCACAGAGTGAGGCCTCACATTGGGTATTGGTTTATTCCTCCAGAAGGAGTTCAATACTGTCTCCTGCTCTCTTTCTGTCCACCAGGCTCCTGGATGACCAGAAATGTTAACAAACAGAACCTGTCCACCTCTGGGGCCCTGCGGGTACCCAGTCTGTTAAGTTCTGATAAACTCAAGTTAATGTCTCTCCTGCTCCAGCTCTTAGACTTTCTCACCATTCCATAAAGCTAGAAACAGCATCTAATTCCTCCCCCCTTGTTTAAATGTACTATCTGAAAGCAGCATATTTCAGCTTGTATCCTCTTCTCCAAGTTATCTGCAGTTCTGTCATTGACTCAGTCTCCCGGGGAACAATACACTAACATCCTGGTGAGTTCTGTACTAGGAGCCAGTCAATGCCCCCGGATGAATTTGGAGAGTGAGAGGAACCCTGATGGGGGTTAGGGATGAGATTAGGAAGGAAGAAGGGAAAGATTCCAAATGATGAACCCCTGTATATCAGAAGTAGAGTTAGGTAGAGGTATGAACCAATCAGTCTCCTGCACAGTGCAGAGGGTCCCATTTTGGGAACACATTTCCATAGTGATCCTAATTCATTACCAGTCACTGATACTGCAATTGTTATACATTTCCGCTAGAATTTGGGAAATCATCTTTTTCCATCACTCTGCATTCTTGTTTCCAGTGTCTAGTCATTTTCAATCTCTTAATGGTTATTTTCACTAGACATTGGAGATGAAGAATCTATCACCATGGAAACATGGAATTACAAGTAGTAAATTTAGATGATTCTAATATTTGCAAAGTATTAGGAGAATAAATTATTCTTTACATGACTAGATACGTAAATGGGTTTATTTATTTATCAGTTTTGTATTGGAAATGTTCATTAACATTTTTATGTAATACAAATGATGGAGGGAACATCTACAAAATCTAAATTGTGGGTGATTTACACAGGGGCAGGGAGTTTTATTAATTTGCATACTCACAGCTGCTGACTACAAACCAACACCCAGAATCTTCATTTAAAAAATTATATTTATGAAAACAACCTGGATTGTATGAAGATCAAGTGTTTAATTTCTCAACAAGGTAAGAAATAGTCTCAAAGACTTGGGAAAATAAAAATGTAAAAAATAAACACCTTTTAGAAAGATGCTGTCATAGCAAATAAA
This sequence comes from Homo sapiens, assembly GCF_000001405.40. NCBI lineage: Eukaryota > Metazoa > Chordata > Mammalia > Primates > Hominidae > Homo > Homo sapiens. The sequence goes on from NC_000007.14 coordinate 39,059,061, forward strand.
GGTTCTTGGAATGCTTTTATACAATATCTTTTTGGAAAGCTGACAAAACAGCATGGAAATAATGAATCAGTATAATCATTTTTATAACGACTTCTCAGAGGTGTGCCCTATCAGCTCACGTGTTCATGTAGGAACTCAGTCGTAAGCTTCAAAGAAGAGAATTTTAAAATATTATGTTTAGAGATAAGATAATTAGGAAAGGAAAGTAATGTTGAGATCTTTTAAATTAAGTTCTTAGATAAATGTATATATACTTCTAGGAGACTCAAGAGAACAAAGAAAAGAATCAAGGGGAAAGGATTGATTGAAAAGCTTTAGAAACTTGCATGTGATATTTAAAGTGAGTGACCGGATCTCATTCACAAATGTAATACTTAAAACATGCTCAGTTTCCCAAAACCACAACGAGATACCACTTCATACCCACTAAGATGTCTGTAATTAAAAAAAAAAAAAAAGGAAAATAACAAGTGCTAGCAAGGATGTGGAGAAATTGAAACCCTCATACACTGCTAGTAGGAATGTAAAATGTTGCAGCTACTGTGGAAAACAGTTTGACAGTTCCTCAAAATGTTAAACCTATAGTTACCATATGATCAAGAAATGATATTCCTAAATCTATTTCTAAGAGAAGTGAAAACATAGGTTTGTATAAAAACTTGTATATAAATCTTCACAGAAGCATTATTCATAATAGCCAAACATGGAACTAACCCAAATACCCATCTATTGATGAACAGATAAAGAAAATGCGATATAGTCATACAATGAAATATTATTTAGTCATAGGAAAGAATGAAGTATTTATACATGCTACAACAGGGATGAACCTTGAAAACATTGTGCTAAGTTAAAGAAGCCATACAGGGGCCAGGTGCGGTGGCTCAGACCTGTAATCCCAACACTTTGGGAGGCCAAGGTGGTGGATCATGAGGTTAGGAGTTTGAGACCAGCCTGGCCAAGATGGTGAAACCCCGTCTCTACTAAAAATACAAAAATTAGCCGGGCGCGGTGGCGGGTGCCTGTAATCCCAGCTACTCGAGAGGCTGAGGCAGGAGAATCGCTTGAACCCAGGAGGCAGAGGTGGCAATGAGCCAAGATTGTGCCACTGCACTCTCGCCTGGGCAACAGAGCAAAATTCCGTCTCAAAAAAAAAAAAGAAGCCAAACAGATAAACTCATATATATTATATGATTCCATTCATATGAGATGTCCAGAATAGGTAAAGCTGTAGAGACAGAAAATCAGTAGTTTCTTAGGGCTGGGGTATGAGAAGATAATGGAGTTATAACTCAAGGTATTTTTAAGGTGTTGAAATGTTGATTCTGGTGATGGCTGCACACATTGTGAATATACTAAAAACAACTGAATTATACACTTTAAAATGGTGAATTTTGTGATGTAGTTAAAAGAAAAAAGTTCTCAATTTTCACTACAAAATATGAAGTAACTAAATATATGAAAATCTACAAAATCCCCAGATAGGTCTAACAGTCCACCTATGTATTGTCCGAGTATGAGAGAAACGTTCACTACCTTCAAGACAGATAAAATGTTGATGAAAAATGCAGCTGGTAGTCCAACAATGCTGTGTAGCTAGACGCAGAAAGTAGAAAGTTGTCCCTTTCTGTTGCTGGTTCAGAAACTCAAAAAACTCTGCACAAATAGAATGATGGTTCTCAAAGTGTTTGATCTCAGGATTCCATTACATTCTTCAAACTTATTGAAGACTGTTGGGTATGGTGCCGCATGCCTGTAGCCCCAGTTGCTTTGGAGGCTGAGGCAGGAGGATCACTTTAACACAGGAGTTCAAGGCTGTAGGGTGCTATGATTGTGCCTGTGAATAGCCACTCCATTCCAGCCTGGGCAAAATAGACACCATCACTAAGCTTAAAAAAAAAAAAAACTTATTGAAGACTGCAAAGAGCTTTCATTTACATGGGTAATATCTATTGATATTTATTAAATTATAAATACAAAGAAATCTTACCAGATTTGTATATTAATGCATGTTAAAATAAACTCATGTGTTAACATAAATATTTTTATTAAAAATTATATTTTCCAAATAAAATAATTTAGAAGACTGGTATTATTTTACATTTGACATGTAAAATAGAATGACATTTTAATAGGATTTCACAGGAGACAGTTGTGGTCTTATGTCTACTTCTTTGTTTATTCTATTATGATATGTTTATTTGGTTGAGTTTTATGAAGAAAGCAAGAAACATGCAGATATGTAGTTGGAAAAGGAAGGAGTATTTTGATAGCCTCTTAGGATAATCGTGGCTAGTCTTTGATACAGTATCAAAATCTGACTAGTGATAGTTTTTTCAAGCTTAGTTTCAAAGTAGAATTAAAAACCCATGTTAATAAACTGTTTGAACTCATTTACAATAACATCCATTGACCTATTTTGCACTTTAAATGAATCTTTTACCAATTCATAATTTTGCAATATCATGCAACTGGTCATTTGGAAATTATTGGTTCACTGTGTTTTATAGCACTTCCAAGTGTTGACATATTTTATTACACAATATAAAAAATCTTGTTTGTTAATATCACCACTTATTTTAACAGAAAAGTCTTTTTGTATTGGGAAGTTGTTAAACTTTTGGTGGTGAATATAAGTTTTCCAAAATTCTAATTTTTTTCTTTCTGAAAGCTTAAATTTTATCATCAGCAACAAATACTTTTAGTTGTTTTCTTTGAAGTGACAGGCTCGCTTCATTCATTTTTCCCCAAAAAAGTCTGCCTGTCAAATACCAAAGACTGAAAAACCAGCTTGTTGCTCTTTTCTCAAGAATGCAGCTTAAACAATTGCAAGGTGCCTCGCTTTGAAACAATCATTATATTTCAGTATGCAGCTGAGGTGCTTTTGTGCACTTTCCAGTTCATCACACAAAATATTAAGAAAAAGTACACAAGGGGTGCAATTTAAAAATTTTTTATAAATTAATATTTTCACCATTACATCAAGGACTTTTTAAAGTGAAACTGGTCTTCTCTTCTACTTTTTAATCTTAGTGTGAGTTCATGGATACTACACGTGTAGCTTGAAGCCATTATTAGGATTTATACCTAGATACCAGCAATTTGGTCCACCATTGTTTTGCATCCTGAATACAAATGTCAACACAGTGAAAAGGCAAATAATGTGTCAGTACTGTTAAAAAAATACTTATTACAATAATATTATATTACCATGAAAATAATTTTTATCCTGCAGACCTCCTCAGAGTATCTCAGAGATCTTAGAGATTTGCAAAATCATGCTTTGAGAACTGTCGAATGAGAAAATATGATACTCATGGGGTATCATATTAGGCAGTTTGAACACGATCTACCTTCCACCCACTTCTTACCTTTTATATACAGTTAGACTTTGTTATTGCCAAAAGTGACTACATAGAAAGTAGAGAGTAGAAGGCAATTGCCCATTCCATCCTGAGCTAGGAAGGTTGCCACAACAGCACCTCGTGGGCCTGGCTGCAAGTAGAGCCCTAGAATGCACACTAGTGATTGTACTTTGTCATGTGCAACATCAGAGCGTCAGGAAGAGGGGAGGAGAAGATCCAGTTTTAGTCCAGCAAAGCCATACTAGATAAAACCTTAAAAGATATATAATCATTAGTGTGACAGTGGTCATTGGAGGGAAACACTCATAGAAGGGACAAAGAAAAAATATTAGAAGATACTGGGGGGCTGGGTTCATTGACTCATGCCTGTAATCCCAGCACTTTGGGAGGCCGAGGAAGGAGGATCGCTTGAGCCCAGGAGTTTTTTGTTTGTTTGTTTGTTTGTTTGTTTTTTACCAAAAAAGAGATGGTGGAGGAGTGGGGAGAATAAGATCAGGAATTATTTTTAACAAACTCCTGTTCACTGTGGATCTGAGAAACAGACATGGCGATCAGCTTCAGTGAGCTTCTGGAATGGGGTCAAAGTCACTTATTAGCTAAGTAAATGATAGTCTGGATAGCTTTCTTCTGGTGGACAGATACACAGAAAAAAAGAATATTGGACTCATATAAAGGTGCTACAAGACAAAAAGAAACATTATTATGAATGCTCTATAATAGCAAGCCTGTAAATATGATTTACGGTAAAAATCAGAAGGTTTTAGAAAATTCTTTGGCATCCTTAAATGTGTATTTAAGAACTTAACGGATGTGGCAGCTCATGCCTGTAATCCCACCACTTGGGAGGCCAAGGCAGGAGGATTACTTGAGCCTGAGAGTTCGAGATCAGCTTGGGCAACAATTATAGCAGAAAATAGGGCTAAGAGGAAAGACAGCAGAGTGAGATGCAAAAAAAGGAGTTCCTTGAGGAAAGAAAGCATTTCAGTGACAAATCGAAATTCACATTAGAAGATGAAAGTATAGGCTTCCACTGGCAAATTAAACCAATGTGTAATGAAACACGTAAAACTCTTGCAAAACAGAGACAAAGCCACAGGAGCTTAAACGGATGAGAGAGACAATGGATATGAAGGACAGAGAATGAAGAACAATGCAAGACTTCTGGAAGACTAGAAGAAAAGAATTTAAAGCAATGTTAAATGGAGGTGGGGAATCCCTGAGAAATCAAGATTGAGAGGGTTCTCTCAGTTCTAAGAAAATCAATGAAAAGAGACCCACCCTAGAGATATCTTGGTCATTTTTTTTAAATGACAAAAAGAAACAATAATTTTATAAACATGAAGCAAGGAAAAAAAATATTATTTGTAAAAGAACAAGCAGCAGATTAGTTTCAAAACATCCCCATTTGGAAATAAATTTCAGTAGACACTTAAATAATCTCAATAGAATTTTGAGCCAAAAGTAGCAATATAACAAATTTAGTTAGTGAAGACGCCTTTAATGTGTGAAGGCAACAGAAATACATTATCAGATAAACAAGGATTCGGCTGATACACCACCCACATAATCTCTTTTAAAAAATTGCTAAAAGACAGATGAGATGAATCAAAATGAACTAAGGGAAAGGAACATCGTGAAGTAAATGGATTGCTGCTGAACTTTGAAGCCAATTAGATATGAAGCAGACTGAATAACTTAGAAATTTAGTTAAGAAATTGAATACAAATACAAAATAATATTGAAAGAAAACATTTTAGAGTATAAAATATTTTTATAATAATAGTAAATTTGATATAAAATTCTGTATTAAAGACTTAGAATGAGATGTGTGTTGGTGGTTGTATAAAGCTACAGAAACCCATTTTCTTAACACACATTTCATTGAGAAAGGGTGCTTCAATGATATCATTATATTCTCAACTATGAGAGTTGAAAATGAAAAGCTAGTAAGTGTATTTAAAATAGTAGTTACCACTTGAAGAGCTAAAAGCAGAATATAAAACTTTCAAATTTTTGGCAAAGATTAATACAAACATGCACAAATGAAACAAAAAAACAAATGAGACGCATAAAGAAACAAAAACTCCAAATGACAAATGAAGCAGAATGACAGAAAATAAAAATAAAAATTAAACTGAAAATAATAATAAAACTACAAAAACAACTGAGGTAATCAAAATAAGATCAAATATATTAATTATGGCAATAAACATGAATGTTTTAAATTTCTCTGTAAGATATGAATAGCAACTTTGCATTAAAAATATGACAGCAGACATCTTAGTTATAAGAGACACACCTAAAATAAGACATAAAACTGGTAAAAATCAGAGAAGAAGCAAATATTTGTCAGTAAAACTCAAACAAAAAAACCCAAAGTAGAATTCAGGACAAAAAGTACTAAATGATAAAAATTCCATTTCTATTGATGGGAAGATGCAATTGACATCTAATTGAAACATTACACATCAAATAACAAGACTTAAAAATACATAAAGCAGAAATTCTTAGAAAGTCAATGCGAAGTTGATTAAAAACCAGCATTGTGAGAAATATTAACTCATCGGTCAACTTTAGCTAGACCAAGGAGACACAAAGTAAATAATAACTTAAAGAATTAAAACCATAATTTCAGATGTTTAATTTATATATTAGGCTCCCTTATAAACATAGAAGATACTTTGATCTTACGTATCTGTAGATCATTTAAAAGCTGACCATAAAACAAGCCTTAATAAATTCTCCCAAAAAAGAATTCAAAAACACAGTCTCTTCCATAATCGGTTACAATTAAAAATTAATAATAGAGAACAAATTTGTAAAAACCCTCCACTAAATTTAAAACATCTCCAAAATAACTGTTGGGTCAAAGAATAAAATAACATCACAGGATGGGCTATTTATTAATTTTAAAAGTATTAAAACATGAATATGATAATTCACAAGATAGAACAAACTCATAACCTTACATTCTCTCATTATTTTTTAAACGGATAAATAAATTCACAAAAGTGTGAAAATCAAGAAGCTTAAAGACATTGGGTAGAAAGATAATGAAAATAAAAGAAGAAATCAAATTCTTTAAGTTGATAATTGTAACAGGTCTTTGAAAAAGAAAGCCAATAAAATAAATATTTGCTAAATCTAAACAACATAAAATAGGGGAAAAAAAGCATGAGTGAGATAGAAGATTTAACAATGAATATGAAGGATGTTAAAGTGATAAAATAATATAACATACAATTCCATTCGGATATACTTGAAAATCTTGTATATAGATGAATTTATAAGAAAAGATGAATGATCCAAATTGACCAATAAATAAGTAGGGTACTACTATAGTAAAATTATAAAATTATTTAAAAATCCCTCCAAGAGGAAAAAGAAAGAAAATATGTGGCTGCTAGTACAGATAATTTTACTAGTAAATAATCTCAAATTTTCAAAAGACACATATTCTTATGCTTCATAAATTATTCCAGAGATAAAAAAATATTGAAAAGGACTGGAATAATTTTATAAGCCAATTGTCTTGATATTAACCCACAACAGAGCAATTGAAAAAACTTGTAAACTAGTTTTATTTATAAAGGTATCAATGCAAAATACTCAATAAGATATTCTGAAACCCAAATTCGGCTTGACAGTTAACTCAGAATATTCCTGGATCCGAAGATGCTTTACTATTAGGAAACTTATCTGCACGATACTTTAGGTTAACTCGAAAGAAAAAAAGAAAACAACTGATAAAATACAACAGCCATTTCTGGTTTAATTTTTTTGGATGAATTGGAAGTTTCTTACCTGACAAAGCTAATCTCTCTTAAACCAACACCAAATATGCTTCAAATATCTTACTTCAGTGAAATGCAAGAAGCATTCCAATTAAAATCAAGGCTAAGACAAGAATGCCTTATATCACTATTGTTAAGTATTATTTTGCTTAGTGTTATGAGATATGAAATAGCCATAAATAGTGAAAAGGGGACATCTATTTTAATTTGATAAAAATAGGAATATATATGTGTACAGTCCTAAGAGAATCAACCGAAAACTCAATAGCTTTTCTATATAAGAGCAATGACCACATATAACTTGATTATAGAAAAAGAAATTGATTTCATTCACAATATAAACAACACATAAAATATTTGGAAATTTTAAAACAAAAATGTCTGTAGCAGGTATGGAGGAAATGACAACATCTTCCTGATAATAATAAAATAAAATTTAAATAAATAGAAGAAGCAAGTGTTGATGGTAACACTGAATATTATAAAGATGACATTTATTCCCCCCCTTTTTATTTTAGAATTTGACAAAATGATTCTAAAGTTCATCTGGGAAATAAAGAGCTGAGAATATCTAAGACGTTTTTGACAAAGAAGAATAGCATATAGATGATTTTTGCCCTATTATATAGGTTATATAATATATGTAGCATATTATGCATTATATATAGTGTATTATATAATATATAATATCATATTATTATAACATATTAATATAACAGAAATATACCATTAAAATATATGCATTATACATCATCATATATATGCATTGTATATAATTCATATATTAATATACTTATTTATAAATCATATTTAGAAATATAAAATGTATATATTATGTATATGGCATATATATACACTTAACGTATACACACATATATATGGCATTATATATCATCACACTATATATGGTTCAAAAATAGACCTGGAATTTCATTAGAACTTACTTTGACTAAAAAAAAAAAAAAGCAAGCATAATATGCCAATGGATTATTCAACTAATTATGCTCTAAAATTTGATTATTTGGGAAGACGTGAGATTTGCATTTAATGCCATATACCCATTCAAATTCCAGAGACTATAGAATTATTTTTAAACTAAAATAATAGGAAATTTAAAAATGGGTGTATATGCATGTCTTTTTGTGGACAGGGAAGTGATTTCTTTTCATAAAAGTAATAAAATAAAACATAAAGGTTAAATATGACTGGATAAAAATTTTAAAATCTTTTTTAAAAACTAACATTAATAAAAATCAAACGGAAATAACAAATTCTAGAAAAAATATTTGGGATGCATACAATTTGGAATCAGAATTACAGCTAAATTACATTTTAATTTTCACTAATCTCAATGTCATCATCAATAAAATGGGGAAAATAACAATACCAGTCTTTGTTGTTGCAAGGTGTCAAAATCAAGTATGTATTTATAGCCCAGGCAGTGTGCAACACAATAAATGTCAGTTATTACATTTTTATAATTATTGCTTTTATAAATCTATATAAAGTTCAATGAGAAAAATACTTAGACCCCCAGTGGAAAGACAGGTAAAGGATGTGAGTAATTTATAAAAGAAGAAACTTAATTAGCTAATAAACTTGAAAAATTTAACCTTGGTAATGAGATGCAAATTAAAACATTAATAAAATGCCACTTTCCATCTAATAGGTTAGAAAAAAATTTTAAGGATAATACAAAAGAGAGGCTTTCTCATACACTGAGAACATAAATTTTCCACCACCTGATCTTGAAGGCAATTTGGCAATGGTCCACGTTCTTTTAACCCGTAATTTCACTCCTGAGAATGTATTTAAAACTGTCAAAATTTTATTTTTTGTGTGACTAATTGGACACATCTTAAATCAAGAGATTGCCTGGTTTTTTGATAGCCCAGCCTTATCAATGAAAATAATTTTTACCATGCACTCTTAATATATTGATATTTATCTATGTAGTTCTTTTTATAGCATACATTTTTGCCACTAAAAAACACACACAAAATAAAATTACAAGAAGTGAAATAAGAGGAGAAATTCTAATACTTTCTCACTGTACATCAGTGCCCTGTCTCGCAACATCCCCTAACGTGCACAGGCCTCATTTTAAAGACCACTGTCCAAGACCTAGTTGGAAGCACATATTAGGCCCTTAATAAATATTTATTGAATGAAAAAGTGAATTATAAAAGCAGGATGCTAACTTGTACATGCAGTCTGATTCTAAAAACACCAAGAAAGATAACAGAGATTATATATACACCTAGTACATGCATATATATATATATATAATTTTCATAAATGTCTACAGTAAGTTCCATAATCCTAAACTAAAACTCAGGGAAAATATGGCTTTAAAAAATAAATGTAGACTGTCAAGTTGAAGAGCAATTTTGAAAGGTTAAATGATAGAGTCTGAAATATAAAGAATATGAAATAAATAGCTCAAGACTCCAAATTTTATAGCCCAGAGGACAGAATAACAGGAACTCATGAAAAGTTTTCTTCTATTTAGAAGTTACTACAAAGCTGTGTATTGCTGTGGCCTGCTTTCTTTGGAAATGCTGGGAAACTTGATAACTCTTCTTTTCTGATTCCTCAGAATATATCTTTAGGATAGGGGTTCCCACTGTTTAGCATTCATAAAAATTTTCCAAGGAACGTATTAAAAGCATAGATTGCTGAGCCCTGCCCTGTGAGATTCTTATTTAGCAGTTTGAGGAAGGATCCGGAAATCTATATTTAACCCCCTGACTCCCCTGGGGTTCTGATCCACAGGACCTGCGGATCACACATAAAAATTGTGGAGAGTGGACCAAGCATCTGCCTTCTGTACAGAATATAGAACCTCTGCGACATTGCCCACTGTGGGTTTGAGTGGCTTAGAATAGTTGACAATGGGTGGGGAGGATTGAAGTTGAGACTTAAAAAGCACAAGCTCCTTGCCAGTGTCACCACAGAGCTAAAAGCTGCATTGAGACAAGGGCTCTTAGAAGCAGCGGTCCCTAAACTGAGGTCAGTACAAACCATTAGCAGCTGAAAAGGGGCTTTTTATCATGTGAGACTAGGTCAAAAAGCCCAGAATGCCAGGGACTGAGTGTTAGAGAAGAGACTTGCTTGGGAAGGTGGAGCAGAGGGCTTTTCCGGGCTGATGCCCAGGCTGTGAGGAAGGGCTTTCATGCCCGGAGAGTCCCGCAGGTGATATTCATTTTCTGACGAGCTCAAGACCGTGCATGGTTTTTAAGTCCCACTGGGAAGTGACAGATTTTATTTTAGCTGAAGGAAATAAAATTGACCCTTGAGCAGCACAGGGGTTGGGGCATCAATCTCCTTGCAGTGCAAAATCCACATGCAACTTTTGACTCCCCAAAAACGTAACTGCCAATAGCCTACTGTTGACCAAAAGCCTTACCAATAACATAAACATTCGATTAACACTTATTTAGTATGTTATATGTATTATATACTGGATTATTACAATAAAGTAAGCTAGAAAAGAAAAGGTTATTAAGAAAATCTTAAGGAAAAGAAAATATATTTGCTATTTATTAAGTACAGGTGGATTATCATAAACGTATTCATCTTTGTCCTCTTCACTTTGAGTAGGTTGAGGAGGAGGAGGAAGGGTAGAAGCCAGTTTTGCTGTTTCAGGGGTGGCAGATGCAGGAGAAAATTCACGTATCAGTGGACCCTTGTGGTGCAGACCTGTGTAATTCAAGGGTCAGCTGTATTCAGATAAGTTAAAGTGGCTTTTTTAAGACTGCGCTGGGAGCTAGTCCAGAGTCAGGAAGAACAGACTTCAGTGATGTTAGGGACTCACTCCCTTCCTCACTGGCCACACGTGCCCAGGGAGCTTTGGTAATAATCCAATTAAGCCTGACAGGCAAGAAGGAAGCAGCCAGTACTGGTTCTGCAAAGGCAGCTAAAGCTGAGAGATGATTTATTTGATTCTCAAAAGGAATTTGGTTGATATAAAGACCGTTGTGGTAAGATAGTAAGAAAAAAATGACTTAAATTTGAATTTTCGTAAGATATGGGTTATTGAATTTTTTCCCTAGTTCTATGAGAATAACAGCTTTTTTATGGCCCAGTAAACCTTTTAAAATCTTTTATTTCTAATTCAAAATGTGTCTAGTGCTTAAACTACCAGGCATCTCCCTCCACACTTCTGCTTTTGCCTCCACACTTCTGCTTTTGCCTCCCCACAAAGCAGCCTTTTGGAAGGCACATCAGACCTTGTCATGCCTTGCCCAAAACCCTCAAGTGGTTTTCTCTCATGATTGGAATTAAATTCCACGTCCTTGCAATGGCCAAAAAATGGCCTACTAGATCTGGCCATGGGCCACTTCTCTAGCACCCATGCCCACCCACTTCTCAGCCCCACCAGCCTCCTCTCCCCAAGAGGGCACTAAACAGGCCTCCAGCGCAGGGCCTTTCCCTCCACATGGCCTTGTGATGCTCACATGCCCTTCCCCTCAGGCACTGTGGCTGTGCCCACGGGTCCCTTCACTGTGAGACCTCTCTGATCGCCTTATGTAAGTTACATACCCACACCCCTCCAGGTCACCCTATGCCCTGCTTTGTTTTTGTTCATAATACTCGTTACTACTCAACATCGTATTTACTTATTTCGCTTTTGCCTGTCTCTCCCACTGTAATTTTAGCTGCAAGAGGGCCCTGGACTTGATCTGTCTTGTTCAATGAGGTGTTCCCATCACTTAGAGGAGTGGATGGTATATAGCAGTGGTCCCCGTTTTTGGCACGAGGGACTGGTTTCATGGAAGACAATTTTTCCATAGACTGAGGACAGTTTCAGGATGATTCAAGCACATTACATATATTGTGCATTTTATTTCTTGTATTATTATTACATTGTAATATATAATGAAATAATTATATAACTCACCATAATATAGAATCAGTGGGAGCCCTGAGCTTGTTTTCCTGCAACTAGAAGGTCCCATCTTGGGGTGATGGAAGACAGTGACAGATCATCAGGCATTAGATTCTCACAAGGAATGGGCTACCGAGATCCCTCACACATGCAGTTCAAATAGGGTTTGTGCTCCTACGAGAATCTAATGCCACCAGTGATCCGACAGGAGGCAGAGCTCAGGTGGTAATGCGAGCTATGGGGAGTGGCTATAAATACAGATGAAGTTTCACTTGCTTGCCCACCGCTCTCCTCCTGCTGTGTGGCCCAGTTCCTAACAGGCCACAGACTGGTCTGTGGCCCAAGGGTTGGGGACCCTTGGCATATAGTACTCACTCAATAAGCATGTTGGATAAATAAATAACATTAAAAACACTACCAAAGCCAGGTATGGTGACTGACACCTGTAATCCCAGCACTTTGGGAAGCTGAGGTGGGAGGATCACTTGAACCCAGGAGTTCAAGACCAGCCCAGGCAACATGGTGAAACCCCATCTCTAAAGAAACACACACACACACACACACACACACACACACACACACACACACAATATCAAAGTTAAATGAGAAAAAATTTCTAACAGTCTTTGTGCAACAACAAATCAAACTGTTTTCCACTGGATTTTAAAAATGTATTCAGGGTTTAAAAGTCTATTGAGGTTGACTATTTTTATATCAAAATTTGGGCATTTATTTCCTCGTTTATCTTAACACTAATTCGGATTTTTCTGCTTATTTTAATTCAAAAGATGATTTCTTGCTGATTTACTTTAACGAAGTATTCAGCAGGCTTGATTAGAGTTTTGCTTGGCATACTAAGGAAATAAGTACTCACAAGATTGGAACACCAAGGGCAAGACTTGCAGACAGAGCTCAAATCTCACAGGGCATCAGGACAGGAACCAGCTGCATGGAGAAAGGTAGATACATGGGCCCTTGTAGTTGAGGTATGAGAGAAAGTAGGAGAACCCAGCAATATTTCATCTCTCATTTGTGTTGTGGGGAAACAGAAAACTTTTCAGGCAAAGTGCATGCCCCTGTGGAGTTATAGTGCAGAAGCTCAGTGGAGTAGCATGAAAGAGGATTGATTGTGTAATGAGGCTAAATTCCAGCCGTGGAGGATCAAGCTTTCTTGGGGCACAGGTACATCAGTTCATAGGAACAGACCTCGCTTACATATTAAAATTTGGGTAATTCAGTCAGCATTGAGTTGTTGTCTTTCTTCAATCTATGATGCATTTTTCCCTTAAACAATTTGTCTAAGCAAATTAATGTTAGCAAGTGGATATGGGATAAGCCCCTAAACCCACTTAACAGAGCCAATTGTTTATGAAGACTTCGGCTCACCTGTTTTTACATGCTTTTATGAAGGTGTCTTACTGACTTGTTAAAATGGGTCTGATTTTCCCCTTGACAACACGTTAGCCATTCTAGGTGCTTGAGGATATTAAGTCAGCAATTCTTTACAAATACGCAGGGAGAAACAGCAACTCAGATGCTTCATCTGTTCCATCCAGCAGTGCCAATCTTGAATGGCTGTGTGGAAACCTCGTTTCACTGTGTGAGCTTCAGAGTGTGAGATGGTGGGTTGTCAGTTGCCGATTATCTCCCTAAAATGAGAAACAAAGCCTAGAAAACCAGTCAAAACTCCCTGCGTGGAGCGACATGTTTATTTATTAGCAACCATGATGAGGTCAAGACAGTGCTTCCAAGAGAGGGCATTGTGTTTGTGTGTGCACATGCCTAATCTACATACATAGAACACATTGCGTAAACATGATCAGGGTGCTAAGAAAATGTTATTACTGTGAAAGTAGACAGGCACAAAGAAGATGCCGAATACAATTACTCTCTTCCCTTTGCTGATGTCTACTAGATGGTGACTTTTTTTATGGTAGCTAATGTTTCTAGATCTTTACATTTCTCATTGTCCCTAGCACAACACCTGGTACTGATGAACTGTCAATAAATATTTGTTGAATTGCATCAGTTTTGTCTTAAGTAGGCTCTGATTCAGAGCCATCCCCAATCCATGCAAACTAAAGAGGATGTAAGTAAATATTAATAAAGGCTGGCCTGGTTTTTTAATTGCCCTCAATTTCAAAGGCTAGAGATTTAAAGAAATATTTACTTAAGCCTCTGTTTATAGTTTGAATTGGAAACAAATCTGCAAAATATTTTTAATAGGAGCTAATACAGATAGCTGACGGAATGGGGAGAACCTATTAAAAAAAAAAAAAAAAAAACCTTCTAGTTCATGTTTTCCTGAGCAGCCAAATCCCCAGGAATGAGAAGATTTAGCTAATCTTTCCAATCACATTCTTCCTTCCTCCCCACCCCCATCTCCTTGGAATTATGTTATCTCTGCTCGTCTTAAAAGCTCAGAAGCCTTTTGAATTGGAGTGGCATTCAAAGGACAGTCAAGGGTCACCCTTGGAATATTAAAGGAGAGTGGATTACAAGAGAGGGAGGGACGGAGCAGCTGGCGCTGGGCGCAGCCGTGTACAGACCCAAGGCAGAGAACGAGAGGAAAACTCCATAGTATCTGGTGCTGGCCAAGAGAAAGCTGCCCAGACTGCTGGGAAGCACAGGAAGCAACGCTGGAGCAACCAAGCCACATTAGCAGTTCCCAGCGTGTGCTATTGCAGCTTGGGAACAGAGGGAAGGAAAACACTTATTGGTGAAATCAATTAGGCAGTGGCCTTTTGAACAGAAGTGGACTGGCTTATTTAGAGAATGTGGAGTTGTGAACCTTGTAGAATTAAAAGCCAGATACTGTTTTAATTCAGAGAGAAAATTCTACAGAATTTACAGCCTCCTGATAGTTACTTATTTCTTAAAATCATAAGATGTTAGGATTTATAGAGTTTCCTTCTCAAAAGACTTCTGAGTAATTTTATTTTTAAAAATCTAAATTGGCCGGGCATGGTGGCTTACGCCTGTAATCCTAGAACTTTAAGAGCCCATGACTGGCAGATTGCCTGAGCTCCAGAGTTCGAGACCAGCCAGGGCAACACAGTGAAGCCCCATCTCTACTAAAATACAAAAAATTAGCTGGGCGTAATGGCTCACACCTGTAATCCCAGCACTTTGCGAGGCTGAGGCGGGTGGATCACCTGAGGTCAGGAGTTCGAGACCTGTCTGGCCAACATAGTGACATCCCATCTCTACTAAAATACAAAAAATTAGCTGGGTGTGGTGGCAGGCGTAGTCCCAGCTACTTGGGAGGCTGAGGCAGGAGAATTGCTTGAACACGGAAGGCAGAGGTTGCAGTGAGCCGAGATCACGCCACTGCACTCCAGCCTGGACGACAGAGTGAGACTTGTCCCCCCCTCAAAAAAAAAAATCTAAATTTAAAAAATGTCTTTCTTCTTTTATCTTTTATAGATATCAATTCTTATTTTTGTTTTTCAAATGAAAGCAATAGATATTTAGTGAGAGTTTATTATGTGCCCAGCACTGTCCTAATATTTGAAGTGTGTGGATATAAAGATAGTGTATCCTTTTTAGCAGTGGTTTCTTGTTGAATTTTTTTGGTGGGATGTGGGGTGGGGAGCAGATCAGGCAGCAGATCATGAATCCCTTTAAAATCTGATGAAGGCTAAGGAGCTTCTCCACAATAAACTACACAAACAGTCACACTTTGTCGGAAGGGTCGCGGACAGCAGGGAGCAAGCAATATCAAAATTTCTTATTATTACTAAGCAGTCGGCCTGCTATGAGCACTGTTTGTGAATTATTTATTTAATCTGCTAACCCATCCATCCCATGAGGCATATACTGTTATTACCCCATTTTCCTCTCGGGAAAATGAAGGCTCAGAGAACTGTGCCCTTCAGTGAGTAGAAGGTGAACCCAACTACAGGCTCTTGGGCTCCAGTTCCCAAGCACCCACTCTGGCACCGTGGGACTGGGGTGTGGGGCTGTTCGAGGTCGCAGGTGAGGCTGGCCACAGACTGTCTGTTATAGGTCAAAAGGCATCTCTTTGGAGCTAGACCAGGAAGCACCTGGACACTTAATTGCCACATGACAGAAAATTGTCTTAGCAATTTTACCATCATTATAATGTGAACAACACATTCCCTGGTGTTGAAGTGCCCGGTCCAATGTCACAGCCCAAGAAAGCTAGACCAGGCTCCAAATGGGGAGGGCCTGGCATGGTGGGTTGGAGTTCTGGCCCAACTCAGAAACTACTCTGGAAACAGTCAAGTTTTGAGCTGGATTTTTAGGAATATTAGTCTGTCAGCAGGGGGCAGGATGGATTTTTGTATTTATTTATGGAAATCTGAAACCATAAAGAGCTGGATGGTTTTTGAAGAAAAAGTTTTTCTTCTCAACTTTGTCATCAGAACAGAAGGACAGGATTAGATGTATACACATATTTCATGTAATATTCATTTAAATAAATCTCTTCTTCTTCTAAGAAAAATCCTACCAAGAGAACACTTGTAGTAAAATCACGCTTCTAATACGCTGTGTGTTTGATGATACTGCTCCTGAAGGCCACAGGGAGGCTGGGACCACAGTTAGTGCTGTAGTAGTGCTGGCAGTGGCCAGCTTCCCTCAGTGACATGAAGATGCTTCCAGCTGAACAAGGAGACAGAGCCCAAAGGCTGAGCCCTTGGGGCGTGGTCTCTGTGCACACCTGGGTTCCCCTGGGGCTCTACTGCCTTTGCTTTGTTGGACTAATCCCCGGACTAGCTTGGTAGTAGCTCTTCTCCCATTCAACTTCAGTCCTGGGGGAAAATGAGACTTTCCTTTTCCTTTCCAGTGTAGCTATGACATTCTTCCATCTTGTCCTGTGTTACAAGTAATGCAGTCACACAAGCTGAACTCACTTCTGTTTCTGGAAGCAGCATATGGGTCAGTATGTATGTGTGTGCAGAGTCAGAGAGGTAAGATAGCTGGGTGAGGCCTCGGCTTCATATTATGTAGTTTCAGACACAGCTGAATGTATGCTGAAAATATCAACCAAAGCTAACCTTTGCTCTGAACTTCCCTTTTTCCTTTCCTTTCTCCCTTTTCTCCCTTCCCTTCCCTTCTCTTCCTTTCCTTTCCTCTCTCCTTCCTTCCATTCCTTCCTTTTCCTCCCTTCCATTCCCTCCCTTCCTTCCTTCCTTCCTATCAATCAACCAGTCAAACACACTTACTGAGAGCCTATTTTGTATCAGACATAGTGCCCAGTACTGGGAATTTCAACACATGTCTGCCTGCCAGGGACTCAAACATCTCAGCTGTAGGGTCTAACACCTAAGTGTTTTGGAAAAGTAAATCATTGATAGGTGCAGCAAACCCTCGTGGCACGCATTTACCTATGTAACAAACCTGCACGTCCTGCACATGTATCCTGGAACTTAAACTAAAAATAAATTATATTTTTAAAAAGAAAAAGAAAAAGAAAATGGTTAGCTAACAGACAAAGTATCATGATTGTTATCGCATCTGTGATGCATTGCCAATATGCAATATGGGCAGATCTGTGGAACGCTTTCCTCAAGTACACTAAAGACTCCATGTAAAATAGATGGGAGGAGCCAATATGGTCTCAAAAACTGGGAGTGGGCACTTAGGTCTTCCCCTATCTCCCTTTGAGGTCCTGGAGGCACCTCTCTAAAACCCTCAGGGCTTCTCAGAGCAGTTTTAAAATGCTGGGACTAGAGAACAGGTCTTTCCATTCTGGAAACTATCTCACTTTTGCAAAAGGTTGCAAATGTTGAGATACACACACACACACACACACACACACATTAATTAACAGTCTCTGCTAGAGTTTTTAAGATGCTAGAAAGTAAGCTCTTTTTAGGACAGAGATCAGATGTTCTCTCTTTGTAACTCCCAAGCAACTCTACATTCAAATTGCTAAATGTAAATTCACTTTAATCTGTGTTGTATTCTGATTAAATCCTGATAGCTATTTGAAGCCATCAGATTATGAAGAGTGTATGAATATAGGGTATGCGTATGCAATGTCAATACTGCTGTATAACCCCATTACCAAAAGACCAGATCTAGATGAGCCTGGATTGAACTCATATTGATGCTTTTTCATAAAGGCAGCAGAAATTGAATTGATGGTGCTATTAGGTTGTCAATACCAGTGTCTCCCTTTCTTCCCAGATAAGTATACATGAAGCATGGTTCATACAGTCATTTTAACCTCCTAGGGCCAAAGAAGCTTGTAGAGGTTCAAGGTGAGGATTCCGAGGAGGTGTGTCCAACTGTGTGCTAGATACTTTGTAGAAGTCCAGAACTGGCAAACTCCTGTCTGATTGATTGTTATGTTGTTATTTCAGTCTACAGGTTTGCATTGATGAGCGGTTTGGCTTAATTGCTTGTCTGTGTTTAAATACAGCTGCATCTGTTTTCATTATCAATTGGAGTAGGCTCTAGAGTATAAGCATAGTTAAGAGGACGTGGCATTCATGGTGGGACTTGGAGAGGGATAGAGACCCTGTGTGGATACTGACAGGAGAGGAGGACACTTATCTGAGGTTCAACAAAAAGACAAGAGACCCTTAAACTGCCCATATGTGCACACTCATTGTTAGTAATGAAATAGCATCCTGTTACACCGAAGGAAATCCTATATTTGCTGTATTATTTTTTTTCTTTCAAGATGATTCTGGACATTCACCTTAACCAAATATTCCCTAGATAAAGTATTGGGGATTAGTGGGAATAGCAAATAGTATAATTTGCCTAGGACATCCTTTTAACAGAAGCTCTAGACCTTATTTTACCGTGTAACTAGCTTGCTTGCCTCTAATACAGTGTTCATCTGACTAGGGGTCATCACCCGGTGCAGTGGGTTGTGTTGCAGATGGCCTGGGGCAACACTTGTATGCACAACTATTAGGTTATTTTTGGTAGATAATGGTAGGCCACCAAAACTACCATATGGTTAGAGATGAGTGAGGGTTTGCTACATCGTCCTCAAAGCCTTGCATTCTGGTTATGATGAAAACAAGCTCTCAGACCAAGAGCTGCCACACATTCAGATATTTATTAAACACGCTTTTATTGCCAATTATTTCCAAATAGTTTACTTGACTTGTCTGAAAGCTTAATGAAGTCATAGTTCTCTGTCATTTTAGATGAATCTAGCATACCTTGCATGAAGGTTCATTAAGGTAGATATGGCAAAGTTCTAGGAGCAAGATCTATAAGCACAGGCAAAAACACTTGCTAGACCATTAATATTCTCTGCTTGCATACAAAGGTGGGGAAGGTCTCCAAAATATTTTAGCCAATACACATATTTTGAATATGACTAATTTAACCAAATGAGAACCCATTTCTAACCTCCATTAATGCTGGTCAATAAGGTACTAATTCTACCCAAATTAATATAAATGATACTAAGCAGCAAAATGCAGGGTGAAGGAGTGGTGGTCAGTGAACTGTGTTTGTAGTGGCCACGCCTGGAATGTGGCTTTTGTGATTGAACGCTAGTATTGGAGCATGAATATCAATTAAGGCAACTGATCAAACCTGGGGCGGAGCTCACGGGTCAGCAAACTTTTTCTGTAAAGAGGTAAATGGTAAATATTTCAGGCTTTGCAGGCCATAAAGCAAAATCCAGGCTGCCCCAGAGGAACAGATATGACCTTGAGAGAGGCAGCTACTTTCAGGCAGGAGCAATTCCTGAGAAAGGACTCCTCTGCTGTGAGCCATTGAGGGGCAACATGCCTGGCTACTGGGAAATGAGTGCCTTGGTTCTAAAGGCGCCATTGCACTCCAGCCTGGCGACAGAGCAAGACTCCTTCTCAAAAAATAAAAAATAAAGGGAGGATCTGGGCAGTACCCCACAGCATCCCCTACAGCATCTATTTGAGTCTTCAACTTCAATGATTTGGTGACTCGTGCTCCAAACTGAGAGTGTGGAGAGAAAAGTAACTCCCAGTCAGTTAGATACCTTAATGTGGGAAGCGGTATTGTAGAAAATAGTCTATTTGTGTAATACTTTTATATCTTTCAAAACATATTCATACACATTATCTGTACATTATCTCACTTGAGTCTCACAATATCTTTTTTTTTTTTTTTTTTTTTTTTCCGAGACGGAGTCTCACCCTGTCACCCAGGCTGGAGTGCAGTGGTGCGATCTCAGCTCACTGCAACCTCCGCCTCCCAAGTTCAAGCGATTCTCCTGCCTTAGCCTCCCGAGTAGCTGGGATTACAGGCGCCCGCAACCACGCCCCACTAATTTTTTGTATTTTTAGTTCCACCGTGTTGGCCAGACTGGTCTCGCAGTCCTGACCTTCTGATCCGCCCGCCTAGGCCTCCCAAAGTGCTGGGATTACAGGCTTAAGCCACCGTGCCCGGCCAAGTCTCACAATATCCTTCACGGGATATAGAAAGCCACATTGGTATGGGAACCAAGATGGAAGAGAGAGCAATTCATGGTCCTGCCAGTAATTAGCGCTAAAACAAGCAATATCCATGGGGTCCCCTCTTTAGTATGCCACTGTTAAACGCAGCATTTATTTTTAATTTTGAATGTCCTGCTTGATTTTCACAGAAATCTTATATATTTTGGGATAGGATTAAAGAAAATTTCAGCCACACTAACTGCAAAATGGAGAGACACAGAGAAAGAGATAGCAGTTGGGAATGTTGAGTTGAGGAAGGAAGTGCATGCTGGGATCAATATTTGGCTGTGAAAATCTACTGTGGAGCAATCAAAGGTGTGCATGTATACGCTTTATAGTGAAGTGCATTATAATGGAAATTTTTGTCTGTTGAATATTTGCCAGAAATGTGGGATTTTCCACTTTTTTTCCAAAATAATTTTTGTTTGCAGCCCAAAAAGTGAAATTTAAAATAAAATAATCCGTTGTGGGTGAATTTATAATACTTTTAGCATCCTTCTTTGATCTTCCCAAATTTTCAAAATGTTCTACAATAAATACGTATACTTACGTCAATAAAAAACACATAAAAATAAAATATGGTCTTATTTCAGAAAGTCAAATAGAAGTTCTTATTTTAAAAAAGTCCTGAAAAGGTAAGGAAATATTGAATGATGAAAAATTAGAAATGTTTTATAACTTTTGGGAGAAATACTCATATTAAATATCATATCAAGAGCTAAACTAATTAATAATATTTGGTAATTAATAAAAGAAAGTTTGTTTTTCTTCATGACTAAGGTAATGATATTCATACTTGAAGTTACCCTTTCCCCAAACCTACCAACGCCTTGTTTCTTCCTCTTAATTCTTTTTGATTTCAATTTTTACCTCTTCTCCGTGGGAAAAACTAAACACAAAATATGACGGTGTGTTTGCATCTTAAATTGGATGTAGGTAATTTGTTTCTATCCTTTCTCCCAAGTTGAAATGTAGCATTTTGAGAGGAGGGAAAATCCAATACATTTTTTTTCTTTATAATGAATGCAATTTTTCTATTGAATTCTAGGAATAAATCTGTTGTGTATTGTATAACTTTACCATACTTGAGTGCTTCACAACCAAATGAATTGTTTCCCTGGATTTTTGAAGCCTGCCTGTGTTATTTGCATTTTCCTCAAAGCTGTTCTGATGGACTGTTTCATCATTAGTTTGCACGTACATAAAAATATGCTGGACCTCTTTCAAGCTCAGTGTAGAGAGATGTGGGTATTTCCATCATGTGGCTGCCACTGGACACGGATGCTTTGCTGAGTTAATTATCTCGCTATCTTTAGTTTCTCCGACTATAAAATGAGAATGAATATGCTTATCAAAACTCTGTTGGTTAAATTATTGAAGGTCTTTAGCCAAATTACATATTTGTTTATGTGGTATTATTTTTAGCAGCGTGGTTAAAAAAACACAAAGCCCAAGATGAATTCTCCTTCTTAATACAGTACCCCATATCTACTCTTTAAAGGCTTTATGATAGAAGTACACTGGGACATCTCTATTTAAAAATTATATGAAAGTACATCAGAAGTTAGCATATAATGACAGTATATATGGTTAGTATATAGTAAATCATATATCATATATGCTAACTACACATAAATAAACTAAGAAACATTAATTAGGTAAAAGTTGTTAGAATGTGAGAAGCACTACACAAATATGTACTTGTAGAAGTGTTTGAGTTTAGTATTATAGAATCATTAAAAATTAGTGCAGTAATTTACAGATAATCGAACCTTGCCCATTCCAGATCTATTAGATAATATAAGAGTTATAAGGCAAAGACCTCCCATGGTCAGATAATCTTGGGAAAGTGCTAGAATAAGAAAGTTAGATCGACTTCTTTCCTGGTAGACTTCCCTGCTGAGTTTTCCACATGGGTATGACTGCAGAACTCTTTCATTGTAGAGTATCTTTTGGGGCAAGTGTTTTGTGGAATGTACTTTGGGAAATATTGTTTTATTATAGCCTTTTCATTTTCTAGACAAGAAAACCAAGGCCAAAGGTGGTTAAGTGGCTTGCCATGTTTATCTAGAGGGTGAAGCTGAATGCAAGCCTGGGTATTGAACACTATCTGATGTCCTGTCTACTATACCATATTGCCCCATAGACTTCATTCAAGCAATGTCAGCCAGAGAGCTGTTTTGTTCCTACATTCTGTAGGGAAGATAATACTACACACAGTATGTCTGGGACTAGGTTATCCAGGCTTTAACACCCTTCACAGCCACTGGCTCTGGCTCATCATCCAAAATCTGGGATACCCCATGAATTACTAAGTCCATAAGCCTTGAATTTTTCACTCAACGCCTACTGGGTAAAAAAGGTGCTGACTTTTGGAGATGAATTGGCCAGGTTTGAAAATGCAGCTTTACCACTTAGCTGCGTGCCTTTGGGGCAAGAAATTTAGCCCACTGAGCCTCCGTCTCTTACCCATACAATGGGGCTAATACCTTGCATAGCTGGGGTAACATTAGATCCATCTGAGGAGACTGTCTGGTAAAGGCATTCAATAAGTGGGACCTATATTTATTCCTTCATAATGCTTGAAGGAGACAGATAATCACTGTGTAGTTTCTGATGGAGATTGCAATCCTCTCTTTGTAGGACACGGTGAAAATTTTTGTTGTGATTTTGCTAATAGAAACTACTTCTGCTTCTCCTTTTTCCACCGTCTGGTTCTTGGGTCTCTGATGGCCCCGTGAGTGTCCTGTATTGGCACATGCCACATCCTATTGCACACATGCAATACTGTTCCATGGTGGACTAGTCACTTTCTTCTGTCGGGATTGATAAATGAATTGCAAAGAAGTCTCAACATCTTCTATTGTGATAGTAACAATTTCAGAGTTTCAAGTAAGAAACTTCATCAGCTCTATTTTACTTCTCACCTGCACTAGCTACTTCTGTTCCTGTTTACCGCTGCAGAGATCCTTGTACAGGTTGAAGTTGCAGGTCTCTTACATTTCTACAAGCACCTACGTAGATGCATGTTGGAAAATCCTCTCTTCACTACGACAGAAAGGATTTCACAGACTGCTATGGCTCTTGGCAGAGAGAGAATGACTTCCAAGCCGAGTGCTACTTGAAAGAGGCACTCCCCCATCACTTATAAGTCTGTACTCACTGGTTACTGCTTGTGACACATTTTCAAATGGACCCCCCAGTGGCTGCAGCTGTGATTAAAAGCTGTCTGCTCTCTGCCTCACTAGGGGTTTGCTGTTTAACCATGTCATGCACACACACACACACACACACACACACACACACACACACACAAATATATATATGGGCTAGAGCTGCATTATGGAAAACGTAAAGTGTTTTGTAAGACAAAAAAAATTAAATGAGTACTTGAATGACAAACTCTTGGATTTTCAAAGCTCAAGTTGGTGAGAGGCACTAGTTGGGAACCTAGCCATGTATGAGGTACATAAAAGTAATTTAAGGAAGAAGAGCTAATGGTCAGTGAACATATACCATCTGCCAGTGCATGTTTTGCACACATCAGCCAGACAGAACATCTTAAAGATTTAAGTACACTTGAACTCAGCAGCTGCATTTCAGCTCGTCAGTGTGATTCGGGATTCAGTTTGACCCTTCACAAATAAGGCAAGAGTAGAATATTCTTTCTTAAGTTTACCCAGATATTCACTGGCACATTAATAATCATGTCTGTTTTATCATAAGACTGCTATTCTCAACATAAGTTTATCATTAACATTATCTTAAAAAATGCTCAGATGAGCAGTACAGTGACAGAGACTGGGTGTCTTAAAGGTATAGGTCACACCCCTTCCTCTAGATTAGAGAGACTGAGGATTCAACCTTTTAAAAAGTAAAAAGAGTGGACTAGAATGTAAGCCTGGGATCTTGACATCACATGACGAGTATACTTAGGAATGCCACGAGGTCAACCAATGAGCGTTGTTCCCTTCCCTACCCACCCACCCACCAACTGAATCAGAACTCGAACATGCATGCTTTCTTAGATATTTAGGAAAGAGATCCAGAGAAATCTTGAGAATTGTGTGTCTCTTTTCCCTTCTGCCTGCCTCCCCCATCTACCCCAAGTTTCAAGCGCTCCAAATCCCAGCAACAAGACCCAGTAAACAAAATGCAAATCTATCACTAGCAAATTCAAGCTGACAATACTGTGAATCGACCGCATTGATTACATTGATTATATTTCAAATATTTACAATATGGTGAGACAAGTCTAATTTCTTTTCTAAAGAGTTCAAGGTAGGTATCACCATTTCTGAGGGGGGAAAACAATGGAGAAATGTTTGTGGTTGCTATCTGCAATAATCTGGTGCTGACAGAGAGTAGTATTTTATTTAGTAATTAACAGTGTAAAGGGGAAAGGAGCTGTCATGTTGGTTCTTAAGCTGGGGAATGTGATGAAAGATGATATCTGCGATCTCATCCTTTCCACTTGTTTAGGATTGTCAGGATGAGAAATGTCAGCATTATGAAAGCTCGGCTCTGCTCTTGATATGATAAAACCCTTCAAAAGCCAGTCTTTCTCTCTCCCTCATCCCCCTCCTTTCTCGCTGTCTCTCTCTGCACTTGCTTTTTTATTTATCCTGTTTTGTTAGATGGCAGAAATATAATTCTTTTCTTTCTTCCTATTATAAGCCACCATTTTTGTTTTATTATATGTTTCACAACCCCTAATGCCCCACTGAAAATTACCTTGTTAAATGACAGTGTTTCAAAGCCATGAATCCTTTCCACCATTCCCTCAGAGGTTTGAAACAGTCAACAGACTGTAAAGAATAAATAATAAAAAAGTATTGATTATTTTGATGACTGTGAGATTCAATTAAGTATTAATTTTGCCCTCCAGTGGACCTATCAAGGTATTCAAAAGGGAGGATTCGGCTCAGCTAAATGCGTGCTGAGTGCTTCAGCCTTAAATAGGGAGAAAATGTGTTTACCTACAGTATTTGAAGAAGAAGTGCATTGATGCACAGAGTCCAATATTTAAGTGCTGTGTAAATTAAGCCCTGGTGACAGTGACATTGTTTTCAATGGTATGAGTATTGACTAAAGAAGTGCATTTGATGACAGCTTAAACTATTTGTATTGATTAACATTTTCATAGATTATCATGTGTCATATCAAATTCACTTTTCAAGCATGAATACATTAAAAAAAAATAAAACACAGGCATACCGCAACCAATGCAATGGTGGGACCCGGGAGCATGCCGCCCCACCTGCTTCTGTGCTGGTCACCTGTTTCCTGCTCAGGAACCATTTAGGCATGAACTTGGCAATAAATAGCTCCCAGATCTCGCAAAAAGGGCACTTCTTGCTCTCCTTTCCTTCTGCATCCGATATTGTGCCAAAACAATATTATGCATCTCAGTTTGCAAATGGAATAAAAGACTACACTTGGAAAATATTTCTGATCCTAAAATGCCCTCCTTAATGAGCTGAAGATAAAGCAGATCTAAATAATTAGGGGGGAAAGTTTGTCTTTTCTGAAGGCGATTTTTGTTTTCTTTTTCTTTAATGCTCTGGGTGTACGATGCTCTAGGTATCCGAATTATTGAACACAGTTTGTAAGTATTTTCCCAATTCCTTAAAAAAAATTTAAATCAATTTTCGTGTATTGTGTTGTGTATTATTTGCTTTAAAATGTTCATTTGATTTGGGGTCAGCTCCGGTTCCCAATCTGGGACCAGTGAAGCCAACTTCTAAGGGTGCTTATAGAATTTACATAAGAAATATCTTTTATTCCATTGAAAGCCTTTCGAGGTCTCTTTTCTCCCTATCTTTTTTCTCTGCTCTTGGGATAGGGTTTAATTGCTTCTCCCCCGGGGAGAAGGCTTCTTAAAATAGCCCGTGGTTCCTCCATAGGGTGCTCTTCCTTTTTAGTATGTTGCTGAAGTACAAACCCAGCACTTTCTTTTTTCTTACTGCATTAAAGACAGAACAAGGTGTAAAAACATTCGCACAAAAGCATATCCCACAATTAAAGCTGTGTTGGTTAGGTTGCTTTCAAAGAAGTTTTTTTTTTTTTTTTCCTCCGAAGCCTCCTGAATCTCTCACATGCTAGTTGAGCTTTAATAGGGTGGGGAGTAATGGAGAACTCATCGGATCTGTAATAGCTCTTCACTTGACTGCAGCCAGCAATAACAGCGGGAGCAGCCAGAGATAAGAGAGAGAGGAGAGAGGGAGAGTGTGTGTGGAAGAGAGAGAGAGAAGAGAGAGGGAGAGGGAGAGAGAGGACACGCACTCTAAATCTGCCACTTTTTTTTTCCTCCCCTTCACTCTTTTCGCCCATCCTAGGATCCAATGATAGCTGGACAAGTCAGTAAGCCCTTGCTGTCAGTGCGGAGTGAAATGAATGCGGAGTTGAGAGGTGAGGACAAGGCTGCTACTTCAGACAGCGAGCTGAATGAGCCCCTGCTTGCGCCTGTGGAATCAAATGACAGCGAGGACACTCCCAGCAAGCTCTTCGGTAAGTCTGTCTAGGTATTTCATTTCAGTACTACCATGTTGTCCGGAAGAGCAATCCAACCCCCCCAACCCCCCCTTTTTTTCTGTTGTTCATTCAGTTTTCCCGTAAGTACTAAAAAGGAGCATCTTGGAGGTGCTAAGCCACTGAAGCTGATTCCAGCCGGCTAGGAGGATGTCCTCCAAACTTTTACCAACAAGGAACTTATTCGCTGCCCATTTTGACTTGTCAAATATTGCTAGAGTCCCCAGGCTGGAAATTGTTTGGAAAAAAATAGAAAGTGGTAATAATAATCAGGAAATCGGTTCCATTGTGAGAATTGGTTAACATTTATTGAGTAAATATCGACTCGGTTTCAGGTTGCTTCGCAGCCTTTTGTTAAGGGGAAGGTGAGTAAAGACATTATCTATCGTCTAAAGATGGGAGAGGAGAACTGAAAAATATCAATACAAGTCGTGCTATGCCAGGTAAACAAAGGTGGACACAGGAATTGCTCTGAGAAATAACATTGTGTCATCACAATCAGAATGAATATTTCTTCTTTTTTTAAAAAGGTGATGAGGAAAGAAAACAGGTTCTCTGATTCCCTCCTCTACCCCTCTCCTTTTCCACATTGTGTTTATAGCATCATAACTAAAAGTAGAGGCAGCCCAAGACCTTTTAGGAATCTTTGTTTCATAAACAAAACAAGAACAAGCAGAGTGCCACTCCAGCAAAGACATCTGTCATTCAAACAGATGACACTCTGTAAGCCAACTCATGCAACTGTGATCTCTAATCAGAAAGGGGAGCGGGTTGTTGAGGCGCGTGCCTGAGTGATAGATGTTAATGGATGTCTCTGCTGGAGAAGCACTTTAGGGTACAGAGTGACGTTAGGTTTTCAGAACAATTGCTCCTGAAACGTTTGCTTTTAATTATTTTCAAGTGCGTGTGTGTGCACACACACATAGACATATATATACATACTAACCTGACATATATATATCAGGCAGAGTACTGCTTGGTCTCAGGTAAGAAACAGTCAAGCACCTGAACTTCAAAAAAAAAAAAAAAATCATTACATAGACTACTACTTTGTTAAGAAAGTCAGCAATTCGGCTTGAAACACAGGCTTTATTAATTAATTAATTAATTTATTTATTTATTTATTTATTTATTTATTTATTTATTTTAACCGACAGAAAGCAAGCTGCCCTGAGAGTTTGGCAACTCTAGGCTAGCGTGCTTCAACCGACAATCTTTTCCCTAATTTTAAATGCTTACTCAATCAAACATTAGAGAGATGTCACAGAGAAACTCTGCTTTTCAGATCTTCTCTGGGTACAATACTGTTTTATGCTTAACAATATACTAGATTCCAATTTCAAGAAATTTTGGTAGCATCCCTTCTTTGAAAAGCAGCAATGCCACCTCTGACATGAATTTCCAAACCTGCACATTAGAGTTTTAGCATTTTCACCCTAAAGAAATATTTTTTATAGTGTAAGTTTTTATCCATATAGGAAGAATTATGTACTAAAACCTTTACTTCAATTTTAGGAGGGTAGTGAGAAAAGTCAGATAAAATGATAAATTACAGAAAGGTAAAAGCCATGCCCATGCCCCTCTAATGTTGAGTATGCTAAGTAAGCACTTTGACTTTTAAAAAGTAATCAATTTTGAGTTCAACAAGCTACAGATAATACATTTTTGTTCCTAAACTTTGCATGCATTTAAAATAAAAGCAAATGGATTTTGTAGACTTGAGCTTGGACCTCTAACTTGTTTTCTTTCAAGTAATCCAAAAGAGGGGTGATTGATTTTTTTCATTTGTTTAGGGTTCCCAGTGTTGAACACTGTTATAGATTTGTTATGCTACGTCTTACTGATTTGCATGTGTAGAGAAAAAAGCTTCAAAATTCCAAGAGGGTCAAAGAGATTTGAATTAAAAGTTTAATGGCATTTACTAAGGATTTGTAGTTTAATGTTAAAATCATAATGGATTTTAGAAGGAATCCACTTTTCATTTTGAAATTCTCAACTTCTGAGTTTGTGTGAGAGAACACAGCAAAACCTACATCTTACATTCCTTTTGAATTCACTTAATTGTCTTTGGTCTCTAGACTGTTTTTCAAACACAATGTGAGAATTTCCCAGTTTCCAATTAGATCAAGAAGAAAGCAGTAGATTAACAGTTTTGAGAACTTGAGAAAAAATTAGAGACAATATGAGAAAGAAAGAATAGAAAGGATCAGGAGGAAGACACTCTAATATTCTCATAAGGTTTCCTTTGCAGGGGCCTGTTTTGCTCTTACTTTTTAATATTACTGGGACTTGGCCTTAGCAATTCTAGTTTACGTAACTGACTAAAACTTTCCAGAATAATTCTGTCCCAGAATTTTTAGCAACTTTGGTGACACAATTTAAGGAACTATGATTTTCTTTGATATGCATATGTTCAAGTCTGTTTTTTGTTTTTAGATGTAGTCCTGATTGTACCCTTTACTTGATAATGAAGAATTGCATTCTTCCTGAGTAGTTGACAGCATCTATGTTTTTATCTAAACAATAATTTTCTAACATACTTTCTTTCTCAAACTGTCATTCTTCTATATATACACCGTATTATTGAAAATTGGGCTTCTCTAATGAGATGGCCAGATTATGACAAATCATGTGCATCTTGATATGTTTAGTTTCATGGAGAGACATTAACCAACAACAGGAGACAAGCAGAGCTCAGGGTTTTTTTATTGTACCTGAAATTTCAGTATAAATGGATTTCTTTGAAGCCTCTTCTCCCATCTGTGTACTGTTCAAATTAGCAGTCCAGAGGACAAGTCTGTTTCCCTCACAGTATGGTACCTTCAGCCCAAAACTGCAGGAGAAGGGCTAATACTGATGCCCTCTATGGATAAACAAAGGAAATTCCAGGAACCACTGGGCCTTTTATGCCTCTCCTTAAATTGCACCTCTGCACTTAACAGCATCCAAAGGGAAACATACTGTGCAGAATGTTTCAGTGCTCTGAGCAGCTCAGAATACCAGAAGGAGAAAGGAGAAGCCATATGCCAGCCTAAGTAGAAAGTTCAGAAAAGGGCCCTTGTGTTTTATAAAGTAATTACATCAGTGGTAACGTTTTGCTTAACTTGAACAGCCATGGAAACTAAAGTACACTTAGGAGAGATGAATCCACATTTCACTGAGAAACATGTGGTTAGGTAGTTCTCTGTGATATCATTAAGTGATGCATTATTTATTCTTCTAAAGCCTGTAGGATAACTATCTCCTTTTTCAGTTCATGACTGTATTATGCTAAGCTCTGAGCTGTAAGAAACAGTATAGAGGAGAACAGGCTTGCATGTGGTTGGGGGTGGGGGATTATCAGAGAATCTGGCGCTGTGTCTCACAGGGCTTTAGCTGTGTGATCAGATGAGTGATGCTACATAGAGCCAGTCATTTAATATGTGACTAGTGATGTACATATTGGAAACCATTCTCAAAACTGGCCTTTGGCAAACAATCTTAAAGGGAAGAGGTTGCTGTGTTTCTCTAGTGACATTTATAGTACTCGTGTCAGTGTGGTGCTTCACTTTTAGTTATGCCCATCAAGAATTCAGTGTTCCACATTCAGTCAAGTTGGATGCTAAAATTCAAATGGTAGCATCAACAACTTGGTCGGGAAAATGATCACAGAAAGGATAAAAGTAATATATATCCTTGGAAAAAATATGTGTGCTAAAGTTTTCCCATGCACTCTCAGCCGAAGAAGTGAGATCTCATAAAACATGCCCTAAATATTTTCTCCCATATATATTTGAGATTTGAAAGATGATTTATTAACAGTGTTTCTCCTGGGAAAATGTTTATTGTTTGAAGTTAAACCTCATGATTTCCTTCCTTTAAGTCCCAGCTATCTTGGGTGGCTGTGTTAGTCTCGGTGGCCGGCTTCTCAGTTGTACTACATTGTGCATGAATTGGGCACACAGCTAAGAGCCTTGAGCTGAGATGGAACTGCAAAACCACGTATAAGCATTGCATCCAAAGTAAAAAATTTGTGGTTGATTTTCTCTTCTGATATTGTGCTTTCCTAGGATAAAAGAAATTGCATGCAATGATACTTGTAAGAGTGGGTATTTTCAATGCCATTTATCTGTGAGCTGTTGAAAAAGGCCTTAAAGTTGGCTCAGGGATTCCTCCATGCTATAGAATGTACTATATTGTGTATTTCTTTTCCTTTCTGTGATCTTTCTCACAGAAACATGCATTATAAGATTTTTTTCTTTCAAATTGCCATCCAGTTTGACTTGATTAGAATTTATGGCAGTAGAGTCGCTTTCAATGACAAAAGGATAAAGAACTAAATTGTCACCCCTTGAGACAGTGGTCTCTGCAGGTCAGCGTGGAGGTCATTGCAGGGCATTATGGGGACTGCACTTGGGGGTGAGGCTGCCTCATGCCCATGCATCAGTGGAGGCCTTCATTATGGGATCACTGTCTTCATTACTTTATTTAAACGTCTCTCTCCAGGCTTCAGTACCTTGGGTATTTATAATATTCTGATTAACTATTCTGGAGCCAGTAATCAGTACCAAGAGCTTAAACCCAAGAGGGATTTAGCTTGGAGGTGATGAGGTAAATTCCCTAGAGAAATGTATTTATTTAAAATATGTATCATGCTTCTATATTTTTAAAAGTTTCTATATCAATTGAAAATTTATACCCCTTTTCACCAAAGAAAGTTTTGCTAAAGAAATATTAAAAGTGTATTTTTTAAATCAACTAAATAATTTGGTAATAGATTTATGCAAAAACTGTTATTTAAAAGAAATCTGTAGAAACCTGTATTTGTGGAAGTAAGTGAGATGCATAAGGTATTTGTCAAAAATCAGTTATGGTTTAATAGTCAAACAAACCCTTGTCATGCTGCTGACTACTTGAGTGAAAAAAAAAATGCACATTTGGATACAGTTCTTCCATTTAAGAAAATCTAATGCACTGGGGTATTTTTAAAAAAATCAGTGAGAGGCTGTGTGCATTTGGACAATTTTAGTTTAGTAGATTCCCCGCCCCGCCCCAGAAAAACCACCGTAATGCTGCATTGATAAATAAATCCACTTTAAATAACATTCATTTGTAAGCTTTGAAATAAAAATAAATCCATAGAGAGAGGCACTGGTGTTCAAACTTTTCACCATATTTGTTTGTGGAGCTGCTCATTTCTAAGTGCACTTCAATGGGGGACAGTGCACAATATGTGTCAGAATCGTCAGTGGGGACCTTCCCTTGTGCCTGCCTTTGCTAGCTCTTTGCTATGCCTGGGGTGCTCAGGCCAGGCCTCTGTTTAAAGCAGGAAGTTCAATATTGCAGTGTCCAAGGATACTCCATGGTAGCACATTAGCAAGTCAAAATACTGATATGGTTTTACTTTTTTCTCCCCTTTTATTTTGATTACTGTAATTCTTATATTTTGTTGTTGTCATTAAACGGTCCTAAAAACAACAGGAAATAAGGTATTAGAAATGAGATTAATCTGTACATCATCCCTCCTTTAAATGATCCCATTTTAGTCTCTTGAATGTCTTGGATGTTTCTGACTTAAAGGTTACATGGTATTACAGTGTTTTTGTAGTTCACCCAGCCCAGTTTATGTCATAATTAATAAATAGAGGTGCATTCCAGATTCAAGCTCCCAAGGCTCAGCCCTTAAGAAGATTGCTTTCGCTCTTAATTACCTGCTTTAATTATACAGCTAGCATTCCCCTTCTCAAGAATTGACCAAATACGTTTTTCTCCCACTTCAACGTTGAGATTTCACTTGACCGTTTCAAGTGGACCTTGTTTGTTATGAGACAGCCAACAGTTAATTTGTGAGAGAACTGGCACTTTCTTTGATTGACGACCTTGCTGGTTTATATTTGGGGATTAATAATACATCAGACATTCACACATTAAAGAGAAAGTAAATGTGAAGAGGAAGGGTAGAAGGTTCAGTTCTGCTACTGGGCTGCCCTGATTATTCAGGCCTTCCCTGGGAATGCAGAGGCAATCGGAGAAGCAGGCACATTTGCCCAAATATGCACCTGGCTCCATTTAACATGTTTCTTGATTTTTTATGCTAAAGAAAAAGATAGCAAAGTGTTTATACCAAACTGGCACCCTGTCAGGGGGCAATCTGTATAAAGTTTCCCGCTGTCAGGTTAATAAATTTTTAAAAAATATCCAAAGGCAGAGGTAGCTAGAGAAAGCTCATAGTAACAGTTGCCATTCTCCAGCGGATGGGTTTCTCTTTAATATCCAGCCTGGCTCTGGAATTTTCTTGTTTGTTGTCTTCCTGGGTTCTGTACTTAGCTGGTGTTTTTGTTCAGCTTTTCTTTTATTCATGCCATTTCAGTCTTACTTTTTAAATGTTTATCTTTTTAAATTTCAAATGTCTTTTCTTTGAGAAACAAGTAAGCATAATTTGTTTTAATTTTTTATATGGTATTTTGTAGTTGAACATATACTTTGTCATGCTATGACTCTGAATGAGCTTCTAAATCTATCAACACTGGGCTTTTCTTTGGGAATACCTTCAAGTAATATTTATTCATAAAGGAGTATCTGTGCTTTGACAATATGGGGGCTTCTGATGAAGTCGATTATTAAACATGTTGATCTGATTCTTAATCTTTTCAATGTAAACTTTCACCTCCTGATTGTCAAAGTCAGATTTCATAAAAAGGAAACAAGGGTGGACTTGTTTGGAGACATCTCCTACTCTGTGCTGTGACACTTTATGAGCTATCAAAAATGGATTAAGCCCTTTTAGTGTGAATGCAGAGGTCAGAAAGAATAACATTAGATCTCTTGAGGCTAAAGAAAGTTTGTCATTCGCAGAGAAATGGAAATTAACTTTGTTTTATAAGTATTCCAGGATAATTTTTTAAAACTACCTAACCAAGATGCATACCCCCAAGATCGCTTCTTAATAATTAGCTTCCACTTTAAAAAATTTCCTAGTATGTTATATGAATGTCTATATTTTATTTGAGGATGGAAAAGAAAATCCATGCCCAAACTTCTCTTATAGTTTTTCCTTCTTAAGTGATTTTAAGGTCTTATATGTAACAAGAATATATTGTGATTTTTTTTAAATTAAAAAATTAGCTACCTGGAACAATATAACTAATAGTCAAAGCAAGTCACTATTATTGGAGGACCACACTGCCATTAAAACTATTTGAAAATATAAGGGGAAAATGATCAGATTATAATTAGAGAAACTAAGTAATATAATTATACATGAACTAAATGCTTCAGAGATTTTCTATACAAAAGACCATTTGAAAATGGGACTGTATAATGAAATCTGCATTCATTAAGATGGTTAAAAATGTTCTTAGTAAATAACCAAAATAAAACCTGTTAGTTTAGCTCACAAATGAAGTAGAATATGAAGGTATTTTTAGGATACTTATGATGTCCCAATGATAGCCAACATGAAACAGTTTCACAATTTAATGAATACGTGTATCCTGCCATATATTGTTTGGCATTAAGTAGTTTTCTTAGTGTTTCATCTTTTCCTGTAAAATAATTAGTGTTTCTTGGGATTGACTGATGTACCTTCCAAATATTTTGTATTTCTTTAATTTCATCCTATTAATGAGAAAAAAAGCATAATTATGACAGAAGTTTGTGAAAGCCAAGAAATTCATATTTAAAGACTGATATTAACACAGTGTTTTAAAATAGCAATGCAAATTTATCCATTTCCTTACCACTTCCATACTTTATTTTTGTTTCCCTATATTTTCTTTCTTAGGCACTGTGAGTGCACAGTGAAAAAAGTGTAATGCTATCTGTATAAAATATTTGTGTGTGTCTATGGTCTGCTTTTCTCCATATTTTCTTCATGCACATATAATGCTTCAAATTGTCTTACTGAATCTGTAGTATGTATGTATTTTCTCTATTATAAAACTAACAAAGACTTATTTATAATAATAAGCTTTCTTTTAGTTCATGCTATCCATCCATCATTCAAATGTACTTCTCCTGTATATTTAAAAAATAGTTCCCTGATAAATTTATCAAAATTAATAGCTTACCAAAAAAGGGAAACTAGTTATACTGTAGTATTGCTTCAGCTATACTTGGGCTAGAATCCAAGTTCCAGTGTCTTCTTCGATGCTGCTATTTACTGAGCACGGGAGACAAGAAGATTCCTCAGGATTTGCGCAGTTTAATTCAGTAAAGAAATCTGGGGTTTTTGGACAACTTGACTTATAGAAAATATATGTATTTTTAAAGCATACCAACTTACCCAAGCTAGGGAAGACTCTTGGGATCTAAATATTGGGAATCTAAATATTTGTCTATTTCTGGGATAGACATATATCACAATATAAATATTTATCCTTTTCTTTTTTTAAGTCAAAGGCATTTTATTCAATAGTTATTAAGCACAATTTTTTGTTACACATTCCTGTAAGGATTATATGCGCCTATATATCAAGGTAGAGTGAGTGATTGGTGTACAATAAAGAAATCATATTTTAAACATTTACTATTAATGTGGTATTATTAATCTCCTTTTGCAGTTCTTCATGACCACATATGTGGTGATTTGTCTTTTAATACCAATATGGCAAGATTTATTTTTACAAATTAATGATTTGGGGTGACTTCCTGCAGGAGGGAATCATCACTCTCAAAGCAGAAGAGAAGCTAAGGGGTTAATATGATTTAAAAATGCAAATATTTGAAGCTGTTTTAAAAGCATGAAAAATTATTATTGCACATGACTTTTTGCTCAAATTGACCCAGGGTAAAGGAGAATAAAAAGTCAAATGGAAACCCACATGTTCCTGTATTTAAAAATGTATACACATGGAAGTCATGTGGGGAGTGAAATGCACTTCATCAAAACTGGCATTTTTTTCAATATACCTACATCATTTCCCAAAATATTGCAAAATAGAAATGTGTCAGAAAGGACGCTTGCTATTTGCAAAAGGAGAAGCATGCAAAAAATATTGCATGAAACTCCTATTTCAACGGATCCATTTAATTAAATCCATACACTATTCTATAATCTATGAATGGGTAAATATCCAGAACAAGGATCCTCTCAGTTATGAGGGAAAACTTTCACAAACTTTTGGAAGGAACATATGTCACTGTTTTAAGTGTTGATTGGCTCATTTTATTCTGATTCCTAAGATGAAGGCAGGTTTTAGTCTTAAGCCTTACCCAAGAAATTGCTCCAATTTTCAGGTAGCCTAGTTGATTTCTTTGCTCTAGTTTGAATATTTACTTCTCCCATTAATTATATCCTGTACTCCTAGTAATTTTCTAACAAGCCAACTGGAATCTGCAGGCCATCAGAAAAGTGTTAAAAATTATGCCTCGTGTTCTAAAAGGAATTAATGTCTACAGCTGCCTGCTTACAAAAAAAGAGCTGGTCACATTGGAGATTGCTGATGGCATCGAGGTGGTTGCAGTAGCCTAGAATGGTGGCTACACGTCTTGTCATCTGTAGAGTATCAATATGTTTTTATAATGATACAATAACCTGAACCCTGTAACGGTTTATGGTCCTTTTGAGAATTCTTATGGATTCTTAGAGTGACAGAGGTCTGAGAAAAGATCTTGAAAGCTTTCACAAAATCTGGCTGGGTGACAGAAAACTAGCAGGACTGTGATTTAGCCGCTAAGAAATCCTGTTGACCAGGAACATCATTAAACTTTTAAGTTAAAACAAGAACCACAAAACAAATGGTAGATGCAAAGGGTAAGGGGTACCCAAAGTGGCAGCAAAAATTAAAACGTGCCGAAGATTCTTAGATAAAAGGCAAAATGCAGCAAGCCCATTGTTGATCTTGATCTCCTACTTAGAAATAAGCATTTTTTAATATACCATTCTGAATATTGCAATGTGTGTTGGAAATCTGTATTCATGCATTTCCTTTATGGAATCTGTCAGAACTGATTGTTGCTCTTTCATTTTCTCTGGCTATTTTTAGTCAATGATAAATAAAGAACTTGAATTTTGAATCTGGCACCAGTGAGATATAGAACCAGAAACAGCAGGAAATAACCACGATGAGTAACTTCACATCAGTATCTGCACGGAGAGCTCAGTCCTCTTAACATTTGTAATACTGCTAATTTCTATGGGCTTTTTAAAATACTTCCACATGAGCTCTCAAAACCCATAAAAGTGTGGCATGTAAAGTAAATTGTTTGTCACTTGCCGACGACCTGCCATATTTATTGTCAGGAGAAATGGACATTAGTTGGAAAAGCAGTTGTTAAAGGCCAAACAATTTTTAAAGATGGCAAAGATGCACGAGGGTTTTCCTTTTTCTAACAATGAGCCACCCCTTCAGACATCAAAAGACAAGATAATAAGACACTTCAAGCACAATTCAAGATTATATTCAACATCTAAAGGCTCATCTCTTGTCAGTTTGCATTTACTCTCCCAGGGATGTGATGCTTCTATCATCTTTCTGTCAAGAGGAGTCTGGCAGAAGAAGCGAGGGCTCTTATTTCACACACTTAGGGTTTTTTATCAAATGGCCCACACTCGTTCTGATTCAGCCAAAATGGGGGCATAATTTGAAGAAGGTCATGCACAAGTACAAAAATCTCATATTGATTTGTGTGATTAGAAGGCATTAAAATTGCACATTTACGTTAGTTGCTGAGATGTTTTGTCAGTTTATTTGGTAATACACTTTTGCAGCCTAGAAAAAAAAAATGACTTAAAATTTAAAAATAGATGGCTGAAAGCCGAAATGGTTTGTTTTAATGTGGCTATGTTTGAACGTTTAGCAAGTGAACATAAAAATAATGTAAAGCTTTTAGTTTAACAATATTTGAAATTAGCTTATATAATGAAATACTTCATGCAACATAAAAGCAAAATTGCACAACTGTGCATATCAGGTGAAACAAATATATATGTGGAATTATTTTTTAAATACTTTAAAAATTGATTTCATATCTTTAATATATAGATAAAAAGTGATGACATTTTCAATATAAATTTAATTATGAAGCTGTTTTACAATGGTTATCAAGTTTTTAACATTTTGCACTCTTTGAAATTACAGTGTCATTATATTTGTCATTTTATGCCATTCTTAGTATATATGCCCTTTTCCAGAGAGGGTACTAAAGAATAAATAAAAGGGTTATTATTATTATTATTATTCTCTGTCAAAATTCATCACATTTCCTTCTTTGCTCTCTGACAGTCACAAAGCCATACAAAGAAACATTCTATTTTGGTAGGGGCATGTTTATAGAAGTTAGAAGAACAATCTTTTCCTCTCAAAATAAAACAATTGATGAAAATAAAACCATGATATCCTGGGATCATTTCTATATTGAATCTTTGAAATTACTTTTCCTAGGAATTTTCATCAACTCTCTGTTGTCTCCACTTCTTATGTTTTTCTCCTTTGCTGTGAAGTGTTTTGAAACTGGATTTCTCACTTTTGTGCCACTTTCAAAACAAAGGAGAGGTACATATATACTGTGTAGTTACAGTGTAGAATAGAAGTGAAAACCCATAATTTGCCCTATTTATTAAATGAGTTTTTTCTATTCAATACAGTTTATGTATTCAACATGGAACAGTGAATTGATCCATTCAATAAATGTTTGTTGAGCACCTGCTCTGTGGTAGGGGCTGTGCTGTGTCCTGAGGACTCAGTAGAGAAGACACCACATAGAATTGATCACCTAGCTCACCCACTGAAAGGTATACTGAAGATGCAAAACTGAACAAGACATGGGGACCCCACCCTGAAATAGCCCACAATCAGCATCATACATTGACATTCTATTTTACTTGATCATTTCTGGTAGCTTTTTAGGCAATTTTAAGCCTTCGAAACCATACTTTTCAAGAGTTGTTTGTTGGTTAGAAACCTCATTTGAGAAAAAAACTATTATCTCCAAAAAGTAGGGAAGAAGAAAGGAGTATTAAGCGGTTTGTGACAAATGACATTAGCAATGTTTTCGTCACAGGGTTTGGTGCATATGCCGTGGAACACAATTGCTCTTCTTTAGGGATTGTCTCTTAATCATGTCCAAAAGGAGGATGAATTAGATTATTTCTTCCTGCCTGTCTTTTCTGCCTTTATTCTCCTCCCAAAATTCTTGTTTGTCTTATATATTTTTTATTTTTTTATTTTTATTTACTTACGTTTTTACATG
Organism: Homo sapiens; assembly: GCF_000001405.40. Lineage (NCBI taxonomy): Eukaryota > Metazoa > Chordata > Mammalia > Primates > Hominidae > Homo > Homo sapiens. The sequence continues at coordinate 39,098,224 of NC_000007.14, forward strand.
TGTTCTCTCAGAAGCCAATACATTTTATTTATTTATTCATTCATTTATTTATTTTATTTTTATTATTTTTCTGAGACAAGGTCTTGCTCTATCACCCAGGCTGGAGTACGGTGGTATGATCATGGCTGCAGCCTCAATCTCCTGGGCTCAAGCGATCCTCCCACCTCAGCCTCCTGAGTAGCTGGTACTACAGGCGTGTACCATCACACTCAGCTAATTTTTTTTTTTTTAATTTGCAAGAGAGGGGGGGTCTCACTTTGTTGCTTAGGCTGGTCTTGAACTCCTGGCCTCAAGCTATCCTGCTACCTTGGTCTCTCAAACTGTTGGGATTACAGGCATGAGCCACTGCACCTGGCCATTGTCTTATACTATAAAGTAGTGCTTCAAGGCTCTGGAGTCAGGTTGTGTGGGCTTGAGTCCGGCTCTACCACTTTTTCACTGGCTGGGTAAGGTAATAACATGTTGAAGCTTCAGCTTCCCCATCTCTGCATGGAGGTATTGCTGGTACGCCACAGGGCAATCTTGAGCTTGAAGTGAAATGACACATGTAAAAGCCTATAGAGTACCTGGAATGTAACCAGAGCTCAATGAATATCACACGTTGTTAAGAGTTGAAAATGTACTTGCTATGTTTAGAAAGAATCTGATTAATTTTGGGCAGCAGATACCATAAAACCAACAAAAATTGTGGCCTTTGGAAGTAACCATGCTTCTCCATAAGGAAACATGAGCCCCCAAGGGTCCTCCTGATCAAAGAAAGGTTCTGGGGATCTTTGCTTCCTAATGGCAACACCCCTTCTTCAGTCTTTGCTTTCTCTTCAAGTTCATTCAGGAAAGAATTCAGACTCATAAATGGAGGTTCTACAGGGGACAATAGTTCACTCTCTTCATCTTATGGAGAGTACATAAGTGAGGTGGTGAGCAAGGATGGAACAGGGCAGTTACACATCTCACTCTTCTCTAAATTTAAAATGTTGGAAGGTGTGATTCTTTCAAATAATAGCGATTTTAAAAATAATGTTGGCCTTGAGAAGTGTTATGAAGCCAGATGTCTGTGGGCGGCAGCAAATGCCTTTCTCCCTGGTGGTGTGGTCAGATACCCTGGGGGCAGCCTGCCTTTGGGTGGAGTTCCTCCCAGGGGCATCCGCTGTCCCTCCCTCCCTCCAAGGGAATTTGCCAGCTCCAGGCCAAGCACTTCTATCTCTCTGCCTTGACCACACTGTTGCCCATGTTGGGAACAGAGCATTTGTCTCTAGTTAAATGTCCAGAGATCTTTCATAGGATGCTTTTGTGACCTAATCAGGGTAAACTACAGAAAATTTCAGAGAGAGAGAAACATTCCATTGAAGTGTTATGACGATTTTAGAAAAATGGTGCTGCAGAACGATGGTAACCTGGGTTTGAATCACCACCCTTGACCTAGGCACAAGGCTATGAGCTTATGTCTCCGTTTCCTCTTCTGAAACATGAGTGTTAAAATACCTATCTGATGGGATGTTGAAGATTATGTAAAGGAAGGCAAATAAGATGCCTGCACATGGTGGTGTTTAATAATGAAAGCCCCTTCCCCTCACTTCTTAGCCCAATGCGTATTTTTCCAAGGTCTGAGAAGTGACTTATTCTGATGGGGGTTCTCTTGGGAGCGTGGATCAGAGATTAATGATCAGCAGGGGCTCTGAACGTTAAGATCTCTTTTCTCAACGTAGCTTTCTCCATGAAAGCCAAAACTCAAGCTAGATGTAGAGAGCATAAGCTTTGCTCTGGAAGCAAGGGATTTGACTAGATTGTGGGTCTTCTCTGTCCCAGCAGAGAGCTCTTTTCTGCCCCTAAATGGAAGTGCTTCTCTCAAAAAGTTAGTTATGTGTTAGGCATGGGAACATGCCTTCAACTAGAAATTCATGGAGTCCTCATTCCTTAAGGAATTTTCATAGCCAATGTTTAATTGGAATTTTCAGATCTTCAACAATGAACCCTTTTCATATATTTTTCAAAAGGAACAAACCAAAAATAAGATGGCAACCTCAAAAAAATCTATCAGTGCCACACTTCCAAGGGTTTGAACATGCTGTGAATATTTAAGTAGCTTAAATTGACATTTGGAGCCATCATTGGGAAGAAACATGTTATAACCTTTGTTGGGAATATTTACACATTTTGGTTGAGATCCGTAAAACCTAGTTCCTCTTATATACACCAAAGTCATCAGGATCAGTAAAAGAACATCTTTCTGTTGTTGTTGTTGTTGCCATGGCAACCCCACACATTTTTAATTACATATTCATGCCCTATGCTCATTTCTTAGAAATCATTGGCACTTCTAAAACCACTCATTTAACATGTGTCGATCAATGTCAATAAATATATTGTGATATTGAAAAATATTAAATCATGGTTTCAGATTGAATTAATGTACATGTTTGTGTTAATGTTAAGTAGAAGAGACAAACTCTCTTTTAAGCCAGTGGCAATGACCATCCCCTTCATATAATGTGACAGTTTTGACTTTCCTCACTGAATTTATAGCTGTATCGCCCCTTAGATGTCCCAGATGTTACTACTGTTCCCTCTGTGGTTTTGTCATTGGGTAACCAAACTTAAATCTGTCTCCACTTGGCTGCACCCCTGAGCAGTGTCAGCGTGGAAAGAATGATGTTGGGAAAACAAATACAAGGTTGGGCTACCTCGTACACAGGAATGAAAATCCACATCTTCATTCTATGGCATGAATTGGGTCTAGCCTTCTTTACTGAGCCTGTCACCCAGCTCTGACCCGCCTTTCCACACCATTCATTTCCAACCACCATCTAGATCTTCCAATTTTTCATATTTTTATAAAAGTTAAGTGTATTCTTTTTTTTTTTTTTTTTGAGACAGAGTTTTGCTCCTGTCACCCAGGCTGGAGTGCAATGGCGCAACCTTGGTTCACTGCAGCCTCCAACTCCTGGGTTCAAGCAATTCTCCTGCCTCAGCCTCCTGAGTAGCTGGGATTACAGCCACCCGCCACCAAACCCAGCTAATTTTTGTATTTTTGGTAGAGACGGGGTTTCGCCATGTTGGCCAGGCTGGTCTCAAACTCCTGACCTCAGGTGATCCGTCCGCCTCAGCCTTCCCAAAGTGCTGGGATCATAAGCGTGAGCCGCCATGCCAGGCTGTGTATTCTTTTCATAATCAGTCCTGACTAAAAGTCAGCACTTAAGAGAAGAATTGCTTTTTCTAGGCAAGATTTTTTTTTTTTTTTTGGTACAGATTTCTCTTATATGTTCCATGGTGGTTCAAACATCTTCCTTCCTTGGGGTCCTTGAAATTTTTACGGTCTTTGACATCCCTGAGAATTTGCAGGTTGTGGGATTAGGGTGGGGAAAGGGGAGATGTCGGTCAAAGGGTAGAAAGTTTCAGTTAGGAGGAATATGTTTCAGGGACTATAGTTAATAATAGCATGGTAACTATAGTTAATAATCATGTGTTGTATATTTCAAAATTCTCAAAAGAGTATATTTTAAATGTTTGCACCACAAAGAAATAAGTATGTGGTATGATGGATGTGTTCATTTGCTTGATTTAATCATTCCACAATGTATACATATAACAAAACATCACAGTGTATTCCATAAATATATATGGTTATTATTAGTCAATTAAAAAATTTAAAACAAAATTGTAGCTTACCTTTTTAATTAAAAATATTAAAATAGGCTTCCTCACTCTAAGACTTTCTTTACAACAATTTGCTCATGAAAATGGCAATACTTTTACACTATCTTTTGGAAGGACACCTTATTTTTTGGTCTTCTGATCCTCCAGAGATGTATTTCTTTTTTCCTAACAGCTATCAGCCTTTATGAAAAAATCCACAGAATCATCAGAGCAGTACATTGTTAGCTAATAACACTTCAGTTTCAATTAGGTGAAAGGGCCAGGTGCAAATAACCATTTAATATCTTGACGTGCTGTCTAAGTCGCTTATAATGAATTTATTGAGAGGTTAATTTATTCAAAAATTAACACCTATTAAGTGTGTCCCCAGTTGCTCTTCCCCCTTTCTTGTGGTCAAAATATTCTGGCTAAGCTTTTTGATTTCCAACATTACAATGACTCTTGCCTTCTGCTGCTTTCCAACTACTTTCTCATTTTTTACAGCCTCTTTTGCAGCCATTTCCACTGTTTGCCTAGTATTATCATGACTCGTGCATTTGTCTGCCTCCTTGCTGGGTAGCTAGCCCCTAGAGGACAGACAATAGATCTTGCATATATTAAGTGCCAGATAAATGTTTTTTTAATTGAACTGCTTCTGAATTCGATGTTTCTGGACATCATCCACACTTAGCCAATATTTACTGAATATTAAGGGAAAATAGACTCTACCCACAGGAGTCTACTATCCTATCTAGGGACAGAGGTAAATATATATATATATGTTTATATATGTATGCATGTGCATATATATACACACACACATACATACAGTGATGTGTCACTTAATGACAAGAATACATTCTGAGAAATGTGTTGTTAGGCAATTTCATCATTGTGTGAATGTCATAGAGTGTACTTACGTAAATCTAGATGGTGGAGCCTACTACACACTTAGGTTTGTATGGTACAGCCTGTTGCTCCTAGGCTACAAACCTGTATAGCATGTTACTGTACAAATACTGTAGCCAATTGTAACATGTTGGTATTTGTGTGTTTAAGCATAGAAAACGTACAATACAAAATAAGATATAATCTTATGGGACCACCATGATATGTGCAGTCTGTTGTTGACCAAAACTTTGTTCTGTGGTGTAAACTGTATATATCAACAAATAATAACAAAACAAAGATAAAGTGCCTTTTCACATATCCAACAAATATTTATTGAGCACCTTGGTGCTAAGTATTGGACTAGGTGCTGAGACTATGGTGAGAAGTTAGACAGAATTGGTCCCTCCTCTCGTGGACTTCATAGGAAACTCAAATCTTAAGCAATGATTATCCAGAAATTTAATAATTTGTCATTGTGAGAAGTGTTCTAAAAGAGAAGTGACAGAAGCTAGAGGGATGAATAATGAGAGCTCATGACTTTGTTGGTAGCATCGCCTGTTGTAGTGGACACTGGGTGGACAATATGTAGATGTGACTTTGGCAAATGACTCCTCTCCCATTGGAGGGAGATGGAGTCTTGGTGGGACGATCAATCAAGACACTCCATCTTCCCCTAGACAAAGAGATGTTACATGGCCCAAAGTAGGCAATAAAGTGCTTTTTCCTGGGAAGCTAATTCTTGAACTGAGTGATCCAAAGACTGAAAAGCCATGAGGCTGTGTCTAGCTGGTGTTCCCCTAGAAAATGTCCACTGGTTTCTACCACCTTGACTCCTGGAAGAGTCTTGGTTACTATCTCTTCAGAGAAAACTAGATCTTTAGCTTTTTCCTTGAATTCTGTGATCCATCCTAAACCCTTACCACAAATTCTTTTCTCTCTGTTTCTAGTTTTTGCTTTAGTAAGCCAGGGTAGTTTTGTGTTACTTGGAGCTGGAGAACCCCTGTACTGGCAAACCCCTGTACTGGCGAACCCCTGTACTGGTATGTTCATGACCTCCAGGCTTCACTTAGATAAGACATTTTTCTAAAACTGATATTTCAAGGCTAGAACAGAGAAGGCATCCCAGGTAGGGCAAACATCATGGACAAATATACAGAGTGAAAAGAGTTATGTCCAGCTATAATTACCTAAAGGGAAGTAAAGAATTAGGGCTTCCTTATGGGAAAAGGGGTAGGACCAGGAAGAGTGTTAATGACAAATACTGAGATCTACCTTCTGAATGAGCAAAACTGGGAAAGCTAGAGCAAAACTAGATAGGCTCGAAATTCTGGAGCTGCCGCTCATTCCCCCTGCTTAGCCTGAGACACGGTGGGAGCACCTACCACCAGCTCTATGCTCCTCTGCTAATGTGTTATTTGAAGTACAGCTGATTCTTAAAGTGCAGGTGCTCTAGTTACAATTATAGGGTTGCTCCCATTATTTATTGCTGCACTAAAACCCACTCCAGAACACAGAGGTTTACATGATGACAACATTCATTTTGCTTACAAATCTTCAATTTTGGCAAGCCTGGTAGAGATAGTGCATTTCTGTCTGACTTAGTGTTAGCTGTGGCAGGTTTTGGGTGGAGGGCTAGAATCATTTGAAGTCTTGTTCTCACACGAGTCTTGTGATTGATCTGCCCGGTGGCTGGAACCTTAGCTGGGCTTGGTGGCCAGAGTAGCTGTATGTGTTTCCTCACAATGTACCTGGGATTCTTCACAATATGGTGGCTGGGTTCCCAGGGCAAGCATGGAGAGACAGGGGAGGGGGAAGGGAAGAGGCACTACATTGACTCTGGCTTTCATAAACTAGACTTTTCTAACCTAGCCTTGGAAGTCAACAGCATCATTTCCACCACTGTCTACTTATTAGAGAGTCAAGTCATTAAGGCTGTTCCATATTTGAGAAGAGGGGAATTAAACTCTACTTTTGATAAGTGTCAACAAATTAATGGACAGGTTTTATAATCACCACAAAAGTAATATTACTTCTACATATTTATTTCTTTTCTGTCTCATAAACTTAAAAGAAAGCACTTTGGAGACCGTGTCTTCTTATTAGTGAAGAGATATTTGAATGGATAAGATCTTGTTTGAAGCAGAGTTAAATGGGAGATAATGTCTGCAACATTTAGTGAGCATAGCTCAATGTCTTATAGATATGTGCATGTTTAGTTCTCCTGAAGGTTACCTTTTTTATCACTTTTATTTTCCTCACAGACATTAAGAGGTTTAGTTTAAATTTTGGAATCTGGGTTTTTACTCAATAAGCATATAAAACATGAAGTCTATCTTAGGGCATCAAGAGCAGAGGGCAGATGGAATCTAGAAGTCCACCATGTCACACTTATGATAGACCTTTGGTTATAGCAGATGAAAATAGATTTCCCAAACCTAACATATTAAGCTCAATACATTTCTCTTTGGTAATAACAGACAGAAATTTCTGTTATAATAAACCATTTCCAACTCTTTATGTCTACCACTAGACATTCTAAAAAAGGATAGGCTGAGAAAAACAAGTTGGTGTGTTTGAAGATATTTCATGTAATTGTTATTTATAAGAAGATCATCTAAGTCATAATTTTCTATAAATATTTTTAAATTAAATAAGTTCTATGTTTTAGAATTTTTTTTAACCTCAGGTTTTTTTTTTTTCCTGGTTTTATCTAAGAGACTCGCTCTTCAAGTGTCTTGAATTCTTGTAGAAGTTGATGCCACATTTCCCCATGTGTGATAATATCTATCAAGAAGTCTCAGCACAGGCAAGAATAAGTATTCTTGGTGCTTTAGATAGAAGGATATACAAATAATTTCTGGCTCTGTTGATTAAAGTGGGGGGTGGTGCAAAAGATCCCATTAAGACTCAGAATTATCTGTAGTTATTCTAAGTATGGACGTGGTAAACTAAAATGTGCTTAATTGCTATGTGTTTTTCAAATAGTGGCCAGACGAAGAAGTTTTTATTAACAGAAAAAGTCATGAACTTAGTACTGAATTCTTTTCACTATTCTAAGAATTCTAGCCTGGAATCTTGTTTTCCTGAATCAATATCCTCCAGCCCTCCAGTACCCAGGGGATACATGGAAAGCCAAGATGGAACCTAGTTGGATGCCAGCCTTCACACACAGTACAGCCAGGGATGTTCCCAAGTGGGGAGGTGGGTAGGGTACCAGAACATGTTAAGCTCAGTGCTTGTAACCACTCTCTGTAGATCATGGTGTGTGGTGCAAAGATGCAATATGAAATGCCAGTCTGCAGAACTTTTCACAAAAGCTCTTCCTTAAATCCCAATTGTAAGAATTTCATAATAAAATAGATATCCAAGTGCATCTACACACTCGGCTTTACTGTTTCCAGATGTTTATAGTGATGATGATAATGATTGCATAGACTAGCATTTTTGAAGTTTTGTCATTTACAGAAACTCCATGAGGCAGATATTTACCAGGATCTGGCTATTAGACCTAATACAGAGTTGATACCATTATGACCATTGTTGCTCTCTACTACTTGGAGACTTATGGTGGTTTCCTGTTGAACTCAGAATAAATTTCAAACACCCACAACATCCCCTCCATGTTCCAGATGATGTGTAATAATCTACAACCTAATGCTATAACTGTGCTGTAATAATCTATAGTCATGCAGTAATAAAATGGGTTTGTAGTTTGCTTTTTTCATGTTTAGTTTGTTTTTATTGAAACTATAGTATTGGACATTTTTTCTATGCAGACATATTTTGTAGCAATAGCTTAAATGATGTGAAGTATTTTGCTCATATGGGCATGCTATCATTTATTAAATTAAACTCCTATTATTGGACAGTTAGATTGTTTCCAATGTTTAAAATTGAACATTTTTGTAGATAAAACTATTTTTTCATCTTTAATCATTTTCTTAGAATAAATTAATAGAAGTAGAATTACTAAATCAGTAGGTGTTCACATTTTAAGGCCCTTCAGAAAGGATATGCAAATTTATACAACTATGAACAGTGTTTCAAGCCTGAACAGTATTTGAGACTGTCCGTTTTTTGATTCCTCACCAAATCTGATTTTTATCAGTATTTTTGGTGTTGGAAAATTTGGTACAGGAGAAATAGTATTTCTTTTACTTTGCCTGTCTTTGATTACTAATTAGGCTTGAATGCTCTTTTTGTGATTTTTGACCATTGGTAATTCTTCTGTGAATTGCCTATTTTTCACTTCTTTTGCTGGGAAATCCACCTTTTTTCTTTTTCTTTCTTTCTTTTTTTTTTTTTTTCTTTTTTTTCAAACAAGGCCTACTCTGTTGCCCAGGCTGGAGTGTAGTGTTGTGATCACAGCTCACTGCAGCCTTGACCTTCTGGGCCCAAGTAATTCTCACACCTTAGCTTCCCAAGTAGCTGGGACCACAGGCATGTGCCACTGTGCTTGGCTAATTTTTTAAATTTTTGTAGAGACAGAATCGCCCTGCATTGTCCAGGCTGGTCTCCAATTCCTGGGCTCAAATGATCCTCCCACCTAAGCCTCCCAAAGTATTGGAATTACAAGCATTAGCCACTGTGCCCACCTTCTTATTGTTTCATATGAGCTCTTCATATTAAAAAAGACACCAGTATTATTTTTTCCCATGTTTTTTCAACTTTTGTAGACTGTTAGATAAGAGCAAATAAAACATATTAACAAAAGTATGATGAGAAAAATATTTTCTTTTGAATTGGCTAGTTATCTAAAGACCAACAATTTGTTTATACGTGGCAGAATATTATAGTATTTTTGTAGTCAGGATTCTGGCAGGAAAGAGATGGCATACTTAAACTGGGTAAATGGAGGAAAGTTTAATAATGGTACTATTTACAAAATTTTCAGTAGAATGTAGGGTAACACAAGGGATAGTGGAACCACCCCCCGCCCCCTACAACACACAAGCATAAGTAATGCAGTGTCCTTATTGCCCTTGGGCCCTTGTCCTCTCTCTTTACCTGAAAGGGACCAGGGAGAAGCAGACACCCAAACCCAGAAGGAGAGAGTCAGATGAAAAAGTTCACCTCTATTGTGGGATGCAGCCATCCCCAAGAAGACTCCACCAGAAAAGAGACAAAGGAATAAATGTTCCAATTTTATTCTCTCTCCCCTTCCTTTGACAAAACCCAAGTGGAAACAGCAGAGCAAGAAAAGCCTTTGATAGAGTCCATAGAGATCAGCCTCCCAGAACACAGAGCAACGTGGAAAGGGTAGAGTGTAAATCTGTAGCAACAGATGGTTTCAACACAATGGGCTATAACTGTGATTCTGAAATTGCTCTCAATTCTCCAGCCTGGACATTAAACTGTTATTTAACATGGGATCCTCATCTGTAAGATGAGGGCGACCATAGTAACCGCCTCATCTGGTTATGCTGATAATCAAAAGAGTGAAGGGACTTGCATAGTCTTGGCATGGAGTGTCTAGATGCAGTTGTTGGGAGGAGGGAGTGTAAGGAAGTTGAAATGTTTCCCTTCAATTATTTTTTTTTTTGCTCTTTCCCTTTTTTTCTCTCCTTTGATGATCCCAATTTCTATCCTAGCCTGGGTGCTGGTTGAGATTTAACTAGGTACCAGCAGTGTAAATTACCAGGGGTCAACCCTCTTTCTTTCCTTCGACCTCAGCTGGACTGCTCATGGCAATGGCTCCCACACAGCATCCAGACAGACCTGTGTCTCTCCCTAGGGGTCTACACCTCTGATCAGTGGCCCAGGGGAGGCTCTGGGGTACCCTGTGCCACATCCCCAGAAACTTGATCATGTTCCCCCAGCCTAGGCTGGTTGTGTACACCCAGGGAATATTTCCTAGAGATATCTTCATTTGCCCAGAGAAATTATGAGATACAGTGAATGCATTCCCCAAGAGGAAGTTTTTTTTTGTTACTACACTAACCATATGAGATGAGTCTTTAGTATCTATCTACAGATTCTAGTTTTAATGTTCTCTTTCTAGATAAAACAATCATTAACCAATGAAATAAATATGTGGAGAAGTTTGTGTATGGAGTATGCAATAACAAACAGATTTATATGCACTCTTGAGATGTTTTTAGGTTATAATTTGCAACACAAAGTATATATTTTTATGAAACATTAGTAGAAGAATTTCCCAATCAAAACTAGAGGAAAAAGGTTAAGTATACAATTGTAAGCAAACAACAATAACAACAACAAAAACTTATTGGGAGTCTTTAGTTGTCTGTAAATTGGGTGCCCCAATTTTGCTGTTAATTATTAGTTTTTGGTTTTGCTTTTGTGTTTACTTTTTGAAACAGGGTCTCACTCTGTCACACAGGTTGGAGTGCAGTGGTGTGATCATGACTCACTGCAGCCTCAAACTGCTGGGCTCAAGTAATCCTCCTGTCTCAGCCTCCTGAGTAGCTGGGACTACAGACATGTGCTGCCACTGCATCTGGCTAATTTTTTGTAGAGACTTTGCTATGTTGCCCGGGCTGGTCTTGAACTCCTGGGCTCAAGCAAACTTCCAACCTCAGCCTCCCGAAGTGCTGGGATTATAGGTGTGAGTCACCACACTCAACCAGTTATTAATTTTGAATGAAGTAAGAATAATTCCATATACGATTATTACCATTTTAATACTCATATGAAAGCACCACAGTTGTATGTGCTGGGTATTAATCCAAGACACTGATGTCTCACCTGAGTTGGTCTTTGGAAAGGAATAAATTCTGCCTGATGAGTGGTAGCATAATGTGACCCTGCATCCAATGAGGCATCCTTCCATTTGCTTGATGGAGATTTTAGCTTATTCTCTTAAGTTAGTCCTGGTGTATGAGCTTATAATATTTTTATAGGATTGGTAAAAAGTATTGTTTAGTTTGATAGTATAATTTATACTGTAATTTATTGGTGGAATAAATATTAGAGCTGTATGTCTGGTATACTCATTACACAGTGGAAAATGTAAATCGTATAGGTAGCATTACTGATGAAGTTATATTGGCTTTAAATTTAGAGTGATATTTCTGATTTGAATCAATGATTCCAGAGCTCAGAGAGGCGTCTGGTAGATCGAAGTAGCTCTTGAAAAATTATGTATCTCTCTAATTCTACCATGAGTGGTGTCCTGGAGCCAGCTCATGCTGGCTTGTGAGAGATAATTGCTATATTTTTAGGAATTTTGTGAGCTAATTGTTAAATATAGCTGCTATTAAGAATTAAATTATATAATTGGCTGGGCGCGGAGGCTCACGCCTGTAATCCCAGCACTTTGGGAGGCCGAGGAGGGCGGATCACCTGAGGTCAGGAGTTTGAGACCATCCTGGCCAACACGGCGAAACCCCGTCTCTACTAAAAATACAAAAATTAGCTGGGTTTGGTGGCGGGCGGCTGTAATCCCAGCTACTCAGGAGGCTGAGGCAGGAGAATCACTTGAACCTGGGAGGTGGAGGTTGCAGTGAGCTGAGATCGCATCACTGCACTCCAGGCTGGGACAGAGCGAAACTCCGTCTCAAAAAAAAAAAAAAAAAATGAATTAAATTATATAATCTTATAATTATATGAATTATATTAAAAACAAAGCTAAAAATATGAAAACTGATCATGTTCTAAGTATTTTACTTTATTTTATTGGTTTCTATCCTCTTGAGGTTACTCACATTTATTGCATCTGCATGGTAGGAATACTACATAATGATGTGCTATTATATGTCTTTTCCCATTCCTACATTAAATTATGTCACGTTGGTAGCTTGAAATTGGCCAGGGAGAGAGTATTTACACTATGGAAATAGGCAAATGCCTTATTTATTGTTTGGTTGATTGTCTAAACTTGAGAAAAGTGACAGAGGAAATACTAATAATATAGATGAAAGTTAAAAGTGTGTTGTCTCTATAGGTATTATACTATTAATAGCACAAAGAAATTAGAAAATACTTTTACAGTAATCAAAAGATGTTATATAATTCTTCAAGGAAATCACTTACATCATTGATAAATGAGTGAAGCTCTAATATATATCTTTGTTATTTCACTTTTATCTTGTTGACATAAATGAAAATAGCAATCAACATTCACACAGAATGTTTGTCAATGGAGTGAATGACTTCTTGCTAAATCAGATAGCAATCCAACATTTATTTGAAGTCTGATTTTATAACACTATCATTGGTGATAGAATTATAAAAACTGATAGTGGATTTTGTAAGAAATAGTATGTCACAGAATTATATGTGTAAAAAATTTTAAATAAATTGTATATTTTGTTATTTTTGTAAATTGTGTTATACATTCTGTGTATCAATTTTTGATAAATGTGTATATGTGTATATATGTATACTTTTGTCCCCAGGAGGCTAGCTGTTAAACAATTACCACTACACAATTGGTTGGATATTATTAATTCTAAAAACAATTCTGGGAATGTCTGCTACTTTGGTTCCAACATATCAGTTTTAGGTTTGTGAGGCCCCACAAGGAGATGAAGTTTTACTAATAATTTTTTGACCTCAGAAACATCATGAAGGCATTTAGGCAGGATTATCATGGTAGCATCTTAGCTCCAACACCAATTTCTTTTTTTTCTTGAGAGAAATTGTTTATGAATTATTCTTAGTATTTAGATTTCTGTGGATGGTAAAACGAAAGTGAAGAGTTTTACCTTTACTCAGATTAAGAAAAATATGACCTTTTAGTTATATGACCAAAATATGACCAACCATTTTGGGTTTTGTTCTTTTTGCTGTTGTTGTTAATGGTTCTCTGCATAATTCATTCAACAAATATTAAAATAATGAATTTTCATATTTTATAGCTGCATCATAATTGTAGATACTTAAATACATTAGATATAGGTACAGATAAAAAATAGATATAGAGATATAGGCAGACAGACAAAATGACATTGCATGGTCTTCAGAGTGAAGAGCGTTCAGTTTGGACAGTGGAGAACTATAGTACATTCAGATGACCCTTGGAAGATAAAGGGTTTTACAATTATATCACGCAAGGACTGAACAATGAAACAGTCAACCTGCAGAAATGAACACTTAGAAAGCCATTGGAGGTATTTCCAATATCTGCAAATATTGGCAGATTTTTTTTTTAATGTTGGAGAAAGACTGGACTTATTCTGGGTGGTTTCAGAGGGCTTACCAAACCCCAATGGGTGGAAGCTTTAGGGAATTGAATTTGTCATGATGCAAGAAGAATTATAAAATAGCTAAAATCGTTCAAAATTAAATGTGGCCTGTTGAGAAGGTGGTGATTTCTTCATCGTTAGAAGTCCTTAGGCAGGGATGATAGTTGCTATAGATGGGATTCAGATGACCTCTGTTCTTACCCTTCCAGTTCTATAGTTCTGTAAGTACCTGACTTCTCACCTGTGTATTAAACCCAAAGCAGTAGCCAGCCCTTGTCAACGTGTCTGCACAGTTGAAAACTGGCTGAACATGTTGGTTCAGAAATTTAAGGACTGAAATTAGTCTTTTAAATATGATACAGGTAACTTAAAAGTACTACTTTTAAGTGAGCGAATTCAGGTAAAATCTCATTGGAACAAATACCCTTACAAAGAAGTGCTCGCTATAACAAAATGTTTCTGTATACTGGAAATAGCACATAGCACAAAACTTTATGATCTATTAACAGTACGTAATATATTATTGCATGCTTATACTATTGGTACTATTGCTTGATCACAGATACCCTGTTGTCCATTCTTTTTTCAATATGCTTATAACCAAAAATAAAGGCAGGGCAGAGAAGTAACATTCAAAACTGCTGTTTAAACTGAGTTGCCACTGGCAAGCTATTTCAGTTAATATCCACATGAAATTGCTTACAGCATAAGAATTGAGTGTTTTTTTTTTCTTCTACTTTTTAAAATACATCATCCCCTCTAGGGGCCAATTATAGCCCCCCAATCAGTGTTTTACTTGAGAAAGTTCATAGATCAAATGAATAAAAATGAAACTTGACTGGCACTCTGGAATATTAATTAGGCTTGGCTACGTAGCTATATAATAACTGTGTGCTGAAAGGATTTGTGTTGATTAGCAATGCTAATCAGATTTCTAAAGTTTCTGTTCCCCAGAGAAAAGATACTGCCATCTTAAGCTATTATGGATTAGATGTTTATATTTTAACCCCCTAATTAACTATTCTTGATTTTTATAAGACAGCTGAAAATTTTGAATTTTAATTGCATTTTTACAAAAAAAAAATTATTTCCAGAGACCAGAAAACTCACACGAATATCTTGATTTTATCCTTGAGTCAGCTTAGAATATAAATTCCAAAGAAACACAGTATATAAAAAGAAACATGAGAAAAACTTTTGAAGTATATCATTGTCTTGAATTTAAATTCCAAAACTATGCTCAAGGAAGGGCCTCTTGGTACCCACTTTATGAGAATGTATCACCATTGCCTGCAAAAGTCCAGGAGAAAGTGCTCTGTTTTTTTCGTTCTGTTTTATTTTATTTTTTAAGCAACAGGAAAAGAAAAGAGAAATACTCTAAGTTAAATGAATGGATAAAATTTGCTAGAACCTTAAAACAACACTGTCAGACAATCTCATCCTGGGGTCCGGGTTACTGGCTCAGAGGTTCATGGCTACAGTAATGGGACTACTACTTGGAGCAGCTCACCAAGGGAAAAACAAACTTCATGTTTTCTCCCCAAATCAAAATTAAAAGACAGAAGAATATGCAAGGAAATGACATAATCAAGGAATTAGAACATTCTCCCTCAAGTTACATAGACGAAACAGGAGCTAAAACAAACAGAGATAAAATCAGGGCTTCTAAAGATCTGGCCAGCAACCTAGTCAACTCGAAACAATCTGGAAATTTGAAGAAGTCGTTGTGATATTATTACATCTCTCTTCTTAGGTTTGTTTCTTTTTATTGCAAATTGGCTGTTTAGGGACTGGGCCTCAGAAATAGTTTATCTTTAGTTTCTGCAAACCAGGAAAATGCCTCATTTCCACAAAATCTACCCTGGACCAAAATAATTTGTGAACACATGGAGTTGCTTATAATGGAGATTCACGAGAGCACATTTGCTTCCAACATGGTGCATTGCTCTTGGTCACAAGGGCTGATGGGAGGTGAGTAAGGGTGGAGAAAAGAGCAAAAAGACATGGCCATTATTTGGGGGAAAATTCAAGGAATACCCTTCTGGCTAGGTCCATAGCATACTTTTTTAATATTTAGAAGTCAGCAGAGTGTATCTCTTAAGAAATGGTTTAACTGAACGCTAATTTGGGGCCCAGCAGGATCCTAGGCTATACGGTTTATAAAAACAAACAAACCAACCATGAATCCATGCATGTACCTATAGGTAAACATCCTGAATATTGACATGGAATTGCTAGTACTGAGATTACACACATACAAATAAACATTACAAAGGAAGATAATGAGTGAATCCAAATTTCTTTGTCATTTTTATCATTGTTAACAGCCATGTGATGGTTATGGTAGTCATGATCATCACTTTTCAACTGATAGTAAAAATCTTATCCATCTCACGGTAATTTAAATAAGAGGGAAGCTCATTCATCTCTTCTGCAGGGTTAGAGTGAGTATTTGACTGTGGGAATTTAGCATTTACCCTTCATGGGTCAATGCATAGGTGAGTCTTAAAACCCCTTTAAGTGAAGATTATTTTAATAGGAACTTCCTCCAGCCCGCTGCTTTTCAAAGGCCCAAAGCAATATTCCATATTTCTTAGAAGAAAATAAGGTCACATGTGGGGAAAGTACTGATAAACAATATCATTCACATGGAAATCACCACTTGAAGTTAATAAAAAGGTGATTTTTTTTTCTGGGTAAAAAAGAGATGAAACTGATTTTTGATGGTATTAAAGACCAGCAATTTTATTTTAAAAATTGCCATTGGTCAGGTGCCAAATTACAGTTTTTATACCATAAAAATGAAGTTGTTAAACCTTGCATGAAAAGAAGAGTATCATCTTTTAATGTTTAATAATATTTTTTGTATTGTGAGCGCTTTGCTGCTAATTGGAGAAATCATCACATGTATCTCAGCTGAAGGAGATTTTTAAATTTTATAAAAGATGCATAATATTAGTTACTCACATACATATGTGAGTACACATGCAGACAGATAGGTGAGCACATAGACATGTGTGTGTTTGCATTATATAGGCCTATATTCCTTTGATTTACATAGGTATAAATCATAGTGGTTTAGGGAGCTAAAATGCCTATTACTAGTTAAAATATATATAATTAGCAATTTATATTCTCAGTTGTGTAAAGACAAAAGTGATCTCCCCAATGTCAGGTGCGTGTGGAAAGCAAACCTTTGAGGGTTTTGGCTTTGCCTTTCATTCAGCAGATGAGAAATAGGAGATCCAGATGGATGCCCATGATCATACAGCCAGAGAAGAGAGCCAGGCCCAGCCAGGGTCTTCTGTCCTCATCTCTCTTCCAGTGATTGTGTGGAGAGATGTCAGAGATGGGACATGTAACCATATCTTTTTTCTTAACAAACTTCCATTTTTTTTCACTCTCCCATTAAATCTCAGCTTTCTTTAAAACCTTCAAAACTTATTTATTTATTTATTTTAGGTACCTTCTATTTCCATTGCTTCCTACTCCTTCTCTGCTACTTCTTTTCTGGTACTTTGGGCTCCAAACAAGGTTGACTTCTCTCAGGAGTCCCTTCTTGCTGTCCTGCCACTGTTCCCTGGGCCCAGTAGAGCCTGCTGGTCTCCTTCACATGAAGTTCCTTATGGCTTTAAAGCCAGCCCAGGTCTTGCCTACTACATAAAGACTTCTAGGATTACATGGAAATCTTAGAAGTGAGAACAGAAACTGTATTTACTGACATATTACTGAGAGCAAAGTCAAAGAAACCCCTAACTTGGGCCAGTGTGTTGGTTTTGGGGAAAGATGAGAATTGATCAAGTCAAAGCTTCCGGAGCTCAGTATCAGGCCTGGTATGTTTGTTTTTTGGATGCCGCCATTTGAAACAGGTAGAAGAAGTAGAGCATTTGGCAAAAATTAAGTGAAATAAAATCTTTTTTTTTTAAAGACATGCTCTGTTTGTATAGTATACTTATGTAGCTCTGGCAACAGCTTCTCTTTCCTGGATTACAGAAATATTTCTTTGATTATAGACTGAATTCAAATTTGAGTACTTTACTCTCATTTGCAGATTATAAAGTAAGAGATTGTTCAGAGGTTAAGTAACTCATTCACTGTCCTACAGAGGATTTGGGCAAAACCTACTCAGCAGACTCGCCTCTCCATCTGGACATTATCTTTTTATTCTCCTGCACTCAGGGCAAGCTCCAGTTAAAATTATGAAGCGAGCCGGGATGGTGGCTCACATCTGTAATTCCAGCACTTTGGGAGGCCAAGATGGAAGGATCGCTTGAGCCCAGGAGTTCAAGACCACCCTAGGCAACATAGTGAGACTCTGTCTCTATAAAAAATTTAAAAATTATCTGGGCATGGTGGCATGCACCTGTAGTCCCAACTGCTCAGGAGACTGAGGTGGGAGGATCTCTTGAGCCTAGGAGGTCGAGGCTGCAGTAAGCCGTGATCATGCCACTGTACTCCAGCCTGAGTGACAGAGTGAGACTGTGTCTCAAAGAAAAAAAATCATGAAGCAAGTTATCATTATCACTCATATAATTAACTAGTGTTTATTGAATGTTTACAAGGTGCCAGGTACTTTGCTAAGCATTTTTCATATGTAACCTCATTTAATCCCTTTGAAATAAATATTATCATTCCTGTTTTGTAGATAAGAAAATAAATAGGGAGGCTAACTGTTTAATATTATGCAGCCAATAAATGGAAGTGAGTTTTGAACTCAGGTCTCTCTGGCCCCCAAAGGCTTTCTCTTAACCACTAAACTATTTATCTGTGTAACCAGATGGCTTGGGTGTTTGATGTCTTCTAATCTACCAACCTTCTTCCTCTTCTCTATGACATTTTTGTCTCCCCTCCCTCCAGTGTTAGATATCCTGATGACCTCCCTCCTTCCAAATAAAAATCTTCAGATTTTTTTTTATTTACACCAAGATTTTTGTCTTTACACTTCCCAAGAGTAAAATTGCACATCACTTTTAAGCAAAAGAAATTTTAAAACTAAATACAGAATTTTAATCAATAAGTCAGACAGGCACTAGGAAGTTCAGGGGTATATTAGGAGCCTATCGTGATTTCTCTGAAATGACATTATGTAGTGGCACCTTCTTGTTTGTATGGTGAGTCTGAGAGAGCTCCTTTTTTGAGGTGAATTATAGCCAGAGGGACCACCTATGCAGTTGCATTTCAATCTCATACATTTTGAAAGATAGGTATGTTTCAAATGAATTCAGCAATGCATACCCAGAAAATTACTTAATAGCAAATGAATTATTGCTTCACTTGTTACATAGTAAAATCATTATGATAATAAATCTTTAGTGTGGTTGCTGAAAGCTTCAGCTTGGGGTGTCGAGCAAGGGAAGAGTAAACAACCATGCCTCACAAGGCAGTACAAACTTGAGTTACAAAATTATACTTCCTAGGGAAACCAAACCAGCTCCCATATTGATACTACTAGGGGCTAGACAAAACAAATTAAAACCAAAAATGTTAGAGTGGACTCAGAGTTAAACATGGGTGATTGAAAACATGCATTTTTCTTCACTGTCTTCTGAAACCCAATAAACATAACCATAAAGGGATCTAAAAAGACATAAACCTACGAGGACAAAGAGGAGCAGGAAAGAGATGACCCTGAACAAGACAGTTCAGCAAACTTTTGGAAGAAGGAAAATGGATGAGTAATAACTGACTTGGCTGAGTAGAGAAAGGTGAGCCCTTACTGCAGGCAGGAGGAGAAGCCGACAAGAGGGAACCAGTCCTCACAGCAGAGCCACTGGTCCCCTCAGGAACTGAGGCACCTAGTACCTCTGCACAGGAAGTGTTCAGGTACAGCTGAAAGTAAGAGGACTGGTTGAAAACCTATAAAAAGCAGTCAGAGCATGAAGATCTCTCCTGCTTCTCTCTTAGAAGGTGAGCAACTCTCCCCCACCTATCGGAGACATGAGCCTTACTGTCTGGGGAGATTGAAACAGAGAGGTTCCAGTCTCAGGGACACCCAGCCCAGCATAGGAAACCCAAAGGGCCAAAAACAAAGGCACTGAGTGAGAACTGGACCCTCACTTGGAGGGTTGGAGTTGTTGAACTCCAATGGAGTTCACCAATGGAGAAGTTGAACCCTCAGTTTCCTTCCCCTGCTCACCTTGTAGAATGCTGATAGCCATCCTTAGACTCTTATAATACCGCCTTTCCCATGTCTCCAATTAGCAGAAAATTACAGGGTTCTTCTCTGGAGAAATGAGCTGGTCCACTAGAAAAGGCCTCCAGATTTTGACATTGAGTGTTCTCCAGCAAAATGACTCCTTCTCAGCCTAATAGATCCTAAGTCAATAAATCTCACCTATGCATACAGAGCATCCAATCAGCTTTTTAGTGTCCTTCTTTTAAATAACAACTGATAGCCAAAGATTACCAGGTATTTGATGAAAGCCTTCAATATGAAAGATAGATAATAAAGAAACAGGAATGGAAGGAGGAGCTCTGGAAAAATAGAAGCAATGTATACAGCAACATAAAACTTGGAGAAAAAAAAATCCCCTCAACAACATAAGATACTACAATTGTGCAGCAGGAAAAGGATGCCACAGAGAAGAGACAAAGACCAAGAAAGAGCTCTTGGAAATTAAAAAATATGATGACTGAAATTAAAAAATCAACAGAAGGTTTAGAAGAGATAGTTGAAATCTACCAGTTGTTTTCAGGCTGTACACAGAGATCAAACAGGATAGAAAAAATTAATGAGAAAGTTAGAGGTAGAACCAGAAAATTCATTCTCTGGTTAACAGGAGTAACAGAAGAAGAACAGACAAATGAGAAAGGGAGGAATTATCAAATAAATAATACAAAAATAATTTCTCATAAACAAAGGATATGAACTGCCAGATCAAAAGGGCTAGGTAACCCACACACAACGAACATAAAAAGATCACACCAAAGTAAATGACCATGACATTTTAGAAGATTCTAATCATTTTCAGAAACAACAAAAGGGCGTATATCAGGAACTAGAGTGACATCAGTTTTCTCAATAATAACTCAACAAGTTAGAAAATGATCAAGCCATGTGTCCAGCCAATCTATGCAGCAAGTCATAGTTTTCATTCACTCATGTTCAACTTTAAACAACTGCATCTCCTATGTACTGCTTCTTGGGAAGCTCCTGGAGGATTTGCTCCAGCAAAATGAGAGGATAAACCAAGAAAGAAGGCCTGAGAGCCATACAATGAGACGGGACCCAGGAAAGAGGTGGAGGGAATTCCCAGCCACACAGGGGAGGCAAGGTCTGGACAGCAACCAATCCTGTTAGGAATAGAACCCTGGGATGCCCCTGGGAAAAGGGCACAATTAGATGCCTGACATGTTCAACAACGTTGAGGGCAATTGGCAAAGAGTTTGAAAGAAGAAATAATGATTTACAGATAGAAAATTACTAAATAGACAATTATTAATTACCAACAAACTGTCAGAAATAATTAAATATCACTGTACACTGTGTCTTAATTGTAAAAAATAAATACATAATGGTAATATAAACATCACAAATTGATTTATTCAAAGATGGTGATATAATTTGCTTTGGGAGAGAGTCAAATGGAAGGATGGTTGGAAGAGGGGAGGGGAAACGGGGTGGAGAGAATTCAGTTCTCACCCTCCAAAAGAGAAAGCTATAAATAGTGGCTAAAATAGATAATCAAGGAATAGCATGGCAAGCCTGTTATTTAGAAATACAGGCATGGAGGGGAACTAAAGAGTGAGGAAGGATTGGGCAAGATAAACAGTTTTCTCTTTAAGCATTTTACTGTTTGATTTTAAAAATGTGTTGTATTACTTTTGTAAATATTAAAAATGAATTTTAAAAACCAGACCTAAAGAATAGGTATTCTCATTTATGACCCAAAATAAATTAATAGTTGGTTTGGTTCCTTTTGCTATAATTTCTCCAGGTCAATAAGAATATATGTCATACCTGGTTCAAACATGAGACAATGCGTTAAAACAAAGGGCTTGCAATTCACAGAATTAGAAGGCACATACGATGAATTGATGTTCTTGGGGTTGGGGAACACAAGGCTCTCATTTGATGCTGTTTGAAATGAAATAAAATAAAATCCAAGCCAAGTCAAAGTGCCACAGGTAGGAAGTGATTATAAACCAGCACTTGTCTGTAAGAGTTTCACAAATATCACATCACTTAATGACCAGAAGCCTGTTAATTGTCTGGGTACCAGAGTATTGTATCAGATAAATTCAGTTCTATATTATACTTCATATATCTGATTTAAAAACATTTTTTAATAGAGGTAGGGTCTCGCTATGCTGCTCAGGCTGGTCTCAAACTCCTGGGCTCAAGCAGTCCTCTTGCTTTGGCCTCTGAAAGTGCTGGGATTATAGGTGTGAGCCACCATGTCCAGCCTGTGTATCTGATTCTAATGCTGTGTATAACTAAAATAAAAAATAATTATTTAAAGCACAGGAATAGGGCACTAACCAATGCAATGAACTATTACCTCTCTCTTTCATGAAAAGTCATACCTTTAATTAAAAGTAACCCAATACTACACATAATATATTTATTGGGAATATGTCAACCTGTTGAGCAATGAAACATACTGATTTTCATAGCTAGTCTGTAATAAAACAGCTTAAGAGAAAACATAAATTTTATAATTTATTAACAACTCAACAAGGTGATCTTTGTATTAAACATGTTTCTATTCCATTCTTCTCTATTTCATGTTTAAAATGTTGATTTCCATCCAGTGTCATGAAATCAATGTAGTAGGTTAATAACAGCATTTATTTTTTAAAATGAAATAAAATACAATATTTCAGAATATTCTGGAATGAATAGAATTGAGTAGTTGTGGCTGTAATTGGAAAAACACTGCACAATTCAATATTGCTTTCTTACTAGAAACCCTGTCCTTTATACTTTTCAAAAGCCTTGATCCTCATTGGAATCTGATACAGGAGTGCCAGGACTGGTGAGAATCACATAAACTGGAGAAATTGGTAAGCCAGCAGTATTCTTGGTGGCTCTTTCTAGTCCATTTGCAAGATTCTGCTAGGCCACTAAGCTAGTTTTTCAATACTTAAAAAATGCTTTCACTGTTACCCACGGTGAAAAAAATGTCAGCATATATCATATGTAAGTAAGGGTGATTACTGTTTTGTGAAACTTCTATTTTAGTTCTATATAACAGAGAGACAAATTGAGAGAGAGAGAGATGTTGGTATGAGAAAGGTTTAAAAAGTCACAAAAATGTCTGTTAAGACCATAATTTTGACACATGAATCTTAGTTGCAACAGTTACAAGCTGTGTAAACTCTGAAAAGTTGCTTACTCTTAGAATCTCCGTTTCCTCATCCATTAAGTGGGAATGATAATATCTTCCTCAGATGATTCTTGCCAAGATGAAATGCAATAATAATCCATGTTACATTTTTCCCAGCTCACAGTAGAGAAGGCCCTTAGTAGATGCTGGCTTTCATTACCAAATGTATTCTCCCATCCATACTTATCACTTGCCAGAATCCTTTGCCAGGTGGCACAATTAAGAATGGCAGTTTAGGAATGATTTTCCCAACTGGTTAGAAAAGATTGGTCAACATTCTCTGTCAAAGTACGTATTTCTCGTTATTATTTCTCACTCATTATCTTGTAGTAGGTACATACTATATTTGCTGTTTTCTTTTTTAATTTATTCTTTGGCCAGCATAACTTTTTTCAGAAATTTGTATATCTACCTAGGAGAAAAAGATTAATGTGTACCAACTTAGTGTATATGAGGCCATATAGAGATACTAATTATTATTTATTTATTTAGAGATGGAGTCTCACTTTGTCACCCAGGCTGGAGTGCAGTGGTGTGATCCTGGCTCACTGCAACCTCCACCTCCCGGGTTCAAGCGATTCTCCTGCCTCAGCCTCTCTAGTAGCTGAGACTAGAGGCATGTGCCATCATGCCCAGCAAACTTTTGTATTTTTAGTAGAGATGGGGTTTCACCATGCTGGCCAGGCTGGTCTCAAACTCTTGACATCAAATGATCCACCCGCATTAGCCTACTAAAGTTCTGGGATTATAGGCATGAGCCACCACACCCAGCCTACAGATAGTATTTAATAATCAGGTGTAGGTGATGATGGTGACCATTGATAATATACCCAGAGCAAGGGATGTGATGCCATTTCCATTCTCACACCTAATTTGTAATGTAATCTTAAACCTATCTTTTGGCAAATAAGCCATTTTATGAAATGTGTATATGTATTTTACAGAAGGATTCTGTACTTCCTGAAAGATGGACTACAGATTACCTTTAAGTCGTGAGCTTAACTTGTGCATTTAGAACATGGCTAATGTGTGAAATTAGCACAATTCACACACACAGTAAGAGGAGCAGCATGACTGAGTGGAAACAGCACATGCTCTTGTGCAGCCAGGCCAGCTCTCAAAAGCTAGCTTCACCACTCTCTGTGAAACTTGGACAAGTTAATCTCTAAAGAAACTCAATTTTCCCATCACCTGAATGGGCATGTTCATAGGCCACCGGTGCCAAGTAGTGTGTAAAGTATTTAGCACACAGCCTTATGCAGAATAAGCAAACACAAGTATTTTAAAAGACAGCATGAAGTGTGCATATAACAGCAGAGGGGAGGCAATCTAAGGAAGAAGGAATATTGCCTTTCCCTGATGCTCCATTTTCTGTTTTGTCTTTATTTTAGATTGACTGCTATCTTAACCTGCTTACCTGCTTGCTTATTGGGGTCCAATTTAGAGTTAAACTGGGGAGGTCATAAATATGCATGCCTATTTTTTTTTTTTTTTTTTTTGGAGATGGAATCTTACTCTGTGGTCCAGGCTGGAGTACAGTAGCGTGATCTCGGCTCTCTGCAACCTCTGCCTCCCAGGTTCAAGTGATTCTCCTGCCTCAGTCTCCCGAGTAGCTGAGATTACAGGTGCATGCCACCATGCCCAGCTAATTTTTGTATTTTTAGTAGAGACGGGGTTTTGCCATGTTGACCAGGCTGGTCTCAAACTCCTGACCTCAGCTTCCCAAAGTGCTGGGATTACAGGCATGAGCCACCGCACCCGGTGATATGGATGCCTCTTAACATGCCACCAGTTACACACTGTGTGGTTTGGGCAAGTTATTTAACTTCTCTGAGCCTCAGTTTCCTCATATATAAATACTGAACCTAAACGGTGTTAGTTATTGAGCAGACTAGAGCTGATGTGTGCAAATCAGCTGTCATGATGATTGACAAATATAGTAGGTCCTCAATCAATGCTAAATTTATGCAAATGAATTTTCGAGGCCATGGAAGCCATTGTTTCATTGCACTGTATGTAGTGTGCACTTGCTCTGCCTTGATTATCTTATGTTCCTATGGCAGTGAATACACATTCTCCATCCCCTAGGGAAAACTGAAAGGTTGGGTGCTTCTTCAGAGAAGTAGGACAATCCAAAACACAGACAGGAGTTAATAACCAAGGAATCAAACATTCAGAAAGTTGGTGAGAAATAGAACATGTGTTTGATTAGATACTTGTGAAAATTATATCTTCAATTTTCTTTGGTTTGTGCCTGAATTAAAACATCCTTTCCTAAAATATACTTCCTTACAGTCAAGCATGATTTTCCCAGATATTAGAGCATCAGTTGCTTGCTAATTTGGGGCATTTTAGAAACTATTCTGGAGCCATCTCTATTGTCCTTTATGGCTTGGCCAGGATTTAAAATACACTAACAGCACTTCTATTATCTCTTGCTCATTTTCAGGATGTCTTGGGTATTTTTAAGGCTTCTATTATGACTGCACTGCCTCATAGCAATGACTCCTCAGTTTCTTGGAGAGTTTTACCTTCCCTTGATCTGATCTTTGGTTTTTTTTTTTATTCTTTATTTTATTTACAGTTATCTTTTCTGACATTTCAACAACTTCACATATGTTAAGAAGAAAAATCAAGTAACTAGTAGTAAAATCTGTAAATTCATGATAACAAAAGTATTTGTATACATATACAGAATATAAATTGCATAGATGCAATATAAATTGCATACCACTGTGACTATACATGACTAAGAAACCAAATACATGCTTCATTGCTACATACCCTTGTTTTACCTTACTTTCCTCATCCATAGACTGGGCCTTTTTTTTTTTTTTTTGAGACAGAGTCTTGCTCTGTCACCCCGGCTGGAGTGCAATGGCGCAATCTTGGCTCACTGCAACCTCCACCTCCCGGGTTCAAGTGATTCTCCTGCCTCAACCTCCCGAGTAGCTGGGATTACAGGCGTGCACCACCACACCCGGCTAATTTTTGTATTTTTAGTAGAAACGGGGTTTCACCATGTTGGTCAAGCTGGTCTCGAACTCCTGATCTTGTGATCCACCCGCCTTGGCCTCCCAAAGTGCTGGGATTACAGGCATAAGCCACCGCACCCAGCTGGCAATTCTATTTATCTGTGCACATTTTCAGAGATGAAATTGTCCTATGAAAAGTTGTATTTGGTGATCAACAACTATATTTTTATGAAACAGCCAAATTGTATTTTGAAATAAATAAGAATAACTTCCCAGACGGTGGGA
This sequence comes from Homo sapiens, assembly GCF_000001405.40. Classification (NCBI taxonomy): domain Eukaryota; kingdom Metazoa; phylum Chordata; class Mammalia; order Primates; family Hominidae; genus Homo; species Homo sapiens. Next base: position 39,124,486 of record NC_000007.14, read on the forward strand.
AGACTTGTTATTGTCATTATAGCTGTTTTCGCTTAGGTGACAAGAGTAGTTTCTGAGATGTATGGAAGTATTGAAGAGTTTAATTATATTATTCTCCTCCTACCGGGGGCTTAAACACTCATACTGAGCCCTCCTTTCATAGAAGCAGATTCAATAACAACAGCAATAACAACAAGCAAAACCCACCGGTGAAGACTGAGTCTTGCCACAAAACAACCACGTTTCGGGGACACAAATTATGTGCCCCACAGAACAACCCTGTTAGTGGAAGAGGTGCATCTTACAGGTTTTCCTATCTCTGTACAGCCAGCTTTTTCAGAAGTTGAGTTTGCCTTCATTTTGATTAGGACAGTTAGTTGAAGCACAGATAGATCCTTAAGCCTTTATTTTTCTCTTCTTCCGTTCTTTATATTTTCTTTGTATGTGCGTTTGTGTGTGGAGGAAGGCCAAGTTTATATTGCCTATAGGAACATTGATAAATTTGCCAAAATATGAGGGCCTTAATGTTAGATGTCCTTTAATATGTCTATGTATTATATAATTTATATAAAATATAAAATTACTACTGGGCCTTGATATAAAAATACCTACCACAATCCTTTTTTTCTTTTCCTTTTTTTAAATTGCACTTTAACTTGTATAGAAAATACTTTGATTCAGTTTGCAAATGAAACAATACGACACTGTTTGGCCTGAGATCACGGACTAGCCTGGTACTTCTCTTGAAACTTTGAACTATGTGTTTGTGAGGTGAGCATTTATGTATCTGTGGCAGTGTGTTAGCAGAAAGATTCCTATACAGCTAGAATTCAATGTTAGATGGTATTTTTAAAGCTGAAATTAGATTCTCTGCTTTGATTATTCCATTGTGGGTCCCCAGTTATATTTTAGTGTCCTTCACCCTTTCCTCCTTTATTATTTATAACCTGTACTCTTTGAGCAATGACCAGTACTAATCTGTAACCTTCTGTCCTTCTGCCTGATTCGCTGCCTTTTTTGAAACTCCAAGATTGAAGCATATATTCTCAGAGTTTCTGTTAAAAAATATATTACATTTTTTTCATATTTCTGAGCCTGAAATAAGAATCATTTCTGGATTTTCTAGTCTCATTCATTTTCAGTAGGCCAGCTTCAAAAAAGAGAGCAAGAAAGAGAGAGGAGGAAGCATAAAGAAAGCCCATTTTTGCATTTTTTGTATTTATTATCTTATAATATCTCTCACACGAACACACAAATATACTTTTGCATATACATTTGTTAAAAAAAAATATTGATTTCTAGATTAATGCACTGGGTCTTTCTCTCTTCCCTTGCCTTGCCTTTTCAAACCTCCACCTTCCATCCACAGGAGCTGGACCTAAATAATAATCAAAACAAAGAATAGCAATTCATTTGTTCTTGAGGTGCACTAAAAAGAAGTGGGGCATAAAGCAGCATTAGCAGCAAATTCCTTAAGGACCAAAGACTCCCACTGGTTCCAATCTCCTGAATGGTGCCTGTCTCTCCCATGCAGCTAATGACTGAAATGGGATCCATTGCCACCGGGAGCTTTTAATTTCTTTACATTGTTCAGGTCCCTGTGATGCAATGCAAAGTGACAGCTTCCATTCCAGTCTTGCTCATTATCAGCTCTTACACGAGACAGCAAGGACAGATGTCTTTATCTGCATGTTAGACCTAACCTTCGTCACCATGTAAGCTGAATTCAGCCTTGGCTAAGGTATAAGGTATACAGCACTGTGGGCATGCTTATAAATCATCTCATATCCAGGGGGATAGGGAAAGGAAAAGGAAAGTGGAGGCAAACTTTGGTTTGGTTAAAAGCCACCACTTGGAGGGCAGGGAACTTCTGAGGAAGGTCCAACTGTGAGAAGGGCATGCAAATTTCAGGTGTGGATTGGGAAGTGAATGAGATGTGCCTTGGTTTGTTCTGGTGTCTAGTCTTGACTGTCATATTTGGCCATGAGCACTCCGTCATTAAGTAGGATGTTGAGTCAGTCCCTGCTAGTTAAGTACGTGTTGTGAGTTTCTTTTACTTCTTCTAGAAATGGCTGCATGAACTACAGCAAAATTTGTAGATTTCTGCCATACTCAGTCTATGTTTAGAAATGAAAATAATTAAGACTGGCCTAAGATTTTCCTAAGCAGACCTCAGCCAACAAAGATGGTCCAAATTCTCGGTATATTGATGATTCAGATCTATCTCCTGAAAGCTAACACTCTCTAATGCTGCATGTGAGAAAGCTAAAACCAATAGCGTATGTAATTTGTCTTAAATGTATATGGAAATCAGAGATACACATAGATATTTACAATCCATACCAACACATGCTTATCTGCAAGGTGGCTTATTGGAATCAAATGTAAGTAGAATAATTTATTAGACCAGTGGGCTAAAGAAATAGATTAAAGACTTTAAAAGCAGTGAAATATGGTTTTGACCATCACAGCCCAGTAGAAATTAAATGCAAGCCAAGTATGTAATTTTAAACTTTCTAGTAGCCACATTAAAAAAATAACTAAAGACAAACAAGGAATTAATTTTAACAATATATTTTATTTAACCTCATATATAAAAATGCTATCATTTGAAGATGTAAATTAAATGTATTCATTAGATAAAAATGTAAAGATTATTAGTGAGATATTTTACATTCTCTTTTGTACTTGGTCTTTGAAATCCAGTATGTAGTTTACACTGATAGCATATCACACTTGAATTTGAGACGTTTTAAGTGCTCAGTAGCCACATGTGGCTTGTGGCTGCGATAATAACACAGCATAAGACAGACATGGTGACTCATAAGAAGCCATGTTTCCTTACCAAAAACGTGTCTATTTTAGAAATGATGAAGAGGATCTTGGTAGTATCTTGGCTTAGGTAGGGAATATTTATTCATTCATTTAGTCATTCAAGCAATATTCAAAGTGTATCATGTACTAGGCACTGGAGTAAAGAATGGGGACCATGTATAGAAACGAAAAAGACAAGCAAGATCTTTTCTACCAATGAGCTGACATCCTACTGGGGGAGACAGGAAGAAAGAGATAACTAATATATAATCCATCAGATGGAGACAAGGGCTATGAAGAAAAATAAAGCAGTGTGAAGAACTGGAGCGTGATGGGGGTACCATGCTAGATTAGCGGGGGCTGACAAGGTGTCACATAAGGGGACATTTGAGCTGAGCCCTGAATGAAGGGAGAGATTGAGTCACGTGGAGATGTGGGGAAAGTTTGTTTCGGGAAGCAGCTGGAAAGGCTGTGAGGCAGAAAGGTGCATTTTATATGATCCTGTAGGCCATGATTAGGATTTAAATTTACTCTAAGTAAGATGAAAAGCCAGTGGAATTTTTTTTTTTTTTTTTTTTTTTTGAGACGGAGTCTTGCTCTGTCGCCCAGGCTGGAGTGCAGTGGTGCAATCTCTGCTCACTGCAAACTCTGCCTCCCGGGTTCACGGCATTCTCCTGCCTCAGCCTCCCAAGTAGCTGGGACCACAGGTGCCCACCACCACGCCCGGCTAATTTTTTGTGTTTTAGTAGAGATGGGGTTTCACCGTGTTAGCCAGGATGGTCTCGATCCCCTGACCTCGTGATCCGCCCACCTCGGCCTCCCAAAGTGCTAGGATTACAGGTGTGAGCCACTGTGCCCGGCCGCCAGTGGAAAGTTTTGAGCTAATATGTGACAAGATCTGGATGCTTCATGGAGAAGAAGCAGCTTAGAAAATATCATGTATATGTATATGCATACTTTTATATTTTAAAAAATTTATTTCCCTTTTAACTACATCATTTCTATAAGATTAAATTCAATATTCAATTCAGTCACATTTCTGAACTCTGCTAAAACAATGCTATTATTAACCAAAAAATTAATGGTGAAATCTGCCTCCCAAATGTACAGGAGCTGAATCCTAGACATAAATTGCATGTTAGGGTGGTGCAGAGCTAGGCAGCTAGCCTGAGCATTAGCAAAATTTGGCACATGTGGATTATTACATATAAATGGGTTACCATAGATGCATATCTTAATTTTATGATTATCTGTGGGAAATATTCCTGCATAAGGATGTTTGGACTTTTTGGTGTGTAAATGCAGAATTCTAGTCTACTGTCAGTCTTTACAGAAAAGTCTGATTATTATCAGTGACGAATGTGCACAGGATGAAATTGGTGGTATTTTATTCTTATTCAATGTGTTTATTGCTAGGAAACAAGAAAGAAAACCAAAGATATCCAGTTGCTTGGATCTATGATCGCCATGTGTTCTCAGGCAGTCTGGCAGCCAGATAGAAACCATTTCTTATCTCCTATTAGAATCACAAGTTATTCCTGGTCTCCAATTTAAGTTTTCTGTAGAGTGAAGAAAGTACATTTACCTCTGAAAAGGAATTCAACTGAAATTCAGTGGGAGTATATTAGACTCTAAGAACAAATCTCTTGCTAGCATCCTTATTTAGTAAAAGACTCTCTTAATGCAGTTAGGATGAAATTCAGGATCAGGATAAGAGTGGATATTGCTTTTGGAATATCATGGTGAAAATAAACATACCTGAAATGACATGAATGCCCCTCAGGAGTTCAGACTGAGTAAACGGTGCTGGCAAAGGATTCAAAAGGGAGATTCTTTATCTTAGTAATTGGTCATTTCTTAGTGTGTTCAGAAAAATTGTCTTTTGAGTTGTGTCTGGCCATCATTTCTCTGCTTTCTTAGGAGAATGGCTTTCTCCTTGGGAATCTCAAGGTTAGCAACTCCAAAGATGTGAGTTCAAGTCCCAAGCTTCATAAGAATAGAAATTCTGCCTATCTTGTTCACTATTGCATTCTTATTGCCTAGAAAGGTGCTTAGCATATAGTAGTTGCTCTATGAATATCAGATAAAGGAAATTTGACCTAAACTGATTTAAATATACATTGTTATGTAGGAAAACCTTAAGAAGTATAACTGATTCCTCTCTTCTCACACCCTCCCAAAGCTTTGCCCTCAGCTTAACTGACAATGGACTTTTACAATTTAATTTTGAGATGATGGGCATTCTTTGGCATTTAACCCCAATGCCTGTTTGTTAATTGTGATATTATACTCAAACTGGTAACAATTTTTTTTCATGTGTCCAGGTGGCTGAGAGACAATAGATATATAGATAGATAGATAGATAGATAGATAGATAGATAGATAGATAGACTGATGGCTCCATACACATCATTTTTTAACACAATTTGAAGGATTTATCTTTCACTAGGCAACAGTTCAAACTTCAAAGGGCATTATTATAATTATTTAAAAAATTTTTTTCGGCCGGGCGCTGTGGCTCACGCCTGGGATCCCAGCACTTTGGGAGGCCGAGGCGGGCAGACCAAGAGGTCAGGAGATTGAAACCATCCTGGCTAACACGGTGTGAAATCCCGACTCTACTAAAAAATACAAAAAAATTAGCCGGGCGTGGTGGCAGGTGCCTGTAGTCCCAGCCACTTGGGAGGCTGAGGCAGGAGAATGGCATGAACCCGGGAGGTGGAGCTTGCAGCGAGCCAAAATCGTGCCACTGCACTCTAGCCTGGGCGACAGAGCGAGACTCCATCTCAAAAAAAAAAAAAAAAAAAAAAAATTTCACAGCATGCACTTAAGTAAAATACCATTTTTTTTAAAGTAAAGAAAGGGGTAGGTGTGTGTGTGTGTGTGTGTGTGTGTGTGTGTGTTTTAATGTCTTTTCCTTTCTATAGGATATTTATTAACTATAGGAAAAATTATATTTAATATCAGATGAAACAAAATGAATGAAGGTAATGAAATTCATATAATTACTCACCACCCGGAAGGCAGGAGAACACTGCAGTTACAGAATTAGAGACTTGCATTTTTCCTTAAGGATTTCAACTCTTTAAATACAGGATGCCTGATTTAGACGCACATGGGCCATCCAAATGACTTAGTTGACAGTACATGGAACAGCATCATAGCTGCAAAAAATTCACTTGAGAGAAGCTACGTAAGCACAAGCAACCTGCTGAGCTAAGTGTGCTGTGGCTTGGACTTTTATCTCCCTACACAAAAGGAAAATGAAACTACATACAGCAAATAAGGGATTCCTTCATAGATTGTGTTTTTCTTGAAAAAGAAGTTCTGCAAATATATGTGGAAAACTCACTGAATCATAATAGAGTTTATTACTCAGAAGAACACTTTTAAAAATCAGATTTTTTTTTTCAAACAGGAGGAAAATAATTTGTTTAAAAAACATCTCTTCTGGGCCATGTCCTCAAATGTGCCTGCATTTTTGGATGCTAAGTAGAGTCTGGGTGGAATTGTCAGTCACCCCAAATGAACAAGTGGTATCTGAAAAGTCACTGTTTAATGAAAAGGGTACACTTGGGATTTGGCCGCCTTGGCTGGAGGAGGAATCCGGCCTTTCGGCGTTCCCACCTGCTGCTACGGGCGCCGGGAGCCTAGTTGCTGCGTCTCACGGATGCAGGTGAACCCAGCGCTGAACCACTTTCACAGTCCAGAAAGCATGACATTCCTTGTTACCAGTGGGAGGAAAGGCTAATTGAGAAGTGTGTATAAAGGCTGTAATGAGTAGCATTTACATGTATTGATTAGAAGTAGGGCCACCGTTTCTCATTTATCACCACCAGCAGCTGTGAAATTTTCCCCACGTCGATTGGCACGGCTCAGATTCCCGCTCCTCCGGTCCTTTATTGCTTTTTTCCCCTTCCCCTCCTGAACCAGAGTGGTGATCCACCAGCTGGAATGGCCTGGTAATTACTCCAGCTCCTCCACCAGCTGCCACAATTGCCAAACTGCTGGAGTGAAAAATTCCATCCCGCATTTCCGATTTTTTACATTACCATTGCATAATCATATTTGACGAATAATTAACCTGGGTTAATACTTCAGGGAGCCATTTGCAAGTAAATTGATAAGCTGAGTGCTGTAACGGCTCACAAGGGCCGAGGACTTTGGCGGTGGCACGCTGCTGCTGGTCCTCGCTGCCATCAAGGGAGTGTTCTTTTTGACTGCCTGAACTGACCGAGGCGGCCACCCTTTAAGAAGAGCCCTTGATTCGGTCGAGTCGGAGGAGAAAAGACCCTAAATCTACGGCCATCCTGAGTGGCTGGAATCTCCTCCTTCTTAAAGAGCTAGACCCATTTTCTATATCCTGGCTGTGAAATGGGTATTTCAAGTGCCATAGCCCATGTTGAGAAATTCACTAAGTCAGGAGGTTGTGAGTTGGTATTCAGGAAATTACAACCTTTATTTTATCTTCTGATCTTTCTCCTGCACAGTGGAGAGGCTCCTTTGACTGGCTAGAGAGTGATTTGCTTCCCTTCCGATGAGAGGCATCTATTTTGTTTTATATTTTTTTTTTATGTTTTTAAATTTTTAAATGTTGTGGGTACATAGTAGGTGTGTATCTTTATGGGGTGCATAAGATGTTTTGATGCAGGCACACAATGCGTAATAATCACATCATGGAAGATGGGGTATCCATCCCCTCAAGCACTTATCCTTTGTGTTACAAACAATCCAATTATACTTTTTAGTTATTTTAAAATGTACAATTAAATTATTATTGACTATAGTCACCCTGTTATGCTATCAAATACTAGGCCATATGAGAGGCATCTGTTTTGGAAGCAAAGGAAGTGTGTGCCAGACAGAGGGAATGAGTGAAAGTAACGGATAATGACCATAGTTCCAGATCAAATGTAATTTGTCTGGTCATTTTGGAAAACTGTAAGACTACAGCAATAGAAGAGCATCACAGTTTAACCATCTGAATTCAAATTTGCTCATAATTCCATTTGTTGTGGCCAGTCAGAACACTGAATTTTTTTTCAGTTGCTTAGTTCTCATACCTTCTAATTTTTTATCTCTTCATCCATTCATTTCAGGCCATACTCTCGTTCAAGGCTAATCAGAGAGGCAAATGATGACCCTACAATTTCAGAAATAATGTTTGCATCATTTGTGGTTGAGCTTTGGCATGTGAGCGAGTGTTCCTAAAGTGGAACCAGTGTGTACCAGCCCAGCACAAAGTCAGCACTCAGCATTTGTCACCGTGTGAGGTATGGCAAGGAAGAGCAGCTCCTTTCAGACTCAACTGTAGCTCTAAGTGAAATCAATGGCCGAACAATCTAACACAATTGGTCACATATTGATAGAATTAAACACTGCTGTTAACGTGGCTTGTCATTGATCTGACAAAAATAGAGTTCAGAGTAAAAGTAGCCTGAAGCCTTTGGACTCTGTGTTTATGGAGAAGAGGTGTGGGGCGAGGAAGGGGAAGGGGAAAGGAACATGAGAATTATTTTGCTCCGCCTACTTAAGATGGATTTTTTTTTCTTCACTTACCGTACTTCACTCTGGAACACATTTTCAGGACTGCCTTTTTTCCCCCTCATTAGTGACATGGAAATGGAGACTAGTTTAAAGTTAAGATATGATGTCGAACTAACATCTGTCTCTATTAAGAACATCTCCTTGATGGTGTATGAGATTACCTCTTTGACAAAAGTCCTGTAGATTCTTGTGGACAATGAAACAAGTCAATCCCGCTCATAAAACATCACATTCTACTATGTCAGATAGTAAGTACTGCCTACAAGCAAGGACCTGCCTATCAAATATAAATTCTGAAAGTGTTTTCTGTCATTTGCATGCAATCAGATAATATTGCAAACTACCTGGGCCAGGAGAGCCTGGCCGTGTCATTCCTTGTGATGTCTCTGAGTGTTGTAGTCAGCTGTTGCTGGGGCTTCATCTGCCACAGGCACGCATGTGACTAATACGAGAATGTCCCCTTGTCAGAGAGCGGCAGCTGCTGCATGTATGTAGCCTGTGTGTTGTGGTGTGAGTCAAAAGCACCAACATCAATAGCTGTGATTTCTAAAGTGCTGTGTAAAAGAGAGCAGGGCTGTGTCAGTGTCTTATCTGCAATGAGTAGTCAAGAGAAGAGATGTGTTTCAAAAGTTGGGTCTCCTTCTTTACTAGGTTTCAAAATGATTATGGGTTCGTTGGTGAATGTACTCAAGAATTTGGATAAGAAATGTTTTTCTCTACGATGTTGCCTGTTTAGTTTCTTTAAAGCATTCTCACAATCTATAATTATCTTCTGCATTTGTTTACCAGTTTAATGTGTGTTGCTCCCAGTAGAATGTAAACTCCATGAATACAATAACATTGTCTTGTTCTCCTTAGTGTCAACCTAACACCTACCCAGGGGCACAGCCACAGCCTATGGCTTGGTAGACTGTGCACTGTACAATTCACTGTACTATGTGATATTCACATAGACCACAATGTACAGCCTGTGTAAGCTCTACATGGCAGCCCTGAGGGGCTGGAACATAGTAGAAACTCAATAAATACCTTAGAAATAAATGCATAAATTTTTTTCTTTCTGTTTTTTTAGACCGTCTCGCCCCATTGCTCAGGCTGGAGTACAGTGGCATGATCATGGCTCACTACAGCCTTGACCTCTTGGGCTCAAGGGATCCTCCCACCTCAGCCTCCTGAGTAGCTGGAACTACAGGCGTGTACCACCATGACCGGCTAATTTTTTATTTTTTGTAGAGATAGAGTTTCACTATATTGCTCTCAGGCTGGTTTCAAACTCCTGGGCTCCAGCAATCCTCCTGCCTTTGTCGTCCAAAATGCTGGTATTACAGGCATGAGCCACCAAGCCCAGCCAGATTTTTTCTGATATTATTTTTCTTATGTTACAGTGGACAGAAACTATCACTTACTTTATTGCCGAATGATGAATAACTATAAGGCAGTGGTTTTTAGCATATATGAGAATCACCTGGTAGGCTTTTAAAAGCAGGACTAGTTGTGCCCTGCCCTCAGGGGTCCCTGATTCAGTAGGTCTGGAGTGGGACCAGCAACCTTCTTAGGGGATGCTGGTGCTGCTCTTCTGGAGCCACACTTTCAGAACCATTGCTGTAAGATCCACAGATCATGATAATGATAATGGTGATGAGAGATCATGCCAGTGACAGTCTTTCTCTTCCCTTCTTCATTCTGTCTTTACATTGGAGCTCAGTTACTGTCTTGAAAGTGTGGTCTAAACTTTAATCCTGCTGCCAACTTTTGATGACTACTTGTATCTATAGCTCAAAGTCCAAATTCTTTCATGTGGTGCTTGAAGCCATCTTCCACCTTTGGAAGGCACTAGTCATTCTCCAATACCCCACTCCAATCTGTGTGCAAGCTCCAGGCAGGCTTAGACCCACGTACCCCAACTCTGGCTATATATCAGAATCACCCAAGGAGCTCTCAGAAAGTACAGATGGCTAGTCTCTGTTCCGGAGATTCTGATTTGATAGGTCCCAAATGAGTCCTGTATTTTTTAAAAGCTTCGCAAGTGCATTAAACTACCAACTTATGAGATGTGGGCAAGATACAGTCAAAGGCAAGTTCATAATTTTGTAATATTTCTTCATAAAAGAAGAATGAATAAAAATAAATGAAATAGGCAATAACCTTAAAAAGTTATGAAGAGAACAATAAAAGAAAATGTATAGACTGAAATAAAAATGAAGACGAGTAAAATTCAGTAACTTAGAGAACTAAAAACAAATAGAAGGAAAAATTCAATCCAGGAAGCAGCTCTTAAACTAACAAGACATGAGCTTCTGATAAATATATGAACAAAAATATATGCCAAGATATCTGAAAATCTGGATGAAATAGACAATTTATGTGAAAGCAGTTATGAGCATTGACTCAAAAACTTCAGAAATATCAGATATAGTCTATTAACTCAAATATTTATCAAGTACTTACTATATATCAGGCACTGACCTAGGCAGAGGGTCCAGCACTGGACAAATTAGGCAAAAATCTCAGCCATTGTGGCATTTACTTTCTGTGAACCTAAGTCTGACAGCCCACATACAGAGGGCAATAACCCAATCACATATATTGGGTTGGAAAAATGTAAGCACAAGACCAGGAAACTATATTCAAAAGTACCTTAGAATGACTACTCATCCACACTCATTCCAGGGTTATGATAGTTTAATATTTTTAACAATGCATTAATACATCAAGTCAATAAGCCTACTAATTTAAAAAATGTTTATCTCGGTGGATATTCAATAAAATTGAATATCTATTCCTGATAAAAAACCTCTTGGAACACTAACAGGAGGATACGTTCTCAACCTGATAAAGAAAATAGAAACTAAGGTCAACATCACATTTCATTGTGAAGGTATTTCCATTTAAAGCAGAGAAAAGAAATGAATTCTCACTGTCACCATTGTTATTTAGTATTGTCTGAAAGTTCCAGTAAATACAATAAACCATGAAAATAAGAATAACTATAGAAAAGGGAAGTAAAATTATGGTTCTGTGATGACAGCATGATTAGACATACCTTGGCAATCCAGGAGCACCGCTAAATAATGTTTTGAATTAATAAGCAAGTTCATCAAAAGTACAATGGCTGCAGGATAAATATACAAGAACCAATGACATTTCTATATAGCAGCAATAAACATTGTAGAATATATAGTAGCAACTACAACTATGAATTACCAAAGAATGTGTGACACCTATATGAAGAAAACCACAAAATTTTATTGAGCAATATGAAAGAATATTTGACTAAATGGAAATGTATATTGCATTCTTGCATGGGAGTACTGTAAAATAATATGATGTTACTTTTGCCCAAATTAACAATTTTCACATAATTCCAAGCAAAATATATAGGGGACTATCTGGTTGGCTTGACAAAACCTAAATAAAAAAATAAAAAATTTAAATACTGTAAAAAATTTGAAAAGTAAATTATTAGGGTGAAGGTGGAATAGAACTTACCCTACCAGATACCAAAATGTATTGTGGTGCTATAAACACTGGAACTGCAAGGTACCGTCTCAAGAACTAAAGGTCAAATCAAAGAACAGTTACAGACACTTCTGAGATAGATCCTAGGATATGTGAATGTTCCAGGCAGTGTTATTAAAATAGTATGCACCAACGTCCTGGGGTAGAAAACAGTGGGAATGTTAAAGAACTGAAGGCTGATGTGGCTGGGGTGTAAATAAGTTTAGTACACATTTGTACAGGCTTTTAAGAAGGCAATTTTAATATGCTTGTAAAATAGGCAATTTTAAATATATGATAAAGAGTGCTTTTTGTCTCAATGATTGTTCCTTAAATAATCTTAGAAGGATGTAATCCATAGTGCAGATCAGCTATTAAGAATGGAGGTAGCTGGGCATGGTAGCTCACACCTGTAATCCCAGCACTTTGGGAGGCTGAGACGGGAGGATCACTCGAGACCAAGAGTTCAAGGTCAGCCTGAGCAACATAGCAAGATCCCATCTTAAAAAAAAAAAAAGCCAGGTGTGGTGGTGTACGACTGTAGTCCTAGCTACTCAGGAGGCTGAGATGGGTCCCAGCTATGCAGGAGGCTGAGATGGGAGGATCACTTGAGCCCAGGAGGTCAAGGCTGCAGTCAGCTGCAATTGTGCCACTGCACTCCAGCCTGGGTGACAGAGTGAGACCCTGTCAAAAAAAAAAAAAAAAAAAAAGAGTGGAGATGTTCCTTACAACATTGTTAACAGAAGCACTAAAACTCAAAATAACTTAAATATTAACTATAATTTATTGTATATTATCAGAAAGCTAAAAGAGGATTTTAAATGCTCACCAAGCAAAGAAATGATTAATGTTTGAAATGGTGGATATGCTAATTACCCTGATTTGATAATTACACACTGTATCAAAATATCACTCTGTATTTTATAAATAAGTACAATTATTATGAGTCAACTGAAAAGAAAAAAGGAAAGTTAAGAAGCCAGGTACACACACCAAGAAATGACTTAAATGGTAAGCAACAAGGGACATGTCAAATAAATTACAGCACCTCCATACATTGGAATATTTTGAAATTATTTAAAAAGTATGATTTGAATGACCCAAATATATTGTTAAGTGAAAGGGCAGGATTCAAAACTATATTTGCTATACAATTCCATCTTCCAATCAATATACACACATGAAATATCATAGAGAGAAATATAACACGTTGTTAACAGTGATTACTTAGAGGATGGTGGCCTTACAGATTCTTTTATAGTTAAAGAGCTTTCAACTTTTCAAAAATTTTAATTGGTTGTCACAAAAAAGACAACATACAGAAAAATAAACATTAAACACTCCTGATGTCATTTCATGCCCAGCTCAACTATCACCTCTTCTCTGAATTCTTCAGAGATTCCCCAATAGCATTACTCTTTATAAACCCTATGTACCTCTTTATAATCCCATACTTTACATTCCTGGATGAGTTACAGTTCAACCTGTGCATATTGATCTTCCCACTTACTTCCAAGCTTCTTGGGGGTGCAGGCCTTAACCAGGAAGTCCCTGTGAGAAATATCACAAAACCCTGCAGAGAGATTCCTATAAGCCTACAGTCCTGTGAAGAGGCCTACACCTAACTTGAGGACTGAGTAATGTGAGCACAAATCTGGTGGGTGTCATCATGTGTATTACAGGAATTGGGGGTCTGTAAGATTTTGCTATTAAATTAGGCAACAGTACTTTTCTGCATGCTTTTTGAATATAAGGAAACAGTATTAAGTAATAATTAGAAGAAAAGCATTCAGACATTAGACCTTAGAAAAATTAACCTTTATAAACCTCTGTTTCCTTATGAAACTATAAAATGAGAAGAGCAATATTACTTATAGGTGGATGTTGGTGAGAAATAAATTAGGTGATGCAAATTTGTAGGCGAAGTGCCTGGCCCACAGTCAGTCTGTTACATAATACATATATCACCAAGAAAATTCTATTATTTAAATAGGGGTCCCCAACCCCTGGATCATGGATCAGTACTCGTCAGTAGCCTGTTAGCAACCAGGCCTCACAGCAGGAGTAAGCAGTGGACAAGCAAGTGAAGCTTCATCTGTATTTATAGCAACTCTTCATCACTCACATTACCACCTGAGCTCCGCCTCCTGTCAGATCAGCGGCAGCATTAGATTCTCATAGGAGCACAAACCCCATTGTGAACTGTGTGTGTGAGGGATCTAGGTTGTGCACTTCTTATGAGAATCTAATGCCTGATGATCTGTCACTGTCTCCCGTCATCCCCAGATGGGACCATCTAGTTGAAAGAAAACAAGCTCAGGGCTCCCACTGATTCTACATTATGGTGAGTTGTATAATTATTTCATTATATGTTACAATGTAATAATAATAGAAATAAAGTACACAATAAATGTAATGTGCTTAAATCATCCCCAAACCACCCCTGCCCCCCAGGTCCATGGAAGAAATGGTCTTCCACCAAACTGGTCCCTGGGATTGCTGATTTACAGTGATCTAATTGGCACAGCTCATCTTTCCCTTTCACGTCATGGAGTCATAATTTGACTCTCCCCTCCTTCACCTCCTCTTGCTTGAACCTAGTAAATTAGAATTTATCACCTGTTGGGAGAGAGAGCTATCATTCATTGCAGGGTCAGCTTCATGGGCAAGAAACCTGTGCAGTCGCTTGGCTTGTGCACAGAGGGGCCTGTGTGTGGTTGAATGCTCTGTTGTCACCCTCTTGAGCTTTTTAAGAATTTTTGAACCAGGGGCCCTGCAGCTTCATTTTGCACTGGGCACTGCAAATTATGTAGCCACTTCTGTTAAGTAAGCTATCCCATCTTACTGATCCCTAGCAGTTGCTGAAAGGTATGCTCACTGATAGAAATGTAATAGTTTCCAGATTATTGAGGCATTAGAGGTGTTTGACTTTTCTAACTTTGCTCGTGTATAATTTGAGAAAACCGCCTTTGCCCCAGAGAGGCAGCATCTAGGGAGACTGGGCTTAGGAGATCATTTCACTGCTGATGGGCTGATGTTTGCTGTTGATTTTATGAGTCCCAGTTTAGATTTCTTCTGCTCTGCCTGCCCTGTCTGTTACCTGAGTTATTTATAGAAACAACCATCACTCTTGCTACAAAAGCAAACTACTATTTGTTTTATCTTAGTTTTCTAAATAAATTGCTAAAAGCCACATTGCTCCTGGTTTTGGTGGCTTTTGCTGTTTTCCAATCCTAATACTCTGGATGCTGTTTTGCAAGATTGGAACCAACTCCGGCCACGATTTGTGCTAGATTCTCCTTCTCAAGTGATGTCTATTTCAGAAGCCAGGCTGGGAAGGATTTTTGCAGCTCTTTAATGTGCAAACAGAAGAGGATTTCTTTGAATCAGGGCAGATTTCTGGGTGGTTCCACATGGCCTCTAAATCCAGACAGTGTGGACATGAGGGATGTGGCCCACCTTCCTGACTTGGTCTGACTTCTTGATTTGCAGATTGATCCTCCTGGAAAGGTATTTGAGTCTTGTTTGCACTTAACGGCTATTCTGGCTCTAGGAAAGACTCAAGAACAATCAGTAGTAGCTAGATGATTTGGACTAGGGTTGAAAAGTAGATGTCAATGCCATTTTTATAGCATTGAAGAAGGCAGGAATTCACATTAGAGACAGTCAGGAGACTAATAGCTTCATTAACCAGCTACCGTGAGATCCACTCTCTGAGCCTCAGTTTTTGTCATACATAAAGGGTGATCTTGTTACTTATCCCTCCCCACATCATAGGGTTGTTGTAAGGATCAAATGGGATGGGAAAGAGCTCTTTATTAATCCTGCAAATGTATCAGAGCTGTACTCTGTGATGCCTACTTTTACAAATCTAAGCACAGAATTAAAGTTTTTTTCAATTTTCCACCCTGGTGTCCCTCCACCTCCCAATTTTAGGTGGACAGGAGTCTCTTGGCAGAGTGAATAGCATATGCTAAGGGGTGGAGGCTAAAGTGGCACCATCTGTTTAGTTCCAAAATGGCTAGGGCATAGGGGAGTGCATTAGTTTTATCTAAGGACCACCTCAAACTGGATGGTTGAAAATAACAGAAATTTATTCTTTCACAGTTTAGAGGTGAGAAGTAGAAATCAAAGTGTCAGCAGGGTTGATTCCCTCTAGGGACTCTAGGGGACAATCTGTTCCTCTTTCAGTTTCTGGTGGCTGCTGGCAGCCATTGGCTTGTGGCCACATCATCCCAGTCTCTTTTTCCATGACCTATTTCCTCATCCTTTGTGTGTGGTCAAATCTCCCTATGCCTCCCTCTTTTTAGGACCTACCTAGATAATCCAGGATAATCTTCCTATCTCAAGAGTCTTAACTTTATCACATCTGCAAAGACCCTTTTTTGCCACAACATTCAGAAGTTGCAAGGATTCAGAAGTGGCCATCTCTGTGGGGCGCTATTCTGCCTGCCATGGAGAGGGAGATGGAAAGATCTCGAAAGATCATTTAAGCCTTGCTCAGGTATTTGGAATGTATCCTGAGTGCAGTGAGGAGTCACCAGGGGTTTTAAGAGTCTGTGGAGGTGGGCTCGAGGGTCAGGAGCAGAGGCAGGATGTCTGGTTAGGACACCACTGCAACACAGGGGCCCATGCCTACAAGTAGGAGGAAGCCTTGTGCTCCCTTTTGGGATTGTGGAGAGGCTGCAGCTTGTGGCCAGTCTTAACGTCAGAAGTTATTCCGAGCACTCCCTGAGCCTCCTGGTGCTTTGACTTAACTCACACTAGGGCCTCTAAACCTCAATGTCAAACATTCAGGGGGTTGTGTTCTGGCAAGAGGTGCAACTGTTTTTGTGTTCTCTTCCTTTTGCTTGGAAAAGAATGAGAGCGCATAAAAGCTCTCATTATTGATAATTATTGATTATCAATACAAAATCTCACCTTTTTCAGGAGTATTTCTGATTGAATGAGTAACATAGTCTTAGGAAAGCATCTTGGTTGGGATTTCAGATATAAGGAAGCAGTTGGAGGGAGTTTGGGGGAAATAGATTTTCCTGCCCTCTGTGGGCAAAGTCTACCCTGTTCTTTGGAGTTTTCCAAATCCCAGCTCACACCCAGACATCTGAACCTACTCAGTTTGATGAGGAAAGATGAAGAGGCCAGCCTAAAGCTCTGATTTATATTTATTCTGCAAGATATCAATGGCCTCATTTTACTAAAGTCTATTGCATTCTTTGTATGTCTTAAACACAGTTCCACAGAATTTTAATGCTTTCCACTTCAACCCTTAAAACTTATCTATAGTTCCAAAAGTATATATCTTAATACTGCTAGGAAGGATGAAATATCATGGTCTTAAATTTCTTTTCTCAGTCTCAAAATAAACTATCAATAATAACCATAATGAATATTTGTATTATTTTTAAAAAAGATGTTTACAGATGGAAATTTAGGAATGCCACGAAAGAAGACTGAAAAAAGTATTAAAAATATTGTCACACCAGACCGGGCACGGTGGCTCATGCCTGTAATCCCAGCACTTTGGGAGGCCGAGGTGAGCGGATCACGAGGTCAGGAGATCAAGACCAGCCTGGCCAATATGGTGAAACTCCATCTCTACCAAAAATACGAAAAATTAGCCAGGTGGGGTGGCCCACACCTGTAGTCCCACCTACTCAGGAGGCTGAGGCAGAATAATCACTTGAACTCAGGAGATGGAGGTTGCAGTGAGCGGAGATCGTGCCACTGTACTCCAGCCTAGGTGACAGAGCAAGACTCGGTCTAAAGAAAAACAACAACCAAAAAAAAAACAATATTGTCACACCAAACCAAGCCTTGCTCTTCTAATAAAACTCCAAAATGTCTTCTAATGTAAGGTCATCTCTTTAACTCTTTTGTGAAGAGCAAATGGTACATGCTGAAGCATGGAGGCCTGGCTTGTGGCTGGCAGCTGCACTGTGCCTTTGCAGGAATCTCTTGGTTATTGGTCTGCTCATTGTTCTCAGAACATTATACCGTGAGCCGTAGAAAAGAATGTTCATGTGATTTGTTGTACCATTGTGTTTATATTTTCTGTAGGGCAGGAGAGGTGGGTAATGAACTGCTGAAAATTGTTTACAAGCTTGTAGATGTCCCTATGCATTTAGCTGCAAATCTGTATTAAAGGAAGAGAAAGAATTCACTTTGGTAACTAATGAAAAAGAAAAGAAAGGTAAGAGCTGCTTTTTGGGAACAAATAAAAATATTACCTAATAAAGTTCAGCACACAATGAAATTAGGTTTTCCATGAAACTTCATAAACCTTTGATTTTCTTTCCTTATTGATATTTTTTTGTTGAATTGTAAATTCTCTTGGCTTTCAGAAATACGTTGAGTCCTGGCCCTGAAAGAACTTAGTATTTGTTAAATTCCTGCTTATTTGAGCTTCTCTTTTGCTTTAATACAGTATAAAAGAAAAAAAGTTATAGCACCCTTACACCTTCTTTCCTGTAATTCATTCCCGAGTTAATGAATGTTAGCAGTTTTGTGTGTAATCTTCCACATGTCATATGCTTTTGAAACATTAAAAAACATGTAAATGTATATGGATCTATAAAATCATATGTACATTTATTTATCTAACAGACAGTTAAAGCAATAATTTGCTAACTAAACAGTTTTTTATGAAATTGTTGTATGTATCATCTCTGTTCTAGATGCTGAAGATACAGCATGGAACAAAACTAGTATAAACCCCTGCCTTCATTTGCATTCTAGTGGATTGTTTTTTTCTGAAGAAAATCTCAAGATCAGAAGTAGCTGTGGCATAGAGAAGTACATGCAATGAGGATATTATGCATCAAAACCACTTTAGGAAGTTCTCTCGCCTTTGGTGGTCTCCAAGTTGGTCCTCATAATGGTCAAGTTTAGCATCAAAAGAGGCTGCCAAAGGACCTAGTGAACTGATAAAACGAAATGATTACCTCATTGTGTTAAGCACTATTCTCTTTGTGGGCAAGGCAAGAAACCGAGTTCCGTATACAGAGCTCACCTTCACAGGGTTTGGCCTAATTGAGGAGATAAAATGTTTACTATGGTTTCCTGAGAACTGCTGAAGGAGCATGCAGAAGAGTTGAAGCCAGGTCTAGTTGATCAGTGAAGCTGTCTGGGAAGCTCTCTGCTCATTAGAAACTTCAAAGATGATAGAGAATTCTAAATTTATTAAATAGCATTCTATGCAAAAGAGATAGCAATGTTTACCCAAACAGTGTCTGCTTTATAAGCAAGATGGCTTGACTGACCAGAGATGGACATTTGGGGAATAAGAGGCACTTAAGGAGTGAGGGAGCTGAAGGAGTGAAGACTCCCAGAGCTGAGGTTTTTGTATTAGTCTTTGAACTTCCAGGACCAACCTAGGGCAAGTTTGGGCCCATTGCAGTCACCCAGATAATTTTTAAAATAAAATAAATGGGCTGGGGTGAGGGTAAAAGGAGGAACTTTATTGAGGATCTGGACAGTTAGATTGAAGAGTTTAAACATTTATTATTTTATTCTATGTAGAAGGATTATTGAACTACGTCAATTATTGAAGAAACTGAATTCCTGAGAAATCTTCAAAAGATTTCAAAAGTTGAATCAAGGAACTATGGACAAGGGAGCAAAAGAGGCTGACATATTTAGGAAGTCTAAAGAGGAGGATCACAACCACAAGCCAAATAGCACATCCCATCAAAATAGGTCTTCCTTCTTATTTCTCTTCCTCCCTCCCTTCCTTCTCTCTTTCCTTCCTTCTTCAAATATTTATAAAGTACCTTTGAGGTGTCAGGCACTGAGAATACGAAATTGAACACAACTTGGGCTCTTTTAAGAATTTGCCTTTTAAAAAGAAAACTACTGTATCTCCTTGCTTCTGAATAAAGTCACAGGATAAATAATATAAAAAGCTCACTTATGATAAGAAGTATTGAGATCTTATCATCATATATAGGAAATAAAACCATGTTGGACTGGAAGAGTCTGTTATTTTAAAAAGTTTCTCATATTGCATAATTGGTTCTGAAGAACTATGGATAAACCTAATAATTTCAAGGTAGTGTCCTATTTCCTATGATATGCATTATAATTTCTTTGGAGCTATATCTTAATTGTTGATGGCCTTTCAATATGCTATAGTGTCTATCAGTTTCTTTTAGGCTTATTCTATCACAATTTTCATTCTCTATTAATCCCCTAAGTGTCTCTATAAGTAAATAACTAGATTATTTGGAAAGTTGCTGTTTAAAGAACTACTTGTAAGTTCAAGTGGCCTTTGGAGTGTGAATAAGTACCCATAATTCATCTATGATCAGGCAACACCTTTGTGAGTTTCTCTTATGGTTTGAATGGTGTTTACTGCTTTCTAGTACCTCCACGGGAATCATCAACTATCTTTCTAAATGCTTACTTTTTATGTGAAAGATCTCAGGCAAAACTGTCATTTGGTGTAATTATTATAGCAAATCCTTTAGAATTGTCCAAGGGTATATTCTTCTTCCAGGGCATTAGACACACTGCAGGAACACAGCTCTGGAGATTTCAAGGGTCCTCCTTGCTCCTCCTGGAGGAGTATTTGATCTATGGTAGCCTCCTTTCTCCACTGGAGTTCAAGTGGCCCAGGTCATTATTGACTCATGCGGAATTTACAATTTACAGGCAAGAGATTGATGGCTTCTGCAATGAACGCTTTCATTCCTTCACATAGCAGCACATTTGGTCACTTAGAGTGGACATTTCATGCCAATTTTTTAGTGGCACCTTCTTCAGATTTCTCTCTCCACTTAAATCTGATATTTCAAGAGAAAATAAAAAAGTAAACTATTTTTTGCCACTCTAGAGTATCTCTAGTGTCTTTTTACAAAAATTCACTCAATATCAAAACAAAGAGTTTATTTCCTCCATAAGTTAAGAATTAATAAGTTCATTGAGAAATCTGCAGTGAGACAAGGTACTATGCTTACAAAAAAATCTACTTTGAAAACAACTACATTGCCATTTTAGAACATACTTGGAATTGGTGAGCATATGATGTTTATGAGAGAGAGAGAACCAGATCACACAGTTTCGACCAGTGTATGCCATTTATTATAAGTAATCAAATAAAACCTGCCTGAGCAGAGAGAAGTAACTCCTTGGCACATTTGTTGAGCCTATTTGCAAATGTGTAGTGTTGACTGACCTGCATTGTAACCTTCTTACTTCTAACCGGCAATGGTTTTAACAGGTCCTAATGTAACTGGAATGACTCTTAAAGGGTTTTCCAAGTGTTTTTATTTGCTCCGAAATATTCTCACCCTTTGACTGCAGTTAGGTATTTGGGTCTGGGGCATTTTGAGTTCCTTGGGCAATTTGTAGGGAAAGAACAGCTCCAGTGGAAAGGTTGGTACCCCAGACTTCTCACCCCTTTCTCAGAAGCTGCTTTGTACAGTTTTAAGGGTGTGGGGTTGTGGATGATTCTTATTGTATTATGTTTTCTTTAAGAGAGAGAAAGAATAACATAACCCATCCTCTATTCATTTTTACTTATTTGCTTTTCTCATCCTGGATCCAGAAAGGGCATGAGGAAGCTTACCTGCACAGAGATCACACAAGGAAAACTGCAATTTAAAATAGGTAGAGGAGGAAATTACAAAGAGAAAATGCACTCATTTTTAAAACAAATACCTATTGAGTGCCTGCTATGTGCACAGAATTGAGCTGAGCAGTAAAGCTTCAGGGATGAGCTGAACACTTCTCTTGCATGGAGCTTACAGTCTAAGGGAGAAACAAATGCTTATCAAATAACCACATGTGCTAAATGTTATGGGAGGAAGAGCACTGGAAATGATGATCTAATTTACTTCAAAGGAGGGAGGAGGCATATGATTAACTTTCCCTGAAGGCTGAATAAGGATGAACTGCTTTTGGAGGGTGGGCATGGTAGTGGTGGGAGAATGTTAATGTGACTGTAATGGAACCATGGATGCCAAGGCCTAGGGGACACAGGACTTGATGCTTTTGAGGAAGCAAAGGGTGCCTGAGGGCAGGAAGGCAGAGGGAGGCAGGGTGAGGAACTAGGCCAGAGGGTAGGTGGGGCAGCTCAGGAAACCTCTTTGTAAGAGCCATCATGGGCCATTGGAGGCAACAGCAGGAGAGTGATATGATTAGATTTGGTTTTACAATGAAAACAGGAAAGATAAAATGAAGTTCTGGGTAAGGTGAGCACACCCAAATCTAAACTGTATAGTTTGATAGCCACGTTTGATAGCTGGGATCGCAGTTTAGAGAGAGAAAAGCAGGAAAGTGCTTAGCAGTGGTTGGGAAGAGATGTAGCTCAGCCTGAGTTAGGAGGCCCCTTCAAGGCCCCAGGGAGGGCTGGGCTTCAAGTTGTGGGTTTCTTCAGTGAAGGTGATGGTGGTGAGTTGATAGAAATTATTTTATTTCTGATTCTCATCGAGGCACAGGAAACTGAGACTCAGGAGTAGAATGAGTTGCCCAAGGTCACACTACATATTCAGCGCACAGTGGACTCTTTATCCCCAGGCAAGGGGTCTTTCCACCAGGCTGCTTTCTATGCTCCAAATAATTAGTTCATACCATTTAAGTAATTTTATAGAGAACTTAATGGCTTGAATATTTTTAAAAATATATAATATTATCTGGAAAAATTAGGTTATAAAAATATAGGTACAAAAAAGAGCTTAACTGCATAAATACATTTCCATATATTTCTATGTGAATTTGCATATACACATAGAAAAAGTCATAGAAGAATGTGTATTAAAACATTATATTATCTGAGTGGTGGGACTACAGACAGGGTTTATCAAATTCTTTATTTTCTTTTATACTTTCTAAATGTTCTACAATAACAATGTTATTATTTAAAAAATTCTTAGGTTGTATATTCGGTTGGTACAAAAGTAATTGGGGTGTTTGCCACACTTTTAATGGCAAAAACCACAATTACTTTCTTACAAACCTAATGGACATTTTCTGTCTGATAAAATTTCCAGGAAAACTAAGTATAACATAATCAAGTGAATCCTACTGCAAGTATAGGGCATATTTATGTGTATTTACTTGTAGGAGACGTGTGAGCTGTTTGGACATGAGTGTACAGAACAAAAAGATTCTGGAAAAATACAAATTTAACCTATATGGGAGTTGAGGTCGCTTGTAAACTAATAAAGAATGAACAAGGAAACAGGTTTTCATTTGTAAACATTGATTTTTATGAAACATACTTTGAAAGGGATGGAGAAAGTCCCAGGCCAGGGTAGGTTCTCTCCAATCTCTTTCCCTTTTTTGTCTTCCATTGTAAAAACACTCCAGTGTTTTTGCATTTCTGTTCTTCTTCCAACTCTTCACATGGCAACTTAGAGAAGTGGGAAGAGTTGGATTATTGGAGGAACATGGGATGCTCTGGAAATTTCAGAGGAAATCAACTTCTCTCAAACCAGAGTACAAACAGGTAACCTTGGGATATAGCTTGTCTTAGATTGCCTGATTTGTGTCCTATACTTCATTTCAGGGAGACCTCCCTGCTGCAGGAGCCCCACACACCTAGAAGAGATGGAAATCTGCAGCCCACACTCACTTTTATGCAGTCTATGACCATACACACTCATGCACACTCTCCAAATCTTCTAAAGTAGTTTTTAAATACTTCAAATGTTTTCCAAAGGAGGCATCACTTCTTTCCACCCCTAGGCACTGCCCACAACCATGCCCTATTTAATTACTTTCACCATACATGAATATGGCAGAAGCCCTCTCAGGACAAGAGAAACCTTTTAACAACTAGGGTGGGCCCTTCTGCCCATCAGCAGAAAAGCTGGCACAGAACAGAAAGGAATTTTCATCTTACCTAGGATATGGTTGACCTTTTTGCCAGTGGGCACTTTTCTGTAGACTGGTGGCTTTACAAGTTCAGGTTGGACCTTCTTGAGAATTGACAGGATTTGACCAGGGGCCAAACCTGTGACATCTAGGTTCAGAAACTAGTTCACCTTCTGATCATGTTCTGAACTCTGGTTGCCTCTTATTTTCTACCCACTTCTTGGGTTCAGAGTCCCACATTTTTCTTCTGAGTTTTGATACGATAATTTCTAGTTATCTCTGGCATAACCATGTGCTTGTCCCAGCATCTATTCCTTGGGTTGACACTGATTTTGGATATCCTCCCCAGGAATAGAGGAATAGTGTTAACTATGATGATAATGATGTTGATGATGATAGTGATAATGGTGATGATGATAATGATAATGATGGTGATGATGATGATGATAATGATGATAATGATGGTGATGATGATAATGATGATTACCACTTCATGAATGCTGTCCATGGATATTGCTAAATGAGCTGATGTTCATGGCAACTGTATTAGAGAATATTGTCATCCTCCCATTTGCAAAAGAGAAACAATGAAAGAGGTTAAGTGACTTGTCTAAATTAACCTAGCTAGTGAAACACAGATCTGCCATTCCAAACATGTGTCTTACTCCAGAGATACTGCATTATCAAAATGGTTGTGGGAAACATTGAGTGGCAGGAGTTGTGTAGTGATCGCGAGATGATGTGGATCCTGTGGATACTGACATGTAAAAATTTTGTCAGTAAAGTGTGGAAGGACGGGGAGTTTCCTGGGAAGGATGAGGGCATACTTTTTGATAGTAGAACCTTGAGCATATTTATTTGCTGAGGAGAAAGCACTGATAGAGAAGTTGAAGATCCAGGAGAGGGAGGGAGGGGATTGTTGATGAGGGAGGACTCTGAGGAAGCAGCAGAGAAGGGGTCAAGGGGTTATCAGACTTGCTGAGGCTCTCCTGAGTTCTGGATGATGTGGTGCCTTATTCTCACTCCATTCCTCACTGTCTCCCTCGGTACCTCAGGCAAGTCACCCCATCTCTAGACAAGATGTGGACTTTGCAATCTATTGTTGATTATGAACTTCCATCAATTAGCTTATGCAGAGGTTCAGTCTATATCCAGCCATGTACTTACTTGCAGGGAATATTATGGCAAAATCTCATCAGAATACTTCTTTTTTTAAGCATTAATATCCAGTGTTTTTATTTATTTGTTAATTTTTAAAATAAATTTTATTGTGTATAATCGAAGTTTACAACTTGATGTTATGCGATACATAAAGATAGTGAAATGGCTGCTGTAGTGAAGCAGACTAACATATCTGTCATCTCACATAATTATAATTTTTGTGATAAGAGCAGCTAAAATCTATTTATTTCACAAAAATGTTTAATACAGGACAACTTTATTAACTTTAGTCCTCACGTTGTACATCAGGTCTCTGAACTTGTTCATCCTACTTATTTGCTATTTTGTATCCTTTGAACCACATCTCCCCATTTCCTCACCCTCTACCTCCTGCCGATCGTAACCACTGTTTCATTCTCTGTGTATTTGAGCCCTTTATATATATGTGTGTGTATATATATATGTGAGATCAAGCAAAATATTCCCCATATAAATGAGATCAAGCAAAACTTTTGTGTTTCTGGCTTATTTCGCTTAGCATAATGCCTTTCAGTTTCATCCATTTTGTGGCAAATGGCAAGATTTCCTTTTTTTTTTTTTTTCTTGAGACGGAGTCTCGCTCTGTCGCCCAGGCTGGAGTGCAGTGGCACAATCTCGGCTCACTGCAAGCCCCGCCTCCCGGGTTCACGCCATTCTCCTGCCTCAGCCTCCCGAGTAGCTGGGACTACAGGGGCCCGCAACCACGCCCAGCTAATTTTTTTTATTTTTAGTAGAGACGGGGTTTCACCCTGTTAGCCAAGATGGTCTCAATCTCGATCTCCTGACCTCGTGATCCGCCTGCCTCGGCCTCTCAAAGTGCTGAGATTACAGGCGTAAGCCACCGGACCCAGCCGCAAGATTTCCTTTTTTAAGGCTGAGTAATATGTCTGTGTGTGTGTGTGTGTGTGTGTGTGTGTGTGTGTAGCATCTAGGTTGTTTTCACCTATTGGCTATTGTGACTAATGCTGCAATGAACATAGGAGTGTAGATATCTTTACAAGGTGGTGATTTCATCTCCTTTGGGTAAACACCCAGAAGAAGGATTGCCAGGTCATATGATAGTTTTACTTTTATTTTCTTTGGGAACCTCCACACTGTTTTGTATAACAGCTGTACCAAGCTACATTTTTTTTTTTTTTTTTTTTTTGAGACAGAGTCTCACTCTGTTTCCCAGGCTGGACTGCAGTTGTGTGATCTCGGCTCACTACAACCTCTGCCTCCCAGGTTCCAGTGATTCTCCTGCCTCAGCCTCCTGAGTAGCTGGGATTACAGGCGCCCACCACCATGCCTGGCTTATTTTTTGTATTTTTAGTACAGATGGGGTTTCGTCATGTTGGCCAGGCTGGTCTCGAACTCCTGACCTTAGGTGATCTGCCTGCCTCACCCTCCCAAAGTGCTGGGATTACAGGTGTGAGCCATTGTGCCCAGCCCAATCTACATTTCTATCAACAGTGTACTGGGGTTCTCTTTTCTCCATACTGTCGCAAACATCTGTAATCTTTTGACTTTTTGATAATGGTTATCCTTATGGGTATGAGATGATATCTCATAGTGGTATTAATTTGCATTTACCTGATGATGAATGATGTTGAGCGCCTTTATATGAGGTTATTTATAGAATTGAAGAAAGATTCCTCATTCTGAAAAAAAAATTCTTCTGATAATGCAATTTATTCTTGGTGAACTATGTGGAATTGACTTTTTTCACTTTTTTTTTTCCATAGAACTCTTTCAACCTATGGGAGGTAGGGACTTCTGCCCTCCAAGTTTTCATCGTGATTCCAAATGCACTACTGAAGTGGCATTGCTTTCTTTGCTATTAAACATGGGTTTTCTGCTTCTTCTAGAGAGTTCTTTTCCTAATGGAGGTCAGCAAACTGCAAGGCCTAGCAATGATTGATCCCAGTCCCATACAGCATTTTACAAAGCCAAAGTAACAGCAGCCTGAGCCATGGCACAGTAAAAGTGGTTTTACATTTCCAATGCCTGTCCTAAAGTAGTTTTAGAGGTCAGCATTGATCAATAAATCATTCTGATCACATGTATCCTCTCTGGGGGCCCATTAGCTAGTGGTGATGACTTAGTCATCTCACCATCAGCTTCATTAGTCCAGAAGTCGCTGGGACCACAAGTTCAAATCCCTGTTGAGCTGATGTAGCTCTTGGTCTTCCTGAAGTAGATAAATTGAGCTTCACATAGTTTGTCGTGCAGAGATTTCTATGATGCATCATCTGCTCTCCGGTGGCAGTACAAGATCTATGACCCCTTTTTTTAAAAGGAGACAATGCCTGATCCTACCCTAGTAACTTCTCTTTTCATCTAACTCAAATAAGGCAGATATATGGCTTCTGAAATGATTAGATTCATTAATTTCCTTAAAATGCCATGTCAGGGCAATGATGCCCCTTTGCCAATAATCCCATGCCCTTAACTGTGTGAACATTCTGTGAGGGCTTGGTAGAGGGAGGCTTTCAAATCCAGTTCTTCCAAGACTCCAGCAGAGGACTGGAGTCTGGAAAAAGTAAGGAAGGGGACCGCTGGTAACCCTTTTGAATGACAGTAACAAAATGTCTGTATTTTTTCTGTTTGTGCCTTGTGACTGGTAAGATTATCAGGATGAGAGTAACATCAGCGTGGCTTATCTTCTTTCTGTAGCCAAGAGGGCTCACGATAGAGAAAAAGGTGATCTGCAGGCCAAGGACATTGTCCACACTGCCTATTTATGCTTGTATACTCATGCAGTGTTGGAAAATGCAGTGAACCGTGAGTTTTAGTTGGGTAGGGCTTTGTCTGAAACTGGAGTCCAAAAGTATCATGAAGATTCTTATCATTGAGATGCTCAGGGTCCTGTAAAAACTCCTCAATAGTCAGTACCTGGTTAATCCTCCTCCAAGAGTTCCTGACAAATCAACCAAGAGGCCAAATTATCTTCCAGGCTGTGGGTGGATAAGTGACCCCCCAGCTAGTTGTTAGGGACTGGCTGTGGCAGTTATTTATTTTACTGGGCTGGAAAAAACCTTTCTGTCCCCAAAGGTTCCTGCTTCTCCTCCTGGCCACTGGAGAGAGATACGAAGGAAGGCTGGTATTAAAGTTCTCTACCCGATCCAAACCTCTCCTCCCTCGTCCCTGTATTAAGAGGTTTCCCATACCTGTTGGCAGACCCCCATAAAAGGTGGCAAATGGGCAAAGCAGTGAGGGGTGCCAGCCCAAGAAGTCTGGTCTTCTCCCTGTGGCTGGATCGGCTGAGATTCCTAAGGTCATTCAGTGATTTGCTGCCAGAGTGGAAATCACTCCCTAGGTCCCCTGACTCGGCATCCAGCTCTCCATCCATTAGATCGTGAAGCCTCTCACCACCAGCGAGACACACTCAGGACACTTTAATTTCAGAGTTTGATTCTATGTCTATTTTTCAGCTATTTGCTGCAACATTCTGGGAAAGTAAGGTTTAAATTTCCTACAATCCAAATCATTTTCTAGTTTACTTATAAGTGATTCTGAAACAGTTGGCCCTGGAAAGCTGACAACTTGATAAAATGTATCTTTCAAATCAACCTAGTGCTGCCTTTATATATAGTTAAATCATCCAAATCCAGGGTGCCGAGTTAAGAAACGGAGATCTTCTGTTCCCAGGCTGCCTGTCACTTTGGGTAAGAAAACACACAGAGTTATGCTCGCTTACGCTTACTCAAGTGAGGTCTCTTGGGAAAGAAATAAGCACTGGCTTTTGGCAGGTTTATCTGCTTTTAGCCTATAAGAAATGGTTTCTGCGGTGATGTGCGTTGGACAAAGGTGGTTTGGGGAGACTTAGTGTCAAAACTAGCAGCCAGTATAATGTTGATGGAGAAAAGATTTTATATATATATATATTATTATGAAGGTTGGAGGGTTGAAGAGCAATACTGAGCATTCAACACCAATGATGGCAGTTTCTATTGCTTTAAAAAAATAGATTGATCTGTATTTGAACTGATGTGGCATTTATTCATGACAACAAGCTGGGATTGATGTGACATGCCTTGCATCTCTCTACACCGACCCAGGATCTCAGACATGGTGGCTTTTCTGATTTTGCTACACAATACGATCGCATCCCACCCTTTGGGGGAAAAATGGGGTCGAGAGCATGAAAAAAATAGGGAGTCATTTCAAAACATCTACATTTATATCCAGAGATTCTAGATGTCAACAGAAGGGTTTTGATGCCTTTTTATTTCAGGGTAAATCAGTGAAATGAAATCATTATCCTCATACTACTATTGTAGTTAACAATTAATTAAAAGATTAATTAAAAGAAATGAACAGATACACTGATTAAGCTGATTTTTTTATTTCAACAGCCCAGATAAAGTCGTGGTGCTACTTATTCAGTTTTTTCCCTTCATCTCTGTACGTTGCTTGTTTTTCTAAAGAGTAGGAATGTAAAAATCAGTACTGTAGTTGAGTCCCTTAACATCCAGGCCAAAGAGTGCAGTACCATGAGAAGCCTTGCGGGCAAAGGGGACGCACTTGGAAAAACAGCCGGGTTGCTGGGAGGGTGAGAGATCAGATGGGTACCCTTGCCACTGGTGTAAACATGGATGACAGCTAATTTAATAAACTCTGCCACCTATAATGTTCACAAGTAAGTGGTAGGGACACATAAACATCAATAGTAACTGTTAGAAATCTGGCTGTTCACAGTGATAATTAGCTTTAAAAATGGAAGATGATTTAGATTTTGAGAAATACTGTTGTAAACACAATGAATAGCATACATTACTCATAGCCTTGTTAGCCAAACATTTCAAAGTACAAACATTAATCTGGTTAAGTCATTTAAAATCAAGTTAAAGGGATGTGTTTCCTACTTTCCCCAGTCATTCCCACACTCTGTTGTCTGTCTCCTTGGCCAAGTAGCTGTGCTGGGCATCTAAGACAGTAGCTGCAGCATGCGCTTTGGAGTAAGGTAGACCTGGGTTTGCTTCCTGCTTCCACTTTGCTTTAGGACCCCGGTATATAAGCTCTCTTGGCCCCAGCGTGATAATGCCTGTATAAGGCATTTATAGAATTAAATGAGCAAATATACATATAGCTCTTTGCTTAGTTACTAGCACAGCAAGTGCTCCCTTAACAGCACTGTTACTGTTATGTGCTCATGTGTCTGAGCATTATGTCTAAGTTCATTCACATCTAAGATCCTTAAAGGCAAGGCTTATGCCTTGGTCTTCTCTATAGTACTTCCCACATTGCTAATAGTTGATCCGTTTTATTGAAATTAATTGGATTAGAAATTGCAACCGCAGGTAGAACCACTTTCTAGGGTTGATAACCCTGAATGAAACATGAATTCATGCTCTTCTTTTGTATATAGGCTCTGTGGGTGAGGGTGGGGCCTCCTAGCCAAGTTGAAAAAAAGATGACAACTGGGGAAGAGAATATCACTACTGCAATGAATGTACCGATGACTGCCCTGGCTCAAGGCATAGTAATCTTTCCCTTTGTTTACTGTGAATCTAGGCAGAACCCCAGCAAAATGGAGAAGGTGGCTGTGTTTCTGTAGTAATCCCATGGCCCGGAAATAGTAAAATAGTTCAACATGTGCTGTTCAACTGATACTATGTGCTGATTCATGCTTTCAGGTTGTAGGACAGTTGGAAATTGTTCAAGAGGGGTGGACCTGTGGAATAAAATGATCCCGGTACACAGGTTCTCCCCTCTCATCCATAAAAGAACCACACCTGAAAGTGAAAGTTGAGTAGTGACTTTCCTCAATGACCAGTGTGGTGGAATGAGGGATAAAGCAATCTCATATCCAAGCAGGCAAAACAAGATCAGATTAAAGAAAAAGCATTTGGGGGTTCTGAAAGGAACTGATCAACTTTTAAAAAGAAATAATTCCAAACAAATATTTCTCTTGCTATTACTGAGTTTTTTTGGGGGGTGGGGGTTGGGGGGGAGTTCAGTCCTAAAGCTTTTTTTTTCTTAGTAATGAGATAGAGCAACCTTATATGAGAGGAAGAAGATGAAGAGGGTGAGATGGAAAGGGTATTAAAAATCTTTTTCACTATAGCCAGGATGCCTTGCTTTCCAAACTTGTGTGAAAATTGTGAAAAGTGGTTTTATTTTTGGGAAAAGAGGGAGGAGCATAAGAGAATGATTTGTTGAAGACCAATCTGGAGGAGTATAATTCCCATTTAGAAAAACTCAACTTGCAAATCATAAGCTCTGAAGTTGCAAATACCTTTGAAAAACTTTGCTAGCAAATCTACATCAAATGTATCCTGTAGTATTTGTCTTAAACCAGGTTCATGTGTATTGAAATGTTTTACTCTCAAGACAACTACATGTTGTGTCAGAGGATGCATAAATAAAAGGCAAACATCCAATTTTATAATTTACATTATAATTCAGTGGTCTTAATTTTTGTTCCCTAAGCTTTCTGAAAGGAAGATAGACTTGAAAGAGAGAAATTTATTTTTAAAGTTTATCTGTTATTTTAGCATGAAAGTTTTATCTATATATTTTTATATAAAATGTGTAAATAGCCATATGGCAAACACTATTCAATTAGCCACCCATATTAAACAATGTAATAGTACCTATTGTTGAAGCCCCTGAGGATTCCTTCTTGAGAAAATTCCCCTTCCTACTCCCAAAATGTAACTCCTATCCTGAATTTGATGGGTCACATTATTTTTCATATTAAATAGCTGTTAGTTTCCAAAAAATACATATTAAATACACATTTTGGCTGATAGAGACATAATGACCTAAGAAAATGTCTATATCTCTCTCTAAATGACCAGGTAAAATCCAGATTGTGAGTTTCTTGCCTAACACAGGAATGTAGCACCAACAATGAAGGAATGTTTATGCTGTGTCTAAGATTAGTGGATTACAGTATGATCGTAAACATGTATTTTACAAAAGACCATATTGACTACAGACCCCCATTAGATCATTTAAGTTAGCTGAATGATCATGAAAGAATTGGGCAAGTGTTCATTGACTTTTGAGGCTTTTCCATTATTCAGTAGATATTTTGCAATTTCACATGTTTTTTTCCCTTTTAACCCTGTCTCTAGTCTTCATTTCAGCTATGTAGTTTATGTCAGTACTGTGCTTTAGATTAATTGAGATAATATATAAAAAGAGTTTAGGAAACTATACAGCATGAAATGAATGCTGTTATAATTGCTCCATTACTGAGAAAGCCAGAAATTTGAGAGATACTGCTTAAAGGGTAATGAAAAAAATCTCAGAGTGGGATTTGCAAACTAACTTTAATACATGGAGGACTTCCTTCTAGATTTTTCGAGTTTTATAGCTGGATGGAATCTTCTAGACAGTCATTCATCTTGTTTATTTAAAGATACAAAATTAAGGTATAGAGAAGTTAAACGACTCAAAAGCATGCAAGATCATTCAGGAAGATTCAAGATGAAAACCAGTGTTCCCAACCCCTCATTCATTGCTCTTCCCTTCCCTGCTTACCTCTTCAGGAAAAGGAAGCTGGGGAGGAATGTCTAGATTTCAACCATGCACCACATACGTGCACAAACCTTCACCTAGCATCAAAGTAATGCTTTTGTGTCACTTGGCCTGGCAGGACTGAACAGAATGGTTTTCTTCATGGTCAAAACTTTAAGGGGAGTTTTCTTTTGTTTCTACTGCAAACAAAATAGTCTCTCTTTTCCTAGTGCCACCAGATATGTCTTTAGAACTTCTTTGTATTTATTGTAATCTGTGAATATTGTGTTTTACAGCCTGTAAATTAGATATAGAATTGAATACCGAGGCAGAGCACAGGCTGTTAAAATGTTCAATTCCGGTGGGGGAACCAGTGAGCAGTTAAGGCCTGGTGCATATAATGTTAATATTACATTAAGTACTATGTTATTGCATGAGATGCTTATTGTTAATGTCTGTGGGGAGGATCCGTTCCAAAGATTTCAATTTCAATAAACAGATTACGCAGTTCCACCATACACAATTAGGGAGGTGGTAATGAAATGGTTATAAAGTCCCTTGTGGATCTGTCATCTTTTTTTTTAATTTTGTAAATATCATCAGAAGCATTCTAGAGGGAAGTGCTTATGCATTTATTTATTATCGATTTTTTAAAAATACATTTAACATTACTGGTTATTGCAAATCCAGTCTCAGTGAGTTAAAGAAGATAAGCTGTTTCTAGATTATTAAATGCTGAGTGTATAGGGAATTGTGAAGTGGCATCCTTCATATAAATATATTAAATATTAATAAACAGTGATTGTAAGGAATTAATTTACAGCTACATTTACTTGGCAAATAAAACCGTATTAAGGTTTTGCCCTTTTGTTGCATGCAATGCATGTTTTAAAGAAACCCCTTTGGCTAATGGTTTGGATGACTGCAAGTGATTCTGTCCTACAGCTGAAATCATGCACAACTGCAGATAATCAAGTCGGGTTAAACATACATTCTTTCAACAGGCAACGAATTGTTGGAGGTGCAACTTCAATAAACTGACAAAGTTTTGAGGGATCCCTAAATGGTTAACTGTTATTCCTTCTGGGGCCTATAATAAAGCAGTAAAAATGAATGCTGGATGGTTAGTAGCCGAAATATCTCCTTGGAGTAAGATGTTTAATATAGCAGACAAAAATTCAGGATGCTAGCCGTTCATTCAGGAAGGCATGCTACAGGCTGAAGAGCAGGGATCTGAAGCAGGCTGTCTGGATTTTATTTTTTCCAACTTCAGCAATTCATGTAATTTCTCTGCGCTTTAGTTTCTTCATCTGTAAAATGTGGATAACTATGTTCCATTCTTCCTAGAATGTTGTGATTGAGATTAAAGGAAACGTATATAGTAAGCACAAAACATAGTATGTTGCTCATAGTACTCAATAATTATTAGTAATTTTTTAAAAGCATTCGTCATTCACTCCTGAATTCAGTAAGTGATTATTAAATATTCTAATTGGCAGGATTGAGGATACAGTGTTGAATCGCAGTCCTCAAGTTTCACAGATTTTGCAAAATTTCTAGACATGATTGGGAAATGCCAAGGAATTTAGATACAGTATTAGGTTTTTCAGAGGGACATAACCAATAGGATATAGAGAAAGATAGACATATGTGGGTGTATTTATTAGGGGGCTTGGATCATATGATTATGGAGGCTGAGAAGTCCCATTATGGGCCATCTGCAAGCGGGATAACCAGGAAGGTCAGTGGCATCACTCTCGGTCTGAGGCTGAAGGCCTGAGAACTGGGAAACAGCATGTGGAAATCCCAGAGTCCAAAGGCCAGAGAACCTGAAGTTCTCATATCCAAGGGCAAGAGAAGGGTGTTCCAACTCCAGGAGAGGAAATTCGCCTTTCCTCTGTCTTTTTGTTCTATTCAGGCCCCCACCAATTGGATGGTGCCCACCCACATTGGATGAGGATGGATCTTCCTTACTCAGTTCGCTGATTGAAATGCCGTCTTTTCTGGAAACACCCTCACAGACATCCCCAGAAATAATGCTTTACCAGCTATCTGGGTATTCCTTAATCTAGCCAAGTTGACATCAAAAAATTAACCGTTGCAGGCTGGGTGCAGTGGCTAACACCTGTAATCCCAGCACTTTGGGAGGCCAAGGCAGGCGGATCACTTGAGCTCAGGAGTTTGAGACCAGCCTTGCCAACATGATGAAACCCCGTCTATACTAACAATTAAAAAAAAAAAATTAGCCAGGTGTGGTGGTGCGTGCCTGTAATCCCAGCTACTCAAGAGGCTGAGGCAGGAGAATTGCTTGAACCTGGGAGGCGGAGGTTGTAGTGAGCCGAGATGGTGCCACTTCACTCCAGCCTAGGTGACAGAGCAAGATTCTGTCTCAAAAAATAAAAAATAAAAAAAATAACCATTTCAGATGCCCTCCTCCAGTGTCACATTATTGTTTTTCTATAGGATTATGTTCTTGTCTATGTTCTATGTCTTATCTTTCATTGGCAGTTTATAATTACACAAAGATATATAACCGCTTTTTCTTTCTCTGTTTCTTCCCCAATCCATTCTTCAACGCTCATCCAAGAAGAGGTATTAGACAAAAGCTCCCCTGCATCTAAGCACCGTGGAGCACCTGAATATATAATTAACCCAGTCAGAAGTTATTGTCCAAAGACTTACACTTTTATAGCTTTGACTACCACATTTAATTTCTATGTAGTCTTTTTAAAGTGTTGAAACGTACACGCATTTCTGCTGGGTAAACACATAAGCATATCTAGCTCAATCCAGATAATTATTGCATACCTACTCTGTGCAAAGCACCTCAGGAGAAAATGCATAGAACATATATTAAAATGGGCATTATACTAGGTACTGTGGTGGGAAGAGGTAACAAAAAGATGATAATAGATAGTAACAGAAGGGATGTAAAGAGGGTAGGAAGGAAAAGAAAGAAGGGAGGGAAGAAGTAAATAGGCAAACTGTGTTCTTGAAACTATGAATTTGTCAATGAAACAGAAGAGAAGAGGAAGAAAAGAAAAAAAGGAGAAGGGAAGTGAGGCCAGAGAAGAGAAAAATATCTACCTAAACCCGTCAGAAAGGAGAAGGTAGACTTGTGACTCTCAACCAGAAAGACACGCCTTCCCAGAATCTTTGGATGGCATGGGCAATTTAAATAAGCCAATCCTGAGATTCTGACATAACATGAGAGGGCCGCTATCTTGATTCAGTGTCTCTGATGGTGTGGACAGAAGTGGAATTACCAAGGGAGACTGGGAAGTACGAGTTGAAGAACTATCAGCAAACATAGGAGAGGACAGCGTCCCAAGTTGAGAGAGGGTTTCCGAAGGAGGCTGTGGCCAATATGGAGCATATGTCATAGAGCTCCTAGCACACAGTGAACACTTACTGAATGCTAGTTATTAAAATAATTTACTAATTCTGTATGGAGCATCCAGTAGAGGAAGACTGAGAACAGCCAAATGGATTTTATAATTTCAGTAAACCAGTGGTGGAAGGCTTATTTCAGAGCTCTGGTAGGAGCAGTTTACAAGAAGGGTCCCTCCAGTCCGTCTTGTACTTTTCCGTCCCACAGACACTCTTCTGGTTTCTTCTACTTTAAGGTCTCCAATTAGCCTTTCTGATTGGAGCCTCTGTCCCAGTCCGCACCTATGATTCTCCTTGTTGCCACTCATCTATGACAAACACCTCAGCTATCAACAAGAGAGGGCCATTCTGTGTGTCATGAGACACTGCTTCTTTATTTGTAACTGATATTCATCTAAAACTGACCTCCTGCTTTCCTGCTTCTGGACTTTTGCTCCAGCCTATTCTCATCTCCCTTGGTAGAAACCCTGCCTCTACCATCAGCCCTATTTAAAAATCAGCCTATTTCATGAAGACTTTGTTGATTAATTCTTTGGGATTAACTTGCCTCAATATTCTTAGCACTTATAATATTATATCTTGTATGGTAGTTGTGAACTTGTAAATCTCCTTGCTAGATTTAGGACTCTTAAAGGAGTGCCCACGTGTTATAATGTCCAGAGGATAATTTTTGTCAGTGACTTGCTAAGTGAGAGCATTACCTTTTTTTGGGTGCCTCTTTCAGTGCCAAACACAGTGTTTTGCACATAATAGTTACCTGTTAAATAGATGTTGAATTGAGTTCATGGCAGCCGTTGATATCTTTCATTAGCCTTTTAGTTCATATTTTGTGCACAGAGTAGTAGTAAATTCTGATGAAAGTTCTGGGTCAGACTATCAGAACTGTGAGAGCCCAGGAGAAGCCAATGCACAAGGGTAAGTACCAGAGAGATTTCCTGTTTCTTAGTTATCTATTCTAATCATCACCCACTCCAGGCACCACCTATTCCTAACTACAATCTCTTGCCTTCTCTCTTTTCTCCTGTTTGCCTTTTCTTTCCTCTGCTGAGATTCATCTTCACAAATCTTTTTATAGGGAGATGGTTTAATACCTTCCACTTCATGTAGTACTTTATCTTTTCAGAAAAACATTTACATGCATCTCATTGAAACTGATACGCTACTTGAGTCACTTCCGTCTGCCTGAAGTATATTTCTTTGTTCTAACTTAGTCTCATTTCTGCAAAGGTCAGTAGAATTGTAGTACTAGAATTTAGTATTTCTCCAGTTTTCAATCTTCCAAAGACAGCTGTATGACAGATATGTTGGTGTAGGTATTAACCCTGCCAGGCAGATCCAGGCTGGTATCTTTGTTTTATAGATGAGAAAATAGGAGCCCAGAGAGGTCAAGTGATTTGCTCAAGGTAGCTGACTTCGGAACGGCCCATGTAAACTGATAAGGCATCTTTCAAATCCTCAGACCAAAGCCATATGAGTATTGCTTGGCTCATGGCTCTATTGGTCAGTGACAGGCACCTTGTCTCCCCACAATTTTATGATACAAAAGCGGTACTATGCAAATCAGGGAAGAACATCCGGAGACAGAATAATGAAGAATAAGGGAAAAGAAAAATAGATTATGCAAAACAGGAGGTAGACTGCCCTGCATCTGTTTAAGTACATTTTGCCATGACATTTAGGGACCAAGAATTGGGTGTCTTCTCATGTGTCGTCATCTTACGTGGTATACTGGCCATCTTCTCCAATGTTTATTTCACCTGCATGGTAGAGTAACGCTGTCCTTGGATCAGAAAATAAGGCACTTGACCCACCATTCATCATAACACGTGCTTTGGATGTATTTTTCTATTTGTGGGGATGCCTTTCTGCTGATCCATTTATAACCTCTCATGGAGTTTCCATGGTGACTAGGAGGCATTTTTATAGGACATGTGGTCAGGGGCTGTGGATAAGACTGTGTCTGTAGAACACAGAGAGCCTAAGTGTATGTAGCAGGAGAGAAAAAGAAACTTGGGAAATGAAGCCATGTGATAGAAAAAGAGCTCCAGAGGGAAGATAAGAAGTGTGCAGATAAGACTTAGTGAGGAATATTTACAGTAGTTAGGATATTTTAATTTGTATTTTAATTTCTAACAACAGATGCTCTGTAGAAGAGTGGTACACGTTCAGTAAGCAGGCTTGGTTGCAATGCCAACTTGAGAAGGTTTAACTGGTAGACCTAGTTACTCTATGCCAATAAATACAACAAAGTTTTACATCTTCCAAAACGGTCTATAGTTTCAACGGAATAGGTCTTAACTTAAATTTCATTCACACAGTGAGGTTTTGTTGTACCTGAATTTTGCTTTTTCCACGATCAGATAGTCTCCATTTAGCAAGTCAGATAAATCTCCATGATGCAAGTTTGATGTGAGTCCAATGGAGCCATATTCCCCAAAGTGTGTTCCTTGGTGGTCCACTTCACCAGGGTGCTCATAAGTAACGTGCCAAACTATAGTTCTGTGGACAAAGAAGTTTAGTATAAACAAAGTTAAACACTCTGGCTTTCTCAGAGCCATGATGCCATTATGCTGGTAAATGTCTAAGTGGGGATAGTACTCAGTATTTCCCAGACATTTTAATAAATAAAACATTTCTTCTACTACCTTAGTATCATTCCGAAAACTGAGTAATTACTTGGGTAAATGCTGTTATAGAGCCTGGGTTTTCTAGGCATCTGTAACATGGTTTGTCATATCATTCTAGGGACGACTGGGGCATGAACAAAGTTAGAACCTTTTAGCTGTGTGTCTCTACTATTACCCCACACTCTGGAGAATCTCTATCATTCATAGAAGCACCTTGTTTTGCTTTCTGATGTCTGGCTTTAACTCATACCAGTATGAATTTAACCCCTTTCTCTTAATCAAAGACAATTTTAAATGCAATGTGTCAAAGAGTATATGATCAGCTAGAATCTGACAGAGAATATCAAGCCCTGATCTACCTAAGGAAGTTTTGTGGACAATTAATTAGATAATTTCTAAAAATCAAGAAATCATATCTCCCAAGAATCATATCTAACCCATTAGTATTGACTCAGAAAATCTGCTTTAATTCTCATGTTTGAATCTCTAGTGGAGCTAAGAAGCTGTCTATTGTAGCTATGAAAATTGTGGAGAAGTTTCTGGAAGTAGTTTCATGGAAGGAGTAACACAGAGAACACGGCATTATCAAGCATTATCTGTAGTGGGAAGTGTTCTGGATGGAGATTCAGAGACTTGGGGGCCTACTCCCTGCTTTGACACTTATGAGGTGATTTTGACCAAATCCCTTAAAACCTCTTTTGGGACAGCACATTTGGCATCCTGTGGATCTGTCTCTTGCGTCAATAGTGTTTGGACAGAACAGATCCAGAGACTCTCTATTAAAATAAAAAATAAATAAACCTCTCTTGGTTTCAGTTTCATCTTTAAAATTTAACGGTTAAAGCAATTTCACTACTGGATATATTTCCAAAGGAAATGAAATCAGTATGTTGAAGAGATGTCTGCACTCCCATGTTCATTGTAGCACTATTTACAATAGATCAGAAATGGAAACAACTAGGTGTCCATCAGTGGATGAATGGATAAAGAAAATGTGGTACAGATACACAACGGAATACTATTCAGCCTTAAAAAAGCAGGAAATCTTGTCATTTGTAACAGCATGCATGAACCAGAGGGACAATATGTTAAAAGAAATAAGCCAGGTGCAGGTTACCAGAGGCTGGGAGAGGGATGAAGTCCGGGGAGAAGGGGAGATGTTGTTCAAAGGATACAAAATTCCAGTTAGGCAGGAGAAGTAAGTTCAAGAGATCTACTATAAATCATGGTGACCATAGTTAATAATGATGCATTGTATACTTGAAAATTGCTAAGAGGGTAAATTTTTAAGAGCTCTTACCACAAAAAAGTTAACTATAATGTGTACATTCATTATCTTGAATTAGCCATTCCGCAATGTATACATATTTCAAAACATGTTGTATATATTTATGATATCATAAATTTTATTTGTCAATTAAAAAATAAATAATAGTAAGTTTCAAACATAGCAGTTAAACCATCGATTTTTTTTTTACCGTCTTTTCCTTCCTACATCCATGCTTTTCAAATGAAATCATTTCTATAAAGTAGATAAAAGCACTCCATAGAGTCCTGCTGGAAGGTCACAGGGAGGGACAGGGTGGCAGGGTAGGTGGAACTCTGAGCCCACTTCCATCCCAGAGTTCCACCTACTCTGCCACCCTGTCCCTCCCTGTGACCTTCCAGCAGGACTCTATGGAGCAGGGTAGGAACCCATTGTTCTGGAAGGTCCCCATTAGCAATAAGGCTCTGGGTGTGCTAAGTCACAATTTGTGCTGGGTGCAGTGTCATATGGGAAGGGATGCTGTGGAAGCATTTGCCATCCAGAGCTGCTGGTGGTCCTTAGGGTGTGCACTGAAGCAGGGTGGAGTTCACAAAAAGAGCTGTGGCCAGCATGGGGGAAGCCAGGGACAGAGCATGCTGGCCTCACACATGTGAGCGAAGGAAAGGAATGAAGATGAGAAGGAGAAGCTAAAGTCTAATACTCCTGTAGTTAAAGGTGAATATCTGCTAAGAATTTTGTGTCTGAAAGTTATTTCTTTACGGCAGGCTTTACAAGGAGATGCTGATCCTCTCCAGTAAGCCAGATAAGTCTTCTTTACCCTCATTCACTCCATTCCCAAGTCTGCATTAGGTACATTAGATATGGTCCCACTTTTCCTATTCATTAATATTAGCATGGTGCCACCCATTATTTTTATTTCTTTGAAGTCATCCTTGGCCTATTTATTTAAATTATGCAAAGGGTTTGTATTTCCTAAGATTACAACTCCACTAGGATCAATGATTATGTCATGCTTCCCCGGGGATTACAGCCTGCCCTGACTGGCGGCGCACTCAGTGTTTTCATAGGACTTTTCCATCCTGGTGATAATCTAATGCCCTTGATTAAAAGGCAACTACACTCCCCCCAGCCCCTCATAAAGTGGTGTCTCAGGTGAGACTAACCCCTCCTTCATCTGTTAACCCTTTTAAGCCAGGCTGTGGCTACCCAACGTTGCTTACTCTTTGTCCTCAGTCTCAACTGAAGACCATGAATTTATTTCCACTAAAATT
Organism: Homo sapiens; assembly: GCF_000001405.40. NCBI lineage: Eukaryota > Metazoa > Chordata > Mammalia > Primates > Hominidae > Homo > Homo sapiens. The sequence continues at coordinate 39,165,342 of NC_000007.14, forward strand.
TGAAACGTTGAAACTAGACCAACTATGAAATTAATTGTCTAAGACAGTGATGCCTTACATGAGTCCCTGGACCCCTAGAGATTCTGAAGCCAATAGTGGCAGTTTCGTTAACTATTTTTATTGTTTCAAAAGTCGTCAAATAAGAATTTACTCATGATAAACAATTAACAGATCAAATTTCTTTCATTAGGCTGAAGTTATATTATTTTTGTGGCTTAATAGGCTGATCTGTAACCCTGAAGGATAGTCATATATGTTTCGATAAATTAAAAATGAGATCAGAATATTATCACCTTTAAAGAAGTTCAGTTTATTTGACATAAAAGTTTTCCAAGATCAAGATGCTTAAGATAAAAGAGTAGTCAAGCTCTTGATGGAGGAAAAAACCTGGCAACTTAAGAAAAAGAAGAGGGGGGAAACAGGAGAGTTTTCTAAATAGAGGATCAAGGTGAATAAAAATCCAGAGGCAAAAAGTAATAATTAGCCAATAAATACAATACAAATTAGGAACTGACCAGCCACACATGAGTAAAACTTTCTCAGTCCCAAACTTTCCAAATCCATGTAGTACATTGCAGCTCCTAGGTGATCATTCTTGCTTTGTAGTAAGCAAACCACATCCTTCGGAGAACCTTTTCCATTCATTCCTTCTCCCTACTCTAGGATGTTTAACATCATCCCTGTCATTGCACCTCACTACTCAGCAGCACAAATACCTGTTCATGTTCATCTTATCCACCAGACTGTATCCTATGTCTTGACATTTTCTGTGTCCAGCATAATGTCCAACACAAACAAGATATTTCACCAATAGTGGTTGAATTAATAAATAAATGAATGAGTCTTGCTGCCAAAACCTAAGACATTTTATCACTTTTAGGTCTGGTTTTTCAAACAAGGATTCCACAGACAGTGTGGAAAACTTGGTTGGTTCCACAATTAAAAATAACTTTGGAAAATGCTATATCCTATAATTCCTTCTCATATTCACAGTCCATTTTACATATTAACGGGAGTTAGACTTTCTCTCCAAGTTCAATTTGGCTTGACCTCTAGTATCTCCCAACCTTATTTGATCACGTAAACTTTCTTCGCCTGCTGAATTATGGATACCAGAGAAGTAATGTTCTCTAAGACACTGATTGGGAAACAGTTCTTTGGAGAAGGAGGGTGTGTTTAGGAAGAGGTACAATGGGCATCATTTTGACAAAGCCCAAGTGTCAGCCTGACTGTTATCTGTGAAAGCCGGAGCCTGTCACTAGCCCTTAGGAAAGTCACACTTCCAAGGGACTGAGGGCTTGTCCCTACCTCTCTAACCCCTGGGGCTCTCTGGAGCTTTTTTGTTACCACTGTGATCCTTGTTTATCCTGTTTACCTTAATGGATCCTGTCCAACTGCTGAGCCTACCTGTGGAAGGTAGTGCTGGAATGTTCACCTCGCCCTAGTAAGGCAGAAAGCCTCTTTCCAAGCAGGTGCACTTCTTGGGGGATAAAAGACACATTTCATGACCAGTAGTGTCCCAAATTTGAGTGGGGTTTTCCCGTAGACTAATGTTAGCTCTGTAAGTTTTCTATATGGAAATAGACAAACTACATTTTGGGAAATTTTTGTGGGTTTGGCTATTAACTCATTTCAAAATAATACATATTCTTTGTAGCATATTCAAATAATATAGACATCTTTCCTCACACCTCACACCCCATTCTCCAGCAAACATTTAGAATAGTTTGATTTAAATTCTTTAGTACTTTGTGTATATCCAAACAAACTTCATATGCATAAAGACAGACAGATAATATGTTGTATATATAATATCTATAAGGTATATTATATAAACATATATACCTACACTCATATGTATATGAATATAATTTTATTTGGCTAAAAAACATACTTGTCTTATGCATGTTATTAAAAACTTTTCTTTTGTACTGCATAAAACATCATTAATATCTGCCTATAGCAGTGCTCACTGTTTAACAGCCACATAGTATCCTACATAGTACTAGTATCCTAGTATCCCATGTTAGCAATTACTCATAATTTACTTAGTTTTCTATTGATTAATTTACCTTTGGGTCATTTGTAAAATATTTACAAATATTAATTTACCTGTACAATATTTCTATGAACATTGTATGGATATCTTTGCGTCAGTGTGACTATTACTACCAGAAGGTCATCCAGAAATGGAATTCCTGGGTATCATGCATGAAAATCTTTCACTTAAGTCGGTACTACAAACTTTCCCTTCCCCATGACTGTAGCATTTTATACACTTCTTTAATTACTAGTGATATTAAATATCTTTTTCTTTATTAGCTACTTGTATTTCTTTTACAAATTGTTTATTCATATCTTTTACCAATTTTTTGTTAGGTTATCTTTGTATTGTTGGTGTATAGGCAATGTTATATTTTATGAATATTAATGCTCTAAATATTATATATATAGATATATTTTATACCAATTCTTCATTGTCTTCAAAGTTCATTTGTGCCTCAGATAAGTTACATATTTTATACAGTCACATATGTTATACTTATTTTTGGCTTTTAGGTTTTGGCTTTTGTGTTATGTTAAGTAAGGCCTTTTCTAATTCAGGCCTGTAAAACTATTGCCATATTTTTTTGATACTTTCTCAAATTTATTATTTTTAAAAATAGATATTTAATCCAGCTGGAATTTATTTTTTTGTGTCTGGCATATCTAAGAATTTTCAAATTGAGAAGGATACCACAGAAAACATATCTACAATGGTAATACAATTTATTAGATCTTATAAGAGATTTTTTTTGTCTTGGAAAAAACAAAATTAGGAATTTTGACCAAGCATCAATAATAGCCTATTTTTATTTCTCGAGAGCCTTCAGATGACAAAATGCGCTTTGTATTTGTGTAGCACCTTAAAATTGTCCGAACATTTTTGTATCTGGGTTCTCTATTTGCAGCATCATGACAACCATATGAGGTACATGGAGCAGGGAGTATTATCTGTTTTAAATGACTTGTCTAAGGTCTCTAATTAATGGCTGTGTTGATTCTGGAAAACAGCTCTGTTTACATTCCAGTATTCTTTCTACTAATGTAACAATCATAACCTTTCTACCAGGCGTTATTCCACATGCAGAGAAATCCCAGGGCAGAAAGTCTTGACTGTAATCAAAGTGAGAGGCTTAAATAAGTTAAGCAATACAGATTTGTTAAAATCATTGGTCACGAGCCCTTTCTCCCCACCTCTGGCCTGACGTAATGGTTGTGACTGAGTTGGAAGCCTGCTGGAAAGAGTCTGGGGTGGTTGTCCGATACAGGCTTAACTGGAGTGGTGCAAATTGTGCCAGTATAATTCCTAATACAAGACAGTGGAAAATTGCTAGCACAATTGAGAGTTGTTAACACAATAGAAAGGACGCTAAAGAAAAACCTGATGTGTCTCTCCTGCATGTTTTTTTGTCCCCACTGCCATTTTCTGAGGGGATAAAATGAGATGACATTGGGAAGAAAACTACCACACCAGAGCCGGCAGTGATTGCTGCTTTGAATGCTGTACAGCTGCGCCCATGTGGCCAGATTGATCCATTTCAAAGCAATGGTCATTAGATTGCGTTTTACTCTGAAAATGCAGTGCCTTTCTGTTTCCCAAGTTGACTGTTATGATGGATGGTGGGATGCCCTACCTCAGTACATTATTTTATGTTTAACAATCTTGCATTGTGGAATTAACTGAGTTGTACATTTTGATAGTATTCTATGACAAATTCTGGACTATGAAGAGAATGTGAATTATGGAAGATGAACTTTGTACAGTAGGAAAGTTTTATTTTGTTCAAACAACTGTACTTTAGATCTGATTAGATCCAGCATCTAACTTTAACACCTTTATTTTAATGCCTGCTGATTTTTAGTCACAGAAGAAAATTCTTATTCTTTTAAAAAGTTGACTTGAAACTCCCTTTAATTTCTCTCCTTTACTACTTCACTATTTTAAAGCCATTATGCTTTGAGAATGAAAGTCTTTGGGAGAAGAACTGTTAGGCTTGTTAAGCCTGTGCGTGAACTGCAACACGCCCATAAAGTGTCTGGGCCCCTCCAAAACAACAAAAACCAACAACCAACAACAAAAACCTGTTCAAAGGGAATAGAGTTAACCTGTACACACTCATTGCAGTGAATAAAATTCATCAAGTCATACAATGTTTAAAACTCTCAATTGTAAAAATGTAATTTCTGCATTCTTTTTGGGCCTAACGTAGACACATGATCAGACTTGAACTAAATATACCTAGAACATTCACTGTCAGATTGTGATTAAATACACCTGGAACTTCCACTACACCATTTGAAAACTGATCTGTAGTAGCCCATAGAACAATGTCCAGGATGGTACAACAATTATTGGTTGAATGATTGGATAAATTAATAAAATAAGGGTTAGTACTCAGGATAAAATATTTATACTTTTTATAATAAAATTATTTTTCATAATGTTATGTCACATTATGAAATTATAATGTGATTTATAATCACATTTGTGATTATAAAATTGAATTCAAAGGTAAGGCTGGGCGCGGTGGCTCATGCCTGTAATCCCAGCACTTTGGGAGGCCAAGATGGGCGGATCACTTGAGGTCAGGAGTTCGAGACCAGCCTGGCCAACATGGCGAAACCCTGTTTCTACTAGCCGGGCGTTGTGGCAGGCACCTGTAATCCCAGCTACTCAGGAAGCTGAGAAGGGAGAATCGCTTGAACCTGGGAGGTGGAGGTTGCAGTGAATCGAGACCTTGCCACTGCACTCCAGCCTGGGCAACAGAGCGAGATTCTGTCTCAAAAAATAATAATAATAAAAAAAATTGTATTCGTTGTTTTTGTTTAGTCTTTACATATTTCTATTGCTTACTATACTTTCTTAACTTTGCAGATTGGAGAGTTAGATTGGTAAAAACACATATTCTTACATTTTGTCTTTTTTAAAGAGAAAAAGGAAGTAAAAAGTTAGAAAATACCCAGAATCCTTTGCAAACTACATGCTGTATATTGGTTGCAATAATAATTTTATTAAAACCATCAGGTCTAGGTCTGTAGATGAATTCATATGGCTAGGACAACTAAAAATTTCCCAATTTCCCAACTTTGAACAACATAACCATGCAGTATTGCAATATCATTATATATATTTAATCATAAACTAGGAACAATAGAGATATAATAGATGAAGGCTTACCTAATCCTCATTTAACTAATCAAAGAAGCTGCATAATCCTATAAAATTATTAACCATTTAAAATGACTTTTAAGCAACTCTGGAACAAAAATCAGAATTAATTTTATAGTACAGTGGTAAATTATAGTTAATAATAATTTATTATATATTTCAAAGTAGCTAAAGGAGAAGAATTGTAGTGTTCCCAACGCAAAGAAAAGATAAATGTTTGAGGCGACAGGTATCCCAATTACCCTGATGTGATCATTACACATTGTATACATGTATCAAAATATCACATGTGGCCGTTCTGCCTATGAAGTAGCCATTCTTTTATTCCTTTACTTTCTTAATAAACTTGCTTTCACTTTACAAAAAAAAATCACATGTAACCCAATAATATGTACAACTATATCAATAAAAAATAAATAACAATTTTTAAAGAATTAGAATTTAAATGTAGTTCACATATATCTTTTTTTTTTTTTTTTTTTTTTTTTACTTTAAGTTCTGGGATACATGTGCAGAACGTGCAGGTTTGTTACATAGGCATACATATGCCATGGTGGTTTGCTGCACCTATAAACCCATCATCTAGGTTTTAAGCCCTGCATGCATTAGGTATTTGTCCTAATGTTCTCCCTCCCCTTTACCCCATCCCCCAACAGGCCCTGGTGTATGATGTTCCCGTCCCTGTGTCCATAAGTTCACATATATCTTATGTGTATTTTATAATATATATTTATCCTGTAAGTTCTGCTATAAAATACTGCTGCAAGTTCTGCTATAAAATTATTAATTAGAAATTAAACAATTTTCCTTAGTCAAAATGTTTTAGTAGTTATACTTAAAGGTGGAATATCCAATTTTTAAGTGTCAGAGCTCCTTTTAATCAGGGAAACAATCTGTAAATGATAAGATGTCTCTTATTTAGATTTAGATTTTTCTTAGACATTGTTAGCAAGCATCTCTCAGTATTGTCTATCTTCCCAAAATATTGAGTCAAAAAGAGAGAAACAGAAGTGGTTGGATTAAAAAGAAAAAAAGATGTTCACCTATAAAACAAAAATAATCCCTCAACTGGTTAATGGCCATCCCTGATAGACTTGTGCAAGAAATCCAAATTTCGGAGCATTTAGCCATAGGACACCCATCATTGCTCCTTTTCCTGCAGTCTCAGGTAGGAAGGGATGCTACAGTGTCCTTTGCCCTGTGTAGACAGCAGCACCATCCACTCAATCTGCTCTTTGAAAATCACTTCGGTCTCGTAACACATCTAAGTGTTAAAAAACTTTTCAAGTCAAGAGAGACTTCTGTATATTTAACTTACATCTTTCATGCTCAACAGTTTCATGACTGTTAAGGAGTAGGGCCATCAGGCAATTTTTGTGAATTGCTTTTTTGTTTATTTGTTCTTATTGGAGTGGGGGAGGAGAACAGAGAGTCTGCAAAATGAAAAGTGGTTCACTTTGCCAAAGCATCATTTTTACAAAAGGAACACTTGCTCCTTTTAGAGAAATCAGAAAAGTGTAAAAAGATTTGTCTTTTAAAATCATCTCAAACCTCATCTTCCCCAAGAGATAGTCATTACTAATATTTGATGTACTGTCTTCCAGTTTTTCTTTGCACATTTGTGTTCACATATTTAAGATAATATTATATATTTAACATTAGATCACATACATTTTTTAGTATCGTTGTAAACTCTTTAGTCTTTTTAACATTTTACTTAACATTCCAGCTCACTTATATCCCATAATTTACATAACCATTTCCTCCTATGAGTCACTGAGGCTGTTGCATCATCCAGGTAACATCATTTTGGACCTGAACTTCTACAGAGTAATTCCTTGGTCACATAGTGGCTTATTCTATAGGATTTATTGAATTACCCTATAGAACTTAACATAGTGAAGGTGATTCTTCACTAGAATCTTGTTATTTTCAAGACATCTGTAACCCAGGAATTGTAGGAAAATTATACTTGAGATTACTACCCACCCCACCCCCACCTTCATGTTTTAGAAAATTGAAGACAGAAATTATCAGAATTATCAGAGGCCTGACTCTTCAGGTCCCCCTCCTTTTTTTTTTTTTGAGGCAAAGATTCATGCTGTTGCCCAGACTGAAGTGCAGTGGTGTGACCTTGACTCACTGCAACCTCGACCTCCCCGGCTCAAGTGATCTTCCCACCTTAGTTTCCCAAGTAGCTGGGACTACAGGCACCTGCCACCATGCCTGGCTAATTTTTGTATTATTTGTAGAGACGGGGTTTCTCCATGTTGCCCAGGCTGGTCTTGAACTCCTGGGCTCAAATGATCCACCCGCCTCGGCCTCCCAAAGTGCTGTGCCATTACAGGCGTGTGCCATCGTGCCTGGCCTCCAGGTCCCTTTTTTTTTAATACTTTAGAGAAGTACTGTCCAATAGAAATATGATGTGAACCACAAATGCAACCCTCAGATGTTACTTTTAAATGTTCTAGTAGCCATATGTAAAAAGTAAAAGAGGAAACTAATTTTAATAATGAGCTGAATGCAATATACCCAAAAGATTATCATTTCAATCTGCAATGATATAAAAATTACTAATGAGATATCTTATAAATCTTCTTGTGTTAGAAATGGACCTACGCATTCTATATTTAACACATATCTGTTTTCAGTCTAGCTACATTTTAAGGCTCAGTAGCTGTATGTAGCTAGCTGCTGCTACTACTTGGGATAGCACAGCTGTAGAGAGCTAGCTTAAGCGGTAGATAAGGTGGATTCCATCTGGAGTTTCAACTAGCTCTGTGCTTATTAGCTAACCTCAGGCAAGTTACTTAACTTTTCTATGCTTCAGTTTGTCTGTCTGTAAAACAGGAATAGTCATAGTAACTATTGGGTAGAGTTGCTGTAGAGTTTGATGAGATAATCCACGGAGACAGTGCTCAATAAAAGTCCTGTAAAGAAATGTTGAAAAAGTGTAGCTAGTGATCCTACTCTAACTTAACCAATGACTTTCAGCATCCTATCATCTTCCCCTTTCATCTTGTCACTGTTTTTGGTAAGAATGAATTATTTGGAAGCTAATCACTGCTCTCATGCTCTGGAGAAAGGGACTAACATTTCACCCATAGCCTAGATGCCCAAAGCAATGTGGAATCACGTACCTCTTTGTAATGTTTAATCTATGTTGATGACAGGGCTTCTCCAGGGCTCCTTTTGGTCCTCCTCTAATAGAGGCCTACACTATTTCCTCCTGGCCTGTCAGACAATATGTTCTGATCTCTTCCAAGTGGTGGATGGGAATGTAGAGGGAACCACAGGTTCTTAGCATGGCTACATACTCTGTGGCTGTCATGGTAGTTTGCAAGGGTTACTTAGTGGAAATTTAGGGCTATTCTACCTGTCTTCTCAACTTCTAATATTCCAGCCTCAGCATGGAGCTGAAACAGAAATAACTGAAAAGAGAGTTTGGCAGAGATTTCTGAGCCAGAAAACTTGCTTCTCATGCTGATCCAGGTGTATGTGCCTCAGTGGTTCTGCCATAGGATGGGAAAGATCTACCAAGTGGGGGTGTGATGGAGAAGGCTCCCTTCAGTTCACCCTGGAGGTGGGTTGGATTTCTTTAAGCAGGAAGACACCGGCTGGAATCCCAAGTCCTTTGTACTTAGAAAATGTGACCAAATCTCACAGATAATGCTGTATGAAAGGCAAATGCTCTTGCTGACCAACAGGCAGGCTGTCTTCAGGCACATCACAGTTAGAAAACACACCTGGAACCTTTTGTTGAATTCTTGTTGGTTGCCACTTCTCTGTATTGACTTTTGTGTCCTGATCATTGAGTGTTAGTGCACAATATTTTTATATTGTGGGTGTGATCAGGACTGTTCTTAAGGGTGACTATAATTAGAGAACAGCCATCTATACCTGATTTTCATTGTATTCATATATTACTGTGATCTCTTTATTTTCATTTAGTGCTGAAAACACCTGCAAACTTATCTGCAGTCACGTGTGTCTTTTCCTCCTGTTCCAAGAGGTATCCTATCACGGCCAAAGCCCTTAATCCCATTCCTGCCCACCTCCTCCTTCCTTCACCCCATGGCTTGTCCCCTCTCTCCTCAGTCTTCACCTGATCACTCACCTGATCTCCTCAGTCCCCTCTCTCCTCAGTCTTCACCTGATCACTTGGCTCCTTCACATCTGTTCTTACAACCACTCAAGTCCTTTCTGTCTTCCTGGACCCCACATCCTCTCCAGTTGCCTGATCTCTCTCTTCTCTGTCATAGCCTGATACTTGCAAGAACTGGTCTCACTTGTGACATCCCTGCCCTGACCCCCATGTACTCCTCAAGCCCCTGTGATCTGGATTCCACCCACCATCACAATGGCACTGTTCTCCCCAGGTCAGCCATGTGCTCCTTGTACTCTTTATTTCTCTTCTCCTGTGACCTCTCTCCAGTGTTTGATGCTGTTGTCTATTCCCTCCATCATCAAATTACTTTTTCCCTTTGGTTATGGTGCCACACTATCAGTGTATGTGTATGTGTGTGTGTGTGTTCACCTACCTCTTTGGTTTACTAGGTTCTCCTCCTCTATCCATCCCTTGAATGGGTGCCCTTTTCTGTCCTCTATTTTTCTTATACCTTCACTCCTTTGGCTTTAATGATATTAAACACTGATAACTCCACTCCATACTTTAACTCCAAGTCTTTCTTCTGACTTCCAACCCATACTTCCAGCTTTCTACTAGACACTTTCATTCAGACATCCCAGTAGGCACCTCAAACTAAGCATGTCCAAAATTTCGTGCATCAGTATAGGGTGACCATATATTTTATTGTCCAAACTAGGTCAACTTTTGAGTGTGAAAAAGAGGTACTACTAGTAATTATGCCACAACAATAGGCATAGACAGATACTGTTCCAGGAAAATCAAGACAGGTGTCTAGGGCCTACTTGTCCCTTAGGCACAGCAAGCACAGTGCCCAGGCCATGGTTATGATACTTTTAGGGGCCCCTGAAAACATTTTAATTTTGTTTAAAATCAGAAGAAAAATTAATATACTGCTAATAAAGTAATAATGAACCCAGCTCTGTCTTTATATCAATGCAGTCATAAAGTATAATTTTGAATTTTTTTAATGAAGAAAGGGGCCCACAAAGGCCAGTGTGCCAGAGAAACCATGAAAATCATCATGTGGCCTCATGTATGGCCACCCTTAACACCCACTTCTCCAGATGTGCTTCCTTTCTTGATTTATCTCGCAGACTAGCATCCTCACATTCACTCAGAAGACCCCACTCCAGAAACCTGGATATCATCCTTGAGTCCCCTCCACCCATCCCTTCAGCACCCACTCCACTGAGCAGAAGGATTACCTGTGACTCAACAGTTCCCTAAGCTTCTCCTTCCATCTAGGAAGACTGGCCCATGGCTGCCTTTATCTTAGGTCAATCAGCAAATCAAAGAAGCAGACTTTGGCCAAATGTTTTCTCATTTTTCTTTTTGTTTTCTTCCTTCAGTGTATTCCCTCTTCTTCCTTTGTAACTTTCAAGTGCTTTTATTGGCCAGCAACAAAGTGCTTAACTCCGCCAAATAACCACCCCTGGCCTGCAGGCTCTTCTCCATGCAGGACCCAGTCTCCTCTACCACCTGCTGTGAATTTGTTCTTGGGCTGTGAGGAGCATCTCTCAGCATTTCAAGATTCAGGTGATGGTGCTTCTCTCTTTGTCAGAGAGAATGAGCATGACTTAACTGGCAAAGCAGCCTCATGTTTTTCTACATTATCCTTAATGCTTAAATTCGAGGAAAAATTGCTCTGTAAGGAATGTTAATTTTATCTTTAATGCTACAAATAATGAGAATGAGAATTCTGTACAGTGCCTAGACATTGCCTGCGTGGATGGTTACTCAATGCCCTCATGAAGCCCCCTCTGCTCTCACATTTCATCTGATGAATTCCCATTTGCTCCACAGGTTGGACCAATGAGGCAACACTAGGGGAGAAGCGTGTCTTTTCCAGAAAGATAGGGAGAGCCTTTTCCTTTCCAAAATATGCTTCCTGGATCATCGCTGCTCTACTGATCATAACTTTTACATCATGGCCTTCAAATGTTGTTTTATTCACAAATGAGTATAGAACCAAAGAAAGGTCAAAAAGAAAATGCATGCATACAAACACATACCCCATATCTTGTGTTAGCAAGAAATAACACATTTTCCAAATTCCTGAATGTTGAAGTTTTCCAAATACCGTGAAAACATCATGCTAGAAGAGTCCATAACATTAAGCATGAGAAATAAATCACAGTAGCCTTAGTCTGTTAAAAACTAGAAACAAGTTGATGCCTACCAAAATAAAAGTTAAGGGGCATAATGAAACCATTGGAAGGAATGGACCTTATTTAGAAACTTGCCCATAGAAAGTCACAGAATTCCTTTGCAGCCGCATCTCATGACTTACTCTTCAACCAGCCTATTCCTTCTATGCTATGGCTCACTCAGTTTAAAATCTTTTTTCCACTCTTCAAACACAATGCATAGTTAACTGCATTTTCTTATAAAATAGTTTATTTTTAGAATGAAAATCAGGTCACTATAGGAGGATCCACATGCAAAACCCAGTGTCCATCATTCAATGTATTTGTCCCTAGGACACTGGCCTTTTGTCCACTCCCCTTGCCTCCACCCTCCTTTTAATGATTCAGAAGCTACAAGAATTTCCTTGGGACTTCCTGAGTTCTGCCTTCACACAGAGTTCAGGGCAGGGATGGAAAATCTCTTTCAACCTCCGTGCCAACCGTGATCAAGTGGGGGCACCTGTGTTAGAGGAATTCTGATGGGGCATCAGGATTCACTCCCAGTGTCTGCCATTGGCCATATGGGGGAGTGGAAGCTCAAACGCACTAAATTGCCATCTCTGGGATAAGAACACCTGGATGAGACAATCCAAGGATTGGGAAAGAAGCGAAAGAAAAATGCCTTCTGAGATGTAAAGTTTAAAATCAACACTATTTGTGTTGCATTTCATCTACATTGCCTCCTGGCTTAATCTGAAGCTGGTAGTGTCCTTCTAAGCACTTCACACGGAAGGGGCTGGCATGGCCTGTGAACTTGGCCTGAAAGGTCCTATAGTTCTGAATGAGCTTGGACTCAGAGAGACTGATGCCACCAAATATGAAATTCCCAGTTTTTCTAAGATTTGTAACATTCTCAAGTTAGGAGGTGTCTCATAATCAGTTCTACTTTTGATACAGCATTTTAATATGAGAAGTTATTATATTGATGCTACATTTTAAAATTAATGATTTCCCTGAATAGGAAAAGCCCAATAGGTACTCTACTCCTCTTGCTATAAATTCACAAGCATAAGTTTATAACTGTAACTTGTATTCCATATAATTATATCTGTATCAGTCTTTTTTAAGCTTTAAAACTTTCTTCAGCCAGGCGTGGTGGATCACGCCTGTAATCATAGCACTTTGGGAGGCCGAGGTGGGTGGATCACAAGGTCAGGAGTTGAAGACCAGCCTGGCCAAGACGGTGAACCACCGTCTCTACTAAAAATACAAAAATTAGCCAGGCCCAGTGACAGGCACCTGTAATCCCAGCTACTCGGGAGGCTGAGGCAGGAGAATTGCTTGAACTCAGGTGGCAGAGGTTGCAGTGAGCTGAGATCATGCCGCTGCACTCCAGCCTGGGCAACAGAGTGAGACTCCATCAAAAACAAAAAAAACAAAAACTTTCTTCAGATATAAACATTTTACTATTCCCCATTTTTATATGCCTCAATCTTCCCTGAATATCCCACAAGAGTTTCTCTTCTATATGCCCCTATTGAATATAGAAAGTATTCATTGAGTTTTACATTCTATAATTTGATTATAAAAGTAGTCTTTATTTTCTAAGTATTATAACATTTTATAAGTATAATACAAATTATATTAAGAGTAATAACATTAAATATGCTTTTAAAACTACCCATGCAGAAACTCTCTCAATTGGGAAGGATAGCCTACCCGGAGAGGCTGTATTATTTTTAAATTTAATTTAACAACTTGTCATTTTGGTGTCTACAAACCTTGTGATCTTCATAAAGTTGAGTCTTTTCATGAAAAATATCTCCACCCTATGAACCAAGAGAATCATAGTAATCAAGTTCAGAGACAGCAAAGCCAAAAAACAGATCTTGGATGATGGTGGCCTCATAAAAAACAGGAGCACTGAGAAGGCTGCCTGGCTCTCGTGTCCTCTGTTGACTGCCAGTTTACCTTCTACTTGTTGGCTCTGATGGAAGAAGGCTAGTCCTTTTCCAGATAGTTCCATCCCATCAGGGCATTCCTTTCTGTACCTGAGGCAAGCTGATCAAGTGTTTGTTTGGGTACAGGGCATTCTCAGCTGTGTTTTATTAGGTGAATAAAAGCTGCTTTTTTCCTCATTAAAGGGATGAGACGTGACGGTTTTTTTAATCAGCTATAGGTTCTGCTCTGGAGCTCTTCTGGAAGCCTGTGTTTCAAGGATGCTGGCCTCCAGATACCTGGAGTTTAGATTCCATAAAGATAACATGATTGTATTCCACCTTATTATAGCATTATCAGTCAGTGAAGAAAATTTAAAGTCACTGCTACTATATCAAGACGATTGTCTTAAGTGCCGTGGAATGATCCCAAAAGACCAGAGAGGATGCTCCTTCATTCTTCCGGTGAGGTGGAACAGCATAATCCTTAAGAATGTGCATGTTGGTGCCACACTGCCTGGGTTCAAATCCAATTCTGCGACTTTTAGTGGCTTAGGCAAAGTTACTTTACCTCCCAGGGCCTTGCTTTTGTTGTTTGTAACATGCAGGTTGTAGTGGTATCCTCCTCTCTCCTAGCTAGGGTTGCTGTGGGGGTTAACTGGGTTAGAATACGTCAAGCATTTAGAAGAGTCTGGCACTTGCTAAGCCCAATTGAATCTTTGCTATTATTATGCATGGGACTGAGACCGCACGCGCGCACATGCGCGCACACACACACACACACGCACACAGTCTACAGAACTGATCTTTGATACACATAGAAACCACCTGGGGATCTTAAAATGCAGATCTTGATCCACTGGATCTGGGGTGGTCTGAGGCTCTGCAGTTGCCGCCGGCTCATAGACCATGCTTTGAGTAGGAGAGATGGAGAGCAGATGTGTTTACAGAAAATATTAGCAAGAGTGACAAATCAATGTGGCTCTGGTTATAATCACTCCTTGTCTACTGGAAAGTTCCCAGAGCTGGTGGGGAGCTGGGAGGATGAGGTTCTGGCCCTGACTAGCTGCACGTTATATCACTTAAGGCCCACCACTTAAGCACGTTGTATTTCATTTCTCCCATCTTCCAAATGGGGATAATAATACTTGCTCTACCTACTTCATGGGATTGTTGTAAGGGTCAAATGAGAAAATGTATGTGAAAGCTCTTTGAAAAATTAAAAGTGCTGCCCAATAGAAAAGGGATCAATAGTAGCAGAAGGAGGGGTGGACTGGGGGACATTTGACTGGGAGTGGAGAGCTCCCCAGAAGAGTAAATTCTGAGCTGAGGTTTGAAGGAGGCTGGAGAGGCAAATTGGCTGTTATTCCAATGTAGCAGTAACTGCTAATGGAGGAAACAGCACAGAGACAGAAGCAAATACGCCCAGGTGTGTATCCATGCATTCAGAGAGCCAAAGCAAACTAGCATGCTTTCTCAGCGGAGGGTCTATTCCGAAGATTTAATGAGATATTAGATTTTTTTTAAGTAGCCAGAGAAAAAGAGCATAAAAGGGAAGGTAGAACATTCTATCTGAAATCTCAATCGAAGCTTTTTGAGTGGATGCAAAGACAATAGAGGAATTATTTTACACAGTATTTTCAATGCCACTCAATCAGCAAATGTGTCCCCCACCACTTCTTGGGCACACAGCACAGAAGAAGCCTCCCAACACCTGGCCACTAATTACTGCCTCCACCAGGCTTTGATGCTCCCAGGGATTAGCTTGTGTCTGTGCCAAAGACTTCATTCCAAAATTGTATGGGAAACTCCAGCCTCGTGTCTCCGCTATTCCCAGTCATTTGCCTTTTTGGGTCATGGCTGGCTTCATGGCTGTGTGATTCATGCAGGCGCTTAGGACCCCAAGCTCAGACGGGCTCTGTGTTTAGTTCAATGCTCTGCTGTCACTGTCCTGAAATGCTTGATATTTTTGAACAAGGGACCCAGCACATTTGTTTTTGCACTGGGCCCCATTACTGGCTTCAGTTTCCCTCTTCTCCCTACCAGCTGCCCACTGCTGACCCTCCTGCCAACCTTTTCCCTTTGCCTTCCAGAGCACCTTTCCATAAGAACCCCTCCCACCCATGGTTCTCATTGACTAAGCATCAGTGTCAACTAAGGCACTTTAAATAATACTAACGTCTAAGTCCTACCCCAGACAATTAGAGCAGAATTGCTGGGGCTGTGTATTTCTGTGATGATGTGCATGTGATTCTAATGTGCCCCCATTCAGGGTAGAGAAAAACAGTCCTGTTTGCAGAAAGCATCTTCTCTTCCTGGCTTTAAGCAAAACTTTGCTGTTCTCTGTGAACATGGCTCTCTGCAGTTCTTTCAGGAAGAGACTGTTCACTCGTGTCCACCCTACACATGATGGCATCAGAAGGAGGTTGGGATTGTCACATCCCCCAGATGCCACTAACACACCATAACTCCTCCACTGTGGTCCTTTGAGAACCTTGCTCCTCTCTGATATGCCGCATCTCTTGCCTCATTTCTGTCACTGAAGGCAATGTTCTTTGGCCACCTCAACTCTGGCGGCCTTCACCTTCTCTGTGGATACGTACTCTCATTTCTAACTCTGTTATTACCCAGCACTCTTTACTCCAGAGACCATATGTGGAGCCTAGGCTTATTCTGCATCATCTCTCAGTGCTATCTTTGTTCCTACCATATCTATTCTCCCACCCCAAATAAAGGAACATTCACTTGCTTTGGCGAATAGGGAACAGATATATCTTTTGGGAGGCAATCATTCAACTCATTACACAACTTGCGCAACTTTGCAGATTGGAGCCACAGAAAATCCATGGTCTCCAACCTCTTCAACTATCCTGTTACTTGCTCACAAAGAGCTCCTGTTCCAACTCCTTTCAATGACTGTCTAAAACGTCACAACCACCCCTCTCCAACTCAAGCCATCCCCACCTCTCTCACAGCAGATGAGCTGGTGTCCTTCATTCCTTAGAAAATTAAAGTCATTAGGTTGCTTTTCCATCACCTCCCTCCATCCACACTCATTCTCTTCTCTTCCAGCCCCAAAGATGATGTTTCCTTCCTCTTGTTCAAAACCAACTTATCATGTGAGCTCTCAGTTCATTTCCCACCTCTTTCAGAAGCTTATTCCATCAGGAACTTCTTACATATATTTTTAACCTTTCTCTCTTAACTACCTCCTCAGATTACAATCTCTACTCCTTAAAAAAGAAAACAGAAACAAAAACAAAATATTATACTCCATATTATCCTTTTCTGCTTTATAAATCAGAAGATTTCAATTTTTTTACTTCATCTTAAAGCACATAAGATGTTTCACATTGCTTATAATATTGACATTGTAAATGTCACATTTTAAATAATACGAATGACACATTGCAAATAACATTTATCCTTAATATGTGCTAAGCACTCAGTTATTTCTGATTTTATTCCACTTCATTCTATTATATATTTTACTATTCTATGTTTTGTAAATGCTGGTTGCCACTCACAAACCTTTTTTCACATTCCTCAAATGGACTACAACCTATAGTTTGAAAATCATTGATCTAACCTGTTTTGCCTGTTTAAACACATTGTATACATGTCTTCACTTCCTATGCATCTCAGCCCTCACTGAAATGCAGTCTCAATTCTCATTATTCCAATGGAACTGCCCATGCTAGGGCTTATTCATACAAATAATATTTTAAGTACTTAGTACTTGTTAACATATTAACAAATCTAGTAGGCATCTTTCTCTTCTTTTCTCGATCCCTTTAAAGCATTTGGGATGACCAGCTGCACTGTCCTCTTGCAAAATCTGTGTACTGTTAACTCTCTGGATTCTTATCTCACCTAATTGAATGTTTCTCCTCGGTTTAACTCCTGGGCTCTTTTCTGCTGCAATTGTAAACCATTGTATTCCCCAGAATTGCATCCTTAAGTCATTGTTTTCTAACCCAGTCTTCCTGAGAGCTCATCCATTCTGTGGTTGAAGTATCACCTGTTTGTTGATTGTCCCTGAGTCTGTGTCTCTTTCTTGAGCATCTTGTGGTATCAACATCACCATCAGAGTCCGATAGGCACTTTACACTTAGTATGCCCAAACCTGAAATTTTTATTCCAGCAAAAATGCAGCAAGGAAAATCATGTTTTCTGGGAACCTTGCTTGGCAACAATTGACATATCCTTTAGACTAGGTGTCCCCAACTCCCAAGCTGCAGACTGGGACCAGTTCATGGCCTGTTAGAAACTGGGCTGCACAGCAGGAGGTGAGAGGCAGGCAAGTGAGCATTACTGCTTGAGCTCCACCTCCTGTCAGATCAGCAGCTGCATTAGATTCTCATAGGAGCATGAACCCTATTGTGAACTGTGCATGCGAGGGATCTAGGCTGTGCACTCCTTATGAGAATCTAATGCCTGATGATCTGAGGTGGGAGAGTGTCATCCCGAAACCATCCCCCACCTGCTGTATTAGTCTGTTCTCACACTGCTATAAATAACTACCTGATACTGGGTAATTTGTAAAGAAAAGAGGTTTAATTGACTCACAGTTCCACAGACTACAAAGGAAGCATGGCTGCGGAGGCCTCAGGAAACTTACAATGGTGGCAGGAGGCAAAAGGAGAGCAGACAGTTCTTATGTAACAGGAGAAGGAGGAAGAGAGAGAGAAGGGGGAGGTGCTACACACTTTTATAAACAACAAGATCTCTTGAGAACTCACTCACCATTACAAGAATAGCAAGGGGGAAACCTGCCCCCATGATCCAATCACCTCCCACCAGGTCCCTCTTCCACATTGGGGATTATAACTGGACATGAGATTTGGGCAGGGACACAGACACTAACCAGATCACCACCCTCTTTGGTCTGTGGAAAAATTGTCTTCCACAAAACTGGTCCCTGGTAGCAAAAAGTTTGGGAACTGCTGCTCTAGACCAATAATTCTCACATTTCTTAGCCCTAATAATGCCAAGAGTTCATACAAACCACCTTTTTCTATAGCTTCCATTGACAAAGAGTGAATTTTAAGTTTATGCAACTATTCGTTATCCACAATAACAAATATAATTCCTCATCATTATAACACAAAACACACTATGCAAATCTAGATTATTATATCATGCTCCAAGCCAAAGTACAAACATTTTCATATTTCCAACATAAAATCCACTCAGAGTCCAACATTCCAACCACCTGATTAAGGTCCGTAAGTCCAGGCTGACACCTGCATTCCCCATTAAGTCTTGCAAATGCCAGGGTCCTCCCTTCCTAAGAGGCCCAGTTCTGTTTTGATAGATACTAAAGAGGGGCAAATTCATGTGTTTAGTCTATGGGAAAGGACAAGCTGGTCCATGCAAATAGGCCAATAAATTATGGATTTATTTGCACAGCAATAGAATCATCATAAAGATTACAGTGACCCAATCTGTTAATTTTTCTTTTTCTCTATTTTGGTTATCTTTCCCCCTTCAGGTGCAGAAAAAATTGAATCAGTGCCAATTTGTTTAATTGGATTTTTAAAATAACCACAAAAAATATCAAGTAGTCCTTTTAAGCTTTTTGAGTGAGCTCAACAAGGGCCAAATCAATTAAGCAAATTGCTTTAAAAAATAATCTACTAACTCCAAACAAACCTCTTCCCTATTTCAGAGGTGGTATATGCCTAAATTTACGCCCAGCACATTTTTCCAGCTGAATTACCAGCTTCTCAACACTAGGGATTTAAAAGGGAAATGCTGACACAGTCTCAGCCCTGGTAGCAAAATGGTGCAGCTTTAATCCAGCAGGGCTCTTTGGACAGCAACTGTGCGGCAAGGCAACAGTTTGCTGAAGCTTACTAAGCCCGTGGCTGTCACCTGATTTGTTTGTGGCTTGGGTGGGGCACTCATGCTCAAAATATCTGCACTCTGACTTACAAGACATTTTTCTCTCCTCTTTGGTTTTCTTACATAAATATATGTGAAATATGAAACACACCAAATGGGTGGGAGATTTAATGGTTTTCTTTTTCCCTTTGTCTGCCACCTCCACCCTCACCTACAGTTTAATAAACAGTAGCATAAGAGCTGTATTTTCTTTTGAGCAGTAATATGTAACCAGAACAAACAGAGGACATAGGAAAGGTGGAAAAAAGTTAGATATACAAGCAAGAAAAAGTGAGTTATTGATTTTATTGACTGGTCTGTTAACTTCTGACATTGCAATGAAGTCTTATTTATTTGTATACGGAAGACTCAATTACATAGATACATATCATTTTAACAACTGGGTTATTTACAGGAGAATTGCAGCTTCATAAATAATATAGACCTGGAATTTTTCAAGCTGATGTTTATCCATTGTTACCTAAAGAAGTTATGATGGCTGCAAGTACACTTCAGTGTAAAGTCATTAGAACAGCATTACAATAGGATGGGTGGCGGGATGGGGGAGGGGGGTGAAGGACAATAGTGTACTAAGGACAAGAATGCTCAGTCCAGTGACGATATACAGCAAATACTCCTGGGCTAATCAGATCCAGGACAGCGCCACTGGATTGTCCTCCCTCCCACCATAACATGACAACCAGGAAAATTGTCAATGGAGACAGTTGGGTTCAAGCAACCAGGTTTTTAAACTTCTGTTTTAACTGTTTTTACAAACCCTGAAATATAATGCTAATGACTTAAAACCGAAGTTTATGAAGGATATGTCTAAAAACAAAGCCTACGTCTCAAAGAAGGTTTTATAAAAATAGAACCAGGTATTCCCAAATATCTTCTCTTGATGGGGCAACTGGTAGACATGTAGGGGAATATTCTAGTGCTGCCCTGCGTTCCCTGGAATTTCCTAGATCCTCTTTCAGGTGATCTCCTGAAATAATTCCTTGTTTAACCATTAGTTTAATGGTAGCTTCATTGCCAGGTTGTAGGCCCCAGAGGCTCAGGGAGCATATCTGGCCATCATTCAGTAAATATTTTTGGGAATTAGTAAATTAATTAAGTAATGAGAAGTATGACAACTTGGTATACATATATATATGTATATGTATATGTATATGTATATGTATATGTATATGTATATGTATGTGTATATATGTATATATGTATATGTATATATTTATATGTATATGTATATATATGTATATGTATATGTATATTTGAGATGGAGTTTTGCTCTGTTGCCCAGGGTGGAGTGCAGCAGCACGATCTTGGCTCACTGCAATCTCCGCCTCCCAGGTTCAAGGGATTCTCCCACCTCAGCCTCCTGAGTAGCTGGGATTACAGGCACTCACTACCACGCGTGGCTGGTATATTTTTTATGTATCCCTAGCATGTTGCAAAATACGTTCCACCTGGCAAGAACTTAATAAATATCATGTTGAATGAACAAATGAACAAATTTCAGATGATGACTATGACTAGAGCTCATAGTCAGTAGTGAACTTGGAACTCAGACCAGGGTCTTAGAACTGGGAATCCCCAAGCATAGCTCTCCTGCGGGGCAAGGACTGAGAGCTACTGGGAATGGAGTGCAGGTAGATAAATGACAGCTGCAAGAAAATACCAGCAGAATCCAGCCTGGGCTCTGAGCAAGCGTTTGCTACTTGGTTAAGCATGCAGGCTGTCACTACCTCCCTGGTGGCTGTCTCCCTGGTCTTTGTTTATTTATATGGCCCCTATCATTACAGTCCACCTATATCTACATGTGTGCTTATGCTCCACTTAGGACCTGAGTTATTTTGGGGATGCACATTCAGACACCACCTCAGCCTTTGTATAGATTCCTCAGCACCAACCGAGCCATTTTTGCCCAAAACCATCCCTGTGAGACATTGCCCTGAAAATGATATCTTCCGCACCGGAAATATAATTCCTTTCATTCTTCTTCCACTACCGCTCATACAGGACTGCATGGATTTCTGTCCTGAGCTCTATGTCCCTTGTCTCTGAGCCCTGAGTAGTGCCTGTCATCTCCCCTCCCGCAGATTCTTTGCAAATCACTGGGGGAGGTGCTGTCAGGGTCTGCTCCTTCCCCAGCTCTGTTTCTTCCCCTCCTGACACACCTGTGGGCTCTACCCTGCCCCCAGGCATTGACAATGCTTGAGGCTAATGCTCAGAATCTCAGTATCTTGTCAGATCAAACAGCTGTGACCCGGTTTCCCAGGCCTGCCGCCTGCTCTGTGTTCTGGAGCCCTGCTGGGTGACATGCCTACTAATGTGATCGCCAAGGTGGTCTCTTGTCTCCCTTCAAATATAAGGTAACAATAAGAAAGCTTACATTTATTGTGTGTTTACTATGTGCCAGAAACTGCAATTATGCAATTTATTTATTTAGCGCACTGCATCCTCACTCTATGAAGGAGGTAGCATTTTTATTTCAATTTAGAGATGACAAAACTGAGCCAAGAAAGATTAAGCAGCTTGCTGGAGGTCCCATGTCCATTAAGTGGTGGAGACAGGCAATCCGCCCTCAGAGCCTGTGCTCCTCGTCCTAAGGCTCTTGCTAGATCCCTGCCTGGGGCTGGTGCTTAACCACTGACAGGCATCCTGATGGAGGCTGTGTCTTCGCCTGCCTGTTCCACCCCAAACCCCAAACCCTGACTGCTCAATCTCCTGACTCAGCTGTCTGAGAGTAAGCACCAAAGTTGCAGGCATTGGCTAGGCTTCACTCCGTGGTGGCATGGACAAGTCTTTACTGCCATCAGAGGGTAGGGTGGACAAGAGACAGGACAGAGCAGAGGCATGCAGCTATGCTTGTGGTCTGCACGTCACCGAGGGCCGCTGAAGGGGCCGGGGGACAGCTACCAGCAACAGTAGCATGCAGCATTTTGGATTTGAGAGCCGCTACTTCTGGGGGTGAGGCAGAGAAACCAGGCAAAGGTAACTGACAGATGGGCTTTTTGAGCATATGTGGATTAGAAAGATGAACATGAATGGAAATGTGAAATTAGGAGGAACCAGAGCTTTTGAGAAGAAAATGCCGAGTTTTTTTGGACCTGTGGGAGATTACGCTGTTTCGGAACACCGGATACAAGCTCAGAGGAGTTTTTAGATGTGGCCATTTCAATTTGAAACCCCCTTGTCCTCTGGTCTTCCTACATTTTTTTCCATATGCCTGAGTTAATTCTTACATATTAGCCATATGAGTCTTTGATTTTACAGGTTCCACTAAAGTGTCGCCTTGTTAGAAGGCATCCTCTGTGGCCACAGTGATTTCTTCAATGCTTCCTTCTTTCCTTCTTTATCATGACCATTTGTGATTGAACAATTGTATGTCAATGTCACTTGTAAAAATAATTGATAATGACAGCCAACATTTGTTGAGTATTTATTATGTTCCAGGCACAGAGCTGGGCTCTTTTTATTCAGTAATCTCTTTAAGTCTCACAATTATGATGCAGGTGCTATTATTACCTCCATTTTAGAGTTGAAGAAACTAAAGGTCAGGGAGGTTAAATAACTTATCAAAAATCACACAGGCAGTGCATGTGAAGCAAAAAGGAAAGCACAAGTCAGTCAGATTCTACATGGTGGTCAGAATCTTTTTTTAAAATTTTTTTTGAGACAGAGTCTCGCTCTGTTGCCCAGGCTGGAGTGCAGTGGCATAATCTTGGCTCACTACAACTTCCGCCTCCTGGGCTCAAATAAGTCTTATGCCTCAGCTTCCCAAGTAGCTGGGATTGCAGGTGCACACCACCACCCCTGGCTAATTTTTGCATTTTTAGTAGAAACAGGGTTTCGCCATGTTGCCCAAGCTGGTCACAAACTCCTGGCCTCAAGTAATCCACCCACCTTGGCCCCCCAAAGTGCTGGGAGTACAGGCATGAGCCACCATGCTGGGCCAGAATCTGATTTTTAGAGACTCTTTTTATCTTCTAAGGGTTCTGGTTACGGGATTATGTGAATGATCTTCCTGAATTTTGCAGAATCTAATTTTCTAAAGTCTAGGCACATCTGCCTCTGCCTCGCATTCCCTTTCTGGATAAACAACCCGTCTAAGGATATTCAGTCACATTATCCTAAGGATCCTATTACAGCAACGTGGCCCAGTTGTTCAGAATTAAGTCTAGACTGTGCTCCCTGAACTCTCCAGAGAGATGAAACTGTCAGACAGGTCAACCAGAAATTTATCAGGTATTCTGCTTTCAGCTGACATTTCCAAGAGAAGCTCTTCATTACCAAATGTATCTCCCTGTACAAAAATTGTATAATTAGCATTAGATAGCATTATCCATACCTCCCACATGGTTTGGGGTCCATCATATACTCTCAAAATGAACCTTGTACTCTTTAACTGAGAAAGAGAAGAGCAGCCCCTAACACCTAGGACCTGGCCTGGTGCTCACAACTGAGGTCTTGATATTGTCCCACTGAGCACAATTTCATAGAATATCAACATCAGATGAGGCCACAACATCAGACAAGGCCACTCTGACCAGGATGGACCATGGCAAAACCAGGTGCACTCCATTATCATGCCTGAAGACAGACAAAAAACCAACATTGTCCAAACCACAAAATGACCAAATAGTCACTCATTCTGACTGATATGAGTGCAAAGTGTTCTTTTATCAAATAGTTTGTTTTTGTGGTATTTTTTGTTTGTGTGTTTGTTTGTTTGTTTGTTTGAGACGGAGTCTCGCTCTGTCGCCAGGCCGGAGTGCAGTTGCATAGGCTGGAGTGCAGTTGCATAATCTCTGCTCACTGCAACCTCAGCCTCCCAGGTTCAAGCTATTCTCCTGCCTCAGCCTCCCGAGTAGCTGGGACTACAGGCACGTGCCACCACGCCCAGCTAATTTTTAAAGATATTTTTAGTAGAGACAGGATTTCACCATGTGGCCAGGATGGTCTTGATCTCCTGACCTCATGATCTGCCCTCCTCGGGCTTGCAAAGTGCTGGGATTACAGGTGTGAGCCACCATGCCCAGCCAAATAGTTTTAAATTGGCTTCATTTTTCCTACCTCCTGCAGAAGAATTATTATTCAGTCATAACATTGTCCCACTTTCAGAAAGCATCATCCAATCCAGAGTGAAGCTCCACTTCCTTGAACTCTTTCCAAAATCACTGAATGCAAGCCCAAATCCTATCAATCATTCCTTCTACCCCCTTCCTACTGAGATGCCCCCATGGTGTATGTATGTCGACAGGGCCTCACTCCCTCACCCAGGCTGGAGTGCAGTGGCTCGATCATAGCTCACCAAAGCCCCGACTGCCCAAGCTCAGGTGATTCTCCCACCCCAGCCTCCCGAGTAGCTGGGACTACAGGCATGTGCCACCATGCCTGACTAATTTTTTTGTGTTTTTTGTAGAGATGGGGTTTTGCCATGTTGTCCAGGCTGGTCTCAATCTCCTGAGCTCAAGCGATCCTCCTGCCTTTACCTTCCAAAGTGCTGGGATTACAGGTGTGAGCCACTGTGCCTGACCCTTCCTTTCAGTGAATCTATAAATCAGAATGTGCTCCACCACCTGGTGGTCTGTGACTAAAGTACATTGACATACCTAAATGCTCCTCATGATACACATTGATAGACTTGCATATAATACATAGATTTGTGTACAATGCAGCTTGGGATTGAAAGAGCACAAGAACTTGACCAGCCTCAGGTTTGAATCCCAACTCTTCCTTTTCCTCCTCCTCCTTTTCTTAAAAAAAAAAAAAAAAAAAAAAAAAAAAAGGTTTGAGTCAGTTACTTGAATTTTCTAACCCTTAATTCTAATATTCTAATATCATAGGTTTGTTATGAAGATTAAATGAGATCACAGATGCAGAATTTTCTAGATAGAATATTGCCAGATTCTAGGCTGATGCTCAAGGACTGGGTGTTTCTTTCCCTGATCCCTTCTTGTTTGAGTCAACTTCTTTTTTTTTTTTTTTTTTTTTTTTTTGATGGAGTCTCGCTCTGTCACCCAGGCTGGAGTGTAATAGCATGATCTCGGCTCACTGCAACCTCCAACTCCTAGGTTTAAGTGATCCTCCTGCCTCAGCCTCCTGAGTAGCTGGGATTACAGGCATGCACCACCATGCCTGGTTAATTTTTGTATTTTTAGCAGAGACGAGGTTTCACCATGTTGGTCAGGCTGGTCTCGAACTCCTGACCTCGTGATCTGCCTGCCTCAGCTCCCAAAGTGCTGGGATTACAGGCATGAACCACCACGCCCAGCTGAGTCAACTTCTTCTAATAAGGCATTTTACCCAACTGCCATACTCCAGAAAGACATTTTAACCCACCAAACCTTGAGGATCTTTAGAAATTGTACGTCAAAATCTCCAGTTTGTTCGACTTCCTATTGTCTGTGCCATAACTCACTGATATATAAAGCCCATTGACTAATGAGTACTAACGTATTTTATTCATTCTAAGATATACGGCCTTTTAACCAACACTTTAATAAGGCATCTTAAAAGGAAGATTTGGGGATGCAAATTGGGATGTGCCTTATAATTAGCGGCATGTCATGGTTTAACTGGCAGCTTTGTTTCTTTCCTTGTGGAACAAAATATTCATGAATTTTACATCAATAACATCTTGGATTTAATAAAATATGACATCTATTTTTAAACTATTGGATACTTTTTTTTATTATTTCACCTTTTCACCATTGTATTTAGGGTCATTGTCTGTGTCTTATTTCAATTCTGACCCTAAAGTTCTAAAATCAAATGTAAACTCAAGAAGTAAATTTTTTAAGAATTTGGACTGAAAACCTGTAAGTTATAATCAGAGTCCAAGTCATGGTTAGTAGGGATATTTACATAAGATGAGCTCTGACACAGACCCAAAAATAAGTTGATATAACAAATGGAAATTGCTACACAATTGATACTATCATGTAATGGTGTTAAAATAATGATAAAAAATAATCTGAACAAGTTCTGTGGAGCTTTTGTTCTATTTGACTTTAAGTGGAACATAATCTTCAGAACAAGAGGACAACAAAATAATGCTTTGCTAAAAGGATAAAAGAATATGACCTAAGTCTATTAGTAATATAACACTCTATGAATGCACTCAAGTTAATAGCATCTTTTAGCAATAGATACTTTTTCAATTATAGTAATGTGAAGAAATAGACTAAGTGAGGGAAAATGGTAAGAGACACATGAATTGGACTAATTGTTTGGCTGGTTGGTTTTTTATAACCAACTCTTGGGAAGGAAAAAAGTCTCCAACAATCTCTTGATGAGACATTAATTTGAGTTTTCATATTCTAGATCTACTTAATCTTCGTAGGAATGCAATATTTTGTTACCCCATCTTTGAAGAAGGTTTGAAACTCTTGGTAATTTGCTTGTAGTGAGTTGTGCGACATCTTTCTCTTCCTGATCAATTTTGTGGTGTTGTCTGTTATAGAAGCTCTATTACCATAAGGGTTTGCTAACTAGGTGTGATGCTACAATTTCATGCAATGTAATTCCTCTGGGGGTAGGTATTTCCTTCCTGTCCTTTACTGAGTTCTAAATGACCCTCCTTTCACCAATTTTGAGTTGCACACAAGAGTGGATTGCAAATGCTACCCTTTTGGAGTATCTGTGTAGAAATGCTGTTTTATTTCTGCTTTAAGGGATTTAAAATTTTCATTCCCCTAATTTAAAGTGGTGCTTTGGCTACTTTTGTAAAGAATGTGGTGTTCTGAGAGCAAATAACTGAAATGGATAGGCCAGACTCTTATCTTCATGGACCCTCACAAATGGAAAAGTAAAGATATGGATATGGAAGGAGAAAGTGGTCAGGAAAATTGCCATAAATAAGAGAGCAATGATATTGGGCTACATTTGGCACCAGTTTTGTTGTGTTTTAAAAAGGATAAATATGGTTCCCTTTAAGAGAATATGGGAGCAGCTCTTCCTGCTGTGAACCTCTTCCTTGGGCATCCTCCCAGCAGGTTGCATGGGGTGAGAAGTGGCCCAGGTTATTACTGTGATTGAGAGCATTCCTCCAGCACATTTTCTTTCTCCACATTCTCACGCCTCCCCCTTGACTTTTGTGGGATAGGATTTAAGAGTCTACTGCAAATGTCTGATACAAGTTAGGAGCTGTGGGTGCATTCCTGCTTTTAGTACTGCTCAAATAAAAAAGAAAGGGAGGAAGAAGGAAGGAATGAAAAAGAGAGAAAGGAAACAAGAAAGGGAGGAGTGAAGGAGAAAAGGATGGAGGAAGGAAGAGAGGAAGGACAAGGAGAAAGGGAAAGAATTATGAACTCAAACCCAGTGCTTCTTGCACTTTACCGTGGGCATTGTGCATCACCTAGGGGCTTTGTTATAATGTAGATTCTGATTTGGCGGGTCTGAGGCCTGGCTTGACTGGGACCTGAGCATCTGCCTTTCTCACAAGGTCCCAAGGGATGCCAATGCTGCTGGCCCAGGGGTCACACTTGACTATGGAGACCCTAAACTAAGAATGCAGCTGCACTTAGCTCATTATTAACATTTTTTTAAAGACGATTGCGGGGGGTGCTTATTTCTTAGGAATTTGGTCAAGTTTTCCTGGGGAAAAAAATGGGGCACAGGAAAAGGATGTCTCTGGTGGGACCCACTCTTCCCCTTCCCCCACTTCTCTGCCATTTCCCCTCCACCCACCATACTGGGAATGTAGAGTGCTCTGGGGCCAGGTTCCATTAGATGCAGAGGAAAATATCTGAAAAATGCAATTTGTATCATGATATTGGTGATTTATTGTGGTCTGTCTTTTTGAAATATTTGCATTTTATGTATAATGTAGTGTAGTCTTGAAGTCAAATGGAATTGCATTCAGATCCCAACTCTATCACTCACTAACTGTGACCACACGTGAATTACTTAACCTGTCTAAACCTTAGTTTCCACATCTGCAAAATGGGAATGATGGTCCTGATTACACAGACCTTCTGTGAAGATTTAATGAGAAAACAGATATAAAATACTGAGTATAGTGGCTGGCACATGGTAAGTATTGAGTCGATGGCAGCTATTGCAAAATGTTTGAGCAGTAGAGAAACCTAATTGGATAAAGACGTGATCCTGCCATCAGTGAGAAAGCCCGGATACACTCATCTCTCTGCTGCTTCCTCATTGTGCCAAACAGGCAGTGAGTTAATTTCTGTCTATTTATTTAGACAGTTTATACAGTTTTGTTTCCTGTATAAATGAATGGAATAATCATAAACACCTAATAGGGTTATTGTAAGAGTTGAAGAAATAATATATACAAAGTCATTAGTGTATGACCTGGCACATAGAAATGTGTATATATGAAGGAAATTATATTTTTGTCTCTTAAAAATAAGGATTAAGGGAAGAAAGGAATTCTTTATTCAAAATTATTTTGAATAAAGAGGAGTGTTGGCCACACATTCCTGTGCCTAGAAGAATAAAAGCAGTGAGCATGCTGTGATTCCTCAAATCCTACCTTGCTCACATGAAACACATGAAACTCCCAAACACTCCAAACAGACCAGGGTCCATCTACGATGAAACAGTCACTGGTCAAAAGGAAAGTGAAAAAGAAAGCAGGATGCTGCGAGTTTTTCATTAGGCTGAAATTCTTCATTTTAAAGGATTGTCTTGAGATCGAGAACACATCCTTGGGGTGGGAGAAGGGCATTAAAAATGTCTTGTTTGATCATGATAGTGAGAGGTGAAGCCAGCTGGGCTTCTGGGTCAGGTGGGGACTTGGAGAAGTTTTCTGTCTAGCTAAAGGATTGTAAATGCACCAATCAGCGCTCTGTATCTAGCTAAAGGTTTGTAAACACACCAATCAGCACTCTGTAAAAACGGAGCAATCAGCACTCTGTAAAGTGGACCAATCAGCGCTCTGTAAAGTGGACCAATCAGCGCTCTGTAAAATGGACCAATCAGCAGGATGTGGGCTGGGCCAAAGAAAGGAATAAAAGCTGGCCACCTGAGCTAGCAGTGGTAACCCACTCCGGTCCCCTTCTACGCTGTGGGATATTTGTTCTTTCGTTCTTCACAGTAACTTTTGCTGGTGCTCCCTCTTTGCTTCCGCACTACCTTTATGAGCTGTAACACTCACCGCGAAGGTCTGCAGCTTCACTCCTTAAGTCAGCGAGACCACGAACCCCCCCGGGGAGGAAGAAGCAATTCTGGACGTGCCACCTTTAAGAGCTTAACACTGTGAAGGTCTGCAGCTTCACTTCTGAAGCCGGCGAGACCAAGAACCCACCAGAAGGAGAAACTCCGGACACATCTGAAGGAACAAACTCCGCACACACCATCTTTAAGAACTGTAACACTCACCACGAGGGTCCGCGGTTTCATTCTTGAAGTCAGCCAGACCAAGAACCCAGCGGAAGGAACCAATTCTGGACACAGTAGCACATGACAATTAAAATTTTTTTCTTGGAAAAATTAAATTTCAAGATTCATATTCCTATTGTCCCAATTATTAATGTTCTCATTTAATTTGACTGCACTGTGAAATCTCAAAATCTGGGCAGGTCCACGGTCTGTGATCATTTAATCACCTGCCCTTTGCAGACACAAATGCAGCTACTGCCCAGGAAGAACCACTGTCTTCTGTGTTGAAGGTCTCTGAGGTCTTGTACCATGCATATTAGCAGAAGTGACTGCACCCAGAGGCTATCATTTTCAATTGAAATAATGGCTTATTCTGTTGTAACTCATGCTTAAATCATATTCTGCATGACAGATTAGTACCCTCCTTGCTGCTGAAGGGTTGTGCAGCGTTCAGACTTCTGGAAGGCATCTGGGGTCTTGGAGGAGAAGAGGGGAATGAGATATCACTGTCATTCTCACGATAATTTTGGTCTGAGCCAAGCGTGCGGATTCATGTCACCACAACACAGGGATCTCTGTTCAGTCCCCATCTCCTCTTTAGGCTTCGGTTTCCAGTATCCATGTGGGGCCACTTGGTTAACAGTCTCGGTGAGTAAAAACAGTTGAAAATCTCGTAAGAAGGTGTCAGATGGGGAAGTCCTGTAGGTCTGTAAGGCTGCAAAGAGAGCCTTGGAGATATTAGAACACAAATCAGAATGTTTTAGAAGTGGGCTGAAGGGTGGGATCTTGCAAAAAGAACTACAGCGTTCTCTAGCCTTGCCATTTCCACATCACAGTACTGTAATGCAGGTAGCAGGTAAGAAAACATGGACTAGCTCTCCTCACTTCGCCCACATCTCCTCACCCCCAAAACGCTCTTCTCTCTCTCTCTCCTCACCTAAGCTAGTCCCACAATTTCAAAGATTATTTAACAGCTTTGGCCATTTTTCAAGCACATTTAAAGCCAGCTCTTGGTAATTCTTGACTGTTTTACTATAGGTAGGTAAACTGAAAACAATTTAAAACTAGGCCAATTACACTGCCTTGCAGAATCTAGATCTTGTCCCCTTGTCAAGCTCCACAGTGATTCGGCGGCCAGCCAGGAGAGAAAAATCTGTGGTGGTGGTAGTGAAAGCGAAACACTGTTACAAAGGTAGATCTACAGCTGAAGAAAGGCAGGTGACACCTTTCGAATGCTTCCTTTTTTGAAGAATTCATACCTTGTCTCTCTATTATCAGCATAGATAATGAGTTAGAAAACAAAATCGTATTTTATCAATTTCCCACCAAATGATATGTTTAGGAGGTCATTCATAATGACCTGTAATAGACATGTTGATGATTTGTAGATTTGATTTCTTATTGGGGAAAAAAAGCCATGTTTAAATTCCTCTGTAGATATAAGCATTCTTAAGAATTTGCACTAATTTGGGCCGGGCGCAGTGGCTCACGCCTGTAATCCCAGCACTTTTGAGAGTCTGAGGCAGGCAGATCACCTGAGGTTAGGAGTTCCAGACCAGCCTGGCCAACATGGAAAAACACTGTCTCTACTAAAAATACAAACATTAGCCAGGTGTGGTGGTGTGTGCCTGTAATTCCAGCTACTCAGGAGGCTGAGACAGGAGAATCGCTTGAACCCAGGAGATGGAAGTTGCAGTGAGCTGAGATCAAGCCACTACACCCTAGCCTGGGCCACAGAGCGAGACTCCATCTCAAGAAAAAAAAAAAGAAAAAAGAATTTGCACTGATTTAGAAAAGCAACTTTCTTGAAGCAGTTTCAAGTGCAGGGACAATTTTCAAAATTTGAGGATCCTTTCTGAGGTTTCTTGAAGGAAAACTAGTAACCCAAAATTGTATGGAAACCGAGTCAGTGGAATCGGCAGCGAGCTATGGGGAGGGCCCCTTTCACGAGCAGGTGATGGCTGCAGTCTCACAGAGCCCGGCAGCCCCCAGAACCCCATGGCTGGGATTTAATGCCCTGAGGTCACCATCCTGAATTTCTTTAGAATTTGTCTGTGAATTTGTGTTTTATGAGTAAAGTCCAATGGGACATCTGAGCGTGTAGGAGGGTGGAGGGGGCTTAGAGTTTCCTCACCTCCCCAGGACAGGACGGGCTCTGGCTGCCCACTCTCTGCCCCTGGAAGCCTCAGTGTGGCTGTCACATGCTCCACTCTGCCCTTCTCAGGGGGCTTGGGCTCAGGTGAGGGGAAGGTCATATGCTCAGCATGCAACTCCTCAAGGGTCTTCCTGTCCAACCCGATCCAGGTCTCCAACACATCCCAGCCGGAAGGTTACAATCCCTTGGGTTCGCCCATGTGCGATAGGTTGGGGTGGTGCCTTGGGGAAGGAGGGATTGATTTACCAGCCGCAGGCCAGGACCTGCGTTTGTAATTTGCACTGATCCCCACAAATTATTTAACCCCATTGGCACAGGGTTGAGCAAGGACGAAGCAAGAGGGAGGCTGCTTAGATGGGCATGAAAGCCCAGAACATGTGTGGCTGCACCATCTGTGGATTCCAGAGCCCAGCTATCAGTTGTAAGGAGACTATCCAGGGATGGAGCGCAGTGTTGAGGGTGCCTCCTAGCAATGACCTTGTCAGAGCAAGTGTGCATTTCCTGGGAGAACTGTGTTGAAATGAGCAAGGCTTCTTAGACTTAAAAAGGCATTTTAAAAATCAGACAAACTATTTTTGAATGCTCTAAAATCTGTGTCTGACTTCGTTCCGCTGATTCTGACACACACCTCTATCATTTTAAGGATTTGAACTCACTGTGATGTACCTCAACACCACCATACACACATACATATAGAGATACATACATATGTATATTCTTACATATGAAGGCCTGGAGCTGGCCTGTGGGAGATACAAAATGAGTTAGAGACTTTTCCCTGAAAGAACTTACACTCTTGTAGAGATAGCAGTACTCAAGGAATAATTTCTACTCCCAAAGTTCTCTAACTGCCTAAAGTATGTCATGGAATTTTGCCAAAATACATTTGATGACTATCTCCTTTTTTCCTGTCTCTCTGAGAAAAAGTATTTACAGAAAATGAGACCTTTATTGGGCTGGATATCACAGGAGTTTCGCTCTGCTTTTATTAGATAGATGTGAAAACAAATGATAAAAAATTATTGGAGGAAGACTGAGGGATGTTTAGTAAATTTTGAAGAAAAAAGTCATTAAAGTCTTCTATAGCACAGACTAAATCTACCTATAAAAAATGAAGCAATTATTGAGGAATTTTGGCAGAAAGTACAAAAACATCTTCAGTCCAAATAAGAGATTTGTAGAATTTCTTTTTGTAGTTTATCTAACTGTCCCAAATCTCCCTTTGGCTTTTCATGTGTAGATGCAGCCTTAAAATAAAGATTTAGAACCACTTAGGACCTAGACCCCTCACCCAAAGAAAGCTGGACTTCCTTCTGCTGGAGCCAGATAAGTCACTCACTGTAAGAATAAAGAAATGCATTTTTCATATTAATGTAATCAGACAGTCTTGGTTCTCCAGGTCTCAATAGGTGAATTTACAAGTACCTGACAATGTAATTTGCAAAAACGTACAAACCATTTTGTGGATTAATGAATGTTTGATTTCCAAGCATGGCTTGTAGAATTAGCCTTAGAGTCTCAGATTCTACTAAGGGTCTCTACAGTGTTCTGTACATAAATACCTGTGTGACCAGTATCATAAAGAAATTCTAACTGGCAATAAAAAGTGGCAAACAGTGGCAGTAGCTCAGCAGAGATTTTTATAGACACCTCCACTCCCTCCTTGGCATTTAGTAATCTTGAAAAAATTGAAAGGAAGAAAAGTTTAATTTAGAGGGGACTTTTGCTCTGCTTAGCTGGGATTCTCACACCCAACATGAAATAATAATGCATCCAACTGTCCGTCTTAGAATAAGTAACCTTTGTGTCACCTCCTTCACTGGTGGAAACTGCAAACAGTCGGTGAGAAAGGTATGAATACCAGAGAAAGCTGAGGGATCTCTGTGACCTTCATGTGATTATGTTTGTGCTAATGCAGAGAGCACAGAAACCCAAACTCTCTATCCAAAGAACCCAATTCATAAAAAATGCATTGGTCATTAACCAGGGAATCTTAAGCACTGTACTTTGGAGGGATCGCTGACACATGGGAGGAAGTGGAGTTGTTTTGCTTGGGATGAGCAATTCGTATTTGCAGTTCTGTTCCTTTCTCAATCTGCCCTGGCCGTCATATCCTCTTTGCAAAGGGTAAGGCTCCAGAAAGGAGTATATACTCTCGGGATTAAAAAGAGTATATGTGTTTCTTAAAATGACTTACTTGGAAGAGTCAACTCCAAAAAGAGGGAACAATTCAAAACTCTGTGCAAGAGTGAACATCTATTTTACTTTTAGTGTAGCTAAGAGATGCTGAGACTGGTTTCCCTTGGTGAATGAAAATCTGTTGTACCAATTTTTTTTTAAAAGAATTGGAAAACAAAAATGAACTTGCTATGAGGAGTGCGGTGACAGTTATTGGTGACGGTTCTTCAGGGACTCAGCTTGAGCTGGGTGGAGAGAATGGAGTGTGGGAGGCTTGGTCCTCAGGAGGGCACTGAAGAAAGGAGTGTCGTGCTCAGGTGGTCACCCCCTCACCTCTGTGGGTCACAGTCCCTTCAGAGCAGAGGGATCTGCAGGCACCCTGTGGGTTTCAGATGTGAGATCAACCCTGGGACCAATGGTGTTGAGTGAACAAATGCCCTCTGACAACCAGGTCTTATAACAATTAATAATAAGTTGTATCCAAGTGTACCATCCAAACTCCTAATCAGTATTTTGATGTCTTCACCATTTATGACCTATCATTTCCATAATAGATTCAAAACAGGGTTTCTTGTATTTGCAGAGAATTAACTTCTATTATGTAGCTATTTTAAATTTTATATTATGATCCCTTTAAAATCAGTTATTATATTTTTAAAATTACCTGTGAACAAATCACAATTACAAAACAGATGTATCTGAGATGATTCCTCCCTTGCTAAGCTAGAAGTCAGTCAGGATTATGATGAAAGAATGGTGCAGATAAAGAAGCTTGGAAGGCCAAGGGGATTACACTAGCTGCAGACCCATCTGCCATTCAGAAAACGGATTGCATATGGCAGTCTTAGCGCAAAGGAGATTCAGCCTTGCCTGGGTAACGTCTAAGCCACTGCTGGCTCCCTGTGGTCTTCAGTCACAGGTAGAGTTTCATAAAACATTCACGTGAGCTACGCTTTAGATGCTCTGTCAGTAGCCTCATGAGGGATATCAACCTCTGTGTTCAGGAAGCTCCACAAATGATTCGCAGGCCTGGGTGAAAACCACTTCTATAAGCCATGGTATATGTAAAAATTTGGAAACTTTGCCACTATCTTTGTGCCATATTTCCTGATTATGCTACCATGGACTAAAGGAAGCAACTCTATATGTAAACATCTTGCTTTGTAGGCTCTTCAGGACCCAACTATTTAGTCGAGTTCCAAACGTTCATCCAGTGGTGCCAAGGACAGAGTTAGAGTCAGCGCACAGTGGCCACCTTTAGTCAGTGTGCAAGAGAATGTAAATTCCACACAAAGGGACAGAGGGGCAGGAATATGAATTGAGTTGACTTGGGGCAGGTCACTATTATAGACAAATAATATTAAATATTATTAGATTAAATACAATTTAGGCTGGGCATTGTGGCTCATGCCTAAAATCCCAGCACTTTGGGAGGCTAATGTGGGAGGATCACTTGAGGCCAGGAGTTCAAGACCAGTATGGGCAATGGAGTGAGATGATTTCTGTACCAACAAGAAAAAAAGAAAAAAAAAGAAAAAATTAGCTGGGTGTAGTGGCTCGCTCCTGTAGTCTCAGCTACTCAGAAGGCTGAAGCAGGAGGATTGCTTGAGCCCAGGAGATCAAGGTTGCAGTGAGCAATGGTCACACCACTGCACTCTCGCTGGAGCAACAGAGTGAGATACTGTCTCTCTCAAAAAAAAATACAAATTAAATATTTTCATTAAATAATAATAATCAAGAGAAATAGCACTTATATGGCAAGCATGCGCTGTTTCATGAAAGTTACATACATATTAGTTCATTTAATCTTCACAACAGCAATGCTGTGAGAGGGGTACTGTTGTTATCCCTGACTTTTACAACGTGATGCATGAAGTTGGAAAACAAGCCAGAGTTCACATTCTCAGTTAAGTGGTAGTGCTAAATTTAAACCCAGGCAGAGTTTAAATTTTTTTAGAGTTCTTGGTTTTAACTCTTACACCAAACGGCTTTTAATATCTAAATTGGAATCGAGGTGGAATTTGCCAATAAGCTAATAATTTAAAGATATTTCAAAGGTTTATGTTAAACAACAGTGAGTAGTCACGTGGATGCCAGTACCTATCTTAAAGGAATTATATCACTGCTGAATTAAAAGCCAGACCCCTATTTCTATTGAAAAAGAAATGTGAATGAAATGACAGCATAAAGTGATGAACCAGCAGCACAGCCCCTGTCCCATAGAGCTCATAGTTGCTGCCTCAAAAGCATAGGCTGCTAACTTCAGAACAGACTTCAGAGAGCTTTCCTGGAATTCCTTGGTCTCAGAGATGTAACATGTTTCCTAGGCTCCTGGTCAGGAGGAACCCACCCAACCCATTCAAGTTTGTGTTTTCATATCTGTGCCCATGAAAATATCCAATGTCAAATTCTCTGCAAACGTTCAGCTAAGTGTTGCTTCAAATCTCTCTGAAACCCTTAGCCAACGCCATTTATTCATTCTGACTTCCTGATTCCCCCTCTGGCTCTGAGAAGGCCCCTGATTCCAGAGCCGCCTTCCAACCAGACGGATTAGTTTATGGTCCTGCAAGGTTATGCGTGATACATCTGTTTGGGGAAAATGGGGATGCACACTAAGAAGAAACATTACTTTTGGATCCAGGCAGGAGAGCATACATAATCTCCTCTAGAGCCTGTGAAAGACTTCATTTTACACATGAAATTGTGTGGAATTGCCCTGGACTGCACTGAACGTGGTTTTTGAGAATTAACCAGCCTCAGAACAAGCTACTGAGCACCAGCTAGGCCTCAAAGCAACAAAGAATAAATGTAAGCAAATGTAATCTGTGTAAAGTTGAGGGGAACAAATGCACAATCTTGTTGACACAGTGCCTGTGTGAGACCAATCCTAAACATTACAATGGCATGCATTAGAAACAGAGTCAAAAAGTGGGCTTGGTATGCATGAAAGAAAAAAGAGACAGAAGGGCTTGGCATGGTATAGAAATTTTTTAGAATGCAGGTATTCATTTTCTAATTGCTTAAAAGGGCTTTTCTATTTTTCTGTGCATTGTAAAAACACTCTTTTCATAGTCTGGTATAAAAACCCATGCCTGGCAAGTATGGGAAAACAACCAAATTTTTAAAAAATTGTGCATTTTTAGCCATTTGAGAATTTGCCTAATCTGAATATTTGACCAAAACATCACTTTGAAACCTCATAAGCTCTTTGAAGTACATAAATTTCTGCTGAGAATTTTAGGGCAAAATTGGACTTGGGTATATAAGAAAGAACAGAGACTTGCAAGGTTTGCACTGCACAAGCCATCTCCCAGCTTCAAATGCCGTGCTTTTAAGCATAATAGGTAAATCACATCTAAAAAATTTAGAAGAAAGGTCTTCTGCACATTATGAGGAAGTGGTTGGCATCTTATGATGGGTCATCTTACCCTTGTTATTAAATGACAGCAATCATTAAAATGCCAAACATATTTTGTCAGAATTCACTTTATAAAATGTCAGCAAGTCTGTGTTTTTATTAGTTTGTTCCAAATCAATTTAGAAATTTCAATAGAATGCTTGTAAGTATTCTCCAAGCAATGTCCATTCCTGACTTTCTGCACAAAAAATATTACAAATTAATCAGATTTTCAGATTTCTGCATAATGGCTTTGCACATTTATTGCTTAATCCTATTATAAAATGCTGTTATGATTGACACATTGTGGTAGAGATAGAAGTCAATTGAATAATATGTAGCAGTCAATTTTATTTGTAGCTTAATGTGCTGAAGTATTTTCC
The DNA here is from genome assembly GCF_000001405.40 of Homo sapiens. NCBI lineage: Eukaryota > Metazoa > Chordata > Mammalia > Primates > Hominidae > Homo > Homo sapiens. The sequence goes on from NC_000007.14 coordinate 39,203,119, forward strand.
CCCATTTCCATTATTTATAAGTCTGTCCCTTTGGAGAATATATAGGAGAATTTGTTTTAAATGAGCCAATAATACCTTCTTTAAAATTTATAAGTGTGACAGAGTCATATCTTTTTTTCTGGGTTGTCCATGGCATGCCGGTAAACAGGGTTTGAATTGTCTTCCACTTGTTATTCATAGGACAAACATCAGGAAAAAGGATCTTGTTAAGGTTTGCTTGGAATTGGATTTCAACCACCCATTAGAAAACTCCAAGGAAACAAAGCTACCAAGTAGAAATTCTCAAAAATTGCCACTGGTTTTATTTGTTTTGTTTGTTTGTTTGTGTATCTATTGTTTCTACCACTATCTTACCTGCTATAGTTTGTCCTGAAACAAAGCACAGAAACACACGTAGAGAAATGACCATGATAAAAGGGTTTGAAGGATTTGCTCTTTGGTGGAATTTCATTTTTTCTGCTTTGCTGTCCAGTAGGATTCTGGTAAAGGAAGCAAGTTGTGTTCTGTGCTTAGCATGGCGGAGCTCCCTGGAGCTATTGCGGGATTCCTACTGTTTCAATTAGCACCTGGGACACTTGCTTGGGGAGAGCCATATTCTTTTTAGAACATTTTATAAGGTGATATGGAAAAAGGCTTTGTTTTCAGGAAAGCGATGTCATAAGATTCAGTGTTCAAAGAGTACGGAATAAGAACTTGGGAGTATGAAGGAGATGGGGAAAGCCATATTAGGGAATATGAAGGAGATGGGGAAAGCCATATTAGGGGAAATATTGATAGACTTGGTCATATCTGAGATCACATTTTGTTTAATTTTAGGAAACTAGATTAGCTGTGGCTCGCCTGTACTTAAAGGTTGCAGCTTCCCACACATACAACACACTGGCATACTCTATGCAAACTGACTGTGCTACATTCCCTGCTGTTCTATTCTTCTACCTCTTGATGAACTTGGCCATCCTGAATGTCTCTCATCATTATGTATGCAGTTGATAAGTGATTTGAGCACTGGAGATATTGATAAACCACTCTGTCATATCATCTATGCCTTAATGTTATGTGACATCAGTTCCCAAGCTGGATCATATATTAAGGGAGTATTTCTCTTTTGAATTCCAGGGGCTAGAGGAAACCCAGCATTATCAGACCCAGGCACTCCTGACCAACACCAGGCCAGTCAGACCCACCCCCCATTTCCAGTTGGGCCACAGGTCAGTATCTCTCAACTGCTTTCCACTGGGCTGCATTTAGGATGGTTTAACCATATAAATCACCAAATAAATAATAATGAGTTAAATCCAATTGACTCCAACAGAGCAAAGATGGTAATAAATTTTCGTATGAAAAGCTGTATGACTACATTATTTATTAAATACCACCAAGAAAATATGTGTTTGCAAAACTCTTCTCTCTTCTTAAAGGAAAGGTTGGCTTTAATCATGTGGAAACACTTTTTTTTTTTTATCTTAAAACCCACTACAATTGTGCTGTTGGTTACCGTGCAGTTTCCTGGAAAGTAAAACTTTAATGACTGGAGTGTGAAGAAAATTAAGTTATTTCAACCTTACTATAGCCATTTTTGAAATAGAAGATGTGATTTAATATAAAAAAGTTAATGCAATTTTAATGCAAGTTCAGCTTATTGGGTTTGACAATACTGTACATCACACATAGCTCTTGCATTAATAAAGAAATACAATCATTATTTTTTAAAGTCCAATATTTGTTTTTTGCAGCCTGGTGTGGGCTATATGGAGATGTAGAACACAATTATAAAAGGCTGGGCTTTTTTTTTTTTTTTTCCTTTTTACCTCTATCATTTAGTGTGAAGCTTTCAGAGTTCATCCTGCTTTTTTGGAAAGAGAAGCTGAGACTTGGGCCTTTCTCTCCCTTTTATTGTCATTATTGCTCCTGGAAGTTAATGACTTTAAGCACATTGAGGGCTCACCCAAGTTTAGAGTGAGGGTTGGCCTTGACATTCTTATTCCACTCGCCACCAAGACTCCCTATGGCCTCAGATCCCGTAGTCCATCTCGGAGGACAGATCACTCTGTGCCTGTGGACAGAAAGCCTGGGGAAATGTCTGCTGGCTTATGGAAGCCTAGAGAGTTTTCCTGGGACTCTCAGGAACAGGATTTTTGGTGTCATACGCTTTATAATTTTATGCTTGTAACATTGTGTGTGTGTTCATGTAATTATGTGTGTCTGTGTGTGTGTATGTCTGCACACCTGCCTGTGAACATACTGGGGGTAACACACTCTAATGCCTTCAGGTTGGGTAGGCAGCCCCACAGGCCCAGGTCAGTGAGGAGTGGTGGCCCTCCGACAAACTGGAGAGTGCATGCCCTGCCTTGAGCCCACAAATCCTATTTTTAAAATGCTGCAGGCCAAAACCCCCAAATCTATGACCCATATATGGTCTGAGAGCTACTTATTTGCCTTCCCTCTTACCATAATATCACTATTGGCAGTGATGTAACACCTGGAATCTGAGGGCCAGCATATAATTTTGTATACATTCCCGAAGTATATTTATTTTGCTCATTAGAATAACTGTATTTTTTTAAAAAGGGAAGCACAGTTACTTGGTGTGAATTTAGCAAAGTGCACAAATACATTAGGAGCAAGGCCTGTGGGGTCTAAAGCAGCAGTTCTAAACTCAGCTGTGCAGAATCCTAGGGCTCTGCAGAGTCTCCCCCAAAGGGTCCTGAAAGGAACACTGCAGGGAATGGCCAAGTATGGGCTTAGCCCTCTCCACACCTCCCCTCATTCTTCAGATAAAGCAGCCCCACTTCTCTAAATCTGTTCTTTGTATTGGAGGGGATACAAGAAAGGGGTAAAACATGGGCTGTGGAGCAGCCTTCCTGGGCTTGAACTTGAACCCCCTCTCAACTAGACATGGGACTTGGGCAAGTTACTAACCTCTCTGTATCTCATTGGTAGATTAACTACAGCATTAGAATAGTGCCTGGCTATTATACATTGAGCTTAGTAGTATGCCTGTATTTAATTTCCTACCCCTCACATAAGAGTTTTGCATTGGTTCTTGTAGAAGAACAACAGATACAGGATTATTATGTTCCACATGGCTCCCACAAGGCTGCAATGAAAGTCCTGAATCAAGGACTCTAAGATCAAATGACTCTTGTGGTCATCTGGCTTGACCAGGGCAGGAATCCTTCCCATGTCATCCTGGTGAAGAGCCCACGTGCTGCACTCAAAACATGCCGAGCAGTTGCCTTTCCCTACCAGAGAAGGGCTGTTCCATCCATAGTGGATGTAAACATGTGTTTGTATAATATCATTTTAATTGGGCAAATGATGTTAGAGTAATAACAAAAGAATTATTTTCAAAGATTTTAAGTTTTATCCACATCAAATATTTTTATGTCTTACATTCTGTTTTAGATCTTGTCATTGTACATACATAATTCTACCATTTTAACAATAATCATTCAAGTTTACTTAATAGTTATCCAGCTTACTTTCTATTTTATTCTCATATTATAAACATTTTCTATTTTTCTAAAGAGGTGTCATAATGATCCATTTTAATGACTATGCAATATTTCATCTAGTTTAGTACTGTAATAAGCTATTTTCAATATTTATGTATTTTGAAACAATACATGTTTTTATGCAGTTATCTTATTTCCTTTTGAATAATATCTTCAAGCTATATCCTAGGAGTATATTCTGAGTTAAAGGGGGATAAATATTTTTGCAGCTCTTGATAATCTATTTCTAAATTGCTTTCCAAAAGGATTATGCTAGTGTACATGTCCCCCAGCCATAGATCTGCATAATGGTGTCAATACAGACTTTCCAGCATTGAGTAAATTTTCTACATTATTTTTGTTAATTTAAAAGTCAAAAGTAGTATTTCGTTGCTCTTTTTGAATCAAAAAATCCCACTGATCCCAATGAGTTCTTTCTGGAACAACAGAGAATAAATTAGCTGAGAGCTTCAAATATATGAAGATAGGATCAAATGGAAACTCAATGGAAGAGTAGCATATAAACGTAAGTTATTACTTGTAAAGATATTTGAGTTCCTCACAAGAAGTCCAAACCAAATGAAATTTTCCAAAGAAATCAATGAAATGCAACTTTGAAAATTTTTTTCTACCAATCATTTTTTTTTAATGAGATAGGGCATGTTTTTTGGTACTTCTTCGGGAACTTTCTGACCCTACTTAAGTGGAAAGAAGATGTTTTTAAAACCCATGCCTTGGTTCCACAGGAAAGTGAGCTAGCTGTATCTGTTTCCTTGCAGCCACTTCTGACGGCACAGCAGTTAGCTTCTGCTGTGGCCGGCGTGATGCCGGGAGGCCCCCCAGCCCTCAACCAGCCAATCCTCATTCCCTTCAACATGGCGGGACAGCTAGGAGGCCAGCAAGGACTGGTTCTCACACTGCCAACAGCGAATCTCACCAACATCCAAGGGCTGGTGGCAGCAGCTGCAGCCGGAGGCATTATGACTCTGCCACTGCAAAATCTACAAGGTAATCCATAATGTCCATGCGCCACGTAAGGCTCTACCCGTTGGCCAGTATTCTCTGAAGTGGGCAAAAAAAAATGTGCCTAGAATGGTGAATGTGGTTCAGAGTTGCTTCTGCCCTAAATGATATGGAAGGCTTCCACAGGAAGCAAAATTTTCAGTTGTCTGTGAATCCTGAGCCTGCACAAGCCATTGGTTTTATCAATCCTCATTTCCTAACATTGGTATCAAAACTTTTCAGGACTCCTGGAAGCATTTATGAGTCATCATTGCATGACATATCAGAAACTTAAAAGTAAAATTCCTGTGTTGTTATTTGAAGACCTGAGTTATCATCTCACCAATTCTTCAATTTAGCCATGGGTAAAGAAAAGTTAGAGGTTGCTTTTTTGTGTTTGAAGTGATTGGAACATCTCAAATACAAGATATTATTTGGAATAATTTATTAATGATTATTTTGCTCTACAAAGTATGTTTTAGTTATAGTTATTAAACAAAAATTGTGTTATTTGAGCTCATATTTTGCAATGAGAAAAATAGACTTGTATGTTGAGCCTTTATACTACAGGGACATATAACAAGTCAGACTCTAATTTTACTTAGGAAGGGTAGTTGTCTTGATATTATGAAGGTTTTGACTTTTCTTTAAAAGATTTGGTAGCATTGACTGATAGATTGATTTACAAAAGATTCTGTCAGAGGAGTAATTATTTTGGTGGAAAATGACCTGAATATAAATAGGATGCCTGCTAAAGAGAAAATGAATTTATTTTGGACTAGTCAAAGATGTTTGTTTTCTTCATATATATATAAAATTAACAATTAAAATTTTTGCAGAATGAGGGCCTGTCTGGGTAAGTTATCAGAATAGCAATTTAAAATACTTTTTTAGCTGGTCAAATGTTAGGGCTTCATATAATTTATCGGAGAATCAGTCCACAAGACTAAGAAACAGACCAAGTAAGAACTGTTCACTCTTGACCCAAACTTCTTTCCGTTCTCTATGTTCTGTTACCCCACCCATTGTTGCCACTTCTTGACTTCCATTTTGATGTTTAAAACGAAGTCTCTCTTGTACCATTAAATTGTGCCAAGAAACCTGCCATTCATAAATCATGCATGCCCAGGATACGCTAATGCACAAACTTTGCTTGTTTCAAATTTGAGAGTGCCTGGGAAGCCAGATCTCAAGATTAAGCAAATAAAGCAGGAATACACAAGGTGAAAGCCGAAGCAACAAAGTGTAGGGAGAGGCGTTTTAATGTAGGTGGATGATGAAATCTTAATGAAGAAATGGGCATTATCAAAATGCAGCCTTCCGTTTGGAACATTTGTGCTTATGGGAATATTGAATATTATAAATAAACATAAGCTCAAAGAGCTCCTAGGCCATGAATTAATCCTGCTTGGTTAAGATGGTTGCCAAAAATCAGAGTTTAAAAAAAAAGTAGGCTTGTTATTTCTTGATCATAGTTTGATATTCTTAAGATATTAGTACCTGTTTTTTTAAGGGTTCAAAATTAATGATTGGTCCAACGTGGACTTCTTCCACCAAGATTTTCCCTTTTGTTTTTGTTTGTTGTAAATATCAAAGTTCATTATTAGCGTATAGTTTGGAGTTTGGTTCTTTGAGTCACCTCTGGTTTCAGAAAAGGAATCCCAAGCTTTGTAGCCTGATTAAGTAGGGGAAACAAAAGTTCTTGCTTTTCTTATCCCTGGGCACTTCTGACACAATTTCCCTCTCAGCATCATCTTCAGAAGTGGGTTGGAGTTGACGCCCAAGCTCTTGTCTGCTACACAAGCACAAGTGAACATTTCCCCCTTTGTCTTCCTCTTTGAAATTTGACTGACGTTGGAGGGAAGGTGATGAGGTTATTAGAATAAATCACCTCCCAGTTGCAAATCAGCTGGTTATAGGAAAAGCTTTCTAATTAGTATAAGTCTCAGGTAACCCAGAAAGAGGTGGTCATCCTAACGAGAAGTTCAAGGGCAATAAGGATGGTAATCAGGAAAGTCTCATGCCTCAAAAGTGCCCAAGATAAATGTCCACCACCTAAAGGGCAAAGCCAGTGGTCACCTTGTAATCAATCCACCAGCAGCCATCCCAAAGCTGATTTTCCCACCTTTAGGCGACCTATTGCACAGCCCTTGATAATCCCTAGGCAGAATCAATGGCTTGTGGAGCTTTCCAGGTTATGTTGCAGAAGCAGTGGGACTCGGGATGGTGAGTGAATGTCTGACAGGCTGAAAGGTCATCTGCAGGGGTTCTGAGACTGAGCTAGTCTTCAGGATGACCTCAAATCTCATCCTCTCTCAAAGGTGAGAGTTAAGGGTGAGAGTCTTGTAAATGGACTATCAGTACCTTAGAAGGAATCCTTACATGCATTCATGCAGTCAACAGCGAGGGGAGAAGGCTGTTTCCTTTCCCCCATCTCTTTCCTGTACAATAAATACAGTATTTATCAACCCAAGGCTTTTCAGAGTCTTTAAAAACAACTCTTAAGTCTGCTCGTCTATAATAAACACCCCACTTCTCCAGTGATTTTATAAAACATATTTGGTGGGTCATTGTGAGGGGCAGGTTTCATACCTAGTCTGCACACCTAGTCTGAAGCACAGCCTGTTACCATGTAACATGCTTGGTCATGAATAGTGCCCTTTTCCTCATTGTGAAGTGTTAAGCTTTTATTCATGAAACAGTTCGGCCAACTGGAATTATCTCCAGCCTTCCTACCCAGCCCTCTAGCCTGTCTATTCTTCTAGCTCAAAAGTCACAAATTTGCTAGGATGAAAGGAAAAAAAAAAGTTGCTGACATCAGTCTCTTAATGGTTTGGAATTCAGGGATAAGTTTTCAAATATTTTCCTTTTTACTGAAGTGATTGAGAGCGTGTTCATTTACATCCCCTATCAAGTCACACAGAATAGCTCTCAGAGCCTTGGAGGCCATGATTTACACATGTATTTTAATGAGCACTCATGACATGCTGTTACACTGAGAGCAGCTCTTCTCGACTCTGACAGCGGGGGTCATATCACAATCTCCTCTTAAAACATGGTCCCCAGACCAGCGGCATCAATGTCTCCTGGGAGCTTGCTGGAAATACAGGATCTCAGGCTCTACCCGAGATACCCAAGACTCTCGGAACAGAATCTGCATTTTTAAAAGATCCCCAGATAATCCCCATGCACATTAAAGTTTAAGAAATGCTGATCTAGGGAGATTATTCAAAGTTCATTAGGCAACTCCCTGCCTTAGTCTGTTTGGGCTGCTATAACATAAAAACCATAGGTAGGGTGGTTTATAAACAACAGATTGTATTCCTCACAGTGCTGCAGCCTGGGAAGTCCAGGATCAAGGCACAGGCAGATTTGGTTCTGGTGAAGGCCCACTTCCTGGTTCATAGATGTCTGTCTTTTTACTGTGTCCTCCCACCACAGAAGGTATGAGAGAACTCTCAGGGTTCCTTTTATAAAGGCACTAATTTCGTCATGAGGGCTCCACCCTTATGACCTAATCAACTCCCAGAGGCCTCACCTGCTGATACCATCACCTTGGGGGTTAGGATTTCAACATAAAAACTTGGTGGGTTGGGAGGAACAAACACCCAGTCCATGGCATCCCCCAATATCACCAGCAGCCAGAATCAGAGACTCTTATGACAATGGATGACCCACATGAAGGCAGTGAATGTCCTTATTAATGCTCCCGCTCTCACTCACCACCCCAGGCCTCCAGATGAGAATGACAGAAAGGAATAATGTGTGGGAACGTTTTTGCTTCTGTTAGGAGTTTCATATCCTCAAGACCAAGGGAAGTTCTCTTACATAGTGGAAGCCCTCTTGAAGTCCTTGCTCTGAGATTTTATCCAATGAAAGTTTTGCTTTGCTGATAAAAAGACCTTATAACTCAGCAGAAAACCTGTATGTGTGGCCTGGGAATTATTTTATCTTTCTCTCAGATCCTTCCCAGCAAGAAAGAGATTGATTCCTGTCTCATCAGTGATGAGTTCTTATTGTAAGAAGATACACAGTTGTAAGGAGTTAGACATCTTGCAGGATCCTAGGAACAGCCCTGTAACCCAGCCTCATTGGAACCTGGAATGAATTTGGGCATTAGAGCATCCAGCAAACCACAAGGCTGCAGGCTGTATCATCCTCTCCTCTGCAGGAGGCAGGCATCTAATCCCCACACCCAGAATGACTAATGACCCATCTCCCTGTCTTCTCCTGCGCCCTCCAGGACGTTTCTCTACTGCATTGGATGGCTTTTGGCTGAACCATGATTCCGGTTCACTCATGTTCCATTTTGTCTCCTCTAAGGTCAGGCATCTTTCCAATTCATGTACCTGTCAGGAACTCTCCATTTTTCTCTGTCTCCATCATCTTTATCCTTATCTCCATGTCTGTCTAAAATTCTGACTATCCAAGAGAGAAATTACCATGAGGCTGAGCCTTTTAATTTAAGCTATCTCATGTCACTGGCCAGACTGGAGATTGACTGCCCCCAGACTGAGATGTTCGTTTCTGTCCTCTTGGCTATGATGTGGGTGGGAAGTGGGAAGCCAGAATGATGTGGTATGGAACATGGACAAGCGAGCTTAAGAAACAAGCTGAGCCTCTCTCATCAGCAGAAGGGGTGGCAGGTAAGGCAGGCTGGACATTGGCCTTTCTCTTGGGAACAGTAAAAGCCAGTAGGGCCTCTTATGAGCAAGGACTGAAACAAATTCTGAGCTCAGGAGATGCCAATGGTGAGGTTTAGGTTCTGAGTGTTTTGAACGAAGACCTTGGAAGCTCTGGGTGGGATTCAGAAATGCTCTACTCAGAGCATTCAGATGAGATCTAGAAATGACCTCCTCCTCAAAGCCCTGTGTCCCTATGTGAAATAAGTGAGTTCTGTGCCCTCTCGTACCTTGCCTTGAGTGCCCCTTTCCCCTTCCAAGTACCATCCATCATCAGCTACACTGGGTCTCTCCATCCCTGCGTCCTTTATCCCATGTTTATTGGGCTTTGGCCTCTGATGACTGTAAGCAAGCACACACCTGTGAAATAAGACGAATAATAGCCATAAACTCCAAAGAAAGAAGATAATTAAGCTTGCTCTGTCACATATTCCATAAGCTCCTTGAAAAGTCAGTGTCTTCCCTTTTACTATTACTTTGGAACACAGATAGCTGTACTAAAGATGTGCAGTCCTAGGGTAAAAACAGAGGTTGTTAGTTGATGTAGCAAAATAAAATCCCCTTTATGGAGCTCATGCAAATGTGTTGGATCCTTTGCTTTTTTGAAACATAGGCAGGAAATGAAGATATATACAGCCTCGATGTGAGTGACAACAGGCAGCAAAAGGGTTAATGGAACGGTAGAGCTGAGTCTACTTCTGGGACAGATGGTTCAGGTTAGTGACTTGTTCTCACAGCACAGGCCAGAATGACCTACTAATCACTGTAGGCAACATGAATGGAGAATATAAATGTGCTACATAGGAGATTTATGTCAAAGTGTGAACATTCCAGTTAAGTCAAGCATAACATTTAAATTAATGACCAAAAATACATTAAAGAGTGCTGCTAAACCTGAACATGGAAAAGCAATTAGGTTCAAGGCCAGTTGAAAAATCAAGGCCAAGGATGGTTTTTCTTCCCTTCACTCTAGCAGGAAACCTGCCCCGGTTTTCTCTGACTCCCCAAATTAAAGCCTGTGGATGCTGAAGTACCTGGGAATAGTTTGGGGATTAGGGATTTCATGTGCAAGTTACATTATATTCCATTTTGTTTGTATGATTGTTGTTTTCACTGAGGTATCCTTTACATACAAGAAAATGCATGGACCTTACTTGCTTAGTTAAATGAGTTTTGATAATTGCATCCACCCATGCAGGCTCCATCAATACAGAAAACATTTAATTATCTCTAAAAGATTCCTCTGTGTCCCTTTGCAGTCAGTCCCCTCCATCCAACCAGGTAATCTGTTTTTTTCCTGTTCTAGAACTTCACATAAATGGATTCATATTATATGTATTCTTTTGTGTCTGGCTTTTCTCATTCGGCATAATGTTTTTGAGGTTCATCCATGTTGTCGTGTATACAACAGTATAGTAGTTCCTTTCTGTTAATTTCCAAGCAGTGTTTCATCATAAAAATATGCTACATTTTGTTTATCTATGACCATTCCAACATCCCAGTGGGCAGACATCACGGAGGTTCCTTGATTGGGTGTCTCTAGGGAAGCACCTTTGGCCACTGTTCTCTTTGGCCCTTGGCCACACCCCTGGGAGATTCTTTCCTGTCCGTTATCTTCCTTGGCCACATCTGATGAGGAAGTTGAGGAATATACCTTTCTTCGGGGAGTTTCTCAGTCCCTGTATAGCTTATAGATGCTGGAGATCTAATGGGCTGCTTGATGTTTCCAACAGATAGGGATGTGTAGCTCCTTTGAAAATGCAGTCCCTCAGAAAAGGGAATGCTTCTTTTCTTTCTGCTTCCAGTCAGTTCCCTGTGCCAAAGTTTTTTCCAAGACAGACATCTTGAATCTAATTTATTTTGCTTTCTTGTTCCCTACACCCTTCTCTTTCAATTAAATCAGCCTTGATGTGAGGGCATTCTGGCCTCCTTGGTGTTCTTTGCACGTACTCCTAGCCCAGGGCCTTTTGCACAGGCTGTTCCCTCTGCCTGAAGCACTCTGTTCCCACCCAGAAAGCATCAAGCCTTCCTTCCTCCTCCTCCCCTGCCCCAGCACTCCTGTCTCCCTTACTCGCTTTCTGCATTTTCTTTTTCCCTAACACTTAGGACCTTTTACAAAATCTCAAAAGTGTTTGGTTTTCTTTATTTGGCCTTTCTGAGCATTTTGGGTGATGCCTACTGTAGCCATCGAGGGCAAGGTCAGCAGCATTGTGATGCTTGGGCCTGCTGCTGTAGAGGAGAATCTCTGTGTATGATGTATTGCTAATGTGCATCATTTATGTCTGACTCTGCCCCTAGAATGGAAGCCCTGTGACAGGCATCTTTATTTGGTTCAATAAAGTGGCCCAAGAACAGAGAAAGTGCCTAGCTTACTTGTAAAAGGTGCTCAAGTGTGAATGAGTGAATTTTAAAGACTAAGAGTCCAGTAAAGAGAAGTAAAGAGAGCATTCAGTGTAGAGAAGAAGGCATGAGGAGACTAGAGTCTACAGGTTCTATCAATAGCTCTGTCTGTTCAATGAAAATTGGGAATCCAAGGTGGCAAGAAATCAGACTACAGGAGCGGGAAGAAGGCAACACTGAGGACCTTGTATGCTTTGCCTGTGTGTGAGCGTGGCCATCATAGAGCCTGAAATGTTAGAGATGAACATACTTAAAAACAATGCAGTTATGCTATAATTTTTCATGGATATATGTTTGCATTTACTTACTTATGCCTGGGTAATCTCAAGAATTTGAAGCAGCTTGTAATGTAAGAAGCAGGAAGGAGGCCGAAAGTGGTAGCTCATGCCTGTAATCCCAGCACTTTGGGAGGCTGAGGCAGGCCAATTACCTGAGGTCACAAGTTCAAGACCAGCCTGGCCAACATGGCAAAACCCCATCTCTACTAAAAATACAAAATTTAGCAGGACATCATGGTGGGCACCTATAGTCCCAGCTATTCAGGAGGCTGAGGCATGAGAATCGCTTGTACTTGGGAGGCGGAAGTTGCAGTGAGCTGAGATCACGCCACTGGACTCCAGCCTGGGCAACAGAGTGAGACTCCATCTCAAAAATAAATAAATAAATAAAAACAAGAAGCGAGAAAGAGCAAAATCTTTTTAATAGAAAAAGAAAAAACCTAGAGTAAGTTTTGGAACTAGAAGACAAATCAGAACTATATATCGAGTTATATAGTTTTAATTATCTGACAGTAAAAGACCACACCAGTTTGATAAGAAACAGACCTATTTATTTTTGTTTTTCTATTAAGGCAACATTTATTCATTTGTTCAATGAATATTTACTGAACTTTCAAAGCATTAGAGGTAGTGATCTGGACTTAGGACATAGCAATAAACAAAGAGTTCCTTAATGCACATATACGCTACTGGGGGAGTGAAGTAGATGGAGGTGGGGAAGCGTGGCAGGGATGGGGATGTGATGCATTTTATGCAAGGTCATAAGTTGTGGTCTCTACACTGCACAGAGACCCAATGGATGAGAGGGATTAAGCTGTCCAATATCTGAAGAAAGAGTGTCCCAGGGAGAAGTCCTAAGTGCTAAGCACAAAATCTCAAAATCTCCAACAGGAAGGTGTGTTTCTTTGTTGATTTCATATTACATATGGGTCATAGGTGTGCAGTGACTCTGCTGCACATCCTTCACCTTCTAGGATCCAGGCAGAAGAAGCAGCCCCTGTCTGGGATATGTTTTTTTCGTTACAAAGGGAGCAGGGAATGCCAGAACTGCAGTGGCTCTTAAAGCTTCAGCTCAAGAGCTGCTCACATCACTTCCACTCACACGCTGTTGGCCAGACAAGTCACCTGGTCAAGCCAGCTGCTAGTGGTGTGGAGGAGGAAAATAAATAACCCTAAAGGAAGAGAGGAGGAGCACAAAATTGGAAACTATATGACAAGGCGCTGTGTCCAACAGTCATTGCATTAACGATACACTACAGAAGTATTTGACTTAGGTGATTCTTTCCAACACTGAGATTCTAGAATTCTATTAGGTGAACCCATTAGATCACATGGTCTATTCATGTGGTTTTTCAGAACACACACATTAACAATTTCTAACCATAGAATTCAAATGATAAATGTAAAAATGGGTAACGAATATATGGGCCAATTGGAGACGGTTTAAAATAGCAAATTAGGGCATACGAAAGAATGAATTCATTAATGTAACATTCAGGACAAGGCAAAAGTAGAGGGATGACAAGCAGATCAGTGGTTGCTGAAGTGGGGGACAGGTGAATTTAAAGGAGTACAAGGGAATTTGGGGGCTGATGCAACTGTTCTCTGTCTAGATCGTGGTGATGGTTCACTATTTGTGTTTGTCAAATTTGTACAAAAAGGGGGAATTTTATGGTATACAAAATATGTTTCAGTTTTTCCCCAAAAGGAGAAAATATAAGTGAATGCTCTAGGGCTTCACAAAATACCAACTTTCTTTAAAACATAAAAAAAGTTTAAATACAAAACTGCTAATGAAATTGAAACTAGGAAAATCTTTATGGAAATGGGAGACTCAGGTTCCCCATTAAACAGTGTTGTTTGCTCAGTTTCTCAGATACAGAAGCTGACAGTAAAATAATCAAGACTTCAGATGCCTGTAATTTGATCCCAATTGTTTAAAGGAAGCCCCCTCCCCACCCACACACACACCCACAGAGAGAGGGAGGAAATGATAAAAGATAAATACTGTATATAACAAAGTATTACTGGTAGGTGCCAGACAATGAGAAATTCTTATATTAATAGGTTTTATTTTGAAATCCGAATACTTTCTATTCATTAAGGTGGAAGGCCATATCCACAACATAATTACTAGTGTTGCCAAGGTTCGGTTTATGGGTCTGCTGTCTTGACCTTCTAACCACCTTCTTTAAAAAAGCAACTCTCAACACAAAGTGCATTAATTCTCAGATTAAAAAGAATACAACCGCAAAGCAATTCTATGCATTCATTATGTATGAACAGTATTTAATATTAATAAAATTGTCTTTAAATGTGCTTGATTTTGTTGATCGAAGGAGAAATTGCTGGCAGGGAGTGGGTGGGTGGGGATGGAAATATGTGCTAAACCTTCTGGTACCATTCTTGAGGAAGACAAGTAGGTGGCCAGATGCACCACTTTTTCTTGTGATTTAATTTTGTGCTATTCTAGTGATGACCACACTCAGAAAGTTGCATCTCCGCTGACATCATGAACTTGACAGCAGAGATCCGTTACCACTCACAGAAAAGGGCCATGCAGTACCTGCCACAGAAATGAGAAGAAAGGACTTTGGTTCTTAGTATGCAATGATACGTGGCTTGCTGTCACAAAGCTCAATATTGAAAATACCTAGTGCATAAATTCATATTCACAGTGTTATTGAGAAGAGCTTCACAAGACACGCCATACAATAATACCAAATCCACCATAAAGAAGTTATGAAAAGTAGTTGCAATGTGTCTTACTTTGGCAGTTTTTCAAACCTCTGTATCTCTGAGGCTTTAGACTTTTTATTTAAAATACCTGGAGAGCCTGTTCTGTAGTACATTATCCTTGAAGCGGGTGTCACTGAGGCACTGGGGCATGGATTAAACTGGAAGCACATGAATGAGGAGTATGACTAGTATACTGCGTATTTAAGAGATACTGTCAATGGAATAAAGCATTGTCAAAGGATAATGGTTTCCAGCTGCCACATAAATGTCAAAGCAAAGCCAAAGCATTTATTTTCAAAGCAAAATGCAGGAAAGTAATGTGATCCCCAGTTTGCACATAATAAGGCTGTAAATCAGGGCTTCTGATGGAACCTAGCAATGATTCTACACTAGGATGTGCAAACTAGATTAGATTCCAAGCCAGCCATCCGAGTTGGCAAAAGTGAGTAGCTCTTTTCCAAGATGGCTGCCACTAGACTGTCACTGATGCCTAAAAAAGGAAAAGACTGTGTTTGAAATTCACAATCTCACTCCATTACCATGGATGGAAGGGAAGCAGGTTTACTTGCTCACTTCTCTTCTGGAACCAAAATTCAGAGAATTTCTCCATCTGAGGGAAGTGTGGGGACAGAGAGTGGGGGGGTTATTGAAAATAAGAAAATCGGAGACAGTTCCCAATTATTCTTGGCCCACTGTTTAGAGAATGGAGAGCTAATGCTCTCCAAGAAAACCGTATCTTCTCTTACGTGTGTAATTCTTGCAGGGTAGATTCCTAGTGAGAGGTCACAGCTATTATTTCTCAGCTCCCTCTCGGGAAAAGCTAAACTTCATTTCCTCCTATGAATTGTGCCCAAAGATTGGTTGATCGATTTCACAAATACTTACTAAGCATCTGCTATTTGCCAGGCACTATAGTAGGCACTCCAATCTAGTTAGGAAACCATTGCAGGAATCCAAGGAGAAGAGGTCCTGGTGGCAATGATGGAGAGCAGGGGACTGATTTAGGAGGCGTTAACAAGGTGGGTTTGATAAGACTTGGTGATGGGTTAAATGTAGAGGGATAAGAGGAAAGAGAGAGGAGATCCCTACTTTAAGCTGACCATGATTCGTTCAAATTTGCTGTAGAATACTGAGATGGAGATACCACTAGCCAGTTAGTAATACCTAGATCTAGAACTCAGAAAAAGATTTATACTAGAGAAAACCAGTGACTGAAGAAACCATGACTGAAGCTAGGGAGGGAAGAGATTTCTGGGGGAGAAGAGGTTAGGGAAGGAGCACCATTCTTCAAGCCCTGGAAGAGGAAGGGACAGGCACAATGGAGGCTAAGGAAGCGTTTTCAACTTGTCTAATCGTTGTGCACCAGGTTATGTGGGGCTCCTGTAGATACCTCTTGCGTTTGAATTCTCTTTCATGGACATAATCTCCGCATTAATGTGGGTCTTTTTGATTGTTGCTTACCCCTTATTTAGCCGGAATGCAACAAGAAGGAGCCCCCCAAAAAAGTATGTCAGTTTGCTTTTTAATCTTCTAAGGATTTGCCAGGTTTCCATGTATAAAGAAGCTATTTTAAGAGCGTCTACATAAAAGTTTCAACAGTGTTTGCTCTTTTGCTGAAAAGTAACTCAACTGAATTAAATCTATTATTTAAAAAACGTAGTTGTAGCCTTAAAATCTGAAAATGAAAATGTTTGAGTCCTTTTTTCCCTTCCTTTCTTCTTTTTAAAGAACCTTTGGGTCATGCCTGCTGTCCTCATGTAGGGCAGTGGAAATGGCACCATTATGTTTAGATCTGGTGCTATAGGGAAGGATATTTGTGCTTGTAAAAACTGTGGTTTAAATAACACAGTTTTAATTTTCTGAAACAATTTCCCTTGAAAACTATATTTTATTAATATTGTAAGCAAACGTAATCTCTGAAAAATACTTGGCTCCACGTTAACCTTTTACTTTGGTTTAGTGTTATCTCCTCCCAACTGTGCTTACCAAGTTTATAGCCAAAACTAAAAAAATAAAAAAGAACACAGTATGTTTGTCATTTGTCACTGGATTAGGATTAGCGCAAATATACAGGTCCATTAACACATTTTTATGCATCTCAGTTCCCTTGTGTGGCATTATTTTAGAAATTCTTAGCAGAACATATATATATATACAACATTTGACATAAGATAATTTGATTTTGCTGTGCTTGGAAAATAACTCACACGGGAGAAAGTTGCATTAAATAAATAATAGAGATAAAATTTATACTTCCATATATTTCAAAGTTAATGCTGCTAACTTGCAATAGAATGGTAACATGAAGACACAGTGCTATAATTTGATTGATTTGTTTTGACAGCAGCCAAATAATTGAGAGTGAAAGGTGTCAGCACAGATGAAATATTGTATAAGCCACATTCAGAAGGCAACCCCAGCAGCAGCCGCGACTGGAGTTTTATTTCCTTTGATTTGGTTCTGTTACTCACTTCCAGTTTATTATGAAACCGTGAAAGGTGTGCCACTTCCCCAACTAGGGAGACTTTTATGGAAAGAATAGAAATAGGAGTTTGTCAAATAGCTGAACAATGGTTATAGACAAAAGAATCTAAGATGGCAGTAGCATACCAAGCTAAATTATATCAGTCTCTCTCTTTCTTTTGCAACTTGATGCCCTAGTACATTTTGTCTCATTGTGAAGTGATTCTGAGTCAAAGCATTTTCCAGCCCCTTGACAAGAGATGGGGGAAAAAGAGGGGTGTACTTGGCACCATCTCTGGGACCAGATAAGGCATTTATGCAACCGAAAACCCGAGCACCTGGTAAGAATAAGATCTGAGATGTTTAGTTAATACAGAAGCTACATGGTCAGGAGAGGATCAGTTAGGACAAAGACTCTGCACTCAGGCAAACATGGATCATGGTAATTAATAGAGTGGCCTGTGAATCACACTGACCAGATTTACTTCCAGCCCTTCTGCTTGCTGGCTATGTAGCCTAGACAAGGCACTCTGATTTCTGAGATTTGCTTTGCTTGTCTATTTTTTAGGGTTGTTTTAAAAGTTAAATGTGATACTATATGGAACATACCTAGCATGGTGCCTGATACTTAGTAAGTGCACAATGAATGATGGCTACTTTTGTTATTTAGAGCTGCAAAATCCAATATGGTAGCCATGAGCCACACATGGCTATTGGGCATTTAAAATGTGGATAATTGAAACTGAGATATGCTGTAAGTGTAAAATTCACACAAATGCAAAATATCTCATGAATATTTATATATTGATAATGTGTTGAAATGATATTTTGGATATATTGAGTTAAATACAATATCTTATTAAAAATAATTTCAGCTTTAAATTTTTTTAAAATATGGACACCAGAAAATTTTAAATTGCATGGGTGGCTCCCATTTGCAGCTTACATTATGTTTCTCTTGGGCAACACAGGCCTAGAGGATCTGCCTATACAAATGGCACTGGTTAAAAGCTATGTTCATTAAAAATAAAAATAACAGGTACATGTAAATTGTGGACCTTCAAGCAGAAAATCACAAAGGATCCACTTTGGTAACACAAATTAGAGACAACACATTTTGTAGGCTCTCTGCCATAGTATAGGAACTACTTGGGATGCAGTTTTATGCGCAATTTCCATTGATCAGAATCTAAAATTCTCTCTCTCTCTTTTTTTTTTTTTTTTTTTTTTTTGAGACAGTGTCTCGCTCTGTCCTCCAGACTGGAGTGCGGTGGCATGATCTCAGCTCACTGCAACCTCCACTGCCCAGGTTCAAGCAATTCTCCTGCCTTAGCCTCCCCAGTAGCTAGGATTACAGGTGTGTGCCACCACACCTAATTTTTGTATTTTTAGTAGAGACCGGGGTTTCACCATGTTGGCCAGGCTGGTCTCGAACTCCTAACCTCAGTGATCCACTCACCTCGGCCTTCCAAAGTGCTGGGATTACAAGTGTGAGCCATCGCACCTGGCCTAAAAATGATCTTGTCTTTTTAAAAATTAGTACGCTTTTTACTGTGAAATATAGAGAAATTATGTGCTTCAACTGTATTTGTAATATTTTACAAAAACAATATAAAGCAAGAAGGACAAAATGTTAGAATTTGTGAGAACAGTGTGATGAGTACACAGGCCCTCTGTATGTTATTCATTATAGTTGTCTTTATGGTTTAAATATTTTAAAATAAAAAACATTAAAACGTTTTAAAATGCTCCTTAAGAATTATCCTTCTATATCCTTAATAAATTAACAAATAAGCTATATTTTTTTCTGGGATTAAAAAAAAGTCTTAACTCATTTGCAATCTCTGTTAGTTACTTATTTTCACCACCAAAAGTTAGCTGAATAAAAGCCTAGGCATCCACACAGAATTTGGTTTGTTTAAAAAGAACCATAGGCAATGCTGTCACTAAAGAATGTTTCAGAGGGAATGCTAGACCACAACATCAGACATATTTGCAAGGGGCCTGTTGCTTTCTTTTGCTAAAAGCTTCCAATAATTCCACAAAGGGTATTTGCAGATTTCTGAAAGTTCCAGAAAAAAAATTAAATGAACTACCAAATTCAGTTGAATGCTTGAAAATTTTAGGAGTTATCTATTTGCTAAGGATCCATTATTCAGTCTGGTCTAGTTAGAGAAGTTGACAAAAGGAAGAGAAGAGACTTTCCATGGCAAAATTGGAGTAAAATATACCTAACATAAAATTTATCATCTTAACCATTTTTAAGTGTACAGTTCTGTGGCACCAAGTACATTTACATTTCTGTGCAATCATCATCACCATCCATCTCTCTAGAACTTTTTCATCCTCCCCAGCTGAAACTCTGTACCCATTAAAACACAACTCCCCATCCCCCTCCCCCAGTCCCTGGCAACCACCATTCTACTTTCTGTCTCTATGAATTTGACCACTCTGGGTACCTCATAGAAGTGGAATCATATAGTATTCGTCCTTTTGTAACTGGCTTGTTTTGCTTAGCATAATGTTTTCAAGGTTCATTCATGTTGTAGCATATGTCAGAATTGTCTTCTTTTTGAAGACTAAATAATATTCCATTGTATGTATAGCTACTCATCTGTGGAATGGACACTTGTGTTGTTTCCACTATTTGACTATTGTGGATGATGCTGCTACAAACATGGGTGTAGAAATATCTATTTGTATCAGCTTTCAATTGTTTGGGGTATATACCCAGAAGAGGAATGCTAGATCATACGGTAATTCTACATCTAATCATTTGGCGAGTTGCCATACTATTTTCCATAGCAGCTGTGCCATTTTACATTCCCACCAACAGTGCACAAGGATGCCAGTTTCTCCACATCCTTAACAACATTTACAATTTTCTGAAGTTTTTTGGTTTGTTTTGGAGGCTTCTTGTTTTGTTTTGTTTTATAGTAGCTATCCTGTTGGGTGTGAAGTGATATCTCATTATGGTTGAAGGAGCATTTTTGAGAGAACAGTTACTTACTGACTTCTCCTAATATGGCTTAATCACATTCAAGTATGATATCAAATATTAAAATAACCTGAGGAGAAGGCACGCTTCAGAAGTTGTGTTACTTCTGCTTTGTGCCCTTCAAATTGTAAATATCATCATTACGGTATTTATATAATTGCAGTTGGATTTACACTTTAGGTATATACAACTGTGTTATATATGCAGGTGGATACTCACGTGAAAGAACATTTCTTTTTACCATGAAAGAAATTCTTGCAATGCAAATCCTCTTTTTCTATTGAACTCCAATACAGTTAAAGGCTACACTGGACAACAAATAAAATACTTAGAGATTTGAGGAAATTTTTCCTTAAAGATTTTCAAGTTGTGACTTGCTCAGTAAAATCCTGACTGTTGGAATTCAACAGAGGACCTAAACAATCATCCTGTTTTTCTTTGCAGCATTTTTCCCCAACCTTGAAATCTTCCCTACCTTTGAGAGCTATCTAAATCCCTTCCTGAATCACAAGAATTTCTTCCATGCCAGAGTATTGCCTTATTTTCTGCTTTGAATGTCAAGAACGTGTCTGCCATATTCATGCTTTAGCCTAGTGGGAGCTACTCTCTCATCAGTTTGAAGTATAATGTTTACTTTTCTAGTAAATTTTCTATTCTAACTCTTGTTTTACTCTAGCCTTAATTTTTGTAGTTAAAGCCTTCAAGTTATAGTAACAAAATTAAGTTGGTTCTTCACTTGAGCACTTCTATCCAATCCTATATATCTATTAGACATTTTTGGTGTATTTTGTGTTTAGAGTTTTCACATGCAATAGATGATTTTGTTTAAGTCAAGTGTGATGTGCAGTTAGTAGAGCTGCACTTCACCAGCAAGCGTTTGACATTTATATCATCTGTACAGGCTGCCCCATACTCTAGCCACAAATAGAATGCAGGATAAGGTAGCCAGGTCACCTCAAAAGAAAAGAATTGGTGTACAAAAGCCCCTCAAAATCATAAAGTCACTGGTGCTCATAAAATGATATTGCATACTTTTTCAGGAGATTAATGAATGGGTCATAAAATAACATTAATTTTTTGGCCAACTTCCAGCCAGAAAGTTGTGTGTTTCCTAGGTAGTACTTTTCCAACTGCGAAAGCCTGGCTCTGAGAATATTTGCATTTCAAATCATTAATGCTCTTGCATTTCTTCACTTAAAACCAAAAAAAAAAAAAAGAGGAAATAAAGCTATTGAAACCCCAAACTGCTCCAGCATTTCTGCCCAGGTTATGTCTTGGGCAGTTATGTCTTCTTAGCTAAATTCTCCAAGTCTTTGGAAATGAGGATGAGGCAGTTGGAGCAGAATGCTACTGAGAGTTCAGTGGGTCCACGTTCAGGGGTTCCACTCCCTCAACACACATCTTAGAACCACCAATGACTGCTTTACTTTACGCCAGTTAGCAAACTTGAAAATTTATTTATTGGTCAAAAGGGTGATAATATTATGAAATACAGGCAGAAAAAAAGCAAAAACAATCACTGCTACTAGAAGAAAAACAATTACCCCACACCAGTTGATCAGCCTCATGAATGTCTGTAATGACTGACAGCACATTCATTCACACAGTGGGCACAGAAAAAGGACATGCCTATTTCCCACCACAGCTTTTCCAGAATTCTGGAGGGCCCCTCAGCAGATGTGACTGAGTCTGTAAGTGAAAGTTTCTCTCTGAAACCTGGGACAGCCTTGTCAGTGCTTGCCTCTTGAATGTTCCAGAATATCATATGACCATGTGATTTACTGATTTGCAGCCAGCTGCCAACTGTTTTTTAAGATGGAGAACTCCAACCACTTCTCACTTGAAATATTTCAATATTGTGTTCACATAGAAATACCATTTATGAATGAATTAAAAAACAAAAACCTCAAACCACTTTGAATTTCATAGACTCTTGGGAGAAATCAGGAATGTTATCAAACATAAACATCTATTTAATTCAAAATAGCATTAAAATAATAAACTTTCTTTTTTTTTTGAGACAGTGTCTCACTCTGTCAACCAGGCTGGAGTGCAGTGGTGCCATCTTGGCTCACTTCAACCTCTGCCTCCTGGGTTCAAGTGTAAAATAATAAGCTTTTAATTAAGGAGCTAAAGCTCGAAAAGAGGGCTGTTTTATAATACATTTTTTTTGGTTCCTAACTGCCCAACTTTCCCCTAACTTAAAGTTGTTTTAATCAGGCTATGTTGAACTCTCATAACAAAAGCACAAGATTACCTTTTCTAACTGAATATTTCTGAAAAATTCTCAGTGTACTGGGGTTGAATTTCTTCATCCCCTACCAAAGGGAAACCTGGATTTCGAAGCATGTTACCTTTTCTGTCTGAATATTTCTGAAGAATTCTCAATGTACTGGGGTTGAATTTCTTCACCCCCCACCAAAGGGAAACATGGATTTCAAAGCATGTTCCCATGAAGGGAAAAATTCCACATCCACGACATTCATAGAATTATCAGGTATAAAAGAGACTTTGTCTAAAATTTGATCTATAATTTTCTCTTAAAAACTAAATGATATAGCCACATGCTGTGTATGTAATAGATGTATGTGAATGTGCGTGTGTTCTTCAGCAAAACTGTTGTACTTTATGCAGGTATAAAATGTTGCCATATTCGTTAATTTTGTCATAACAAATGTTTGACCACATGTGATTTCATGCCATAAAAACACACCCGCGTTTTTGGGGGAAAATAGAATGCTTCAGGTCTCATGCCAGGTTTTAATGTAGAATTAATTCCTTTAAAAAAAAAAGGTTGTTTTTTTTTAAAAAAAACCAACATTTTTCTAATGTACATTAAGGATGTTGGAGAATTCACTGAAGCATATGTTCTGAGCTTTCGGGAGCAATCTGTAGTCAGGCATTTTAAATGAAAATTGATTTGTGATTTACATGGTCAGTGGAAAGAAAATTAACTTATGGAAGGTTGTAATGAAATATTAGACAAGTAAAAAAGTAGATGGTGATCTAGTGGAACTAAAAGTCCCATCTGGAAGAATTCTGTGACATTTTTACATTTATCTGTGTTCTGCATGAGTTGTAATGTTAGTGGTAATTTTATGGGACTGAACTGAAATGAAAAGGGTGTTATCACAGATTGCCTACAATATAGGATTGTGTTCAGTGGAGAGGCCTGTATCCTTTTCTCCATTTTCCTATAATATGACTCATTGCACTTTTTTCAGCTACTGTTGTTGAATGCATTCAGCCTTTTACTTGAGGTTATTAGAAGAACATCAAATGCTCACAAATACAATCTAACCACACATTTAAAAGCAACACAGAAGCTTCTCCTTAGTTCTTCATTGTTTAGGTAATGTCTAAGAAAGACCCTTTAAAATGTACATGAAAGAAGCAAGTGCATTGAATGTAAAGCTTTCACTTTAAACCATTTTTTTGTTTGTTTCAAAAGTATGATTAACACCTCACCAAAAACCTAGAACATGTTAGCAGTATGGTAAATTTATATCTTCCTGAAAGTAGGTCATTCAGAAGTTGCCCATTTTTCTCCCTTTTTATTCCAATTTTGTAAAAGTACTCATAATTGTTTCCATGATCAGAGAAGAGTGTTCTAGGAAAGAAAGGCCAAGACTCTTCCTTTTCTGTTTGATAAAAAATAAATACCTATCATATTTCAATAGTAATGAGCTGATGTGAATTTTGAACGGGAATGAGTTGCGGGCTTAATTTCACATGCTATTCTTCTTCCCTTTACACTGACTATTTTTGACAGATGGTCACGACTTTTTGAAATATATCACTTCTAAATTATTGTGCCTTAAATATTTGATAAAATGTAAATACTTTGACCTTGTACTAAAGCATAAGCTGTGAAATTATTTGCCTTCGAATTTCAAAATCCATTTTCTGTCTCTTTTCTTTTCCCTGCTTTCATCTCTTCCTCCATGAACCACAGCTGAATATAGGTAGAACTTCTAAAAATTCTAACTATTAAGGTCTTTGGCTAAATTGTTACTTGTACTATATTTAAATAAATCCACTAAATGTGAGAAATCTTACTTTTAGGATAGATTGCTTAGAACGTCCTCTTTTATTTTCCTTTTTTTTTCCATCGAGTTTTGTTCTTTTGTGAAGTTTTCTCGTCTTTATTTTTCTATTTTCTCTAATAAGAAAAGTGCTAGTCATTTCAGGAAGTTAAAATTGTATCATGTTGATTTCAACCAGAGTGGCAGCTTCCTAGCTCTGTAACTACAGAGGTGCTTCTCAGGTGGGGCTGCCCATGTAGCATCACCTGGGCTTTGTAAAAAAGAGCAACTCCTAGGCCCCTTCATGGAGTTCTGATGTAATGAATCTGAGGTACCTCGTGACATTGGTACCTTTTTTTTTTTTTTTTTTTTTGAGACGGAGTCTCGCTCTGTCACCCAGGCTGGAGTGCAGTGGCGCGATCTCAGCTCACTGCAACCTCTGCCACCCGGGTTCACGCCATTCTCCTGCCTCAGCCTCCCGAGTAGCTGGGGCTACAGGCATCCGCCACCACGCTTGGCTAATTTTGTTTTGTATTTTTAGTAGATACGGGGTTTCACTGTGTTAGCGAGGATGGTCTCGATCTTCTGACCTCATGATCTGCCTGCCTCGGCCTCCCAAAGTGCTGGGATTACAGGCATGAGCCACCGTGCCCGGCAACATTGGTACCTTTAAAAAACTCCCTGGTTGAGTGTCCTGTGCAGCCAGGGTTGAGACCACAGCTCTGTAAGAGCAGGTGGTAGGGAAACCCTTTGTGAAGTTGCTCTATTTTAGGTGAGGAAGGGAAGGAGAGAGGACGGGGTTGGTGGGCCTGGATTCATCCCTGCCTTACCAGAAGACACAACTCTACTCTTCCTCTATGCAGCTTTTACATTCTAGGAATAGTTGTTTGACTCACAATATCTGGATTTGTGTCTTTGACCTAAATACACATACACAAATAGGTTATAGGAGAATTATGCATTATTTATTTAATTGCATTTTCAAATCACCGGCTCAAAATATATACTTTGAGTCCATTGTTTTTGTGTAGGTTTGATGACTTGAATTGAGATTTCTATCCCAATTTAATATAAAATATTTTAAAACTTTTTCCTGAGAGCTGGCTAGAAATGTCTGTTTTTGTAGGCAGAGGATGGCCTATTGACGCCATCCTTTTGACTTGGTTTTTTGTTGTTTTCTTGAAGTAGAAAGCACATAGCCCTCCCACCAAAACGTCCTCTAACGTCAAAACCCAAGGCTGTAGCTGTGGGTGCTGATGTAGCATTTAAGCAACCATTTGACATCCATCCCTCCTGTCATTTCTGCTGCATATTCGGTTCATAACATTTCTAGGGAAAAGGTCACGGATCTGTCACCAGCAGTGTTTGTGGCACTCAGAAAATAAAGCGGGGTGGTTAATGATAGCTGGGACAGCCCATGTAATCACAGGATGCCGCCGAGGTCAATATTCCTTATTGGCTTTCCATCCTGTCCATCTGAAACAATATACTGGAGTAAATGTAATCAGTAAGTAGTCGCAAATGAATCTTTTGGAGACATCAGCATTACAGAAACAAGAGATTCAAGAAGAGATGCTAAGTGGAACCTTTTGGGTTGTAATTGCAGCCCTGGGAATAATTACCTTAATTAATAGCTGCTAAACCTGGGACCCTTGCTCCCAGGCTCATGGATGAGTTTGCAATTGCTGTTCTGGGAATGTCTTTCGGGCTCTGCAGAAAGTGTCAATGGGGTAAACACACTCTGGGGACCAGGCTTAGGCACTGAGAGCCTCCTGGCCCCATTTTTTCCTCACCACAAGTACATCCCTGCTGATCAGATAGCCATCTCCATAGACCACAAAGTAGTGAGCCATGGTTGTGGAATTGGATGAGGAGATCCATTTCAGCACCAAGTTCCTGTTTAGTCAAGAGAGCCTTAAATGCATGCTGTTTCCAGTGGATTGATGGCTCTGGTTAGAAAACAGCAGCCCTCTTGACATTTGCCTGTGAATACATAAAGAGCTCAAGAAAGAGAAAACAATAGGGCAGCATTTGTTTGCGCATCCTCCAGCCCCACTTCAGTAGGCTGTCTTTAAGAGCTGGCAAGCTTGTCTGAAGGATCAGCCACAGGCAAAATTGTGGTTTGTTTCCCGACCTCGGACTTTCCTTTGCCCTCATTAGCAATGCTCCCTCTCTCCCCTTCTCATCTGGCATCAACTGTCTGGGCCATTCTGCCTTCTCTCCTTGGTCTAAACCTCCTCTAGAGAAAAGTCCCAATGCACTTGCTCATCCCGAGGTTTAATTTCCCAACAATGATTCCAGAAACACGTACAGGAAAGCAGCAGCTTGGGCCAGCCATCAGGTAACTGGATTTGGGAATTATTTAGGAAAAGAGAAAAACCTCCTCCCCCTCATACCCTTATCCTATAGCCTATATGACTTCACTAGTAAGATACTAGTTTGTGAGACACTGATGTTAAAGTTTTCTCAGTAATGATCCAAATATTACCTACACAAAAGATTCCATTCACATGGAAAGTGTGTTAAAGAAACAGGCAGGTATCTCTTAACAGCAATAAGTCTCTCCATTTACTTTGCAATCTTTGCCCTAAACAATGTGTGTAATCCTGGACATTGGGATTGGGAGACAAGGGGAGATACTAACTGACGTTTTGAGGATCTCGATGTTCGTGTGTGGACTCACATGCAGCTCACGTTTATTGAGCACATACTAAATTCTGAGCACTCTCAAAACTCATCTCACTTACTTGCCACAGGCACCCTGTCCAGGCATTATCCTCCTCACTGTTCGTGGTAGTCAACCAAGGCACAGATGCGATTAAGAGATTTTTCCAAAATAATAAAACTAGGAAGCAGTGGAGTCCAAGTTTGAACTTGGGCTGTCTGGCAGAGATGCCCTGTCCCTTCCATTGCTCCAGTAACTGGGAATCAGGTTTACCTGCTACTGGTTTGGAACATTTAAAGTGGCTCCCACAAGATCTACAAGAAGTTCAAGGTAGGCCAGGCATGGTGGCTCATGCCTGTAATCCCAGCATTTTGGGAGGCTGAGACAGGAGGATTCCTCGAGGCCAGAGTCCAAGACCAACCTGAGCAACATAGTGAGACCCTGTCTCTACCAAAAATTAAAAAAAAAAATTTAGCTGGGTGTAGTGGTGCATGCCTATAGCCTCAGCTATTTTGGAGACTGAGGCAAAGGACCACATGAGCCCAGGAATTCGAGGCTGCAGTGAGCTATGATCACACCACTACACTCCAGCCTGGGTGACAGCATAAGACCCTGTTTTAAAAAGAAAAAAAAAAAAAAAGTTCAAGATAGCATGGTTTGATTACAAAATTTTGGTATGCTGAGATAGTAATACTTGCTCAATAAAACCAGATGAATTGATTAACTGGAACAACCTCATGCCTCTAAATACGTCTCCTTCCCATAGCAATAGAAGAATTTGCAGGTAAATCTAGAAAGGGGGAAAATCATAAAGGGCCCAACAGAAATATCAGAATTGATACAAATAGTTTCTGCCATTCTTAAAATGAATAAGTGAAGGGAGAATGCCAGTTAGTACTGGTCAATATACTCAATATATAGACACACACTTTTCTGTGTCTGATGAATGTCATTACTAAAATTTTAATTAGAATACAAGCCCCCCCAATGCATCCCAAATAGATTTGTGTGCTAATGGGGTCAGAAGGTGCTAGACAAAGAATAAGCACAGTAGTTTTCAACTGGGGGTGAGTCTTCCCCTACTCCCCCAGGGTCACTTGGCAATGTCTGGAAGCACTTTTTGTTGTTGTAATTGGTGGTGGTGGTGCTACTGGCATCTAGAGGGTAGAGACCAGTGATGCAGCTAAATACCCTGTGAGGCACAGGACAACATCAAAACAAAAAATTATCTAGCCCCAAATGTCAATTGTGCTGAGATTGAGAAACCTTGGATCAAAGAACTAATGTTGAGGGTGAAAAAATAACAAAGGGTAAAGAAGCCTAATTGACTTTACAATCTGAAAGTGTAAGTGTGTTCTGGCTAGAAATTGTGATAAGAAAAGCATCTTAATATTGTTAGCATGACTGAAAAATTATTTCAGTATTCTTCACAGTCTAATGGGATTGACCTTATGATAAATTTTAAGCAGGGATGGAATTAACTTCCAGGAAAACAGCAATGATAATAGGTAGCAGTTTTTGACCCCTACGGCATGCCAGGCATTTACTATATGCTTTATTGACATCATATTTAATCATCACAACTCTATGAAATATATATAATTATACCCTTTTATATATGATTAAAAAATTGCTATAAGAGATTAAGTGGTATGGCAGAGATATTTCTGTTCTGATCACTTCATTTCCTTTTCCTGATTGACACATAGACCCTATTTTCCATCCTTTCTTAGAGTTAAGCGGGTCTCTATGACTGATCCTGGCCAATAGAATGTGGGTACAATACGATATGTTCTTCCAGAACTGGCTCCTAAAAATTCCTTCTATTCAATCCCCTGCATGTTCTCTCTTCCTTCGGATCCAGTGGCGGACTCAGGGGTCCTAGGGAATAGCCTGGATCCCTGAATGACTGTGTGCGCCCCACTGGCCCTCGCTGGACATAGATGTGAAAGAAAAAAAAATTATTGTATTTATCTACTAAAAGTTGGGGTTGTTTCTTGGAGCAGTTGAAATGCCCTAATTAATACATGGGGCTTTAAATAAGCTGGAATTTGAATCTATGTTTTTCTAATCCCAGAGCCCCTGTCCATGATGACTACATTGTGTTACGAATAAATGATTATAAGCCATTTCAAAACAAGTACAAATTATTTTCAAGAAACAGTTGTAAAAAGATGTCTATAATTTTCCCTGCATTTCTTCTAGATAGAAAAGTCAAAGTATAAAATTATCATTGAATTTTCTCATTATAGAGATATAAATTGATACAAATATGTCCCTGAAGTATATAAATATTCAACAATTTTAGAAGCAGATAAAAATGTATGATGTTTATGATTACATGTGAATAGATGCTATTCTTTACATGTTCTTCTGATATTAACTAGATGTTTGTTAGCTGTTCTTCTTTCCAAGCACAAAGGACAAGTAAATAGATAACAAAAGGTTTTTAGGAAAAAAAAAATGGAGAGAAGATAACCAAGTGCTGCTTACCTGTTTCTATTCCAAACCAAAATAAAACACTGACTCTTGATGAATGATCAAAGTTATCAACTAGAAAGACAATCATTTTACTTCCAAGGAGGAGAACAAAGGAGGTGTCTCTAAAAAGACTATCACTCATGGTCACTAGGTTGAGAACCCTTTAATAGAAAACATCCAATTTTTTAAGAATGTGTGTAGCTCCCTCCAGCATATAGACGGTATTCAAATACTTACTAAATTAATCTGAATATTTATATTATTGCAGTTAGAAGATCTAACCAGAATGAATACATACTGAATTTGTTGGTAGGTTTCCTTTAACTTCTTGCTACCAATGATTTTATTGAACTCAACATATCAAGCAAATATTATTGCAGTGGCAATCATTTAATGTTGCCATGACATGCTAAGATCAGAAGTAGTTATGGCCCATGTCGTTTGCCTGAACTAATGCACATGCTAAAGGCAAGGAATCTTCTGATTTGGGATCAATTTCCATGGCATTAAACTAAGGACTTGCCCATGAAATGAAGTTTTGTGCTCTCTCAAGGACATCTACAGAATTTGACTCTGTGTGTAATATATTTCCATTCTCTCCAGGACTATTCCTTGGTTTTTAAGCTTTTAAGCTTATTGTCAACAATATTTTAGCTTATTTAGATCACATTGTAGCATATTATATATTTTAAATGTTTTCTGACAAATTACGTGCAATTTATTAATTAATTCATTTATTTATCAGGTGTTTTATTAACCACTTATCCTATGCTGTGCTCAGGTATACCAGTTGTCTGGAACCTCAGCCCACATTCTCAATATTATATTCTAGTGTGAGTAATACAGAGGTCATAGTTTAGTGAGGAAGGTAGACCTGAAAACAGGTAATTTGCAAAATAATTTGATAGAATATTGTAAAATAAGAACTAAAGAAATAGTGGTATTATCTGTTTTACCAAAAAAAAAAAAAAATTCTGCTAAGTAGTATCCAGTCTGAATTTAGCATTTGGCTTTTCTCAACATTATCACTAGCTGCCTTATTAATTAAGTAATTAAGGTGCCAATATTATCAATAATTTAATTAATAACTATTTTAGAAATAAGATACTGCAAAGCTTCTTGCATTGCTACATTCTCATTCTCTGGGACTTGTAGGAAGGGTCTGTCCCGAGGCTGATCTACTTCCCTCCCTCCCAGCACATAGGAGGAATCCTGTCCGGAGGGCTAGAGGATGATGATCTGGGTTATGGCAAAGTGGAATTAGGACCTGGGTTTCTTCATCTCTTCCCAGGCTCCCTCCACATGGCTGCACTACTAATGCCACTGGCCAGAGTCCTGTGATTGTTAGCGGACCCCCAGAGAAAGCCAGCATGTGAATGCCACCCCCCAACACACAATATGTACACATTACCGAACTTCCTGGTAACTCATTTTCTCCAGCATAGCAGAGTCTTTCAGAAAGTGTAAAACCCGGTCACTTTAATTATATCAATCCATCTGCGTGGTTGTCCTCCTCTTGTGTTTTCCGGGCTTCTGGTTGTGAAATCAGAGCATGGGGATATTTCCTCTGAGGCTTTTCATTAAATGGTATTCGGCGCAGAGAAAGGCATTGCTGAATCTTTAATGTTCTGCTACCAATAGTCATGTGGGCCTTCTATCCTGCTTGTTTTAACATAAATTTTATGGAAACTACATCTTTGGCACGCATATGCTAAGCATACAGCACTATAAGAGCCCCATTTTGTAGACAATCAGCCCAGGATATTGTAATCCCTCTGTTAGATAAAATGCATGTTTCCCTTTTAATGATAAATCAGTCTGTTCAAGTATTGAATAAGATGGTACCCTTGGGAGTCTTTATGATTAAAATTAGATTATTAAGGGAAAAAAAGGACTCTGAATGGAAATATTTTCTGGCCTCTGATTGGCACTTGGATGCTTTCAGTACTGCCTGGTTGAGCAGCTGTCACTGTATTCTTACAAAGTGACAGTCCCCTACTCTCCCCAACCCTGTCCCAGAGAACACGGTAGACATGGTGCCTCCTGGTATTGTGCAGTGCTGAGGCCCTGAGTGCTCTTAAGCCTTAGACTCTATGAGTTTTGACCTGCAGAAAGTTAATATCAATGAGTTATTGGATTTAGTGATTTTTTTTTTCAGGTGAAGACAAAATGCAGCCATGTTGCTGTGTGTTTATCTCTGGGAAGGAGACAAAGTAAAGGAACAAGATCACAGTGTGATCCTTCTGGAAACTCACCTCTCTTTTGTGTTTTGTTTGTCTATTGGCTGCTTCATATGCAACCTATCTCTAGGTGCAAAAGCATCTTTTGTTCCAATGATTCCACTGACCCCCTCTTCATAGGAGCGAACTACTATTTTATAGGGACTGTTAGAAATTCATTTTCTACTAATGTCAATTTTCTTGCCAACACACTGGATTTCTCATGCATCAATAGTACCATTGTTCCATTTTTGTTACATTCTGCTATAATGTTATTCTAGAAGTAAAACTATCCAGATAGGGCATCAAAATAATTCTTTTGCCAGACTGCTAACTGAGTGAAATTCTCTTAGGCATTCCTCCCTAGGCGTGGCTTTCTCCCTATGTTCAGAAGCCATTTCTTTCACTCTAATGCAACAGAACAAGTGCCTTCCCACTTTCAGTTTATGCGTTTGTAGCGCCTTGTAGATTCTGTCTCTGCTGTCTTTAGGATGCTAAACTCTACACCACCAAGGTGCTTTGGGGTCAGCCCCTTATGTTCCAGGATTTGCTACTTTTACCTTCTTAATTAATATTACACCATCTTTTCCTTTCCTTGCTGTGTAACTACCTGCTGCTCACATGCTCATCTTCTTAGTAGCCTGCCTTTGCCTGACCCAGATCTACAGCCACTCATTTTTAGAAAAGGAAAAGGAGGCAACAAAGGCAGCATAATAGATGTATCTGGGCAGATCATAATAAAAATAGCTCCTGAATATCAAGTACTGTGGTTAGAACTTTTCATATTATTATCTCATTTATACACATAATGATTTTATGAGGTAGTTGTTATCATCTCCATTTCGCTTGTTTAAGGTCACACACCTGGTAATTGGTGGTGCTGAGATGAAAGCCAAGGTCTCCCTGCCTTCACCACCGGGCCACCCTGCCCCTTCTCCTGCCAGTCCACTGGGCTTTCTCCCCTGAGAGTCAAAGTTTCAGCCTGTTTCCCCTCTGAGGTCCTTGGTGTTGACAAGACCTCAGTCTAGATCAGATTGCATTTTATCCCTTTACTCTCTGTGCCTTGTATCCCCTGAGCTTTTTAACATATGGGGAGCCCTTCCTTAGAATAGCTGTCACCTAGGCGTATTGTAATTTATACCTATTGACACTATGCTGCAGATAATTCACCTTTGCAAACTGTCACTTTCCACCGTCACCAGAAGTAGCTAGCAAACGGAAATCATATGCATGGTGCCCATCAACAGAGGACCTTGGTGTCACTTGATGCAAACACATGTGGGGGAAAATGAGCCTGTACCTCCTGGATCACACAGATGTCTTCTTTCCAATCGAGAGCATCATTTGATGACTTTGAAGGAGCCAGAAGATGAGATAAATAACTCCTAAGATATGATCATTATTGAAATAGATTACTGAACAGGTGCGTCTGCATTTTCTGGAACGTCTCTGGAGTAGATCTTTTATTCTTTGGTTAAGTAGCAAAATGCAATTGCAACATTTTCCCAAGAAACTATTAATATAATACATATTGAAAACCAAACTGCACTCACCACTTCCTTTGAGGACTCAAAGGTAAGACTCAGAGAACCACGGAATTTTCTTTAAATAGAACACACTTCAGAAATTATTTGTCCCCACCTTCTACATCACAGCTAAAGAAATTGAGGTACAGAAATATTAATGGATGCATTCAAGGTTAAACACAGTGATGAGTACTCTGAGAATATAACTAAGCGCCTCTAAAATTAATATCATAGCACTTATATACATTTCAGTACCTGTCATTTTTCTCTGCTTCCATGGCATTGGTAATAATGGAAACGTATTCCTGCCTTCAGATTGTGTTTGCATTTTTTTTCTCATCTTTGTGGTTTGAAATAGTTAAAGCATCAGCCCCAACCAATATGCACTTGAATTTGAAATTTGCTGTATGATGCTGCCGCTTTTCATTTTTTACCATTTCACACCTTGTCCGCATCTTGAGCAAGCTTGTAAGTTTCCAGTGCATACATTTCTTGTGATGATATATTGTCCTGGTGGAAAATTTCATTTACTGGCTGTGCCCTTTGCTGAACCTGTTGCTAGTCAGGGAACATGATAAGCGTATAAGTAGCATGCTACTTCATTTATCATACATCGTTTTAGACACTCAAATATCTCATATACAATTCTGCATTCTGCACAAAGGGAAACTACCCAACTCACAGAAAAAAAAAGATCTTCAAGTAAATTGTCACTTTATGATACACAAATGTATCCTCTTAACAAAAATTAATCGTAGTTTATACTAAAACTGTAAGTATCCTTTATTTTTTATAAAACTGCTAACCACATGCTATCAAACATGAATAGGAAGATCTTGGCTTTTGTGATTTGGTGTATAAGAGAATTGGAAGATATAAAGACGCTATTTTCAATAACTGGATCACATTGTGAAATAAATCAGGGTATTGGGAATCCCAGCAGTGTCTCAGGGGCCGTCTGGTGCTACACTCCTCACACACAGAAGCACTTCAACATTTTCCTCCTTTTGCCTTGAGGGAAAACAGCCCTAAGTCAGAGCCAACACTTGCAGAAGCCTGAATGAAGCTGGAGAGAGAAGGCGCATCAGCAAATGGAAAACCAAGGAAAACAAAGCTCTAAGCGTGTGCTTGGAAAGTCTTCTTTTTAAAAGGGTTATTTTCCTAGGCTGCTCCAGGATGCTGGGCCTACCTAATTTCAGTAACTTTTCCTCTATTGATTTCTGCTTTTCCCCTGCCTGTCAATGCAATGTTTTACTAGCACCCATGTTTTATGTGTAGCATTAAAAAATCTACATTCTGTCAGAATGGGGCCCTTGAAATTTTGAAAGTGAAACTTGATTTACATTAAACACTGCTTAGACTAATTAGGACCTTTCTCAAAGGAATTGTGAACATGAAATACAGCTAACAATTACGTGTTCGCTGTGTCCCTTTCTTTATGGTCCAGGAAGTACTTTAGCTGAGTGGAACCCATAGACAGATAAGAGCTATGGACACTTGTAGAAAGGTGTCCATAGATGGAGGCCTGGACATTTTTATCCATATAGGACTACTGCCCCTCAGAAACAACAGTTAGTGTATTTCAACATGGTGCATTTCAGCAGCAACTCACTTCTATACCTGTAAATACGACTCAGCTAGACCCGGCCTTGCAGGGGGCACCCATACAAAAGGGAAGAGCCTCTCAAATGAAAACTCACTTTTAAACATTTTTTTTTAATAAAAAAGCATGTCCCTTTCTGAAATGCGGGATTGGGATGCAGAATTTAAATGTAACATTACTTCTGGCCACTGTGAAAAAGCCCTTACTAAATATACAGCAACAAACCATTTGGTTTTCTCCATTTCTCGTGTTGATGGAACTCTCTCTAGGCCCTGGTTGTTCTTGCTCTTTGAATCGCAGTCTTTGAGATGTGAATGAAAGCTGTGGATCTTCCCTACAGAAAAAAGCGCACATCCCCTGAAAGACACAGATGTCTGCATGTAATTTCAGGGGGGTATAAATACTCTGAGGTTCGCTCACGGGTCCCTAAATGTGCATGGAAAGAGCACTGGATTCAAATCACCAGTTACAAACTGAGGCAGTTTATTAAGCCTCTCTAAACTCAGTTTGAGCATCTGTAAAATGAGCACAAAGATAGTACTCGCCAAGTGGGCTGCAGCGGAGATTAGAGACAATGAACATATAAGGACAAACGCCGCCTGACACATGGTAGTTGCTTCGCCAGTGTCTGTTTCCTCTCCCTCCTTAGACTAACTTACCAGAAAGCAAAGTCATCAACTAGAAAACAGGGCTTGGCAAACTTCAGTCTGCCGGCGGAATCTCATCTACCACCTGTTTTTCTAGATAAAGCTTTACTGGAATACAGCCACATCCATTTGTTTACGTATTGTTTGCGGCTGCTTTTGTGCTACAATGGCAGAGTTGAATAGTTGTAACAAAGATTATGTGGCTCGCAAAACCAAAAATAATTGCCATCTGGCCTTTTCCGGAAAAAGTTTGCCAACACTTGCTCTATAGCTCTTAATCCAAGTCAACAGCATTTGCAGGCAGTTCCCTTCCTCCTGATTGGAGGCATCTGTTTATTGCTATTGTGACCATGCCCTGTTTGGAGGTTGGATCTGAGGTAGATACTGACAGTTGTTGGCAGCAAGGTCTGATAGTGAAGACTCCAGCTCCAAATTGGAATCAATTCAAATGTCTATCAAGAGGAAAATGGGTGAATACGTTGTGGTGTAGTATTTGTGCAGTCAAAGAGTACAGTAATAAAAAGAATGAGCTATTGCTACACACAGAAACGTGGGACCAGCAAAGAAAACTGAACATAGAAGGGTACATAATGTACGGTCACATTTATATGTTCTTAGAACATATAAAACTAACTCTTGGTGATGCAAGTCAGAGTAGGGAGGGAAACCTCTGGGCTGTTGAAGCATTCTATACCTCCATTACTTAGCACAAGATGGTAATTACATATGTAGACATTTTTGAGCTATATATTTAAAATTAATGTACTTTCTGCACTTGGGAGGTTGTATCTGAAGTGGAATAATATGAAAGACAGAGAGACAGAGAAGAGAATGCTCTGGGCTGAGGCTGTCAAGGGTCAGATCCTGATTTTCCACCACTGACTAGTGATAAGACTTGGGACAGCTGTCTTCATAGTGCCTCAGTTTCCTCAATGTAGAATGGCCAAATGGTTGAGTAGGTTTAAATTTCCTTATCTACAATTCCAAAATCCAAAAAAATCTCTGAAAAGCGAAGGTGTTTTCATAACTGATTTAGCAGCACGACTGACCTTAACTTGTATCAGAATATTTATGGTTTTTATTTATCCCACTTAGTATGAAAAGTCATAGGTCTTGTTGCAGAAATATTAATGTGCTTCATTGTGGAATGCTGCTACAGATGATACTGGGAGTATTATTAATATGTGGTATATGTTTTCCATATTAATTTTCTAAAATATTAAAAATTCTGAATCCAAAATTTCTGGACCAAGATCATTAGGGAAGGGATTGTGGACTTATATCTGCCTCATGGAGTTTATGAGGATTAAATAAAATTACAACTGAAGAGCACTTAGAACAATGCCTGTCTCATGCAAAGCACTTAACGAAGACTAATATTATTAATTGTGATTTCTGCTCCCACTCCAAGGAAGTGTATGACAACTGTTTTCCTTAGGGCCAGATGACACTAATTATGGAAACTATCAGGAGTCAAATTTCTAAAGACAGTAGCCTATAAACCTTCCCTTGAGCAAACTTCATGACAAAGAGGTGGAAAACTGTGGCTTCATAAAGGGGGCAAAGTCCTGAATTATCACTCAGGATAACTTCACAAATGGGACTATCTTATGAGAGGCTGTTTTCTGTCACATCTCCAAGTAGACACTTCCACTATGATGAGAAACTGCTAAGTATTCTTAAACAGAATATGAGGGTTTCTTTGAAGGACCAGGAAAGGAGTTTTATTTAGTGCTGATTCTACCTGAGTTTTAAAAATACTCCATTTCCAGCATTCCTGCTGGGCTGTGTGTATTTGAAGCATTCTACTGAAAGGACCCCTCTGTCTCTGACATCTTTGTTTGTACCGGAATTAAGGTGGCCATGTGCAAGGAAATTACCCCAAATCGGGACAAGGAAAGGAAAAATTAAGGGAGAAGCAAGTCACATAAATGATCCTTCAAAAGGATGTTGTGTCTAAAAATAATCTAAAGAACTTTATGGAAAGGGCAGTGGCTCTGAGTACCAAATTCTGGTTCTTACATCTGCCACTACTTGCTGGGTGACCTTAGACAAACCACAGAATCCCTTTGTGCCTCAGTTTCCTCATTTGTAAATCGAAAGGGCCTTATAAATGGAAAGTTGATTTCTAATATGCCTCTCAATTCTGTGAATTCTAACTGCCCCAATTTTGTAAGGCCAGAAACCAGTTCCTACCAATCAACTCAAACTCCTGCATAAGACCGGAGGAATCTACAGAATGAGAAACTTTACAAAATGCTTATTGATTTAAAATACAACCTTGTTTTGTTTACTCTGGCATCCCCAGTATCTAAAATAGCAACTGGCACAAAGTAGGTACTAAAAAAGTATTGCTGCATGAAAGAATGACTATTTTAATAATAGATCTGTTACTGAGACAATAATAGTTTCTTTGATAAATAAATACTAATGAAGTTTTTGTTATTTAATGACTCTTGCGAGTAAAAGATATGATATTTTCAGCCATACAGAAAATCGCAGCTCAAAATTATTTACCAGGAAAATGTCTCATCTCATATGTTAAGAATTCAAAAGGGAGACAGCATCTTTATTGGCTCATTTATTGGCATTTTTATTGGCTCAACAGTGTCACTAAAGACCTAGGTTTCTTCCTTCCTCTGCCCACCTTCTTGGGCATATTAACTTTCTTGCAGCTGACTCACCTTGTGGTTGCCAAACAGCTGCTGCATTTGCAACATCATGTAACCTTCTCCCTTCCCCGCAAGACTTCAGCAGACTTCTCACTTCTTATTGGCTGGAATTAGGTCGCATGCGTACTCTTAACCTATTCCTGGCAAGAGGTCTGGGATATGTAATTGTCTTAGGTAGTTTAGGAGAAATGGGTATGTTCCCTGAACAAAATCAAGGTTTTCTTAGAAAGAAGGAGGCAGAGGAATAGATTTACATAATCAATGGAGAGTGATTGCTCCAGAATTAAATATCTGTTTAATAAATAGCTGTTCAATAAGTAAAAGAAAGAATGAATGAATATAGAAACAAATGGCATCAAGATAAAAAGTCAGATGTTAAAATGCCAAATGGATGATCCAAAGATTAAGTGACAGAGGGATTTTCTGAAGATGTCACTGTGTGCTGGTGTGGTGAAGGTGTCACTCGGATAGTGGCACATGGCCTGAACTTGGATGGTCTGGATATGGGTGAAGAGCTGGTGAAGGCATTTCATTTGTGGGGAGAGTTTGATCCAATGAAGGGAAGTAGAAACATATATAACATGTATTCGTAGGAAGAGAGACACTGAATGAAGAGAGGAGAGGTCAGTAGGGGACAGTTATTAAGGATCAGTTTGGAAAAATAAATTTTTATAACTTGGCTCTTTGATTAGGCCTTATTCTATTGGTAATGGGAAGTATTTTTTTAGTTAAATGTGTTGAGCTATACTTTACATAAAGCAAAATCCACTCTTTTCAGTATACAGTTCCATGAGTTTTGACAAACACACACAGTTGGTGTAACTGTGATACAAGATAGAGACAAATTCCTCAAATATTTTCTCATCCCCTTTGTAATTAACTCTTCCTTGACCACCAGCCTGAGTGACCACTGATCTGTTTTCTGTCTCTATAGTTTTGCCTTTTTCTGAACGTCATGTGTAGCCTTTTGAGTCTAGCTGCTTTCCCTTAAAATACATATTTGAGATTCATCTATGTTGTATGTAACAGGTTAGTTCCTTTTTCTGTGAGTAAGGTTTCACTGTGTGGATATACCACAGTTTGTTAATCCATTTGCCAGTTGAAGGATATTTAGATGGTTTCCCTTTTATTTTGGCAATGATAAACCCACTGTAAACGTTTGCATATAGGTTTTTCTGTGAACATAAATTTTTATTTATT
Organism: Homo sapiens; assembly: GCF_000001405.40. Classification (NCBI taxonomy): domain Eukaryota; kingdom Metazoa; phylum Chordata; class Mammalia; order Primates; family Hominidae; genus Homo; species Homo sapiens. The sequence continues at coordinate 39,242,213 of NC_000007.14, forward strand.
TTGGGTAAATACTTAGGAGTGGAATTCCTGGGTTATATGGTAAGTGTGTGTTAACTGCCAAACAGCTTTCAAAAGTGGTTGTGCTGCTTTGCAATCCCACCGGCAGGGTATGAGCATTCTAGTTCCTCCACATCCTGTCAGCACTTCATGTTGTCAGTTTTTGTTTTGCTTTTTTTTTTTTCTTTTCTTGTCTTTAGTTTAGCCATCGCACTAAGCATCTATTGGCTTTAACTTTCATTTCTCTAATGACTAATAATGTTGACCATTTTTCTTGTACTTATTTGTCTACTCTGTATCTTTTTCAGTAAAGTGTCTAAAAAGAAAGGCTTTTTTGGGGGGGGTCATGATATGGTAAAATCAAAGCTTTAGAAAGACAAACGTGGGCTGGAATTAGGGTCTTGTTATGAAAATCAGATAGGAAGCTAATGCATAAACCAAGTCTGAGGGGATGAGAAGGGTAGTATACCTATAATTACATACCATATTTGTTCTAACAAATAGACACTGAACAGAGAAAACACCTTGCACTGTGCCTGCCAGTATACTGAAAATAATAATTACTGCCATGTATGATGTACCAGATACATGCAGGCACACGTGTACACAGTCACAGGTATGAAGTAACTTAATCTTCACACCACCTCCATCAGGTTCTAGTTCTCTCCTCTACCCTTCATATGAGGAAACCGAAGTACAGAGAAGAAAATCACTCACTTAAGTTCATACAGCTATTAAGAGTAAGTGACATCTGGAGGATTGGAACTCTGTAACCACCACACAATACTGTCCTCATAGAAGTACCTCCATTAATGTTTGTTGAATTAAATGAATTTTAAAACTATAAGAAATCACCAAGCATACCTATTTCATAGTTCTGTTTCTTAGAATCAAAACTGGTTTGACAAACACACTAAATGAAACTCTTCTCAATAACACATAGCACATATTATATTATTTGAACAATAATAAAATGGCAGTATTCTTCCTTATTTACCAACTGGATCAAGAGTGGTGGCCCCCAAAAGTAGCAGACTATAGGGTTCATTATCCATTTCCTGTGGTTCTTTCTCAAAACTGTCCTCCCAGTGATGGAAAGGCAAGGACCACTAAATACAGGCTACTTTGGGGACATACCTCCACTGCACCCCCTGCACCCCTTAACCAGGGCATAATTGAGCCATTTCCTCAGTCAGCTGGATGCAGGCTCTTTCCACTCCACTCACCAATGGAAGACCCAGCCTCATTGCTTGGGAACAATTATGCCCTGCCAGGGTATGAGAGCATCCACCTTTGAAACCACTTCTGCAGAGCTAGAAGGATGAGAGCAAACAAAGAAAAAATATAACAAAAAGCCCTTTAATCCTTATTTCTTGGCTCAGCTCTAGGAGAGTTATTTTACTGAGTTCTCCAAGAAGAGATAAGAGATGCTAATTGTAGTATCAGTAATTTATTCTAGGAACCAAGACAGTTCATGCTACTAGATCAAAATAAACACATTTTTAGAGGTTTTATATTGTAAGGGTGTGAAAACCCAGCTCTGTTAGGATAGTACTCTAATCCCCAGAAATGAAGTCCCCAGAATCCATCTGATTTGTCTCTTGGTCAGTTGGAAAACTCAGAATTTGCCCATTTTTTAAAACTAAGTACCAACTTTGAAGTACAGCCTATTTTTAGTGCTGGAAAGTCCTACAGGTCATTGACAGTTCCAGACCTACAGTGTTGTCTTCAAGTTCTTAAAGCTTGTTGAGAGAGGAGACTTGAAGTTTTTGATCAAAAAGGTATTCATATTTGATAACTTTCCATTAATGGCAGTCTTTCCCTGGTAATGTCCATTATAAGATTAGAGACAGGTTCTCTCAAGGGAAAAATGTTGGTTTACTGTATTTCCAGAGGAAGTGGGACTACAAAATAGAAAAAGAGAAATTCAATTAAAACTTCATATAAAAAAAACATTTTTGTCATGAGACATTAGAATAAATTTCAAGTACTGTCATTAACTTTAGATTGTGATGTCTTTCTGAGGCATAGGCATATTTTAAGGTGCTTCTAAAAGGAAGACAGAAAACAGCATTTTGCCCCCAAACCATGCCCACGCTGCAAAAACATCTCACAACTACAGTTGGGTTCACTGTGGAAACAGTCTGATTCTGTGGCAAGAGCTGAGCCTGAGTACCACTCGTTGCCCGTGTGACCATGATGAATTTCTTTCTCTGAAACTGAATTTCCTCTTCTATAAAGCAGGAATAAGAATATTTATGTTTAGAGTCATTGTGGGGATTAAATACATCAATGTATGAGAAATAGCTGGAACTGGTATTAACTTACTGGTGGTAGTTATTGGTAGCTCCTTTTCCCTAAAATTACAATATCATGAAATCCCAAGAAATTCCATCAACTAATCATTCATTTCTGTATGTACACTCACACACACGCATTTCATACAAGCAGTGTAATGTTAATATAGAAAAATCATAGCCTGTGGTCATCTATCCCATGAAGGTCCACATTCTGAGCCAGGTGTTAAAATCATGGTTCTCATTTATGCTTACCATGAACAGAATCACCATCCCCAACTCAGAGGATCTAAGCTTACCATCAGTTCTTCCTTGGCATTAACTTCACAGCTGCCCCTTACCCAGAAATGATTCTTCCATTGAAAAGGATATCATTTATAAAAATTATACATTTTAATGAACCAGAAGAATTCAGTAACAGCCACGAATACTCCAAATGGCCTTTAATATTTCCAGAGGGATATGAGAAATCTCTGAACTTCACAGCAGCCCATGAAAAAAGCTATCCTGGAGATGTCCAAAGTCTATAACCTTATAGGTATTTCACAGAAATAATGTGGGGCTTAGATAATGAATTAGCGAAGTTAAGGATTTTGTTGAGTGAGTTACCATCAAGCAAAGCTAAAGCCTACTTTGGGTCTATAAATCACAGAAATGAGTATCTTTAAAGTTTAAACCTGCTTGGAGAAAATATCTGGCCCTGCATTAAGATCTTGAGTTGAAGATAATAGCAAATTAACTTATTCAAAAGTGAGCAGACAGCTTCGTAAAACTTGACCCAAGTAGAATTTTCATAAGTACTGACTAGTTCTCCTCTAGTTCTGAATTCTGAAAAGTGAAAATGACATATGATTATCTACCTTTCACTTTTACACCTAGGCATTGGGGTCTCTTCATTCTGTTTATTATTTAGACCCACTGGGAAAATATTAGCTGAGCCATTGGCCCAAGAGGTTGTCTTGATAGCAATATCTACCAGTTAGAAAGAAAATCTTATTTTATGACTTGGTTTTTTATCAACTTTTTACCTTCTTCTTAGACTTATTAAGAAGAGGCTCCTGTCTGCGTCACATCATTCAGTTTGTTGGAAAGACTATTAGTTCTACATGCTGGATTAGGACTGAACACTAATGCAAGTCTCTTTCCATCTAGGAGGAACTTAGTTTTTGCATGAAATCATGTTATCATCTGCAGTAAAACCTTAGAGGTCTCCAGTATATAATACATGGGACTGCACATAGTTCCAGCTAGATTCAATAGGAGCATCAGTGGGGAAAGAATCCTGAAAAAGTAGAAAGAAGACCACGTAATTTGACCAAGAAGATCATGGTTCTGATGCCTTTTGTTGCTGCCCTCACCACTATTTCCAACCCTTTTTCCACAAGCATAGTGATGGCAGCAAAGTCCAGATGGCATTTTGAGATAAGCACTAGATATATAGATGAGACACTGAAATATTATTCATGATTTAGCTACTTTGCTTTCCTCTCACTGACCATTTCAGGGAGCCATATATCAGGAAGTCTTGGGATAAATGCTCAGAGAGAAAGAAACAAGACGTTAACCAAGTTGAAAGTGAACCCAAGGCTTTTCTGTCACCTGCTACTACCTTTTAAAATTGTCTCATTGGAGAAATGTTGGTCAACCTTTAGGAATATAATCTATGAAATCATGTTTGACTTCCACAAGCAAATATGTTCTGAGCCCCTCCTATGTGTCAGGCATGGTGATGGGCACTGGGACGACAGGAGGAGACCAAGGAAGGCCTGGTTTCTGAGGGGACATTCTGCTGGGAGGGCTGACATTTAACTAAAGATGTGCACAGACAGCACATAATTGCAAATTGTGATTAGTACTACCAAAGGGGAAAACAGTGTCAGGACAGAGAAAATAGAGGACACAGTGTAGATTGAGATGGTTTAAGCTGACCCCCTACTGAAAGCGACTTTTAAGGAACATTAGTGGAAGATGTGACCAAGTGGTTAAGCCAAGCTGTCTGGCATCAGGTGTCAACCCCAGCCCTCCTTTGACCTTAGGCAAGTTATTTAACCTGTGTGAGCCTTGACTCCTGTATGTAAAATTGGGATAAAAGAACAACCTAACTATCCCATGAAATTGATGGGATGACTCTGAGAATGAGCTAATTCCTCTCAATGGTTTAATAAATATCAGCTATAACCACCATCCTCATCATCCATGGTGTAATTGTCAGCAGTAATAGCAGTCATAAACTGGGGCCCTAAGAATCTCATTCATGAACCAGGACATTTTTTTTTTTCATTCAGTGTTTACTTAGCCAATTAGTCTATGAATATTTCTAGCCAAAGAGAGAGAGAGACTGATAGTCTTCTCTCTGCTGTTTTGAGACACAATCCAGCTCACCCCAAATCCAGGGTGGCTTTTTTTTTTTTTTTTTTTTTTTGCGACGGAGTTTTGTTCTTGTTGCCCAAGCTTGAGTGCAATGGCGCGATCTCGGCTCACTGCAACCTCCATCTCCAGGGTGGCTTTGTTAGCCTGTAACCACTCTGACTGAGAAACAAATTGAATAATGAACAAGTCTTCAGTGCTCCTGATGGTCCAAGCTCTGTGCGTGGGTGCTTCCTCCTTGAATATTACCATGTAATTTACAACGATTTGTGGTTAAGGATTATTATTTTCAATCTACAGATAAATAAATGGAGGCCAAGCATGGTGTATCATGCCTGTAATCCCAGCACTTTGGGAGGCTGAGGCAAGTGGACTGCTTGAGGCCAGGAGTTCAAGACCAGACTGGTCAACATGGCAAAACCTCATCTCTACTAAAAATACAAAAATTACGTCTGTGATCCTAGCTACTCGGGAGGCTGAGACATGAGAATCGCCTAAGCCCAGTAGGCGGAGGTTACAGTGAGCCAAGATCTCACCTCTGCACTCCAGCCTGGGAGACAGAGTGAGACTCTGTCTCAAAGAAAAAAGAAAGAAAGAGAGAAAGAAGAAAGAAAGAAAGAGACAGAGAGAGAGAAAGCAAGCAAGCAAACAAGTAAGCGGAGGCTCAAGAAGTTTTCTTAGTGTCATATGGCTAATAAATGACAGAGAAGGATTCAACTTGAGGACTCAGAACCTCAAATCCAATGCTCTTTCTGCTGTAACGTAGTCACTGAAGTATCAGCCCATTCATTGATATATGGGTACTTGTCAGCTACTATTTAATGACCAATCCCACTTTCATAAGAGACCATGAAGGAACTCCAGAAGTCACCCTATCCCCCAGGCTAGGACTTACTTCAAGCAAATCAAGAAGTCACAGACTTTTAAGTTAATGGTCAACTGTAACACAGTATTCCAGGGCAGCTAATAGGTAGGACCCCTGTCAGAGCCTGGAAGTTTCCGCGGTTTTCTTAGCATCTCTACAATCTTTATTTTCCACTCTTCTTTCTGGGTAGAGGTAGGTCTTTCCTGACAATCTGGGATGGATCCTTTTCCTAAGAAATTATACAGTACATTTAATTTCTTAGTATGTATCCCAGGTGGATGCCTCAAAATACATCCAATATTAAAGACAGGATTTAGTGTGTTGATTTTGGTAGACTTCCCAGTAACTGTTCTCTTTTCCAGGAAAAAAAAAAGAAAGAAAGCACAGTGGCATTACTACTCTGGGAGAAGTGGACATATTGACTTGTTAAGAGATATTGTTGACATTTTAAGTGCCGTAAAGATATTTAACAGGATATGGGATTAAGATAGCATTTCTGGCTAATGAGCTCACTCTCAGACTAAGCATCAACAAAGGGAAAGTTGCTAAAATGGCATCTTCCTAATTAAACAAAACAAAGCCAAACAAAACAGCTTGAGAAAGAATTCTGATCAGGGAGATAATAAAATCAAAATGATGAGATGTGTTCAAGGAAGGCCAGAGAATCATCCTTGCTGCCCCCATCGCCTTTCCCCTCCTCAGCCCATCACAGAACTCCTGCATGAGGCTGCTACTGGGTGTGTCCAGATGTCTGTGCCTCTCCACTACAGCGGGCGCCCAGAGATCACAGAAATCCTTTCTGCATTGAATTCTTAATCCCCAAAGGATCTTCTCTGTGCATGCATGGATAAAATTCTTAGGTGGGTAATTTTCATGAAATACACCCACAGTATGTGCCACATCCATATTTAAATCCTTATCATCAGAATAACCATTGTGCTTCCAGTAGTTTGGGGCAATTCTGTTGTTTACTGTTGGAGTGCAAACACAAAGCAACCTTAATACCATTAATTTAGAGACTAAACTACTTGCCCCATTGTCCCAGAGTAGTTACGTGTCACGTGGGTGGTAGAGACAGGTTAGCCCAGTTAGTCCCTATCCCCACTGAGCCGACTTTGCCCATCTTGCTCAGTGGTTTTCAGAGTCAGAAACAATAGCATTTCTCACACTGCCCCTGGGACATTAACACAGAAGCATGCTTTTTCATGGCTCACCCCCAAGGAGCTTTCTCAGGCCACAGTTTAACTGCCAGATCCCTGTGACAATGACTCATTTTAGCCCATGAATTTTTTCTTTCTACCTGGTATATATTTGTTCCCCATGCAGGTCTCCATATTCCACCCATCCATGCCTCCTGACATCTAGGCCCCAGTGTGGCTGTAAAATCTTCATTGCAACAGGGTTTGAAGACTAAAAGAAAATCTTATCTGCATTGTTGCTGACTCCTTAATGTGCTGTCACAACAATCTTTGAGTTCCTTTCAGAATGAATTAATTTTAAGGATTGTTTTTCTGCTTCATCATTAAATGCCAACTGTAAGCCTCCCTAACCCTCCACTTAACAGATGCTATTAGCATTTTAAACCTGGGTTCGGCCCTGGTCTCTCTCCTGAGCTCTGCAGCACCCCTGGAATGTGTGCCCTTCCAGGGAACCACAGACGCTATAATGCATCTCTCTTAAAACGTACAGCACCCACCACATTTCTGCTCTTTCTCAAATCATGTCTGGGGAAACTGAGAAGCTCCTTTTGAAGGATTACATTACGCCTTTGATTTTTATTTATAAAACATAAAGGACTAATATATATCAGTTAGGACATTTTGCTTGCAAAGTGCATTGTAGCAAAATAATTGGAAGCCAGTTGCGGTGTGAAATATATGACAGCTTTACAGGACATAAAAAGCAGCTTTTTCTTTGTAATAGTGTAATTGCCTTAAACCCCACAATCATAATTGTTATCAAAAAATAATCCCAAGGAAAGGCTAATATAAGGTGAGCAGACTATTATAAGAGCTCTAATACACTCGATTCCTTGAACAGCAAATGCAGCTCTCAATCTCCCGGTGCTTTTAGTGTCAGTCAGAGAGTACTCAGTCATTTCTGTGCATCAAACCTGCAGTATTGATTTTTCCACTGACTGAAACAGCCATATAAGCATAAATTTTGCATGAGCCTTTCACTTTGTAGACTCTCCTTTGGTCAGATGACACATGATGTGAACATGAAGACTGTATAATAACAATGCATGGTCAATCTGCAGGCATTAAAGCGTGGGCTCTCGCAGCACTGAAGGACAAAAGCTGGATCGAGAGAGGGCCGCATCAGCAGTGCCAGAGAAACAAATATCAGCTCCATCTTGGCAGCCCGCGTGCAATTTTATTTTCTACTTCTCTCCTGCATTTTCACGTGTCTTATTCAGAAAACCCCTGCAACCCACACACACCCACTCACTTGCACGCATCTTATCATCTGCACCCACTTCAGGTAAAACTCAGCTTTATGGAAAACAGTGACCGTGATCTTGACTGTGCAGCCCACCCAAACCCTCTCATTGCACCGCCTTTGGTTTTCTCCAGGTTGTTTTTGTGTGTGTTCTGTTGGGGATGTCATTTCTTTTGTGTCGCTGGCCCTAGAGACTAAATAGTGTGTAACAACATTGGATAAGATCTGGTATCCTGATGAGAAAGCCTTATCTAAAGATGTGGCTCACTGATACACAGGTACAAGGAAAACAAACCCTTCTTAATAGCCACCTTCCATTTAACCTACTTTGGCCCTGTTTGAGATCTCCTTATTCACTAATAGTTCTTTATCTCATCTCTTTATGATAGAAAATGTTCTGTTTGAAGTGCAATCATTCTGTTTCAAGATTTTGCCAGTGGAAACGAGAGAGGAGAGTATAATCCTACCCCCATGGGGCTGATAGCACCTTAATCCCAGATGGCAGAATTGCTTAGCCACCGCTACTCTGCTCAGTCACATTCACCTCGGCCATTTCATGTAATTAATTCATATTATGATATGAAGGATTCTCAAGATTAAGTTGAATTGGCCTGAGGGAAAAATTATCTTTATATAAAAGAATAAATCCCTGTTGGCCAGATAGAGTCAACCAACATTTTCTTTTCAGTAAAAAATCACGGTGCCAAGCAGGAACTTGCTATCATGAATAACTGCAAATGCGTTCATGTTTTTGCTTTGCGTCTCCATTTGGAATAACAATAATAGCATTCACCTTGAGGCCTGCTAACCTGGAGGGAGAAAGATGCTAGGCTCAAAATTAAACACTTGAAACTTCTGCAGCATCTAATTAAGGGTCTAAACTTCACACATAGGCAACATTCATTTACGTAAATCTAAACACGATTTGGTTTATTTTTAAAGCTAAGTGGTCCCACATTCATCTGGAATCTCTCCATTGCTCAGAAAAGAGATATGGGCTCTATCATTTTTAATTCTTTTAATGTTTCCCCTCTCCAGAAGAGGCTGCCTGCTTTTTGTGATCAGCCTGGTCTGTGCTGCTTGCTGTTTGAAGAGAGTTTTGAGAATTATTCTTTTTATTTCCAGTTGATGGCATCACAGGAGATATTTCCACTTAAAACCCAAGTTATTATAGTGAGCAGTGTTCTCTGAAATGAGTTTTGGCCAAAGAGAATGAACAAAATGACACTTGTGAGCCTAAGCTTGGAGAAGAGCTGGGTCTCCAGGCCAGAGTGTGGAGGAGGAAGAGCTGGTTTGTTTGTTCTTTATAGGAAACTAAAAATCTGTGGAGAAAATGCAGTAAGCTTTCTTGTTAATGCTTTATTTGATGGCCCCTACCTTTAAAATAGGCTCAAATGCTAACTGGTTAGCATAAAGATGCATGCGTGTTTAATGTTAAGTAGAAAGAAATAAAAATAAGAAGACATCTCCCCAGCCCAGCTGAGCTCCTGTTTCTGAGACTCCTCTCCTCATGTAGCAAATGCAGTCTGAACTGTAGCATCCTGGGAGATGTTGCACAAAGACACCGGGGCCTTGGACATGCACTAAGATTACATGCTCCGGACACCACAGTCTGCCCACCAGACCCCCAGCATGGGCACAGACGTGTTGCAGGGAGAGTTCCTCCTTTTTCATTTCTTTCTTCCCTCCTTTGACCACCCTTACAATCCCTACCCTGAAGTTTGATCATAACCAGGGGAGAAAAGTAAAGGGACTCAAAATATATGAAAGGGCTAGTAGCAGAATCTTCAGTGGTTCACATCAGTGCCTGTTGCCTCTGATCCATCCCTGTGTCTAAAAATTGTTCCTGTCCGCCCAATTTCTATCTGAAATGGGAGGGCCAGCTCTACATGCCGCGAGTGTGTGGCTATCCCTGTTGTTTCTCTCATGCTCCTCAGATCTCTGTGGAAAGATCAGCACATCATGAGAAAGAACACTAAAGGAGTTGACAGACAGGGTCTGTCCCTGCAGCTCCAGGAGGACCACTCATCACTGGCGTCTGGCCTGTCCTCTATTTACCTGTCCTCTGTTTGAGTGTGGGTCCCCTTCCAACTGAGCCAAAGAGGACCCCGAAGATGTTGGGATAATCCTACAAACCAGTTACAAAGTTTAGATTCATAAGTTTTGCAGCCTCTCCAGAGTCACCACACAAACACACACACATACAGACAGACAGACAGACACACACACACACACACACACACACACACACACACACGGAATCCTGAGCAACACTAGAAAAATATCTGAATAAAATCTAACTAACCAACAGCTTGAAATAGAGACATCTTTGCCACTGTGAAATGAAAAGCATTAACCCAAAGCATGTTTGAGGGTTCACGCAACTTTCTCTCCTATGGAGAGGGTCCTTAACATCAAGTTATAAATGAGCTTCCTGTTTGCAGAGGTTGAACATTTGTGTTTGGAGAAACCTAACAGCCTCTGCTTTTTTGCCACACATGTTCAGAGTCTTTGTGCTTGCTGTTCCTTCCCTTGGAATGCTTTTCCCTCAGATGGGCACATGGCTTGCTGGCTCAGTCCCTCCAGAGGTCCGCTCATGGCATCTTATCAGTGAGAACTCCTTGAACCACTATGTAGAAAACGGCACCCCCAAACTCCCACCCCACAGGCACACCTTATGCCCTGACCCTGCTTTATTTTAGCTATAGCTCTTAACACTATGCGATAGACCATGTATTTCCCTGAGTATTTGTCCATTTTCTGTACCACCTCCTAGCCCCCAAAGAATGTAAGCTCCAGCAGGGCCATGACTGTGTGTGGTCTCTGCTGGCTTCCCAGCTTCAGAGACACCTCTCATAGTGGGCATTCCATGAACGTTAGTGCAGGAAGGAATGCATCCACGGCTTGCTATTATCCCTTCTCCAGCACAGAGGAAAGAACCCACGCAGAGGCAGAAATATTTGTTAAATTCCTGAGCTGCTGCTCTGTGGTGTTGAGCTCAGCAGAACCGCTCCCAGGAGCTACATGGAAGGGTGGTTTGGAGGGTGGAGAATTTCCAAAAAGTTGCAGGAATTTAGATGTATCTCCTGCCTTCTTTGCCTCATGCTAGAATCTGGAATAGAGAGGACCTGTGTGCTCACAGAGGCAAGAAGCAGGGTAGTAGAAGGTTTGTTGAGTGAGGTGCTGGGGAGCACCTGGTTAACAGAGCCTCTACCCTATAAATGCACATGGTGGCTTGTGATAGACAAGCTTTGTAAAATAACAGCAATAATAGCCTTTATTTAATTTTGGTATTTCTGTATTTTTTGTACATTGCCTTTGGGCAGTGTGCGGCTTTAATAAATAAACACACAGCTTCTAATGAGGGAATGAAATTACAGAATTGCTACCAATCCCAGAACAACAGCTGATCACTGCTGCCCATCGCCTAAATGAGAAGCATGTAATGTAGGTCACAATATTGAGAAGCTGAAGACCCCAGCGTCATGCAAAGTGGAGGGTCGGGTAGAGGAGGGCACAGAGCAGGGAGGAGATGAGGCACAGTGATGCCTAGAGCAACTGCTGAAATTGGGGCACTGCAAAGAAACTTCTATTTTCTTTCTCGGCTAAGCTTCTGATGAAGTTATTTAACAGTTTGTTTCCTATTATGCTTCTTTACGATAGCCAAACCATTATATTTTTCTCTTAGAGTTTAGTCATTATCAACATCCTGCCTCTTGGTATCTGGGCTAAACTTTATCTTGCCTAGAATGCGATACCTGACCAACTATAAGGAGTTGTCATAAGCCCATTTGAAAGTCAGGACACTTAAGGGCCATTGGAAAATCAGTACAAGGAGAGTGTCCATTGATCTCTGCTTCCTTCTGTCATTGCACATGCTACCTCGTGTCATAATTTTCTCACTCTGTGCAACCTACCCAAACCCTCCCCAGAGCTCAGACAGCTCCAGAGATAGGCACTGGATTTGTGACCCTCAGCACAGATTCTTGCATATAAAAAGGCTCACAAATATTTGCAGAAAAGCTGGAAGACTGAGTAATTTGGAGGCCAATGACAGTGAGATTTGCCTCTTTCTTATTTTTTTGTTTAAACATTCGCAACGGCCTGATATCCATTAAAATACCGTCCCATCAGAAAAGAGGGCAGCTCTTGCAGTACCAAAAAGAAAATGGAAGAGTCAAGGTTTGTAGAATGGGCCCACTCCTGTTTCCATGCTAGTCTGGATTTTAGTGTGAGAAGCAGAGGTTCACTTAAGCTGCTTCAAGAAAGAGGGTGTCCATTATAAATACTAATGAGGATCTCCTGGGAATCTAAAGATACTACAGAGCAATCGAGTCTCAGGGAACCAACCTTGAGAAGCCACCAGGAACCAATGTCACGCTTCCAGCATCCGCAAGCTCCTTATCACAGCATCTCATCCCTTGCCCTCCTTAGCAAACTGTAGGACTCTGACTCTTCATAATTTCTCCTATATTTTTGGCTTCCATACCATTTTGGCCATCCTCAATCTGTTTTCTGGCTCCTTCCCATAACTTCAGCTTTGGTGTCTGTTGCAAAAGGTCTCTCGGTACCTAATTTCAAATTTTAGAGAGAAATATGATCTGCCCTGCTCATGCATTTCAGCCACAACACATGTATCTTCTAAGAGAGGATTAATTTTGAGCTGAAGAAAGTGGGCCCAGTTTAGGGCCGCAGCAGCAGCGTACACAACACAAGTGTTTCCAGATCTTCTTGTGATTCTACTGAACTCACCCGGGTCATTTGACAGCCCAAGAAAAACAATACAGATTAATCTAAGAGAATGTAAATAATGGGTAGATTTGTAAAATGTCTAAACAACTTTTGAGTGTGAATATCCTTTTATATATATCCTTTATATATATCCTAGACAACTTTGAGTATGACTATATCCTTTTATTATAATTGAATATACAAATGAAAAGTTAGTTTGAAGCATTCCTAAAACAATGACACTTTGATTCTAAACAAATGATCACTTTAAAAAATTAATGTGGTTCCTCTAAATACAAGTGCCTTCTTAATGATAAACATTTACTGTTGTGAAAATTATTTTAATTGGAAATAATACGTGGTGAATGAGAAGGTCACAGCTATTATATTAGAGCTATTAAAAGACCAAAACAGGAAAATTTAAATTATGAAAGTATTCCTGCCCAGAGTAGATGAGAATATGCTCCACTAAATTCTTACATATGCCTCATGGAAAGAAGACACTTTATTCTTCGTGTTACGACTCAGGACAAAGAAGCACGCCTTTCTCATCTTTGTGTGTCTGGTGTCACATGAAGAAGCTGACATGTATTTGGTGGTCAATAAATGTTTGGGGTATTAATAATAAATGACTGCAGTCTTAATATTTCGGGAAATGGAGCAGAATGCAAACTACTTTGGAAAGTATAAAGGTTTTAACTCAAGTTATTTAAAAATTAAGTGAGCTAAATGCCTGGTTTGGATTAATCGGTTGCCAAATAAGTCATCATAAGCCGTCTAACTTTAGAAGTGACAGTAACGACCCTGGGTGAGGAAAGGGATTTAGGGCAGTGTGTCTGAAGCTGAGGGCCTTCTGGCAGATTCCAGATGACTTCATTTTTAAAAGTCTGTGTATGTGAATTTGTCTTCTCAAATCTCCTTTAAAAGCAGTACTGCCCCTCTCAAATTTCCAGCCATGAGCTCCTCCAGGTGAGCAACTGTATCTTCTGCTTTTCTAGCCTCTAGCACCTGCCTAGAAGTTTGCTGAATTAATAGATTGCTCCACACAGAAGCTACATTAAAAAATCACCTAGTAGTAAAGAATAGGGTCTCAATGTACATTTACCAATGGATTGATGGATTCAAGAAGGTTACAAGCGTGAGAATGATTTCTGCCTTTCCCGGGTACATTCCTTGAATCCCCCAGATGTTTCTCTGTTCCACATTGAGATTGTCTGATACACTGCTTTTTTTTTTTTTGAACCCTGCCATTTTGCTCTTCCATAGCTTTCATTACTCTCACCTTGTTATATGTATGCATCTACTTCCTTTCATAAAGCATGTGACCTTGCACACAGCAGGCCCTCAACGAGTGCTTAGAACAAGAAGGGTGGAATCTGGTGGGGCAAAAGGACAACATGCCCATAGGCCAATAAGCATAGGAAGACCGGGGTATCAAAATCCCCAGGAGAGGATCCCATCAGGCTGGGGGAAAAAGAGGGACAGTACTAATTCTTTAGGGGGAAAGAGGTGAGCTGGGAAGATCAGAGTGGAATTAATTCCTCATTAAACTCCCTCTTCATGCAATAGGAAGAAAAATGCTCCCTCACCAAAGATGTCTATGTCCTAACCTCCAGAACCTGTGAACAGGTTGTTAAAAGGTAAATAAAAATTAAGGTTGTGAATGGAAATAAATCTGCTAATCTGCTCACCTTAAAGTAGAGAGATTATCCAGGATTATCGAGTGGACTCAATGTAATCACAAGGTCCTTTAAAGCAGAAGGAGGCAGAAAAAAGTCCCAATTAAAGAAGGTGTGATGATGGCAGCAGATCAGAGTCAACCAGTGTAGAAAGACTGGCCCAGCCGCTGCTGCCTTTGAAGTTGGACGAATAGAGCCCCTTCCAAAGAACATGGGCAGTCTAGAAGCTGAAAAAGGCAAGGAAACAGATTCTCCTATAGAGCCTCCAGGAAGAAACATAGCCCAGCCGACACTTGATGTTAGCCCATTAAAACCCATTAAAACCCATTTTGCATGTTTTACTTCCAGAAATGTAAGATCACAGATTTGTGTTGTTAATAGCAGCAAATAGCAAACTAATACCGCATAGGAGTCTATTATTAACTACATAGCACATGTATACCTAAAAGTTTACCAGCTCACTTATGAGGAACTCCCGTCAACCCTCTCAATGGAAGGTTTGTTGCATCTGTTTATTGCCACAAGCTAAGCTAAGCTCACAAGCCGCATACATTTATATTTTGGGAAATAGTGCAGATACAAAGGAGCATGGTACCCAAGGGAAGGAAAAGGTGGAGACTTTGAGACTTTCCACTTTCTAGGATCCTGACTAATATACTTCCTAATACTTTGGGGAAATACATGCACTTGGAGTTAGGAGTAACAACTTCTGAAAAACCTAGAAATTATTTAGTCATTGTAAAGCCTAGTTAGAATTTCAAATTATTTAATATGCCTTAGATAAAATTTTCCATTTTTGAAGGGAAAAAAAATCTTCTTGTTACAGTGAACTTTTAAATTCCTATTCGTATTGGTTTTGCTTTTCCTGTTAGCACATCTGAAAATAATTGTTTGTTATCTAGAAACAAAAGCTTTAAGCCGCTTACATTGTGTCTCCGTAGGATTATACACCCACAAACCAGCTCAGGGTGGGTGTCAAAGGCACAAACTCGTGCTCCATATGTACCCACCCTGCTTTGTGAAGACACATACTTGCAAAGAAAAAGTAAAACTAAGAAGGCAAGAGAACTAGGCTTAGAATGGAGCTTTCAACTACAACTCCAAGCCTAAAGCATCTGAGATAAAAAGATAATACTTATGCATTTGAATCAACATCACATACAGCATCACAAATTCCACCGAGAAAACCCACACTTCTGAAGTTCTGTGTGCCCATTGAGGCAGGGTACACACGGGGGAAATTTATACATGCATGGCACTGCCACACTTACTCTACATTTTTCCCCATAGACGTGTTTCATGTATATCAAAGCTTTCAGATATCTATAACTTTTATGCAGAGGGAACATAAAATTCTTAAAAGAAAGTACCAGTGCTTAATACTATTTACGTGTACATTTTTGAAACTACATTGTTTGGGCCACCACTGTTTCCCCCCATTTCCTACAGATGCAAGATTACCTGGGGAGAAGAATGTGCTATAAATTGAGGCTGAACATAGATTAAATACATCACAAATTCTTAGCTCTCATATCCTTGGGTAGTGGAATTAACTTTCAGATAATACCACGTAGATGACTTGGTTATGACTGTAACTCACAACAGAAACAGTAGTTACATATTTTTATTTTTTTATTGATTTGTCTCCCAATATAAAAATAAATACCCAGAGGCAACAGCACTATACTGGACTCTGAGAGATTTGAAGGCGGCAGCTCTACCTTTTACTTTTTGAGAGCATTCACTGAGAAAAAGAGAAATATTAAAAACTGTGTTCTGGAGCCTGGGATTTTATCCAGACATTTTCACATACTGGTTTTAAAGTGTGTGTCACATTATTCTGTCCTCATTGGTAGCTGGTATAAGCCACAAGTTTCACATTTAAGAATCTTATGCCTAGACCCTGTATATGATAAATTAATCAACCCACCTTTTTCCTGGTTGCTTCATTCCATAGAGATCCTTCTGTTGTGGTAACACAATTGTTGGTTGCTAATTTCTTTCTGGGCTCAAATTATGTTTAATAGCTTTTTTGACATTTCAGGTGTAAAATTCACCAATAGCCACAAATTGTTTTCTGTCTGCTTTTTGGATTTTTACTCTAGATGTTTAAAAAAAAAAAAAGAAGAAGAAGAAGAAGGTGGTAGGGGCACCGCAGAATCTGTGATATTGTAAAGTGGTCCAGGTGGGCAGAAAATCACAGTGGCAGCTACAAACCACCTTGCTCATTTCACGTGACAAAGAATGCAAAGGTAAATGGAAAGGAAGGAAGCTGAAAAGAAAGGAAGCTAATTGCAGGCCATTTGTAACTGTTAGGAATGGGTAAACATATTACACTTCTCCCAGTATAACGTAGCGTTCTGGGTGAATTGCACCTAATTTTTTTCTTATTATGCCATTTGAAGGACAAACTCATTCTTCACAGAAATTGCTTCAGGGCCTGAAGGCTCATGTAACTTGTTTAATCATGATTGTTATTTGATAGCATTACCTGGTAATCACTCTATCAAAAGTTGGATGATTATCTAGAAGCCACATTAAGCAAAGACATTTAAAGACTATAGATATTAAGAGCCCAGTTCTGCCTCCATCACAATACATTTTATAAACTTAAGCGGCAGCTGATTTTTGTTTTCCAGTTTCAATGTTGTTCTCTATCGAGAAAAAAATAAAACAGTGGGCAGCTTTTTAAGCCAACTGTTTACTCAGATGTAATCCTGGGTAAGTTATTCGGCCTGACTTTGTATTGAGAAGTTTCCGGCCTTTGGAAACAGATCATCCCCCTAAAACATGCACAAACGACATAACTTGTCCTTGAACAGAGAGAAAAACAAAATGGCCTGTTGGGCCCCGAGTAGGGAGATGACTGAGGAGTCCAAAGACTGTGGGAAGTCAAAAGGCAAGCGAGAAGCAGAGAGAGCAGGACACCCAGCCCTGAGCTCCAGGAGCCACATTCCTCCTTGAGCACGTTCCAAGGGCCGTGTTGCCCTCCTGGAGTCAAAGGATGATCAGGCGGCACAGGGACACACAGGGAGCCTGGGCCTGTGCATTCCTAACTTTCCTGGGCGGTAAGAGCACACTTGTGTATGCACTAAAACTTTTTATCTCAGCATCCTCCCTGGGCTGCTCCAGATTCTCTCTCTGCTGGCCTCCTCGTCCTCTCCAACAGCCTCCCCTGCTCCTTCGGGAAATCTGTGGGCTGCTCCCCACAGCCCATGAGCCTGCCCCAGCTCTCAGCTTTCCTAGGCACCATGCAGACAGAGCCCAGACGCCCAGGGTCTGGCTTCTAAGTGTTGCTGCAGCCTCCGGCCTGTGGGACACTGGAGGGTGGGAGTCCTGTGTGTGTGCATGCCCTACACGTACATGCACCACACACACACATACACACACACAGTCACCACAAGCACACACCACACCACACCATACCATGCTCACACCACACATACAATACCACGTACACACTACATAATCCATACACATACGATACACACACCACACGCATTCTCCATACCATGCTCACACCACACACACAATACCACACACACCACACACTCTGTACTCATACACACACCGCACACACTCCATACTGTGCTCACACCACACACACAATACCACACACACCACACACTATACACATGCAATACACACACCACACCCCCGACACACACACTCCATACCATGCATACACCACACACACTCTCCATACCATGTTCACACCACACACACAATACCATGCACACACCACACACTCTATACACATACAACACACATACCACACACACATTCCATACCTTGCTCACACCACACACACAGACACCACACACCAGAAACACACATATACACACACCCCATACACATACATACCACACACATACACACCATACCACACACAAGCCACACACACATCATGCTTCACACACACCACACCACATTCCACACACATACCACGTTCCACACACACCACATTCCACACACATACCACATTCCACACACATACCACATACCACACACACACCATACACACAATACAGACACCACACACCACACATACATCACATGCATACACATACCACACCATACACACCAGATGCCACACATATACCACAAGCATACATACCGCACACCACATATACTACACCACCTGCACACAACACACAGACACCATGCCACATACCACATATACCACACACAACACTTAAACACACATATATGACATACATACATCACATTACACATACCACAGACACACACAATGCACACATAGGTACCACACCACATACCACAGACTCCACACACCATACACGCCACCTACACATATATATCATATTATACACATCTCACACATACACACACCCTACATCACATGCACACCACACCCACCACCATTCATATCACACACACATCACAGCACAGCACATGTATCACACATACACACTACACACATACCACACATCTACATAACACATACACACATGCACACACACACACACACACACACACACCCCACGCCACAGATCTGTCTCCTGCTTCCTTTGGTCAACAATGAAAGCTGCCACAGAGACAAAGTTAGGCAAAGGTTCTGTGACCACTAATTCCACAACTGCCAGGGCTCAGCCAGGCCACCTCTCCTGCTCCTGCAGGAACCTGCTCCACTGGGATGCTCTTCCTGCACTGCCAGCTCTTCTTCCGACACCCAGGCATTTCCCTGAATCCTCCTTCCTCCATCACATCTTCTCTGTTAACTCCTTAGGTCACCTTATTAAAGTAGGTCATTCCAGTGGTTGCCTCTTAGAACATATCCAAGTCATAATGTGGATTTGTCTAGTTGCTTGAAACTGACTTTCCATTTTTGGCCATGATGAAGAATCAGCTTTTCTGGCTCTCACTTTTTATAAGGCATTGTTCTCATCCATTTATTTTAAGTATCTCATTGAATCTTCCCCACAATCCTCAGGTAGGAACCGTTATCAACCCTGTTTTACAGATGAGAAAACAGGCACAGAATGTTTACGTGCCTTGTTCAAGGTCACACAGCCTGTAAGTGGCAGAGGCGGGATTTGAACTTGGACCTGACCACACTACACCATGCTGTCATTTCCCATCTAAGAATGGCAAAATGGACCTCATAATTTCTAGGGCCCTTTTCATCTCCGTAGTTCTGTGATTTGTTTTCTACTATGTTGTTCAGGTAAATGAGTTTTCATTTTTGTCATGTTTATGCAGATTGCATATTTTCTGGTTTAACTAGAAAATTCACTAGTACTTATGTCTTTAAGACATCAGAGTAGATGTAAAGGAAATGAGCCAGTAAATCTAAAACACATTCAGTGTTTTCTCTCATCGTGATTTTAGGCCTGTGGGAATCAGCTGGGAGGGAGAGCTTGAAATGTGTTTTCTGAGTTGGCTGCTGCGGGAAGCAATATGGAAGGGTGGAGAAACACTGGAAAAGGGGTCTGGGAACAACAAAAAAAAGTTGCTCAATGGTGCCAGTTTGGGGAGATCTGTAAAGGTTCAAAATCTTTCACCTTAGACCAGTTTATAGCCAAATGTAAGCTTCATATATTACATCATTATGCTGAAACAGTGGTTCATAAGGTTCCTGTTTGCAGTAGGAAAACAAGGTTGTTATGAGACCTTGGTGGGACATCAAGAGGAAGAGACCTAACTGGCAACTGTCAAACATGGGGAAAGGATGGCCTTACAAAACAGGAATGAATGGTGGATCTGAACGGCTCCAGTGAGCTTGTGCCCATAGTCACAGCGGCTGGAGATCCTGACAAGCCCAAGTCCCAGCAGATGCTTACTGGAACTCAGTTTTATATCCATTTTCTTTTTCTCAGAGCCTGATTTTGTAAAAGTTCAATGATGGCATCCACATTGGATCACTGTTCAACTCTTCATTCTACAAATGCCGAACATGCAACAACTGCTATACAACTGTGTAGAGCAATTTTGTGCTCCTTCTTTTTATAAATGACTAGGGTTTTTTAATATTTAAGAAAAGCATAATAATATACTGATCAATATCACACTGGGGAAACTTTAAAGTTATTATCTTCAAAATGAGTAGAATTGCCATATCAGAACATAAGCATCTTTACTTTCAGGTCTTGTGGTATGCATTTTATTTATAGCATAGTTGTAGTTTGTTGTTGTTGTTGTTTTTTCCAACCAACATGAATCACGGAGTCGGACTTTTTTTAAAAACATAAAATGCATTGGAACCTATAACATATACTTAACAAAATTACCCAGTGCATTTTCTGTGAATAGTACCCAGTTCCCTTTCCCTTCTTTTCTGACAACAAGAGTGCTATTGCTCAGAAAATCACCATTTCCCATCACTTTTATTTGACTGAAAACAGACGGGTTTCCTAAGGTACCATGTTCTGCTCATCTGATATAAGATCACGTTAAAGATGATTGTGGCAATTTGTATCCTCTTGTTGTGAAACCACATGCTGTCCCCAGAAATTCAGGCCACATTTTTAGAGACCTCTTTTGTGTGCTTTTTATTATTATAAAGACACATATGCACAATTTTAAAATTCAAAAATGTAAAAAAGTATTAAAAAGAAAACTAGAAACATCCCTAATTTGTCATAAGATTAAGGAAAATGTTACTTTCTTTTTTCTCTTTTCAGTATTAAAATAAAATATGTGTTTTGAAATCACCCAGAGTTTTATAACTCAGACTTATCTACTGATAATGTTTTGGTGTTCCTCCTTTCAATATTTTATCTAATCACACGTAGTGGACCCACGTTTTTAAAAGTTTAAATCACACCTTCTATAGCAGTCAAGGTTTTTTTCTTTTAGCATCTTATTCTGAATGTATTCCTGAAGCTGTACCTTTGGTCTAAACTTCACTAGACCTTTTAAGATCAGAGGATTGTGTCTTTGTTTAATTAAGATACACACGGTTGTATAATTTGGGTATCTTTTGGATACAATGTTCTGAACAAAGAAAAATAGAAAAAGTCAAAAGAGGATATTATAATTTGTATTGGCTTTTGTGTTGTGAAGCCTACTGGACATGCATACAATTACATGTGTGTGCATGCGTGTTCACGCACACACACGCACACACACACACACAAGTCACACGCCCCACTTCATCTTTCTAATTACCCTTATTGCAACCTGATAGAATGCAGAACAGCATTTTTTTATTGTCTATTTTCCCCCAGCCCCTATCACCATGGTCCATGTCCAGATGTGACCTCCCCGAAGGCAGGAACTGTTTTTACTTCACTGTTGTCTCTCCAGAGCCTCTAACAGTGCCTGGCACTACAGAGGCAGCCTTTCAATAAGTGCTGATAGAATAAAGATGTGTGCATGGCCATTTCCTGTCCTGAATTCTCTCAGTTCTCCCAGCTCCTCAGTCTGACTTCCAATGTCAACTTGCTAATTTTCTGCTCAATGGCAGGAAGGACTGGCATTAGGAGGTACTTCTTGACGGTCTCAAGGCCCCTAAGACATCAAAATGGAAGTCCAGGCCTCTCAGCATGGTGGTGAGGACCATGGGCCCTAGAGCTGACTTCCAGCGTCTGAGCCCAGCTTCCCCACTTCTACCTGGGCTGTGTGGGCAATTCACCCACCTCAGCTGTGGGAGCATTCAATGATTTAGTGTCCATAAAGCTCTTAGAATGAGGCCTGGCATACAGTAAGTGCTCTATTGGTGTTAGCTGTTAGTGAAGGAAACCAGGGAGCAAGGAAGTAAGAATGTGGACCCGTCATTCAAATGCACTTGGACGCCCAGCCATCCAACTGGGCCCTACTGAGTTATGGCCTGGTTAGATGATTCAATCCCTGTTATAATGAAGATTTGAGGAAACCATTCTGACTGCAAGAGTGGGATTGTGGCCCCAAGATTATTTCCTGAGTGTATCATTTGGGATGGTGAGAGTCCCAGCTGGTGTCTAAACTTTGTTCATCTCTATAATTCTGCCAAACCTGGCCACTCAGTCCTCTGACAGACTAAGATGTGGTGAGGTCATCAGTTATTTACCCGTCTGGCTCCCCTCCTATGGTGTAAGCCTATACTCCTGGTGCCTAGCTTAGTATCTGCCACAGGCTAAGTAGTCAATAAATGTTGAATGAATCAGTAAATAAATAAGTACATTCAATATATAATTTAGGTGTTCAGAGGATATATGTGCAAATATGCATAATATATGCATATATACATACATATATGTGTGTACAGATATATATACACATATGTATGTGTGTGTGGAGACGGCTAATATATATACTCCCTGCATACCACAAAGAACTGTTCTAAAGAATAAATCCAAGAAAGTACCCAAAATTGGTTGGAAAAACTGCAAATGTCTACACATCAAAAAAGTATTTGCTCTTATTGTCAGGCATGGTCAGAGAAGGATTATTAAAGGAGGTTGTTAGGCCTTGAGCTGAACTTTGAAGGAAAGGTAAAATCTGGCCAGGCAGAGAAAAGCCAGCCTGGTGAAATAAACAGAAAAGGTCAGAATGTATACCTCAGGCAGTTCTCACTTTGCTGTTTTATAGAAAATATAAAGATACTCTCCCCCACCCCCAACACATACACACCCTAGTAAAAATTCTGGGACCCTCTGGTTCTGAATTTGGGATAGGAAATCCAAGCCTGTGTGATCCCCCAGGTCTGGGGTGAAGGTGTTTAAACTGCTCGGCCATACCCCAAGCACAGGACTACCCACCCAGGCCAGCCTGCCTTACCAGAGCTTCTGGAGCCAGATGGGCTTTGAGGAAGTCTAACAAAAAGCATTACTGTCCCTCCACCCCAACTTCCCTCAGAGAGAAAACCAGAGTTTCCCAAATCTCACACCTAACCCACATTATTATTACTTATGTTTGGCTCATTTGAAAGTATGTACTTTTCTTAATACATTTAAACGTTTACATGTGCATTTCAAGAGGGGCATGTGGTTTCAAATAAGTTATCCATAGTTTTACCGTTGAAATACTCCACATTTTAGAATGTGCTATCAAAATTAAAATAATAATTTATTTCAATCGGCCATAGTTTTTTCCCCAACCTGGTACCGCCAGAGCTGGGTTTTATGCTGGAAGGTAGCATCTCAGGCTGCCAGAAGAGATTTCCATCTCGCTTTGACTCCATTAAAGTAAGCTTCTATAAACAGACATCAATTACAACCAGTTTTAAGGGTTTTAAAATGTAATCCTACAGTGCTGCTTAACTAAATGAATCCCAGGAAGTGATCTCCAGTGAATTAATAGAGCGGTGTGCAGACGACTCACTATGAGTCTGAGTTAATGACTGAAGAAGATCAAATTAATTACAAGTGTCTCCAAGGAGTTTCCAGGATGAATTCTCCCTTATCAGTTAAAGTCTGTTTAACCCTTCATGTTCAAAGTCCGTACATTTTCTAATTGCTAAGATATCAATAATAATGGGAAGAGAAAGGCTGGTCTGCCTTCTCCTCGGAAGTGGAGGTTTTCAGATGTATCAAAGCATCTCACCCACTGGGAGGGAAGCATCCCATGAACACACTGATTCACCAGGCCTTTTTCATGGATTGGAATCCAGCTGGGTTTCTGTCTGAACCATCAGGGAAGTTCCCTTGGCAAAGAGCCACAGGAGATTTTTAAAAAGTTTTTATGCTTAAAAAGTGTCCAAAAAAGATAACTTTATTGGAGGCGGAGGATATCCATGTGAACAGGATCAGATACACGTCTGCATTGACCAGGAAGAAGGGTTCAGGGTCAACATCAACATCGTTTTGCACCACAAGGATGTGGTAGTTGATCAGCAAAGAGCTCCTGAATAAGCCAATTTCCCCAGGAAATCACAGAAGGGCAAAATGCTCAGGCCCTCCTTGGCAGTGTTTACGTAGCCTTATGGAATCACCCTCAACCCAGCCCAGGGATTGGTCCCTTGCATCTCCCTGTGTGGTGATTTTATTTTCTTTCTTATTTCTTTCTCTTTTTAGGGGGAATGGGGACTTGCTATGTTGCCTAAGCTGGGGCACAATGGTGTGATCATAGCTCACCATAGCCTTGACCTCCTGGGCTCCAGCGATCCTCCTGCTTCAGCCTCTTGAGTTGATGAGATTACAGGCATGAGCCACCGCACCTGGCCTTTTTTTTTTTTTTTTTTTGAATTGACACATTGTAAATGCATATATTTATGGGGTACAATTTAACATTTTGATATATATATGTTGTATAATAGTCAAATCAGGGTAGTTAGCGTACTCATCACCTCATGCATTTATCATTTCTTTGTAGTGAGAATATTCAAAAGCCTGTCTTCTAGCTATTTTGTAATATACAATACTTTCCTGTTAACCATAGTCACCCTACTGGGCAATAGAACACCAGAACTTATTCCCCCTATGTAGTGGTAACTTTGTACCTGTTGACCAACCTCTTCCCCTGCGTAGTGATTTTGAAATGAAGATTCTATATTTTGTAAATAAGCTGCCTTGCATTTTATCACTAACATGACCAAGAATTATTTTGGAGGGCTCCAGGGATGGTGTGCTTGTTTGAATAACATAATTGGAGAAGAAAACGGCAAAAGTCTAGAAAACTAAAGAAGAGGCAAGTTAAAAATAAGGGGTGAATAGAACTACGGGAGGAGGCTGTGGAATAGGAAAGAGAACACACACACAGACGCCCATAAAATTACAGTGTAGGAAAAGCAAATGGGATTGGGCTCTTGGATTCTCTGCTCTTCAGATATACAAGTGTCATTTTCTGTAGTTTTCTTATCCTTTGAGCACCCCTTATTTTCAATCGTTCAGGAATTAATTCATTTATGTATTCAATAAATGTTCATTGAGTGTATATTTCTAAGCCAGACATGTGCCAGGCCCTAGGGAGGCAGCAGGGAGCCCCGCATCTGTTGCCTGTCACTGAATATCCTGGATAGGGCCAATTTGTGACAAACCTGACATAGGGAGAATCCCAGTGACATTTTATAATTTACATGATTTGGAAAAGATATTCTTCTGCAAAGTAATACGCTTAATGAATGAGTACTAGCTGTTAACTTTTCATACATTTAAAAATATTTTATTTATTTTTTTTTTTTAGAGGCAAGGTCTTGCTATGTTTCCCAGTCTGGCCTCAAACTCCTACGCTCAAGGGATCCTCCCACTTCAGCCTCCTGAATAGCTGGGAGTTCAGGTGTGGGCCATTGCACCTGACTAAAATTTCTGAAGTTTAACTGAGCACACACTGTTAACCCTAATTAGCTAGTCTGCTGACACTCTTCATTCCTCATGTCAGAATTTAATTTAATTTCAGTATTTAATTTATTCATACTATGAGGTTTACCCTCCCCAAGCCCTTTGTCTATCTGTCAGTCTTTTCCTAAGGTGGGTAACACACAGCTTGCTTGTGAGGAGAGTTTGACTGGAAGGGGTTACTCAGATTGATCCTGAAGGTGCACCCCACAGCAATCCCACAGACAAGCTTCTCCTTAAAATATACTAATTCCAGAGAAGCATTCGCTTTTGATGACTTTGTCAATTTCAGCCCCTGAGATAATACACCATGTTTTTATGTGTTGTCTGCATAGGGAGATGTGGCAACAGAGTGTGAAAGTCACACAGTCACGTGCCCAGATTGACTGTGATTTTGTTGCTGCTGTAAAGTCCATCAAAGATAATGGAATGTAGATAAAATAAAATCACATTGCCCATTCTGCACCCACCCAAGCTGGAATTTCGGTGCAGGGACACTAATTGGTGCCAGTTTAGATCTGCCTGATGTTATCTTTATGAGTGTCTGTACTTGTGGGACAATCATACAAAACATGTCAGGGTGATGGCTTACACCAGCAGAAGGATGGCAGTACATAAAGTACTGAGGCGGAAGGTGCTTGATGACTTTCAGTGGCTTTTTTTAAGCGGAGAGATAGAACTGCTGTTAAGTTGCTCAAGCAGAAGTGTCTATAGGGCACTCCAAATGGCAGTGTTTAAAAAGAGCTCCTTTGTCACTTTGTATTCCGTAGAAAAATAGGTAAGGGAAAGAGAAGCTAACATGTGGCCAGCCTTGCACATGAAGATGGATACAGCGTGGCTCTTGACTGTCCTGCCAGACACTCACGCTCATGGAAAAATCTTTCTATGATGATGTGAGCAGAGAACCTTAAGTCCACTTTATATATAAATCCAAACAATCTTTTTATACAGAATTAATACACATTACATTTTCCAGGAATGCAACCACCCTTGACATCAGGAGAGGGCTAAATTTTGTTTTATTCAGATTTGCCACCAGAGTGACTGAGAGTTTTCACCACTTTAAATAAGTCTCCACTTCAAGTGTTGCCGGGGGTATTTAAGTTGCTAATCCCATGCTCCTGGATCCCTCTGATTAATAGTTGTAATCCTCACAGGACTCTGTTTATAAGTACAAAAAGTCACTACATCTTTCAGCATAGCCATGCATGAGCATTTACAGATGGAAATACATGGTATTTTATTATAAATTAGCTTCCTTTTATTTCTTTTTTGTTATAGTTGAGGGGTTATATTGATTTTTTTAGAAAGTCTGTGTGTAGGTAGGTTATATTGTTTCAATTCAGGCTAGTAAGGGAGTGTTATGAAGTATGTGTTATAAAGAAATGGTGTGGGTGTGATGTGGGTGAGAACCACTGACCCCAGGGGAGAGAAGGAAGGTTTCAGGCTGGCGCACACACAGCCTTCACCTCAAGCCAGGTGCAGCATCAGCCACTCCTGGCACATGGGTTGTCTCATTTCAGCGTGATGTTGACTCTTCCTGGACAGTTCCTCCTAGTAAAGGGGTCAGGAGAAAGGCCTTGATTCTCTTGAAATGCTGCCTGGGACCCTCCCCAGTCCTGTGACAGCCCCCCAACACCCCCACCAGATACAGATGGTCGGCTGGGCGGCAGGGCTGGAAGCCTGTCTTGGCCTCCACCAGCTGACAAGCTGGATAGTTGAGGCTAAGCTATTCCCTTTAATTTACCATGCGTCTTCTCATCCTATAAGTGGTTCTTTCTTCATCAGCTCCTATAGATTCAGGTCATAGAATCTGCCTTCCCAGGTGCCTCTTTTTTAGAGTTTGAGGCAGGACTGGTTGCCTGGCAGGTCCTCTGCAAGCACCCCCTGAGCCTGTTGAAGTGAAGCCTGCTAGGGCTTTGTGTTCACTTCTTGGTGCAAGCCAGGAGCTTGGGAAACCCTCTTTTGTGTATTGCTTGCATGGAAAAATGTGGCATCACAGTGTGAGGGTCATATAATCATGGGCCATATTGACTGTATGTGTGTTGCTATTGTGAAGACCATCCAAGATAAAGTAGACAAAATCACACCATCCCATTCCAGACTCATCAAGGCTGGAATTTCAATGTCAGGACTAAGTCAAGACGAGCTCTCAATATTTTCCAATAATAGGAAGATGTTTTATCAGTAGTATAGTTAAAACAAAAGTCATGAAGAAAGGACTCATAACTGTGTACAGAAGAGCACTTGAGGGTGTTTCCCTGTAGATCTCGTTTATTTCTCCCTGTCTTTGAGAGACAGGGCACCATCACAGATATAGGAATGAGCAGACTTAGCTTCAAATTCCAGCGGGGGAGACCATTGACAAGTCACATGCCTAAGGCTTGGTATCCATACACGTGGTATCCATGTGACTTGTGACACGTGATTAATAATGCCTGTCTTTAAGAGTCATTCTGAGGATGACATGAGGGAGCAAACACATGAAGTAGCACCATGGGTGCTTTGTAGATACAGACTGAATCTTTAGAACAATTTTATTTTACAGATGAGGAAACTGAGGCACAGAGAGGTTAAAGGATTTGCCATAGGAAGTATGTGATAGGCGACTTGAATCCAGACAGTTTGATGTCAGAGATCATGCTTTTAACACATGCTATATTGCCTCAAGGAAATGGATTTAGTAAATGGCAGTTGTTATTATTGTTATTGCTATTTTTAGTCTCTTCGCTTCTCTTCTCCTGCAGAGTGGAAGGTAAGGGAGGGTGCACAAGTGTTTGCAGGTAATGAAGTGTATGTGGGGCTTTTATCACCTCCACAGCCTAAACCTGGATCTTGTCATGCTAGGAAATCAAGCTACAATGGAACATTGATTTTTGCTGGTCACTATGAGGCCTGGAGGGTCGCGGAGTCCCCTGGTGCACTCAAACTTTATCTTTCTATCAATTAGCTTACACATCTCTAGAATGTGGATGGATAGAAACCCTCCTAGATTACAGAATCAAACCACCAATATTCTGGCCCCAATTAGTGACATAACTTCAATTCAGCTAGTAACTTCGAGGCTCACTTTCTTCCCCTTGGCTTCAAAAGGCTGTTTCATTCCAGTGTTCTACAAGACCCCTTCCGCCTTGAGGATTCTAGGATTCTCTGTCAGAGTCCTGGCCCAGTTAGCTTTGCCCTCACACACCCCACAGAACACAGAGCAGTCTCTTCTCTAGCCAGGGGCCAGCTGGGTAGTGTATCCCTCAATGTAGATCAGTGGTGACCCAACCACGACCAGCAGCCCTAGATCCAGGTCCCCACCTATTATTGTATACCTGTGAGCTAAGAATGGTTTTTACATTTTTAAATGGTTGAAAAAATTCAAAAGGAGAAAAGCACTCATGAGACATGAAAACTATATGAAATTCACATTTCGGTGTCCTTGGATAAAGTTTTATTGGAACCCAGTCTTGCTCTTTCATTTACATATTGTGTTTGGCTGTTTGTGGGCTGTTGAATATAAGTAGCAACAGGGACCAGATAACTACCAAGCCTAAAACCTTTATGATGTGGGTGCCTTACAGAAAAAGTTTGCTGACATGGACCTAAAGGCATGGCAAGAGAAAAAGTTCTAGTTTGGCTTTGTTTTATTTTGTTTTGTTTTACAAAGGAAACCCAGGTACTGTCTTGTGCTCAATCAGTGAAAAAAAAAAAAAAAAAAACCCTATGACCAAGGAGCAGCTCCTACAGCCAAGGAATCACAGAGTGCCCGGGCCTGGCCGTTTGCCAGCAGAAGTGGTTCTGGCAGCTGTGTGAGCCGTGGGGAGCAGCAGATTATCCCAGCAGCGTGAGCTTTGCAAAATTCCCGTCTCGTGGCTGAGCAAACCTGCTCGATGTGCCACAACTTTCCGTCAGTAACATGCCTATATGCTCATTTTCAAACATTATCTCTGCCAGGAGGGATAATTTGCTGTAATATGAGGATGAGACATCCAGGAGCCGTTCAAATCGTCATTCAACTTATTTTATTCTTTATTTTTAAACTATAAAAAAAAAATCCTGGAAATGGAAATGTTTCCAGCAAAATCAATTTTCTGCAGAAGAAAAACTTTACAGATTTTATTTCTGATCCAGCAAAAGGCTGGGTTCCATGGGATCCATACGGTTATGAAGAGGATGAGGAGTTGGGGTGTGTGTGTGGGGGTGGGGGAGAGGGGGTTGTTGTTAGATCAGATTACAGAAAAGCTAGTGCTTCGGAAAAACATTTAGATGGTAGATTTGGAGATAAATTTAAATATTATGATTGCTACAGAGAAAACTTAAGAAGGAAGTCCAGAAATAACCCAGGATCATAGGGAAGAAACCATTCAGTGGTTTTTAAGAAAACACAGCACTTAGTAGTTGCTCAGCTAGAGATAAGTCATAAATACCAAATAGAAATGTATTAAGAACTAGTCGATTCATCATCCTCCCACTACTGTAGAGAGATAGAGACTCCAGGCTAATCCCTCCTCCACTCCCATCACAGTTCAGCTGCTGGAGTCTTCCCAGTCAGCCTGATCTGGCCTCCTCCCTCTGGACCAGGGGGCCTTTCTGTCCTTCTTCCCTACCAACCAGGAAGCCCCTGGAGACCAGCATAATATTTTATTCCTCAGTGAATCCAAGGACTGCTTTCAGGGACAGAGCTGTAATAGGAGCCCAATAAATAAATGTTAGCTGAAAAAAAACAAAAACACCTATTTAGCTCAACTTTGGGAGTGGGGAGAAACCTTTTGTTGAGTTTGGAGCTCCCTGAAAATAAATATCCTAAGTATTATGGCACCAAACATTCTTGAAACTGAAATTTCCAAGATAGAGTTTCTCAAACATTGGCTAAATTCATACCAACTGAGTCAATTTGCTAATGTGGGACTTTTGGATTCTTAAGTATATATTTTTAGGAAGACCTATTTTTAAGCAGAAAGGATAATAAAGGTGATTTATTTAGTGACAGTATAGCTCTTTTCCCAAATTATTTTCTTCTATAACAAGAAGGAGAGGACTTAGCACTTAGATTATATTTACTGAACAAATAGTCACTCAACTCTAGTCAAACAATGAGCAATGACAAAGTCAGAGCCACTGCCCTCCTTCCAGAATTCCTTGATAATGAGGATGAAAAGACAACTTTAAGCAAACTATAAACATTTTAGGGAATGAAAGAAGGGGAGATGATGGGAGAAAGTATGAGAATATGATATTTTGCAGGATACTAGCCAAGAAATTCTGAAGCACTAACTTAGACAAGTCAAAGAGAAGAAAAAATAAAATAAAAAAGAATTTCAGATCTTTCTTAAGGAAGAATTTCAAATAACATATAGAGATATTCCACACCCTCCAGGATGGGGAACATAATTCTGCTCTTTCCCTACCCTCCCCCTTGCCTCCAGGATGGGCTAGACTCTGTGACTTGCTTCCAAAGAACAGAGTGTAAAAATGGAAAAATACTGTACAGTGAACAAACCTAGAAAACATGACTTAACCAAATGATGAAGGTTAACATTATCAGCGATGCCATGTGGATGTCATGTACCCTCTGATAGGATGTGATGAGACAGGCAGTTTGCCTCTGTGGTGTTCTTTCCAAAAACTCATAACCCCGTCGAATCAAGATTAAAACATCAGGAAAACTTAGATGGAGGGGCATTCTACAGGTAACCTGGCTAGTACTCCTCAGAATTTTAAGGTCATGAAAAACATAGAAAGACTGGGAAACTATCACAGGCCAGAGGAGACTGGGGAGACCTGACAACTAAATATAACATGGTACCCTGCATTGGATCTTGAAGCACAAAGAGGATGTCAATGGACAACTGGAAAAAGCCTGTAAGACTAGAGGTTTCTTGGTTTGTTTTTTTTTTTAAAGAGTATCATCGGGGAACAGTGAGTACTAACTAGGTCCCTCCTCCCTTTACCTCAGTAGATTGCAATTTGTCACCTACTTTCTCAATGTAACACTTTAGTTGCTTCAGAAAAGTTAAAGGCACTGCCTTAGAGAAGCCTATGTTGGCAACAAAATTATAGTGATAAAACCATGAAAAATGTAAATGAATAAAAGATTATACAGTTAGAATGCTTTTTGGAATAAACTATAAAGAGTAAAAACAAAAATATTGAAAAAATATTTATAATAACTGCATGACTATGGCAACTTTGCTTATTTTTAACAAATTTAATTTATATAATGTAAACTAACAGTTGTATTCAAGAATTTGGTGACCTTCTCATTTCACCTTCAAACTACTTACCAAAATATTTATTCTTGTCCATTAACATTTAATTTGAACCAGTCGTATAAAAAATTCTCTTTCAAGACCGCTAGCAAGACTAATAAAGAAAAAAAGAGAGAAGAATCAAATAGACACAATAAAAAATGATAAAGGGGATATCACCACCGATCCCACAGAAATACAAACTACCATCAGAGAATACTACAAACACCTCTATGCAAATAAATTAGAAAATCTAGAAGAAATGGATAAATTCCTCAACACATACACTCTCCCAAGACTAAACCAGGAAGAAGTTGAATCTCTGAATAGACCAATAACAGGATCTGAAATTGTGGCAATAATCAATAGCTTACCAACCAAAAAGAGTCCAGGACCAGATGGATTCACAGCCGAATTCTACCAGAGGTACAAGGAGGAACTGGTACCATTCCTTCTGAAACTATTCCAATCAATAGAAAAAGAGGGAATCCTCCCTAACTCATTTTATGAGGCCAGCATCATCCTGATACCAAAGCCAGGCAGAGACACAACCAAAAAAGAGAATTTTAGACCAATATCCTTGATGAACATTGATGCAAAAATCCTCAATAAAATACTGGCAAACCGAATCCAGCAGCACATCAAAAAGCTTATCCACCATGATCAAGTGGGCTTCATCCCTGGGATGCAAGGCTGGTTCAATATATGCAAATCAATAAATGTAATCCAGCATATAAACAGAACCAAAGACAAAAACCACATGATTATCTCAATAGATGCAGAAAAGGCCTTTGACAAAATTCAACAACCCTTCATGCTAAAAACTCTCAGTAAATTAGGTATTGATGGGACGTATCTCAAAATAATAAGAGCTATCTATGACAAACCCACAGCCAATATCATACTGAATAGGCAAAAACTGGAAGCATTCCCTTTGAAAACTGGCACAAGACAGGGATGCCCTCTCTCACCACTCCTATTCAACATAGTGTTGGAAGTTCTGGCCAGGGCAATTAGGCAGGAGAAGGAAATAAAGGGTATTCAATTAGGAAAACAGGAAGTCAGATTGTCCCTGTTTGCAGATGACATGATCGTATATCTAGAAAACCCCATTGTCTCAGCCCAAAATCTCCTTAAGCTCTTAAGCAACTTCAGCAAAGTCTCAGGATACAAAATCAATGTACAAAAATCACAAGCATTCTTACACACCAATAACAGACAAACAGAGAGCCAAATCATGAGTGAACTCCCATTCACAATTGCTTCAAAGAGAATAAAATACTTAGGAATCCAACCTACAAGGGACGTGAAGGACCTCTTCAAGGAGAACTACAAACCACTGCTCAATGAAATAAAAGAGGATACAAACAAATGGAAGAACATTCCATGCTCATGGGTAGGAAGAATCAATATCGTGAAAATGGCCATACTGCCCAAGGTAATTTATAGATTCAGTGTCATCCCCATCAAGCTACCAATGACTTTCTTCACTGAATTGGAAAAAACTACTTTAAAGTTCATATGGAAACAAAAAAGAGCCCGCATTGCCAAGTCAATCCTAAGCCAAAAGAACAAAGCTGGAGGCATCGTGCTACCTGACTTCAAACTATACTACAAGGCTACAGTAACCAAAACAGCATGGTACAGGTACCAAAACAGACATATAGATCAATGGAACAGAACAGAGCCCTCAGAAATAACGCCGCATATCTACAACTATCTGATCTTTGACAAACCTGAGAAAAACAAGCAATGGGGAAAGGATTCCCTATTTAATAAATGGTGCTGGGAAAACTGGCTAGCCATATGTAGAAAGCTGAAACTGGATCCCTTCCTTACACCTTATACAAAAATTAATTCAAGATGGATTAAAGACTTAAACGTTAGACCTAAAACCATAAAAACCCTAGAAGAAAACCTAGGCATTACCATTCAGGACATAGGCATGGGCAAGAACTTCATGTCTAAAACACCAAAAGTAATGGCAACAAAAGCCAAAATTGACAAATGGGATCTAATTAAACTAAAGAGCTTCTGCACAGCAAAAGAAACTACCATCAGAGTGAACAGGCAACCAGAAAATGGGAGAAAATTTTCGCAACCTACTCATCTGACAAAGGGCTAATATCCAGAATCTGCAATGAACTCAAACAAATTTACAAGAAAAAAACAAACAACCCCATCAAAAAGTGGGCAAAGGATATGAACAGACACTTCTCAAAAGAAGACATTTATGCAGCCAAAAGACACATGAAAATATGCTCACCATCACTGGCCATCAGAGAAATGCAAATCAAAACCACAAAGAGATATCATCTCACACCAGTTAGAATGGCAATCATTAAAAAGTCAGGAAACAACAGGTGCTGGAGGGGATGTGGAGAAATAGGAACACTTTTACACTGTTGGTGGAACTGTAAACTAGTTCAACCATTGTGGAAGTCAGTGTGGCGATTCCTCAGGGATCTAGAACTAGAAATACCATTTGACCCAGCCATCCCATTACTGGGTATATACCCAAAGGACTATAAATCATGCTGCTATAAAGACACATGCACACGTATGTTTATTGCGGCACTATTCACAATAGCAAAGACTTGGACCCAACCCAAATGTCCAACAATGATAGACTGGATTAAGAAAATGTGGCACATATACACCATGGAATACTATGCATCCATAAAAAATGATGAGTTCATGTCCTTTGTAGGGACATGGATGAAATTGGAAATCATCATTCTCAGTAAACTATCGCAAGGACAAAAAACCAAACACCGCATGTTCTCAGTCATAGATGGGAATTGAACAATGAGAACACATGGACACAGGAAGGGGAACATCACACTCTGGGGACTGTTGTGGGGTAGGGGGAGGGGGGAGGGATAGCATTAGGAGATATACCTAATGCTAAATGACGAGTTAATGGGTGCAGCACACCAGCATGGCACATGTATACATATGTAACTAACCTGTACATTGTGCACATGTACCCTAAAACTTAAAGTCTAATAATAATTTTTAAAAAATTCTCTTTCAAAACATAACTCCCAGCATGTGCTTTGGGAGAAACTTTCAATTGTAAAAACAATAGCTAAGATTGAAGAAACAGTACAGTTTCAAGTAAATAAAGGTAGACAGGAAGTTCTCTGGCTCTTAAATCCTGTCACTAATAAATCAATATAATCAGAAAAACACATTTTTAAATTTAAATTTAAGTTTAAATTTTAGATTCAAGGGGTACATGTGCAGATTTGCTACATGGGTATATTGCGTGATGCTGAGGTTGGGCTTCTATTGATCCCAACACGAAGATAGTGAGCATAGTCCCCAGAGGGAAGTTTTCCAGCCCTTGCCCCCCTCCCTCTCTACTTTCTTTTGGAGTCCCCAGCATCTATTGTTCCCATCTTTATGTCCACGTGTACCCAGGAGTTAACTCCCACTTATAAGTAAGAACATGCAATATTTGGTTTTCTATTTCCGCAAAAAGCAAGTATTATTGAGTCTCCAAGCACCAGTGCCTTGATTTCAGCCCTGGGGAAGTATGGAGTGTCTAGGATGTCAGATCCTTTGTCATCATCAATTGAGCGGGGAAAGACCCAGGGAAAGGGAAAACATTGGTGCTTTGGTTAACTTTCCCTTAACAAACTTTCAGAGGTTGGGCCACCGAAGTGGTTAGGGGGAAATTTTCCTAAGGAAGCTGTTGGAGCCAAGCTGCCCTATAGAAAAAGGTCGGGGGCCAGGAGCGGTGGCTCACACCTGTAATCCCAGCACTTTGGGAGGCCATGGCGGGCGAATCACAAGGTCAAGAGGTCGAGATCATCCTGGGCAACATGGTGAAACCCCCTCTCTACTAAAAATACAAAAATTACCTGGGTGTGGTGGCACGCGCCTGTAGTCCCAGCTACTTGGGAGGCTGAGTCAGGAGAATCGCTTGAAGCTGGGAGGTGGAGGTTGCAGGGAGGCAGAGGTTGCAGTGAGCCGAGATCGGGCCACTGCACTCTAGCCTGGCGACAGAGTGAGACTCCGTTGAAAGAAAGCGAGAAAGAGAGGGAGGGAGGGAGGGAGGGGGGGAGGGAGGGAGGAAGGAATCAAATGGTGGGGGACGTAGATGAGAAGCAGCTCCTCTAGACCCCACAGTGCAAGGAGAACTCTGAGGAAAAGCAGAGAAGGCGTTTCGGAAAAGCTCCTGAGATAGGATCCATGGGACACTTTGGCATCACTGTGATCAGAAACTGGAAGTAAGCTCTTTCCATAGATCCAGGCCCAGGAGACACAAACCAATGGCATTGAGCCTGTTTATGGTCACCTTCTGCATGGTGTTGGGGGTAAGGGGAGTTGGCGCACCTGGTTTTGCTCATTCTCCGCATCGATCAGACAGAGTCCAAGTGGCCAATATTCTTCCACTCTGTTCTTCATGAAAAAAGCCCACCCTCTAATGAGGATGCCTGGCAACTTACCTTTTATAGAGGAATGCAGAGAACAAAGGGTATTGAGTAGATTCTGAAACTGATTTCCAGACCTTCCTTGTAAGTAGAATGCAGGCAGGTGGCCCAATCTAGACACCCACCCGTGCTTGTCCCACCCCTGTGTAAGGGCTCTCCTTTCTGACAGCTGAGAAGTCCTTGGATTTCTCACCTCAAGAAAGCCCCTGTAGCCAGCAGCTCTGTGTCTGTGCCCACTCTTCACGCTGGCATACAGGGGGCTATACAGGCAGGAACAGTGGGATGTGTGCCTGTCACCAAGTCCAGCATGTAGCTCAGCTGAGAAGCATTTTTGTGCATGGCATCCTGCATATTGCCGTTCTTAGCCATCACCATCCACATGTTCCTCAGGCTGGAGAAGTGAAACTCAAACCTCCTTCTCCCTCATTACCAACTACTTCCAACATTCTAGATTCTGTCTCCAAAACAGCACACAAACACACCTCCAGTTCCCTAACCTGACTTTTACAGCCTTAATCCCAACTCTCGTTTCTAATTGGAATTAGGACTGCCCAGTCTCCCAGGTGCACCATGGCCCCAGTCTCTCCGGACTGCCTGGTGTGTCATGCACGGCCATTCAGAATCGGCTCCAGCCACTCTTGCCAATCTCACCTCATGCCCTTCTTTGCCACTCATCCTATACTCCAGTCACTCAGAACTTCTGATCCCCACAATCCTCTTCCTTCACCTCACCCTGGAGTGCACTCCCTTCTGCACCCAGCAAACATCTACTCGAGTTCCAAGCCCCAACACAGGTGCCACCTGCCGACCTTCCCAGGTGTCCTAAGCAGCATCTGCCTAGGGGTTGCCATGCTGCTCATATGACTTTTGATTCAGTCCTTACCTTTCTGAGCCTCAGTTTCTGCATCTGCGAAATAGGAGAAAATAATAACATCATCCCATGGGGTGATTGTGGAAATGAAATGAAATAATACATTGTTTTCCTAGGGCTGTCATAGCAGAGTTCCACAAACTGGGTGGCCTAAAGCAAAAGAAATTCATTGTCTCACAGTTCTGGAAGGTTGAAGTCTGAAATCAAGGTGTCAACAGGGCCACACTCCCTCTGAAACCTGTAAAGGAAGCCTCCCTTGCCTCTTCCTCACTTTCAGTGGTTTGCCAGCAATCTTTGGCATTTCCTGGCTTGTACATTGTATCACTCCAATACTCCATCTTCCCTCTGTGTGTGTCTGTGTTTGTGTCCAAATTTTCCCTTTTATTTTATTTATTTATTTATTTATTTTGAGATAGAGTTTCACTCTGTTGCCTGGGCTGGAATACAGTAGAGCGATCTCGGCTTCCTGCAACCTCCACCTCCCGGGTTCAAGTGATTCTCCTGCCTCAGCCTCCTGAGTTGCTAGGATTACAGGCGCCTGCCACTACGCCCAGATAAGTTTTTACATTTTTAGTGAAATGGGGTTTCACTATGTTGGCCAGGCTGGTCTCGAACTCCTGACCTCATGATTAGCCTGCCTTGGCCTCCCAAAGTGCTGGGATTGTAGATGTGAGTCTCCGTGCCCAGCCCAAATTTTCCCTTTTATTAGGACATCCATTCATATTAGGTAAGGACCCCCTCATGACCTTATTTTAATGTGATTATCCCTGTAAAGACACTCTTTCCAAGTAAGGTCACACTCTGAGGTACTGACGTCAAGACTTCGACATATCTTTTTGGGAGTACTTAATTTAACCTGTGACATATAATAAATGCAAAGTTTTCATATGTGCTAAGCCCATGCTCCCCCAAGGTGTGTGCAGATGGCTTGCCCACTCCACTGTCAGGCACAACCCTGGCATCTATAATAGGTGACCCAAAGTGTGTGTTCAACCAAGGAAACACAGTCCATGCTGCTTCCTTTCCCTCCTTCTCTCCTGAGCATTCCCATCTGACCTTATAGGAATGCTAGAATCTTAAACTATGCCACTACATATAATACAAGTTCCAAGATTAAAGATTCAAACAGACCATGTCTCTGGAACCTACTCTCCTTTCCATTGCTTTCGAAAATTGCTGAAGAGGCAATTACAGCTGCATGTTGGTAATGGAAATAATTATGACTACTTTCTGAAATTAGTTATCTGATACATTTCTCATAGGTAATTTAAGGGGGGCAGTGAAGTGGGATAGGTGGGTTCTTTTACTGAAAGCTTCACACTCTATAATTGAACAGCATAATGGAGGAAGAAAACTAATGCAACCAAGATAATGCATAAGATAATGCAACCAA
Source organism: Homo sapiens (assembly GCF_000001405.40). NCBI lineage: Eukaryota > Metazoa > Chordata > Mammalia > Primates > Hominidae > Homo > Homo sapiens. The sequence goes on from NC_000007.14 coordinate 39,280,749, forward strand.
GAGAAAATAAGTTAACATAGCGATTGCTTTGGGATTTCACTAAACTGAAGCACTGGGAATAAAACATGAATGAAGACATCTTCTGCCTACAAAGTAATCATCAGATCCTATATTTGCAGTCTCTAAAAAGTGATGATGCTCACAAGTTGGCAGACACTAGCGAATTTCCAAACAGTTATGATCTTGCCAGAAACCGGAGCACCCTCGTGCAAAATCTCCTAGAGTAGCACCAAAGGACACTTTGCTAGATAAATGCATCTTTTAAAAGTTTTAGTATTTATGAATGGAAAGTACCAGGGAAATAGAGAATACAAGACATATGAAAACACGTTCATTTAGAAATCATGCCATTTTAATGTTTATATTTTTTTATTTTGATAAAATATACATAAAATTTGCCATTTCTTAATTTTGTTTTTGATTGATATATAATAACTGTATATACTTGTGGGGTATAGTGTGATGTCTTGATACATGTGTGCATTGCATCATGGTCAAATCAGGGTATTTAGCATACCTGTCGCCTCATACATTTATCATTTCTTTGTGGTAAAAACATTCAGAAGCCTCTCTTTTAGCTATTTTGAAATATACAATACAATATTGTTAAACACAGTTACCCTACTGTGCAATAGAATATCAGGACTTACTCCTCCTATCTAACTGTAACTTTGTACCTGTTGGCCAGTCTCTCTTTATCCCTCCTCCTCCCTCCCCTTTCCAGCCTCTGGGAACCACTATTCTACTTTCTATTTCTATGAGATCAACTTTTTTAGATCCCACATATGTGTGAGAACATGCTGTATTTGTTTTTCTGTGTCTGCTTATTTTACCTAACATAATGTCTTCCAGATTCATCCATGTTGCTGCAAATGACAGAATTTCATCCTTTTTTATGGCAGAATTAATATTCCATTGTGTGTATATACCACATTTTCTTTATCCATTCATCAGTTGATGGACACTTAGGTTGATTCCATATCTTGACTGTTGTGAGTAGTGCTGCAGTAAACATGGTAGTACAGACATCTCTTCAACATAGTGATTGCATTTCCTTTGGCTATATACCCAGTACTTGGATTGCTGGATCATATGGTAGTGCTATTTTTAATTTTTTTAGTAAACCCCATACTGTTTTCCAAAATGGCTATACTAATTTGCATTTACACCAACAGTGTATAAGAGTTCCCCTTTCTCCACATGATCATGAGCATTCATTATTTTTTGTAGCTATTCTAATTGGGGTGAAGTGGTATCTCATTTTGGTTTTGATTTGCATTTTCCTGATGATTGGTGATGTTGAGTATTTTTTCATATACAGGTTGGCCATTTGTATGTCTTCCAAGAAATGTCTGTTTGGCATTTTATTCATTTTTAAAATCAGAGTATTTGTTGCTTTGCTATTGAGTTGTTCAAGTTGCTTATATATTCTGTATATTAACTCCTTGTTGGATGCATAGTTTGCAAATATTTTCTCCTATTCCGTAGGTTGTCTCTTCACTCTGTTGATTATTTCCTTTTCTGTGCAGAAGCTCTTTAGGTTGGTATAGTCCTATCTGTCTATTTATATATTTCTGTTGCCTGTACTTTTAAGATCTTATCCAAAAAACCCTTGCCTAGACCAGTGTCATGAATCATTTCCTCTATGTTTTCTTCTATCATTTGGCGTTTTACATTTAAGTCTTTAATCCAGTTTGAATTGATTTTTGTATGTGATGAGAGATGGGGGTCTAGTTTCATGTTTCTGCATGGCGATATCTAGTTTTGCGAGACCATTTATTGAAGAGAATGTCCTTTTCCCAATATGTGTTCTTGGCACCTTTATCAAAAATCAGTTCGCTGTAAGTGTATGGATTTATTTTTGTGTTATCTATTTCATTCTGTTGGTCTTGGGGTCTGTTTTTCTAAAAGTACCATGCTGTTTTGGTTACTATAACCTTGTAGTATATTTTGGAGTCAGGTAATGTGATGCCTCCAGTTTTGTTCTTTTTGTACAAAATTGCTTTGGCTGTTTGGGTTGTTTTGTGGTTCTATATGAATTTTAAGATTGTTTTTCTACTTTTGTAAAGAATGTCACTGGTATTTTAATAGGGATTGCATTGAATCTATAGATCACTTGGGTAGTATGAACATTTTAATAATAATAATTCTTTCAGCCCATGAACTCAGGATATCTTTCCATTTATGTGTATCCTCTTCAATTTTTTTCATCAGTGCTTAAATAGCTTTCATTGTAGAGATCTTTCAACTCCTTGGTCAAATTTATTCTTAGGTAACTTCTTTTTTTGGAACTATTGTTAACGGGATTGCTTTCTTGACTTCTTTTTCAGATAGTTCACCATTGGCATTTAGAAATGCTATGATTTTTGAATGTTGATTTTGTCTGCTGCAACTTTACTGGATTCATTTATTAGTTTTAAAGGATTTTTGGTGGAGTCTTAAAGTTTTTTTATATATAAGATTATGTCATCCATAAATACGGACAATTTAACTTCTTCCTTTCCAATTTGAATGCCCTTTATTTTTTTCTCTTTCCCAATTACTAATCATTTTTAAGTGTATATTTCAGTCGTACTAAGTACATTCACATTCGTAAGTAACCATCATTGCTATCCATCTCCAGAACTTTTTCATCATCCCAAACTCAAGCTCAGTACTCATTAAACAAAAACTCCCCATTCCCTCCACTCCCAAGCCCTTGACAACCACCATTCTACTTTCTGTCTCTATGAATTTGATTACTCTAGGTATCTCATGTAAATGGAATCATACAGTGTTTGTCCTTTGGTGACTGGCTTATTTCATTAGGGTACTGTCTTCAAGTTTCATTCATGTTGTAGTATGTATCAGAATTTCCCTTTTAAGACTAATAATATTCCATTGTATGTATACACAGCATTTTCTATATCCATTCATCTGCTGATGAACACTTGGGTTGTTTCCACTTTTTGGCTATTGAGCAAATCATGACTTTTTAAGCTTACTTTATTTTAACTCATTCCCAAGACCTGCTGATTTTACCAAATGAACATGTTAAAGAAACACTGCTTCTGGATAGCTCAGCCAAAAGACACTTAACTTATTTTCCTTTCTAACTTTTTAAAAATTTAGCACCTGTACTCTCTCAAAGTGTGACACGTGCATTATTAAATTATTGCAGATAATACAAAAGGATACAGATAATACAAGAGGATGCAAACGCTTAAACCATTTAAGTGATTTGCTTAAGCACACATCTAGTAAATGACAAAAAAAGGATGCAAATTTCACTCTCTGCCTCCAAGGCCAAACCTTTCCCCTACACCGTGAACCAAGCCTCTCCGGTATTATCAAGATCCTATGGTCTAGAGAAGGCTGGAAATCCCTTTGCAAAAGAGATTTGGTAGTAAGATAAATTTTTCTGATGTACACATGATTAAGATAGATACTTGGTCTGTATATTGGAGATCTGACTGATTCCATTTAACACATCTCAGGCTGGGCTAGTGCAACTCTTTCTGTATAAGTGCATGTTTGTAGCCCAAAGTCTTCACAGTAGGGAGCAAATTTACAAGGAAGTCATATAATAAACTCCTGTGAGCTCTGGCTTTCTGTGGATTTTGTAGCTGTGGTAGTAGCTGTTCACAAGATAAAGGGATTTGGTGGGGTTTGAAAAGGCTGCTGTTCTTACATGTATTTTCTCCAATGAATGTGCTGGAGGAAATTTCTCCTGACAGGTTATTATAACTACTTTAATGTACATATGACCAGCTGTCTGGAAAACAGTTCAAATTTTGAATTGTTCATAAATATACTGACATACTTGGTGACAGCACATGAACATTTAATTTGATCTTTGTTCTTTAAAATAGTAATATTGCCTTCTGAGTGGGAGTAAGACACTATATCCTTTGGAGAAATACACAGCTCTTTCTCTGTGCTAGCTTTCAAATACTTTCTGTTTGGTATTTTAATGTGTTTGCCATTAAAATCATAGCAGGTTTGGGCTTTTCCATGCCACTCAAGAAATAAGAAATGGCTTTTCTTCCTAATTCAAGTTAAATTCAGTCAAGGTTGGTAAGAATATGATGTTATTTCAAGGTCTGTTTCCTCCTCCTCTGACCATATAAGATGCCCAAATATCTGTAGTCCCTAACAATAAAGATGGTCTGGGTGGGTCTAGGCATCATTGCTTCTCACAGGCAAGGTCCGTAGGATCCACAAGAAGGCTGGAGGCTTCACTCCCCGTGGACCTGGGTCAGCCATGGGGATCTCCGTGAAGCTCTCAAGCCCACAGCTTGCATCCCTCACAGGGGATACCATTACATCTTACAGAGAAGGAAACCTAGGCTGTTCTAGTGGCTTGGCCAGAAAGCGACAAATCCTGGATTTTATCCCCAAGTCTTCAGACTCCTAATCAACAAATTTTTTTCTAATTTGTCACAACTGTATTTCTTGGACTTTTCCTCCTGCAAGGATTGGAACTCATCTTCTATCACCTGTAATATACCCCCTCACTGCAGATAGTTCCCACTGAAAACTCTGATGCCATGTTTGGTTCCATGCATGATGCACAGATTGACAAAGGGACAAGGTATTTTTCAAGACTGCCCATAAAACCTGTAGGATGTATGGCCACCATGCTCATCGTATGTCGTGTATTAGTCACTCACAGTTTTCTGCCCAACTCACCCACTAGCAAAAAGGCCCTTTGAATGTGTGGTTTGTTTCCATAGCCAGTAGCAATGGTTCAAGAATTCCCTTTTGTGAATATAGGGAAAGTTGCCAGCTTGTTTTAAAACATATTTGTACTGGATCCAATTGCTACATGTTTCTAAAACTTGCATGGCAATGATATGGATTTCAACATTTTGTAAAACTAAAACACTCCCCAGGTAAGGACCAAAAACCTTATGTTTTAAATCATGTGAGTTAGATTTTGAAAAAAATACATATTTCAATCAGCCATAGAGGAAAGAAATCTGAAAATTATATAAAATGTTGTAAAAAGACTGGCCCTTGGCTTTACACAAGATGCTGAAGTTTCTCAGTAGCATCCCCAGCAACTCCATGTTCCCCCATCTGTCAGCTCCTCTGCTTTCTTCCCACTCCTGGTGCCTTCCTCCCCATCCTCATATCTAAACCTGTTTTCAGGATTGCATATGATCTTAGCATTTATTCCCAGAAGGGAGGAAGCATGTAGCTCTATATTTCCAGCACAGGACACACGTTGATTCGCAATAAATGCTGATTGATGGAGTGAATTAGTGAGCAAAAGGGTGAATAGGAGTCCATGAGCTTCTCTTCCCACCAGCATCTGTACTTAAGCCTCATCTCTACTTGTTGACCAAACAGTTTTTTCTTTTAAACTTTAGCCCCAGAGAGCAAGTGAGAGAGTTAACCTGGGAAGTGGGAAGTGGGGAGGGAACCTCTGAAATAATGATTTATACGGTCATACATCTATCCCACTTACCAGCAAGATGGGGCTGGGGGCTACATTACATAGATTCAAAGACTCTAGAGCTGTTAACCAAGCCAAGGATCACAAAAGTATTTCTGTAGCAGGATGGCTGGGGTACACACAGTTTACAAGGAGGAAACATCCTGGCTCAGCAGTGAATCCAAAATAATTTAACTACCTACAGTACTTATATAATATTATTTCCTAATGTCATTGTTTTAGAAACCACAGCATGGTTTAATCTTACTGTCAAATTAAGGGGCAGAATTAACAGGACAATGTAAAATGTTCGAGTTACCCGTTCTGTAAATGGTGTGTCTTTCCAGATGTGCTCAGATTTCTCTCAAATACAGTTTTCTGGCCTCTCCTTGAACATTCCTGGTGATGGGGAGTTTATGTTGGACAGGTCAGATTGTTAGAAAAGTTCTTTATATTACTCTGGAATCTCATTCCCTGATGTGAAACTTTCATTCCTTGGCCCTATTACGCCAGTTGACATCAGCATTTTCCAAAGTGTGTCCCAAGGATGCAAATTAGTTTCATAGAATGTTAAAAGGTATCATCATCATTGTCATCATCATCATCATTATTAGAGACAGGGTCTCGCTCTGTCTCCCAGACTGGAGTACAGTGGTATGATCCTGGCTCACTGCAGCCTCAAACTCCTGGCCTCAAGGGATCCTCCCACCTCGTCCTCCCAAAGTGCTGGGATTACAGGCATGAGCCACCATGCCCAGCTTTTTGAGGTATCTTTTTTTTTTTTTTTCCATAAGGCAGAGAGGGAGTTTGTAGTCGAATAAGAATGAAATTCCTAACTTAAAAGATGTCAAGCGAGTCTGCTTCCCCAGGGACTTTTCAGAGCTTTTAATAGGCTAATGGATGCTGTGAGTCTCTATGAGGAACAGGCACAAAGCCTGCTTGTGCCCACAGCATCACTTTTTACCGACACAGCATCTCTCAAGATTAATAGCCCAACAAGCAATGTTTGCAAATAGTTACCTAAATAAACATAAAATAAACCTACTTTCCCTTCCTCAAACCAGCTCATCGAATAACTGAAGAAAATGATAAGGAAGATAAGTTCTAAATCCAGGCTAAATATCGTAGTTCCCTCAAGGCTTGTGCGCGTGATATGGCTTTTAGACCTCAAAGTCCCGGTTCCCTCCCCTGGATTCTTCTCCCTGTATGTTACCCCTGCTTTAATGCACAACGCCTTAAAGCTAACGTCCAGATTTCTAGTTACTATTAGCTATTGTTCACCCTCCCAGGCCTTAGCTTCTCATCAAAAAATGGGGAAAGTCATAGTCTACCAACCTCACTGAGTCATTTTGAAAATTAAATGTGTTCATGTATGCAGAGTACTATGTAAGTGTTAGCTGTGTGTCATTCTATTCAGGGCCTATTCCCTCTTAACTGTGTTTGGTTTTGCCTTTCACATTCAGATTCCAGGAGACACACACAGAAAAAAACACTTGGGTCAATCATCTGATGATCTAAAGTCTTACCTGTCCAGGGTCATTCTTTGGTTCCCAGGTGCTTTGCTACTCCAAGATCACCTGGAAGCTGGTAAGAAATGAAGAATCCCAGACCCCAGCCAAGACCCACTAAATCAGAGCCTGCATTTTCTCAAGAATGTCAGGTGATTTCTGGGCACATGAATTGAAAACCACTGGCCTTGACGGTATACGCAGCACCCAGCCCAGGGCTCTGTATATAACAGATGCTCAGGGGGGCTTTCTGGCATCTGTGTATATTGACTGAACCTGTATACTGTCAGTAGGGGAGATTGCTGACTGGGAAATTCTGGAGTCAAAGGCATGTAAAGGGTAAATGGGAAGGGGCTTGGTTCGTAGCAATTAACACTATTTGCCTAAATAAGATCAAAGAGCAGGTACATTTTAAACACTAAAAAATAATTAAAGACCAAGCTTTTGAATTATGCTTTCTTTTTAATTGTTTAATCTTCTTTCAATTATAATCAAAGCTCTAGCTTTTGTGAGAGATAATGTTAACAATTCAGGGGACTATTTATCCTCAGAGGCAATAAGCTGCAGTGTCAAGACCACCATCTTTGCAATAAGACAGACCTGAGTTCAAAGCCCACCTCTGCCCCTCTCAGCTATGTGACATGGCAAATAACCTCACCTCTCTGAGCTTCAACATCCTCAGCTGTCACAGGGGCATAATCATGCTCATCTCATAGGACAGAGGAGGATAAACTAATATAGAGCTTCTAGCATAGTGACTCACAAGTAGCAGACATTCAGCAAACACTAGTTCCTTTCTTCTTCATCACATATCAGCCTTCTGTTCACGAACACCTTGGTCAAGTGAAAAATTGCAATGCTTTTTGGAGATACAACCACCTGGTCCATTGGCTTGCAAGCCCATCATTTAAGCAGATCGTGAATCATCTGTCCTACAGTGCCCATAGTCATCATAGTTTTCAACCCATTCCCTAATCGTGGTCAGTAGAGACCACATAATAAAAAAGCAGTGAATGAACATATCAGGTAGATGCTGACAACACCACTAGGTACTTCATTGAATCAGAGTGTCTGGCACATAGAAGACGCTCAGTCAATGTTGGCCACCGAAACTGATAGTGACATACAGTTGTGGAGGACATCTATGCCAAGCCCCCATGCAATTTCAGCATCCTTCCACACCAGGTGCTCTTCAGCCTCTGCCTATTCAGCCCCACCAAGAGGTATTCAAAGATTATCAAGACAGCACATTCCATCCTTAGAATAAAAGATTAAACCCTTATTTCATTTTGAGCCCAAAACGGTGCGTTTTCTCCAACTTCCAAACATTGCTTCTGATCTTCCCCTAAACTGGAGCTACCTAACTATAATTCCTTCTTTTCAGGAGAACATCTTGAAATATGTTAGGGTAGCACTCACACCTCCCTTTCTGCTTATTTTCCCCCCATGAACCCCTCCTCATTGGTTCCTCCTCCCAGCTGCCTCTGGAAGGCATCACTGGCAGCTCTGCCTGGCCACAGGTCCTCCTGCCCCAGCATTACCCAACACAGGCCACACATACAGGGGGCCACTCCAGCCCCAGCACTGGAAACTAGACAGCAAGACCCAGAAGGGCTGGTCCAGCCTTGCTATGAACTCCGTTCTAGCTATGAAACCACCCACCACGTGACCATTTTATTTTCAAGTCAAACTGTTAGGTTATATAATTAAATAAAGTTTTTTGTTTGTGTCATAAGCCAAGTTTTGCTGATCTTGCAGCTATACAGTTTTGTTTTGTTTTACCTAAAAGCGGGACTTCATTTTTTTTTTCAGTTGATGCCCACATTAAAAATTGTCAAGGTCTTTTAGTATTCTGATTCAATTGTGAAAAATATTAGCTATCAACTTTCACTAATAGGTCTGTCTGTGATTCAGTTCCAAATTGTTTGAAATTCTAGTGTAGCTCTTGATCATTCAACAACATCAAAATGATGTTTTAAAAGAAAATGTATACAGTCAGTTTTTAACAGTTTTCTCCAATAATCTGAATTTATGGTTCAAAATAGTTGGCCTTGGTTTTGGTAGTCGATTAAAACAAATACCCTAGCCCCACAGTATAGCACGCAGGTCATTTTCAGTCAGAGATGTTACATTTCCATTATTATTTGTAGTGTGGGGCAATCCTCATGGGGCTTGTCATGTCATCTCTGGACCGTGTTCCTCCTCACAGTTGCTGTCAGTAGTGTGAGCAGTGTTGCTGTTGGACCATCTCAGCTTAGTCAGACGGACTTGGGCCTCAGTTCTCACCACCCAGTGACATTTACAAAGAATAGGCATAAGACTCAGGATGACAAAATGTAAAATCATTTCTCTTTAATTAGAAATGATAAGATAAAGCACCATCCAAAGTTAGAAAAAAAATATGACTTAAGGAAAAGTATTTTTTAACGTGTTTATGTCAGCACCTTTCTTGTACACACAGATATACAAGTTTTAAAAATCCATTTCATATTTTGGGTTGGACAACATCCTCTTTCATATTAGTCCGTCTCCTGAATTGCTCTTCACAACTCCTTCCCCAGGGCTACTTGTCCCCACCCATCCCCATTCAGAATCCAGATCTCACCGGAAACATTCTTGTTGCCACAGCCTACCTCTCCCTTGCACCTTTCGCTTGAGTAGCTCCCTGGGACAGTGCTAAAAGCTTCAGGCTGCCTAGACAAGTCTCCCCACCAAGCCACTCCCTGTACAGAATCTGTTCTTGAGCTTTGTGCTCTGATATTCTCGATTCTAAACATGGGTAGGCTATATTCCTTTTAATCAAGTTCTTCAAGCTGAACCTGGTGAATGGCTTTGCAAGTGCCATTTTTCAGGGACTAAACATATCGTGCTACAAAATCAATAGATGTTATATTCAAAGTTAATTATCATTTCTAGGTAAATTTAAATTAACTGAGAATTTCCTTGAACGTTTTTGTTTGTTGTCATCCTTATGTTTTCCTCCTTAAGAGGCAGACCATGTGTCAATCTTACAAATCCAGCTATGCCCTCTCTTTGCAACCTCCTGAGATGCTCTGCAGGACTTTATGTGGTGACTACCTGTCCTCCTTCAGGGACTGCAGGCCTGTGATTATGAAATAGAAATAAAGCAAAATTCCCCAGCTCATAAAAGACTTCACTCACACCACGTGGCTGCCAACCAATAGGAGTAAGATGGGCTAGTGAAAATTGCAAGTACTTGTGGAGAAGATTAGATGATTGATTCAAATAATGTCACTACTATAAAGAAAATTTTAATCTGGATTTATCAAGCCCCTTTGGTCCAGGTCTCTGAACTAATATTTAGAGGCAAAGAGGACAGAAAAAAAAAAAAAAAAAAAAGCACAAGTTTACAGAACAAGGAACTCAGCATCATTGCTTAAGGTTTAAACTTTAAGTTTTTATCTGGCTGTGGATATAAATTTGGGTTACCTCTTCTAGCTGATAACGTATAGCATTTGGCAAATCTGTGCTTAAAAATTCACAAATTAATTCCCATCTAATCACCACTGTCTTTCATTTTAGAATAATTAAACATGAGCTAATTAAATGAGTCTTTTGAAAGTGAGATTATTTGATAGCATTAACCTACATTTGACCTGCTGAGGATGGCACATTAGATGCCAATGCATTATTTCAGGTTTTGCATTATGTTGTTGTGACCTGCTATAATTATAAGAGGAAAATTTTTCTCTTTATTTATGACACATAATTTTAGATGGCTTCCAGATATTACATCTCATCTTGTTTTGCTCTTTATGAGATGCAAAGATATTGCCACCATCCAATTACACTGGATCACAAGCTTTAGACCGGCTATGATTTAATTACATTTTTGTTCATTCAAACATTTATACCTCGTGTGTGTTTCCAAATCATTCTCACTCTAGTGGCAATTTCCCAACGTGGCTGCAGGAGAAAATGGCCTTTGAAACAGTGCTCTCTCTGCAGTGCTTTAGAGAGAGAGGCAGCACATGAAGAAGAACCTCAGAAGATGAGGGCTAGGCTTGAAGCACGGTTTCATTAATACCGGATGGCAGAAAAGGAGCCAAGTCCCAGATAATGAGGAAGGAGTTGCAATTTTTTTTAAAGCTATCTGGTGACAGGGAAAACAAAAATGACATTCAGCTGACGAATGAGCGGAGTTTGACCTAGCCTTTTGACCCTTGACAATCAATCTTACCTGCTACTTCATAAAGAATTATAGCTCTGCCACTCACATTTGACTCTGTATTTTTACTATTCCCTTTACCTTTTTTTTTTTTTTTAATACATGGTCCAAGAAGATAAATGTTTATGTTGGATATAGCAGAGAGGAGGAAATATGGGATACTCAGAAGGGGGAAAAAAACTGAGAAGGAGAGGAGAGAGCAACAAGACCAACAGCCATAAAATGGTTTATACATGCAATTCAGAATTGTCAGGGATATTTTTTATGTGGCTGACCAAAATAGCAACTGGAAATAACTGATGACCCTACACACCTTCCACCCGGCGCCGGGCTAGATGTGAAACCTATAAGAGTGGGGGTGAGTCCCGAGCTCATCTTCCTGTCTGCCTCTCTGCTCCCCACCTCCACCCTCTCTAAAATGCATCCAGTGAATTTTGATGAATCCATTCCCCGTCCACGGGCTCTGATTACCATGTTCATTGTGAAGGGTTTTGGTGCCATCATTATGGGAAAGAAAGGGCAGGGAGTCCTGGCCACTGAGCTGTTTTCATTATCTGTTCAAGGCACCAATGCAAGCACTAAACAGTTTGTGCTCGGCCCATCTTTGTGTCCACCAACAGAGCGTAAATCAACAGGGGTGAAAAGTAGCTCACTGGGGAGCGAGAGGAAACACCTTAGGAATAAGAGATAAGGTCTTCGTTGGCATTTGGGATGCATTGTTTTTATATATAATTTGATGCGGTTTGTCTCAAGACACTAAAACTGAGGCTAGTCAGCAAGAGCAACTTTATGGAGCTTGCCCTGTACATAAGCTGACCATGGGGAGTTTTTCTTGCCTTTATAGAGTCGAGAATCTTTTCATGACTGTACTGGAGACTTCAGCAAAAACTCAGTCTCATAGAAGCGGAATGCAATTTTTGACCATTCAATCCATCCTGGATCACTGGGAACGTTAAGCTGTTTTCCTCATCTAGCCTCAAAGAAGATAATTGGGTTGGGGGGCTGCAGGGATGGCTGGGGTCTTGCAGTGGCTCTCAAAACCAAAAAAGAAAACATCAGAGTAGGCTGTGCGCAAATGAGCCGTTTCGTACCTCCCTTCCAAACCCCGAATCTTGCTTGGGCTCTGGCCGCCTCTGTCTTACCAAAAAGAGAAAGCATCCAGGCAAATAAAAAGAACCTAGTGATTGCGTGAAAAGCCACCAATCTAGCTCTGACACCTTTCTCGGTAAGCAGGGATTACACTTTGCTGTTAGCCGCTTCACAAAGCCAGCTGTGCGCCTGCCTCTGCCCGGCCCCGACGGTGCCAGGCTCCTCTCTGCTGCGGGTCAGCTGGCTTCTGGGGGGCCACCCTCCCTCTCCTTGGCATGGAATTCGTTACTTCCAGAATTACAAGGCTGACAAGCTGTTTATGAGGTGTTTCCGGGCTGTGTGTTCATAAAGAATCTCCCCTCAAAATAGGGCGAGCTCGTTAATGGAGGAAGTGAGGTCAGTGTGCTTCTGACAATCCTAACAAGATGACAGAATTTATGAAGCGCTGCGGTAGAAAGATGTAGTTATCTGCAGTCTATTCATATAATAAGGCCGCTTGGGGCCCGTCGTTACTCCCCTTGAATTTATTTTCCTTTCTTCATTCCTTTTTGTTGTCCGGCTCTTCCTTTGGCTTTCCTTTCGGATCTACCTAGAACCATTATCGCTTCAGACCACGTGATAGCCGAGGGAAGCAGGCCCACTTCCTGTTAAGGATGGGTGGCCCGTTCACTGGACTGTGTGTGAACCCCGGTGACAAGGGAGGGTGGAGTGGGCCAAGTCTTTGGGTCAGCTTTGCATAAAACCTAAATGTGGTACCAAATCAGCAGCACCTGAAGACCGAGTTCACATTTTAACTCAACCCAAAAAAGGAAACCCGTGACTGTTTTTAAAGTCCAACTCTTTCTCATCCCAATGAACGAGGACATCTCTTTTTCTACAACCCTGTGAGGTGAGGTGAAATTGCACTGTCCCTGGGGAAACTGAGAGGCATGAAACCATCCTGGCCTGAGTGATCAGCGAAGACTGGATGGGGAGGTCCAGCTTGGTCTGCACAAGACTGGAGCAAAGGATGAAAAACTTTGAAAGGGAAAAAGGAAAAAAAGTAAGTTAAACCCTTTTGGTATTAAAATTGAGAGGCAATTTGTTAATAGCATTTATTAGTTGTAAAAACTAATAACCAGTTAAGTTGATTAGTAAAAGGAAATAAAGTAGTGCCTGTATTCAAACTATGAGAATCAGGTCTAGTGAGATCATTTCACTGTGGGAGAAAGGTCCCTTCAGAAACCTGAAACCATGATGGCAACAGCTGTCTCTATTTTTTACTCTGACTTGATGTTTCTGGTTAGCCAGAGGAATTAGAAGTAGGTTTTTCCAGCCAATTTGTTAACAAGATGCATTCATTTGTCTAACAATAGTATTAGGTTGGCGCAAAAGTAATTGCGGTTTTTGCCATCAAAAAGTGATGGCAAAAAGCGATGGCAAAAACCACAATTACTTTTGCGCCAACCTAATACTACACAATCCACTGGGGAGAAGGAAAAATAAAAAGAGTTACTTTGGATAAGCAAAACAAAAACATGCTACTGTTTCCTCTGCCTATCTAGACTGAAAGAGCTGTGAAGTAGCAAAAGAGCCAAACTGTGTGTAAGTACAAAACAAAATTTATCTCAGTTGATGTTTTTATAAAACAGAGTCCATCTTACCTTTGAATTTTATGGACCAAAATGTTGTTTCACTAGTTGCTGTACCATTGAAGTCCACCAAATGCACCCTGATTCATTCTAGAGCTCAAGAAAGGGATGGGCCAGTCTTGGTTAAGCCAGATCACCAAGAGATGGCAGGACCTGTGCCACTCCCAGCAGGGGTGGCTAATGTTTATCCAGCCTGATGGGTGTAGGGTGGCTGGGCCATTCCACCTCCCACCTCAAGATTGACTTGTATTTGACCCCAGGGAAGACCTCTTATGGGATGCTTGCTGGACTGAGCCCACAACATGAGAACATTTCAGAGTCAGGCCTGGGACTTATGTTGAAAGACACTCTGCATTGAAATCAGGGGCGGGTCCTGGGGGAATGATCATTTCATTTGGCGAATGAAACAGGAATTCCACAATACTTCATGGATTCAGAGAAACAGATTATGAATAGATTCTCATTTTTCGGTCATGCCATGAACTACTCTAGGGTTAAAAAATTATATTTCTTAGTTTGCATTCTGGTAGTCCTAAGCAAGATTGTTTTAAATGCTTGCTTGCTTGCTTTTTTTTTTTTCAAAATATTTAGTCCAAATTGTCTTTTCCACAGTTATCAGAGTCCTAAAATGAAAACCTAGGGGGTATGCGTGATTGAGTTCTGTAAGCAACACACGAAAATCAGTCTAACTGCTTTCTTGGGACTCATGGGAGAATTGTGACGTGACAATAAGAAGTTGGATATGGGGAGGCCCAGTGCGGTGGCTCACGCCTGTAATCCCAGTACTTTGATAGGCCGAGGCGGGCAGATCACTTGAGGTCAGGAGTTTGAGACCAGCCTGGCCAACATGGTGAAACCCAGTCTCTACTAAAAATACAAAAATTAGCCTGGCGTGATGGCACATGCCTATAATCCCAGCTACTGGGGAGGCTGAGGCAGGAGAATCGCTTGAACCTGGGAGGTGGAGGTTGCAGTGAGCCAAGATTGCCCCATTACACTCCAGCCTAGGAGAAGAAGTGAGACTCCGTCTCCAAAAAAGAAGTTGGATATGGGAAAGAAGAGTGGCAGCTCAAACCTAGTATTTAGATAGAGTAGTCCTGTGTGTTGTTATATCTTGATATCAAGAAGGCAATGCTACTTAAAATGATTTCTACAAACTTCATAGACAATTGTCTAAAATTCATCCACTAGAAATTTCTTCCAATATATAATTAAACATATTCTTTCAAAACACAAGTAACTTGAGAGAATTAACCCAGTTTTATTTCATATCAACAACATGTACCAGACACTAGACTAGACCTGAGGAATCTTGGTACCTGCCTCTGTAAAGCTGCATTTCCCTGTTATCAGCCCTTCACACTTTAGCAGAAATTAATGAGGAGCTAGTGCTGTTATCAGACCTTTGCACCCTAATGGGAGTGCATTTATCACATAAATGTCATCTGTAATAGCTTTATGAGAGCAAAGTCACATCATAGATTTAAGGAAATTGAAACTTAGAGATATCTATTAAGCTTATAGTATTCTAGTTAATAATTTCAGAGTGGAGCCCAGTCTTCCTACATAGATTCCTGCTGTACATTCTCTGGGTTTTTATCTTTTGTGAGAACAAGAGAAAATGGAAGAGTTATTAGATGCTCATTAATTACAGAAACTCTAAAATTAATTATTTATGAGAACTCTAAAACTAATTAATCTGTTTTCCCTACCAAACAAATTTTAAATCTGAATTTTTGCCTTCCCTACTAAGTATCATTGAGAACAAGATACAATATCTTAGTCTAATTGTAGCCCTAATACTCACATTTACCATGTATAGCATTTCAATAAGCTACCATCCCTTCTCCTCTTCCTCTCCTCACATCCAATCTGTTTTCCACGCTGCAACCAGCGTGATCTTCTCAAAATGCAAATTTTAGCATTTTGTACCCTTGTAGCTCTTGGGATAAAAGCCAAAATCCCTAAACACAGCCTCAAGGCCTCCTTCCCCAGGTCTCCTGACTCCCTCCCACTGCACAGTCTGTGCTGGTGGTGTTCCCTCTGCCTGGAACCTCCTTCCTCCCCACCTCATTGGCACCAACTCATCCTCAGGGAAGCCACCCTCCTGCCAGTGCCACCCCAGAGGGGAACAGATGTAACTTTACATTCCTATATGTGATTATTAGCTTAACGTGTTTTCCCCTCTTGACGCTTAGCTCTATGACAATAGGTTCTACACCTGGTTTTGTTCACTATGGTTTCTCCAGTGCCTGGCCCATGTCTCTCATTGAATGCATGAATGAACGAATCAATGAATGAATGAGTTTAACTGCTTCATAAAAGCTCAGTGCATTTATTTATTCAAAGCCACAGGAGTTTTTAACATTAACATGCTCTGTAACCCCAAGGTATCAGAACAATATGTACAGCCCGGAGAGCTTTTAATTCTAAAATATATTTGAAAGCCTAGGTCTGTTTGTGCCTATGAGACAAAAGAGTTAAATTAAGCAGTAATTAAGAAGAGTTGATGATTAGAGTAAAATCTCTAATAATAATGCTTTTTAAATTGTATTCTTTAGTGTTTATGCCTAATTATTTTAATAGGGGTGTTTACAAACACACATACACATACACACACACACACACACACACACACACACACACACACACATGAATTCACATATACGTGCACATTTTTTTCCTGGACTGAATTCAGCATTCCTGTATGAAGTCTGAGACTTTGTACTATGATACCATCAGCATCACGGGTTTCCTATTGGCATTTACCTTCACTATAAGACAAAAATCACTTGAAACTCACATTTAACAAGTGATGACGTGGGCCACGTTATTATAATACAAGAAAAACTTGGTTAAGTGTATAGTTGCCTCAGACCAATCTCTTATCTGACTACTACTTGAACCAAAAAGTAGGGAAACCGGAAATCTATTGCTTTAACATATATAATCATGGCCTGAATTAGTTTGCAAGACCACTGTGACATATATTGCTCCCCTCTTAAGTCCAGTCTTAAATAAAAGTATGTGTCTTGATGGATATTTCTACAATACAGCTGCTAGGCTGCCATCTGTGAAATGTCCCTGACAGTATGGGATGGGATTCAGTGTAGTCAAATTAAACTATCCTCAACAAAGCTGCAGGTATCACACTACCTGACTTCAAACTATATTACAAGGCTACAGTAACCAAAACAGCATGGTACTGGTACCAAAACAGACATACAGATCAATGGAACAAAACAGAGACCTCAGAAATAACACCACACGTCGACAACCATCTGATCTTCGACAAACTGACAAAAACAAGCAATGGAGAAAGGATCTCCTATTCAGTAAATGATGCTGGGAAAACTAGCTAGCCATATGCAGAAAACTGAAACTGGACCCCTTCCTTATATCTTATACAAAAATTATCTCAAGGTGGATTAAATACTTAAATCCAAAATCCAAAAAAACCCAAAACCATAAAAACCCTAGAAGAAAACCTAGGCAATACCATTAAGGACGTAGGCATGAGCAAAGACTTCATGACAAAAACACAAAAAGCAATTGCAACAAAAGCCAAAAATGACAAATGGGATCTAACTAAACTAGAGAGCTTCTGCACAGCAAAAGAAACTAGCATCAGAGTGAACAGGCAGCCCACAGAATGGGAGAAAATTTTTGCAATCTACCCATCTGACAAAGGTCTAATATCCAGAATTTACAAAGAACTTAAACAAATTTACAAGAAAAATATCAACCCCATCAAAATGTGGGCAAAGGATATGAACAGACACTTCTCAAAAGAAGACATTTACGTGGCCAACAAACATGAAAAAAAGCTCAACATCACTGATTATCAGAGAAATGCAAATCAAAACCACAAGATACCATCTCATGCTAGTCAGAATGGCAATAAAAAAGGCAAGAAACAATAGAATGCTGGTGAGGCTGTGGAGAAATAGGAACACTTTTACACCGTTGGTGGGAATGTAAATTAGTTCAACCACTGTGGAAGACAGTGTGGCTATTCCTCAAGGATCTAGAACCAGAAATACCATTTTACCCAGCAATCCCATTACTGGGTATATACCCAAAGGAATATAAATTATTCTACTATAAAGACACATGCACATGTAAGTTTATAGCAGCACTATTTACAATAACAAAGACATGGAACCAACCCAAATGCCCATCAGTGATAGACTGGATAAAGAAAATGTGGTACATATACACCGTGGAATACTATGATGCCATAAAAAAAGAATGAGATCATGTCCTTTGCAGGGACATGGATGAAGCTGGAAGCCAACATCCTCAGCAAACTAACACAGGAGCAGAAAACCAAACACCACATGTTCTCACTTGTAAGTGGGAGTTGAACAATGAGAACACACGGACACAGGGAGGGGAACAACACACACCAGGGCCTGTTAGGGGGTGGGGAGTAAGGGGAGGGAGAGCATTAGGACAAATACCTAATGCATGTGGGACTTAAAACCTAGATGATGGGTTGATAGGTGCAGCAAACCACCATGGCACATGTAAACCTATGTAACAAACCTGCACGTTCTGCACATGTATCCTGGAACTTAAAGTAAAATAAAATAAAACAAAAATTAAAATTAAATTAAATTTTAAAAAATTTAAACTACCCTCACCTGCTTTTGAAGTCGGGCCAGGCAGATGCTTGCAGTTTTATTTTTCATCACTACTTCACATATTTTTCTTCATCTTTTTTGAATAACCAGACAGTCTTATCTGTTGACCCTTTTGGCTACTGCTGTGTATTTCATCTATTTCATAAAGATCTGTTTGGGTCCACTTAGAGAGGGAACTCAAATAATTAATAAGCCCAATTCCCTGAATTGTGCCTACAGCATTTGATACTTCCGAAAGACACTGAAATAAACAAAACAGAAACAGCTAGAAGTGTGTCAATTTCACAGCAGGCCATGAAAAAATCCTCCCTGCCCAGCAGAAAACTACTTGTAAATAGGTAATGAGGGGCTTGAGTTGTTTCAAGTTTGATATGGGCTTCATTCATAATTGAATGTTGAAATCTAAAAATCGTGAGAACTAAATAAACCGGATTTAAGGAGCATTTGGTTAGAAACTAAACAACACTCCTAGATTACCCATCTCACTGGCATTTTTGCTGTTTCTGCACGTGGGTCTTCATTCAACTCCAAAAGGGCCTTTGCTGATGTCAAGGTCCCTCAGGCAGGAAAGGCTCGGGAGAATTCTCAGCCAGGGAAAAAGTGATGAGCCACAACTTGATTAACTTAGCACGCTGGCATGTGCCCCGAGGCAGCTTCCTTCAGGCCATGCTTTTTGCTGCCAAACAGCCACTGTTGTTTCATGCCCCCAGCCAGGAGGCAGAGACTCCTTCTCAGCATCCAGCCCACTGTTTTTGTTTCCAGCAGTCCCAGTTAGGCCGCCTTACTTCCCACTGCAGAGCCACATCTCTTCCCCTCCCAAAGGCAGGCCAAGCCCACGAGGACCCACCATATACTGTATTTTCCAGTGCCAATCACCTTCAGCCACTGATGAAATCCTGAAACCCAAGCATAGGAAACTGTGTCCTTCACAAAAATGTTACAAGAGAAAAAGGTAAACAAACGTGACTTTATAAAAGTTTAAAACTTCTACATGGCTAAACTAAACATTGTGATAAATAACTAGAACTAAAGTGGAAGCCAGAATTCAGTTGTGTGGAATGGAAACCATGCAGATAATCAAGGATGTATCCAGATCCCCGAAGACCAGGAAGGGAGGGAAAGTGGGCAGAGGAGTGATAGGGACCTTAGGAAGGTGTTTCAAAGTGCTGGGGAGGGACTTACAACTCTCAGGCCAGTCCTCACGGCAAGTGACGAATGCTGGAGCTGGCCAACAGCCACCCTCTTCAGCCCTCACTTAACTTCGGCATAGTTGGCTCGGGCTGCTGTAACAAAGTACCGCAGACTGGGTGGCTAACACAACAGAAATTTATTTTCTGACAGTTCTGGAGACGCAAAGTCTGCAATCGAGGTGTCAGCAGGGGTGGCTCCTTCTGAGGGCCATGGAGGAAGCATCTGTCCCAGGCCTCTCTCCTTGGCTTGCAGATGGCTGTCTTCTCCCTGAGAGGTCACATCACCTTCCCTCTGTCCACGTCCATGTCTAAATTTCCTCTTCTTATCAGGACACCAGTCACACCAGATTAGAGCCCACCCTAAGGACCTGATTTTAACCTAATGTCTGTCCTCTTTAAAGATCCTATCTCTGAACACAGTCATATTCTGAGAGTCCTGGGGGTTAGGACTTCAACAGAGAAACTTGGCAAGAGGAGACATAATTCAGCCTCTAACAACTTTACCGGGAAACTCACTACCACTTTTGCAAAGTTATTTTCCTTGAAATGCTGTCTTTCATTTTACAGGGAAAATTGTATCCCATTTGTGTTTTGAGGAAATGCCATAGAGTAACTTTGCCTTTCTTCTTCTCAGGATTTTTATATTTTGGTCCACTATGATGGCTATCCAGAAGGCTATCCAGATGCTCAAAAGTGGTTTTTCAGTGGCTATTTAATAGTTTTTCGACTCCTTTTCTTTGCTATCCTGTAAAGCTAGAATTGATGCATTTCTAGAAGTTTGGGTTGTGTTTATTTCAGAGTCTTCCAGCATCAGGAAGAAATGATGAGATCTTCCCAGTGCCCTTGCAAATCATGGCATCCAGAACTGAACACAATATTCCCCTGTAGGATCTGTCAGTCCACCGTGCAGAGGGGTTTTACAGCCTTTCCTCCAGGCACTGTTCCTTTATCAATCACATCAGCGCTGGCCAACAGCATCATTCTGTTGTTGAATCCATTGTAGCTCGTTGTCATCCACAACCTGTAAGGCTTTTTAACATGTGCTGCTGTTACCCGTAGATCACACACTAGCAATCTTGCAGAGGCACAGGTGTGTGAGTGTGTGTGTGTGAAACCACCACAAAGATTGCTAACTGTGCCTTCATTAAACTTTATGTGGTCAGGTTTGTGTCATCATTCCACCCTGTCATGAATTTTTTGGACCCTTATTCCATCAGTCATTGCCCTGACAGTCTGTCCCTCTATGCCCTTATTCCAGTCACTAATGAAATGTTAAATAGAAAAGGGCTGAGGACAGATCTTTGAGGCAGTGCATCAGAGAGAGCTATCTGGGCTGACACTGCCCCATTAAAAAGTCCTCTAGACTTGCATGCTCAGTGATTTGTGGATTTTATGGAGCCACCAGTAGCCTATATTTTTCCAACTTAATCACACAGACATACTTTGTTGACTTTCTGCCTAAATCCACATAATGGTAGTAATTTGTCTATAGTTTCCTCCAAGTCTACAAAGCTAATGTTTCTCAGGGGAAAAAAAAAAAGAATTCTTCCTCTTTATTTGTTCATGGATAAGATGTGCCAGCTCTGTGCCATTGCCCCCTTTAAGCAGTTACAACCCGCTTATTTAATACAGTTGCTGTGAGTTTTGCATGAGAATGAAGTCAATTTCTCCAGTCTATAGTTTTCAGAAACCATCTTATTCCATCTTTTGAAATTTTTTACATTTTCTCAATTTCACACCCCATTCTCCTATGCAAATTCAAAAGTTATGAGACAAGTTTTGTTCAAATAAGCTTTGAACTAAGGTAACCTAAGGACTCTTAAAAAAGAGGGTAATGGACAACAGGGGGGATCTACCCCACCACAGGAATAAAGATCATAATAGATGGATCTAATACCAAAAATGCACTGTTGGGGGGTGATATTTATTTCCCTCACACTCTATGCACTTGTGGATTTTGTTCCAAAGATAAAATGTTTGGGTAAGAGTCATTTGAAGACTAATAGAGTGTAAAAGAAGAAACTCAATACTCCACATTGGTATCACTGAATTCAGTAGTTGAATCTATATTCTAACCTGGCGCTGTTTATTCCCTGCATGTTTGATTGGTCTCAATGAAACTATGAGATCCTTGAAGATAGAGGCTATGTCTTATCATTGCTTGGACTCTCTACAGTGGTTAGCACAGCACAAGACATACAGAATTTCAATAAGTACATTTGTCTTGACTTGAAAGAAACAATCAATGAGAGCCAGGAAACTAGAGTAGAATCAAAATTACTTCTTAGATAAGCAATATGCGTAACCACATCCTTTCTTCATCGCTTGAGCATCTATCATACAACCAGTTCCATTAGAGTACAGTAAGTGTTTGTAGAACTGAGCACACAGTAGGCATACAACAATGACTGAGTGATGAGTGACTGAACGTCAGAGACCTAGATATGAGGTCTAATCCAGTCCAGTGGTTGTCAAATTTGAATGTGCATCAGAATCACTTGGAGGACTTTTTAAAACACAGATTCCTGGGTCCTACCCAGAGTATATCAGTTGCTCCAGGCTGGGGCCTGAAAATTTACATTTCTACTAAGTTCCAAAGTGATGCTCATGCTGTTGGCTGGGGATTCCACTTGGAGAATCATTGCTTTTGCATCTGCTTGAAAAGGCACTGGATATTGTAGCACAGACATAGCTGTCACTACAGTGTATTGCTTTATGTTTTTGTTTTGTTTTTTGTTTTTTTGGTTTTTTTTTGAGACGGAGTCTCGCTCTGTCACCCAGGCTGGAGTGCGGTAGCACTCACTGCAAGCTCCGCCTCCCGGGCTCGTGCCATTCTCCTGCCTTAGCCTCCTGAGTAGCTGGGACTATAGGCACCCTCCGCCGCGCCTGGCTAATTTTTTGTATTTTTAGTAGAGACGGGGTTTCACCATGTTATCCAGGATGGTCTCAATCTCCTGACCTCGTGATCTGCCTGCCTCAGGCTCCCAAAGTGCTGGGATTACAGGCGTGAGACACCACGCCCAGCCCTGCTTTATGTTTTAATTCCTCTACTTGACTATTTTAATATGGATGTGTAGAAACACAACATTCTCAGATTATAATTTTTATTGTCCTCTATTTTTCACAATATGCTTATTCCCTGGATCTGTTGGAATATTAAAAAGAAGTGATCCTCTGGTTGGATGGGATGGAATGATGCTCTGGAGGCTAGGCTCACTTCCTTCCTTCAGTCAATGTGGGAGCAAAGCTTTAGTACCAACTATGACAGGTGATGATACACACAGCACACCTAGCAATGGCCTGCAGACTTAGGAATGGACATGCAATCTATATATTTATAGGAAAGGAAAGAAGAGAGGAAGAAGTTCAATAAATTCTAAGAAATTGTCTTATTAATTCTTCTCAGAGGGAAAAAACAAAGTCAAGAAATATAATACATGAAATACCACCTACTTCAGACCTTTATAATTTCTTAACAAAATTATTAACTTCAGCCTTCTCCGTCTTCCACATCAATCCACTTCAAACTATCCCAAATATGGTATCAGACTAATTCACTGAACCACAGTTCTGATAATGTCACCCCTTTGCACCAACACTTTCAGTGATTTTTATATCATTTCAAATGGGATTAGGTGTTTCTAGAACTAAAAGCAAAACAAATCCATAAAGGAAAATTTTCAATGATTTTATATGTAAAAATGTAAAAGAACTTTATATTAAAAGCCCACCGAAATGAAAAGATAAAAAACAAACTGAGAAAGCTGCAACACATATGGTAGACTGTGAAGTACCTTTAATATATAAAGAAATCACAATCAGTAACGAAGGGGCTGTTGCATCACAGGAAAACATGAGCAAAGACATGAAAGAGAAAACAAACTACAGAAACAGTCTCTGGAGAGCTTTTGAGAATTCGAATCGACATATCTTGAGCCAACATTTGGTGTGTCTCTTGGACGTCTGAACAATTCGGTAACCTCAGACGGTTCACCATGACTAACTCCTATCAAACCTCTGCTCACTAATCTCTATAACAGAAGTATGTGTATCACAAGATCTCTCCAAAATCCTGACCCCAAATTAGAAGATTCTGTAAAACAAAGCCAATTTAAAGACAGGAGAAAAAAAATCAAGAAATAATCTTAAATCAAGTTCCAATGGAAACCCATAAATAGGGCTCGCTGGCAAAGTAAATGGAAACCATCAACTCTGGCTTAAACAGAAGTCCTCCATCCAAAGATTAAAATAAAAATAATGCCCCATGCAAGCTGAGAGTACGCACACACAGCATTCCTTTCTATTTGGAAAGGAAGTCCCTAAATTTTTTGGTATCTTGCAGAAAATGTCTAAATTCCTGGACAGTTTTACTGAATTAAGATACTTAGCTTAGGTAGTGGCTCCAAAAGTAAGCCTAAGGCTAAAAGTCCCTGAGCGATGATTAACCATAGCCACCAGAGTGTGGTAATAAATTCTAGAAAGTGGACTCATACAGAGCATGATTTAGTTAAAAGTCTTTCAGTTAAGTAAGGTATGTTAGAAGACGCAACACATACCTTCAGGCTAATGCCTGCCCAGCTAAATTCTTAGCCTGTTTTCAAACAAACAAACAACAAACTTTCTGCAATTATGTATACTATACAAATTCACAAGTTAACATGTGTGATGCTAAAAGCCAATATGTAACTTACAGGCTAAAATCATCATCATTACCATTGTTGGACATCTAGTGCTGAGATAGGCTCTTTAGAAACATGATTTCATTTCATCTTCACAGGCACTTTACTTAAGAAGGTATCATTTCCTCATTTTACTCTTGAAGAAGCTAAGGCTTAATTAAATCAAGTAACTTGCCCAGGGGCATACAATTAGGAATAATAATGTCTCTAATTTTGCACTTCTTACTGTATAATCAATGACAATTCCTATCTTGTTGTTTTCTAAAATGTGATTAAATCAAAATGTATGTAACTCAAAAATGCCTTCTTATAACTCTTAAACAGTATTTTTTTTAAAAAGTCAGAATGGCCCTCCAGCTTTATATTGGGTTTATTATCACAAGACCAAGAGGAGTTAGCCTACTCACAAGCATTCATGCCGCAATCAAGATGTGTAGACAGATGTGCAGCAAGTGTCTGCACATTTCCTGGTATTTGTGGTTATTTGCTGTTATAGTCCTCAGCGTTAAAATTCTGAAGTTTCCAGGTATTATAATTGCATGGGAGGACTTCTGTAGAGGCTTTTCCCCTGCTGTGCAATTCCAATGAGAACATACAGTACGACCTGAAGGAAAACAGTTGGCTTAAATTGACAATATTATATCTCTCTGAAAATGTAAGATGGTAAACAGGCCTTTGCTAATGTTCTTCAATGTGCAGAGAACATCCTGAAGCCTGATACTTTGAATTGTCATGTATGTGATTTCCACTGAATATTTGTAAAAGAAAAAGAGAAATGAACTAAATTTACTCTTAGAAAACTTCTAAGTTGGAGTAGAATAGTAAATCCTTTAACCACTCTGAAATATGACTCAATTTCTTTTCCTTCCAGAATAGCCCTTCTTACAATTTCCTTTTCTTTCCCTTTAAAAAAAAAATCTATAGTTACTTAACTGTAGAGAGAAACATTCCATTTGCAAATTTAGTCTGTGAAATCCTATATCCATGAGCAATGTCTAAAATTTCCCAGCTTCTAATAAATAGAAACCAGGTTCACAAATCAAGAGAACCCAACACATTAAATCAAGAACTGCCAGCCTGTCAGTAGCCAATAAATTAGCATTGTTGAAAATAAAGTCACGCTTGCTTATAAAAGCAGCTATTATGGATGAGTCTAAGAATTTGACCTTCCAACAGCCGTGGTGGCATAAACTCACAAAGGAAATAATAGCTATCACTCATTGAATATCTTCTGGTATCCAGACACTTTACCCACAGCATTGCATTCATTCGTCCTAGCATTCTTGCAGGTGGGTATCATTAAGCTTGCTTTATGGATGAGGAAACCGAGGTTCAGGAGGTTAAGTAACATAGCCAGGGTCAGATTTAAACATAGATCTCCAAAACCCATGCTCTCCCAGCTACGCCATCCTACCACTATTACATCACTAACAAGGTGCCAGTTGGGGCTCTTCTGCCTGGTTCTACTTTCTAGAATGTATTAACCACACTCTGTCATCATTGTAATTATTGCCTTCGAGTTTTTAGGTCTAGTCTCACTTTTGGGGTCACTACCTAATCTAGATACCTAGCTAAATTCAGAAAAAGTGGCCAGGAATGTAGGATTTCTGCAGAATACCAAAAGCCTAAGGACTTTCTTTCCAAATAAAAGATATGCTATTTGCATACGCTTTCAGCATGTCTGGAGCATGATTTTATATACTAATCCTTGGATAGGAGACCTCTGGCCAAACTGGAGTTGTTGCTTTCCATTTACTCTGCCAGAGGACCCTGTTTCCATCCACGTTAGGATTAAGATTGTTTCTTGATTTCTTTGCTCCTGTTTGTAATGGGCTTTACTATTGCAATCTTTCAGCTCTGAATTAGGATCAGAATTTTGAAGGGATCCATTAGAAGGGGTGCAGGGGATGTCACTCCACTGAAGTGTTTGAGGACATTGGATTGTTCAGATGTCCAAGAGACCCACCAAATGATGGCTTGAGAGATGTTGATTTGCATTATAAAATGCCCTCAGAAGACTGTTTCTGCAGTGACTGTTACACATTTAAAATAATTGTTGGCCAGCCACCACCTCTTAAAACATCTTTTTGCTAGGTCAATATTTAATAGGTCAGAATATTCTTTCTACAATGGCAGCTTTGGGATTGTAGATCATGAAGCATGTATAATTTTCGGAACTCTCTTTAAGAAAAAGAGTACCAAATTAAGAATACAAAATTATGTATTAAAGTTAATATTTTTTAGAATAAGAAAAAAATCACAACAAATTACAAATGTAAAAGTTAGAAAGGCCATAAACATCACAAAATTCACAAATATAATCTATCATACTCGATAATATTTCCTAAGTTTTTTGGTTAATACCTTTTACTGCCTCTTCAGATGACAAAAATTGTGCAATCTCAATTTCCATAGAGATGATTGAAGATAATTTTATACTTCCTCTGTCATGATTAATCTTTTTTTGAAAAATTATTCATTCTTACAAAAGTTTCTTAGAGCTTCATGTGTTATTGGTAAGTAAAGTTTTAGGATTATTGTCAAACAAAAAAAGTCCTCAATTAAGTTACTTTCATTATAAAAGTTACAAGATTTAGACCAGGCATGGTGACTCCCACCTGTAATCCCAGCATTTTGGGAGGCCAAGGTAGGCGGGTCAGTAGTTCAAGACCAGCATGGTCAACATGGCAAAACCCCGTCTCTACTAAAAATACAAAAATTAGCCAGGCATGTAGTCCCAGCTACTCAGAGAGGCTGAGGCAGGAGAATCCCTTGAACCCAGGAGATGGAGGTTGCAGTGAGCAGAGATCGCGCCACTGCACTCCAGCCTGAGTGACAGAGCAAGATTCCGTTTCAAAAAAAAAAAAAAGAGTTGTAAGATTTAGAAGAATATTTCATAGACTAGCTTCTGGCTTTGCATATATCAACTGTTGCCTCCACTGTCCACCTACTTCCAGTGCCAGGTGCCACCGAACAAAGTCCTATGGCAGTGCATATCCATGTCCCAAAGGGGTAGAAGGACTTTCTACACCAAGATATTTCACAGTAACTCAGCTATTCATAGAAGGAACTGCAAACCACGTAAAGACATCTCAGTCTTGACAACCATTGCTGAATATATCCCCAACTCAAGTTCCTCACAAATGCCCACAACCATTCCAAGTACCCCCAACCTAGGGCAGTGTTGGGGTGGGGGCACGGATGGGGATCAATGTGGAAAAAGACAACAGAGGCTGCCACCTGCAGTTAAATATCTCAGTGAAACGTGTGATCAGGAGGACATGGTGTGAGGGCCTCCCCCAGGTGCGTAAGCTTCCCATGAGGGGCCCTGGGACGTAAGCTTCATCAGCTTCATGGTAAAAAGGAGATTGTCAGCTCTGGCCCTACACACTTCCTAATCTAGAACCCACGGAAAGTTGGTCCTGGACTACAGATGTGAGTAAGAATTGAGCTCATGTCTCTAGGTAAAAATAACCTCAGAATTCCAACTGGAATATCAGAACATTATTCTCAAAAACAATAGGATTTAGGGTTTCCATTCTTCCTGTCCCCTCTCTCATACCAGGCAGAAGAAGTAGAACGTCATCCAGCTCAGACTGGAGGCCATTGCTCCTGGGGGCAGCCAAAAAAGGTGTATTCTGCTCCACTAAGCCAGGGCTGAGGCACGGCAGGAAGTGGGCGCCCTGTGCCATGTACCCCACCCCATCCCAGGAAACATCATCTGACTGCCCATCACTAACTCACTTCCTTCCCCCTGCGGGTGCCAGGAATTGATCCGCCTACCTTCCTACCCACTTTTCACGTCAGCCCAGGGTTCTGATGGCCATTTTGGAAAGCAGCATCTCAGAACTTCTCCCTCAGTGTCCTGTGGCGCAGCCACACGCAGAGACACACGCCACCTTTATGAGGTTTTCTACACAGATGTTACTGCTCGCAAGCGGCCATTCAAAGTCTTCTTCTGTGTCACCCACCCTCCTGTTTGTTTGCCCCCCATGTAGATAAAAATAAGGCACTCCTGGTTATAAATCAGAACGAGGGGGAGGGAGTCGGGCACAGAATATAGCGAGAACGAAAAGAGACTCAACTGCCTTTGAGGAAACTCAGGACTTGGAGAGGGTCCAAGGAATTTTCTTTAAGAAGCAACGCCGGAGCCTCCACAAGGGAGGAGATGGTGCAAGGAATCCTACCTACCATTGTCACGCTGGGTAGACTGAGGTGGATGGAAAAACATTTGCTCTCTGTCCTCTCTCTTCCCTCTTCTACCTTCTAATCATTCAGTAGAGAAGAGGCAGGGTAGGATGGAAAAGAAACTTCCTGGAAGAAATGAAGGAGTAGAGATGGTGAAGGAAACCCTCAAATAATGGCAATGGCTCCTGGCTGGGACAGCCGATCCCCATGGCTGTCCATAAAGAAGACATGGTTAAGAAGGAGATTGCTAGCTCTAGAAACTCCACACCTTTAAAAAAAATTTTTTTTCCTCAGGTTCACAAACTGAAGGGCATTTAAAGAAAACTGAAGGGCTAGTATAATGTCAAGGTTAACATTTTAATTGCATAAAACATGAAGAAAGCCTACGCTTGTCATTTTTACAAGGTTACCTTTCCTGTACAATGGAGGCTTTTATCCAACAACTATATACGAGTTGGTGACATGACATAGAATGTGACTTACATAAATGGAAGAGCTCACACTCTTTTTTCTCTATAGCTCCTCCAGAAGGCACCAACAAGTAGCTAAATTGTGGCCTTTTAAACCTTTTCTCGCAGATAAGAAATGCACATATATGTGTCATTTTGTAGTTTTGAATGCACAGGGCCTAATTCTCCTATACTATGTCTGGCCCCTCAGTGCCCAGAGCTCCATCGACTTCAAAGAGGGTTTTGCAGGTGGAATGGCAGATAAGCGGTGGAGAATTTAGCTCTTTTGGATGATGTGATCACATAACAAAAGCCTGCCGTAACCCCGCAAGAAGGCAAAGTTAAGGTTACTATTGGAGCCTTAACTCTGAATTCCCTGAATCTAGGGCAATCCAGAGTATATAGCCCCACAGTGCAATACTTCACAGTGCTTTACAATGAGCGGAAAAAGAGAAAGAAAAAAATCTTGTAAAGGATGGGAAGCCTTTCAGATCTGTGCATTGAATCTAATATTTTTTTGAAAAATAACTTTCCAAGGTTGAAAAGTAGCTGAAGTTTCAACACGTTATACACACTTAGGAAATAACAGCTTTATGTATAAGGCGTGGAAGGGATAAGTGTCCTTATTGATTTATACACAAATATCTGTTTAAGTTTTCATTTTACGAGACTCAGGAACACAAAGGAGATTGTCCCCTAGAAGCACAGACTTTTTAATAAAAGACCCTCATTTTCCCAACCAGTGATAGATATCCAAATCCTCAAGTGTTGGTGAAAAACATTTGTCATTGGTTTAAGTATCAAAATGAAAATTTGATTCCCTTTAAACAGATTCTTTTTAAAATTAAGAAAACACCATTACGCATCAGTGTGTACTTTGTGATGCTAACAAATAACCATTACATGATGTAAGTACAACATACTAGTTTTGTTCTCCTAGCCAGGAGGAAGGCAGAACTATTGTCATCACCTAGAACTAAAAGAAAGGATTTTGCAGAATGAAAGGCAAGAGGGCACACCAGAGCCAAGAGCCACCAGGGGAGGCTGCGACCCAGCGGCAGGGTGCTGGTGAAGTCCCCTGCCTTGCCTCAGAGCAGGGGCCCCGCTGGCTGCCTGCCTTTCCCCATCCTGTGTCCAAGACAGAGGTGAAGAGCTGCTTGGGAAGGGAGGGAAGAGGCATGAAGCAGGACAATGGCGACCTCAAGCCGACTTCCTTTGTTTCCAGTGAAAGCGACTCATCCTGAATTGGGGGGACAGTTAGGAGGGTGATCCTCCAGGGAAGCAAGTCACATCCCGGTTGGATAGAGTCATCCTGGCATGCAGTTTTTAGCAATATTTCCGGAGAGCAGGGAGTGGGTTACCAAGTGGCTGTCTCCTCCTCCTCACTCTTTCAGTCAAAGAAAAGCCCCAGTCTTCAACAGAAACTCTGAGAGGCAAAGGATCCCTGATAAGGAAAAAAAAAGTTCAAGGAGAACCCATTCACACTATGCAGAGTGGTCACATTGGGTACATGTTATACAGGCAAAAAGCAGCCAGGTTCTAAAAAATTAAAAAAAAAAACAAACACCAAGTCATATCACCCCTCTGCTCAAAACTCTCCTGTGGTGACCCATTGCACTTCTCATCACCTCACCCTGCCACAGTCTTGCCCATCACACTGATCACCTTTTTACACATTATATAGTGTACCTACTTATGAAGCTCATTATTTACTTTCTGTCTTCCTCCGCTAGAACGTAAGCTCCGCATTGGCAGGAATTTTTGTCTGTTTTTATCGCTGATTTGTCTCAGTATCCAAAACAGTGCCCGGCCCTTACTAGGTAGTCAATAAGTATTTGTTGAATTAATTAGTTAATTAGTGGATGGGTGGATAAATGATGTTACAGCATTAGACCAGGCAGAAATAATTCAATGATCTAGCTATGTAGGTGTAGGTATAAACATAGAGAGAGAGCAGTGGCTATAGCTGTAGATAAAGCCACAGGCGAAGGCTGTGATAGATAGAGACACAAATGACAAGTTGTAAAATAAAGGGACAAAGTATGCAAAGGGCAAATGAAGAATTTATCCTGAAAGTTTTTAAAAACATAAAAAATTCCTTACAAAAGGAATGAAAGAGAACATAAAATTAATTAAACAAGACCTCAAAGAGGTAATGGCAACATTGAATGAAACTTCTAAAGAAAGAATTAGGGGCTACAGAAACACATTATGAACCAGAATAACATGATTAGAGAATGGAATAATAAATTAGAAACATCAGTGAACAGAATACACATAGCTGAAAACAGAATTAATAGCCCTATATTTCTATGCAGTGAAAATAGAAGAAAAGGAATTGCAGATTAAAGCAACTCACAGAAGAAAAAGATACGGAGGATAGACATTGGTGATCCAACATAATATAAAGGAATTGATTTTCCAAAGAGAATGGACGATGTAGTAGAAAAAAGAAAAAAAAAACACCTGGAAATGAAGAAAGGACTGAATCAGCATGACAAAATAAGTTCTGGGAAAAATTAATAGTGAATCTTTGCTATAAGGCATGTTTTGGTACTGTTAACTGAACTTAAAGGTTAGTTATTCAGGCATGCAGGTGTCAAAAGCAAGCTGTCTAGAAAGTACCCATAGTAAGCTGGTCTCCAGCTTTTTCACAGAAACATTCAGTGCCAGAAGACAGTGGTGCAAGCTCAATAAAGCTTCGAGAGAAAACGTGACCTAAGTATTTTGCACAAAGCCAAGCAGTCACCTAACCAGTAAAGCCACTACAGGAGTTCCCCCTTTATCTGTGGGGAACACATTCCAAGACCCCTAGCTGCCTGAAACCGCAAGTAGCATCAAACCCTCTATGTACTATGTTTTCCCTTATTAAGTTGAGAACTTTCACCTTTTCACTTCAAGTGAGCACTTCACTGCTTCTCTTTGGCAAATGTGAATGGCCAGCATCACTACTCTTGCACTTCGAGGCCACTATTAAGTAAAGTAAGGGTTACTTGAACACAAGCACTGCGATACTGCAACAGTCAGTCTGACAACTAAGATTGCTGAGTGACTAACAGGTGGGGAGTGGGTACAATGTGGATCTGCTGGACAAAGGGTTGCTTCACTTCCCGCAGGGGACAGAGTGGGACGGTGTGAGATTTCATCACGCTACTCGGAATGGCATGCAATTTAAAGTTTGTAAGTGGTTTATTTCTGGAATTTTCCATTTAATATTTTCTGACCACTGCTGACCACGGGTAATTGAAAGTACAGATAAGGGGGGACTGCTGTACTATGTGAGAGCCCAGAGAACGCAGCAATATTGAAAATCCACTCAGCAAACAGAGGAGTGGAGAATCCACCTCACTCAGAGAAAACCGAAAGTTCTTTCCATGGTTTACAAGTTTCTGCCCCTTCTGGTTTCCCTTATCTTTCCAGCCCCATCCCCGACTCCATTCCCTCTTGACCCACACTCTCCAGCCTCACTTCCCTCCTCCTGATCCCCAGACCCATCAACCCAACCACACCTCAGGCCTTGCACCATTGCCTCTGCCTCAAGGGTTCTTCACCACTTGTCTTATTCCCTCACTTATTTAATGAGACCTTCCTTGCTGCCTTACCTAAAATTCCAATACCCCCAACACCCTCTTTTTCTCTTCTCTGCTTGATTTTTCTCCTTGGCAATTATTCCCATCTAGCTTACTCTATCTTTACATATTTTGTTTCTTATCTGTCTCCCCCAGACTACAATGTAAGTTCCCTGAGGTTGCAAATTATTATCTGTTTTCTTTTTCTTTATTCCTACAATAGTGCCTGGAACACAGTAGCCATTCGAGTATTTATTTAGTGAATAAATAAATCAGGGTCTAAGTCCATTCCTTCCCCGTCCATCCCCTTAACATTTTTGAACCAGAGTGAACCTAGAGGGTAATAGCAGTTAAACGGAGGGGTCTGAAAACCAAATCTTATCAGGACAATCTGACGAATACCTAGCCTTTGTGTTAATTAACCCTAAATATATTAGAAGAAATGTCAACAATGACTTTTCAGATATTGCTACAGAAACAGAATTTGAACACTTACAGAAAGGTAAATTTTTCCGTTTTTCAAGAAAATTATCTTAGCGTCAGAGCTAATGATAAAATCAGCGTCTTCATAAATGCTGAGCTTCCCTGCCAATGGAGATTGTGAAAAAGATGCCGGATGTTTGCTGTCAGGGACCCTATGGGAGAATTCCCTACCATCTAAAGGAAGTTTAGTCCAGAGAGCCCCCAACTTCTTCTGCTTTGAGATTCTGTGATGCTATGCACACATGAGATTCTGTGATGCTCTGCGTGCAGCTTCGATTGTTCTATTGTGTGTGACGATGATTTGCAGACATTTGCGTTTGGGAACTGTGACTGTACTTCTGCCTGCAGGTCAGGTCCCTGGCTTCCTCACCCAGTTCCTACTGGCTGCACTTTGAATCACAACACTCCCGGCGTGTGGGAGTCCAGCACAGTTGGTTGACTGGCCTTTCTTGAAGAGATTTACAATTCAGCAGTAATTCCAACAGGAGGAATTCATTTGCTGTAATTGAGCAAGCAGATCATCCCCTATTTCTTTTGAAAATTGTCATTAATATGATCTTCAGGCAACTCCTCCCAGCTAGGCATGGGCCTTGGTTGAAGCAAGCTTCAGTATTTCTTTGATGTAAGGGTAAAAGACCTTATGTGAGTGAGCTAAAGATTCTAAAAAGCATTGAGTTGGTTTAGGGCATTTTGATGAGAGGGCATTTTTGCTGGGAGTGGTAAGGAAGAGCATGAAACAAACATTTGTATTTGTTTGCTTTTCTGTTTTGTCACTCTTATGTTCCTAATAATCATGTTTTGTAAGGCTATTGCTGTTTCTGAGTCCAGTTGGCAAGTTATAGAATTCATAAGAACATTCCATGCCACAGTAGAAACATAAAACATTTATTCTTACATTTACAAAAACTTATTTTTTGTTGGAACCGAAATTAATCACACTTTGATTCTAAAGGATACATGAAGTAAACTCTAGCAAAGGCATTAAAGAGATCTAAAGCGCTGAATAAAAAAAGAATTGTTCCTAGTTCTTTAGAAATGTACCTGCTTAAGCCCAACTGAGGTAATTACTCTTCTGAACTTTAAAGTAGATAACTTAAAAAAAAAACAAAAAACCTCTTAGTCATGGCACCGTGACAGTAAAGAACTTCTGAAAGATGGTCTTCAGGTGATCAAAATCAAAACATAGCAAAACTTCAACCTCTGTGGTCTTACCTGTAACACTGCACTGTTACACGTAACATTTCACAGCGTTTCCGTGACTTGAGATTTATGGTGCTGTCAGTTTTAGTATCATGCTTTATAGCATAGAAAGAAAAGTTTGTGCTTCCCATTTGTTGTTGAGTAGGGGATGGCTGCTATGTACAGCTATGTATAGGTTAGGATTTTTGAGAAAGCCTTGCTACTCTAATTCTATCAAACCTAGGAGAGAATCTTCTTTTCACTTTTAAACATCTCCTTAACATTTACAGTGTTAATTTTTCCAGGGAAGTATCCATACTCGAGGGTCACTGCAGGAAGGATTTTCCTGGCTTGGCTTGCAGCTGGTCATTAACACAAGTCCCTTAAGTCATATGTGCAAATGAAGCCCCAGGGGTTTTTGCAAGGGTTAGAGGAGGTGTATTAAGTGTGACACATAATAGGTACTCAATGAATGATCCATAAACATTTTGATTGCATTAGTTTAGTTTGTGTTTTGGGGCCAGTAAATCTGTATTGTTAGAAAAATAAATGGCCACTGGTTTATGGTCAGTTCCCACTCTCCTCCATCCTCCGGCAGGCAGCCTTACTATCTGAGTGGCCCCTCATCATAGCTACTAGAGCAGGGCAGCTCTGCTTTAATCCTCTTTATTCCGTTCCCCTTTCTCCTTCAAACTCTCCCACTTATCCCATGGATCTCTCCCTTAAGTCCTGGTTGGAGTCTCCAGTAGCAAGAATGGCAGTAGGTTGGGGAGAAAGAAAAGGAAAGAATGAACACGTTCAGTGTTTCGACTTCATGGGTGACACGGACCTAGGACTTTACATGCACAACTTTACTTTGGCTTTATAACACCCATGTGGAGTGACGAATTTTTTCTAATTATATAGACAAAAGATCTAAGATTTAGTTACATAATTTGTCCCCAAATTAAATGGTTTTTCTTTTTGATATACTTCTCCTGTGAGAAAAATTCTGCCAGTTAAGATGAGAGAAGTTGGTTGGGAGCAGCTTGAGGAGGCCCTTCCTTGAGTTTAAGTTCGATTTAGCACTGTGTCCTGGTAGTAATATTGGTAGCAGTAGGAGTAACAGCAATGAGAGTGGTCACAGTCAGACCAGGAATAAGAATAGTAACAGTAGTAATGGCAGTAGAAATCTCAGAAATAGCATGCCTCAGTCTATTGACAGGGTTCAATATTCAACTTGCTATCTTTTCAGCATTCCTGTTTTAAATGCCCAAACCATACCATTTGGGTCACCGGGCTGACAGATTTGAATTTATTTTGCTTCCAGGGAGCCTCTGAACACTGGCAGGGACTTAGTGTTTTGATTTCCTTTTTTAACTCTAACACTAACAAAGTGATCTTATTCAGAGTTTCATGTGACACTCGTCCCCAACATATCCAGGGACCCACATGCGAATACCTGACAGTAAAGGGTTTGGAC
The DNA here is from genome assembly GCF_000001405.40 of Homo sapiens. Taxonomy (NCBI): domain Eukaryota; kingdom Metazoa; phylum Chordata; class Mammalia; order Primates; family Hominidae; genus Homo; species Homo sapiens. The sequence continues at coordinate 39,316,430 of NC_000007.14, forward strand.
CTCAGGCAGTGTGGCTGAGAAATATCCTAGGAACCTAGCTTGCCCCTGAGCCCCCTGAGTTTTCACCCAGTACCCACTGATTGCAGTGTGAGTGAGTCTCACCACCACAATGTGGAGTCAAGCAGCTCTGGGGATACCCAGCAGTCCCCATGCTTGCCAAGTTCTTTGTGCTATGTTCCATATAAGACTTATGTCTTGGGAGCCCCTAAGTTGGTGTAGCTCACAGTCCTCTGTGTATTGTCTCCTGTGAAAGACTTTAGGTTTCCTAGTTCCCTTCCTAAATGGATCTTCAGACTTTTAAAGTATTTATTTGTAAGACAAGGCAACAGGCCACTTCATCCTATTGCTGCACTTTGCTGTTGCTGGAGGAAGATGAAATGTTACAATTATTAGTTTCAGAATAGAACTTGATTTTGTTAACCACCTAATAATAAAAGAGAAATAAACTCATGTGGAGGTGAGTCTTTTTGAATATCCATTCTCTTTCAAGTCTTTCACTTGAAAAGTGAGGGGCAAAATCAGAAACATAGCCTGAGATTAACAAAAGCTTCCCAGTGACATGGGATTGTCTCAGCCTGAGAGGGAAGACTCTGATGTTCTTCCCAAGGCAAGAATCAGGAGCTCACCTTCCTTCTCACGATAAGCCAGGTGCTTTATTCCAGAGCAGGAATTTCTTTTTCTCAAATCCCACCCCCTCCGCAGTAAGTTATCCTTTATGCTACAAGGAAGTAAGTGTCGCTGAGCTGCTTAACCTGGCCTTGCCATTGGAGGGTCAGTATCTCTCAGAGAACACCCTAGCTCAGTGGCATGTAAAACTGACTCCCCAGTCAGCTAAGCCTGCACAGAGGCTGCCAACATGATGGGAACTCGCCGATGGCTTGTAAAAAGCCAGCACACACCCAGAGGGAGCTGTGTCCTTTCTAAAGTGGATCCCTCTTTCATAGTCCACGTTGGCTTGGAAGTCATCACTGGTTGCCTGGAACATAGTAGGCTCTCAATAAATACATGGTGCCTGAACAAATGAAGATGTATTCACAACTCAGTTTTTGTGCCAAAGATATTTTTCAGTTTTAATAATTTATGGTCAAAAGCTAAGACATAATACATTACCATGGGGGTTTCTTTTCACTTACTTGTTTTATCTTAGACAAAATGGTTATTTAAAAAGAAGTTTTTGGAGGCCTTTCTAATTATATTCCTCATTGAATCATATATTTACAGGGATTTTAACTATTAGGTACAGAACTGCCTCCAGAATTCTAAGCCAATAAATGACCCACCTTGGCATAAGTGATTATTGGTTCAACATATATTCAAAATGTATCAGATAAACAATCCTACCTTCTTCTCTGTGTGCACTTGAGCAAATCATTCAGGGTCTCTGGGTCTCATTTTCTTTATTTCTCAAGGGTAAAATTGGGTTTGATGAGTTCCAAGGACCCTGACATCTCTAATTCTCATACATTTGGCAGAATGCTGGCAAAGGAATCCTCAAATTACTAGTCACTCTTTCACTGTGGTGAGCCTCTTAAAGACTTCGCCCTTCATTTTCCCTTTCTTCGCAGCCTGACTGTCTCACTAGTAGGAAACGTTTTTTGCTTGGCACTTACAAGGGTTTTTTTCTCTCTCTTCCCACACTAACCCTATTGCTGTCTCATGGTTTGTAAATACTTCCAAAGAAACACATGCTCAAACACGTTGATAATTTACAGGCCAGCTACATATGCCACCAAACTGTTAGATTTTTGAGGGTAAGAAATATGCCTGATTTCTTGTGATATTTAGGCACCCAGCACAGTGCCAGGAAACCAGTAGAGACCAGCACTACTCACGGTTGGACCAAGGACCCCTGCACCAGAAGCTTGTTTAAAGGCTGCCAATTCCTCAGCCCACTACAGGGTATGTAATCAAAATCTGCATAGGTGGGGCCCTGGAATCAGCATTTTTACAAGCACCCTTGGTGATCCCTCTGTACCCTGAGGCTTGATAGCCTCTGCAGTGCACAGTCAATAAATATGTGCTGAACACTGAATGAACATTTCCAAAGAAAGAGAAACTTACCCCTCTCCTCAACAAAGGTCCTAGACTCACAAAGACAACACCAGAGAGAAAAGGAGGAAAGGCACAGAAGAAAATACAGTGCATTTAACCCAGTAGTTCTTATGTGTCTGCTGCAAAAGAACCCTTCTGCTCTCTTAGGAAAAAAACAAAGCAAGGCTCAGTTCCTCTGAGGTTAGTGCAATCACTACATGACTTGTTCAACTCACTGTGGCCTTCAACTTATTCATTAGGGCTGGTTCTTCCCTTACCCCCAAATGACGACTCAAGGAAGTCCTGTAACATCCCAGGCTACTGCTAGGTAATATAAACACTACTTTGCTTTAATAAGTAGAACATACAAACCCAGGTAATAGTCAAAACTCCAACTTGGGGCCAGGCGCAATGGCTCACACCTGTAATCCCAGCACTTTGGAGGGCTAAGGCAGGAGGATGGCTTGAGCCCAGGAGTTTGAGACCACCCTGGGCAACATAGTGAGACTCCATCTCTAAAAAAATTAAAAAATTAGTTGGATGTGGTGGTGCATGCAGGTACTAGAGGAGCTGAGGCAGGAAAATCACTTGAGCTTGGGATTTTGAGGCTGGAGTGAGCCATGATCACACCACTGCACCTCAATCTGGTGACAAAGGGAGACCCTGCCTCATAAAAACAAAACAAAACTCCAATTTGATTTGAGGTTTCAGACCCCTTCACCTCCCACGTCCTACATGTCAACCAAATTGTAAGCAGAAAGCCTGTAACTGGGAAAGGGAATCTCTCTTTGTTCCCCACCTACAGTTTCAGCTCCTCCTCCTCTATCTTTAGTTTCTGACTCTTTCAGAGGAAAAGAAAGCAGGGATGGTTCCTACTGATGGGCACTAACTACTGTTGGCTGGCTTCACGCTCGCTGGACTTGGAGATATTTACAGATAACTCTTTCTGGGGGATGGTATTGTGGTTTTTGGAAACCTCCCAATCCTGGCCTCTCAAATACAGATCCTTTAATGTGGGTGATGCCCTACCTCTAAATTCTGCATGCTGAGATATATTCACCTCTGCACGGGACTCTCTCAGACACAATCTCAGGTGGGCCATGCTAGGGTTTTGTCACTCATGTGACCCACATCCAGCCCCGAGGAAATTCTCATGCAAGCCTCAAGTGCCAGCCACCAGGGCCACAATCTCTCCATAGCCTCCCTGTTAGAGCAGCTAACCAGCCTGTCTTTTTACCTGTGGCATTTTCCAACAAGAGGCCAACACAGGTCTGATGTGACTCCCTACTGCAGGGACATAAACCAGCTCCATGGAAGCCTCCTTTTCTTGGTATGAAATGAAGGGGAAAGAGTCCCTACTCCTTCAGAGAGTGGGACTCACAGAACACCAATAGCTCTTTCCAAAATTACTATTTAAAATCATATTTCTGTATAAGATAAACAAAGCATGAAGAGATGTCTACCTAATTCTCAGACATCCTCTATGCATCTTGTTTCAGCAATGCACTATAGTGTCTGATCTGAAGGCCCATAACAGAATGAGACTAGGCTAGACTATTTAAACATGACTTTAAGCCGGCTCAGAGGGTAACCTCCCATCAGATAATATGGCTTGCACCTTTAGCTCACTCAGAATGAACCTCCATGGGGCAGAGAGGCTTTAACTCTTCTCACCTGGGAGGTCCAGAGGCTAGATAAGAATTCTTAAGACCTGACTGAAGAGAATAAAAACCAACAAGTGGCCAGAGTTCCCTCAACCACCGTGGCCCACCTTCCAGATTCTGAATCTCCGTCAGAAGACCTACCTCTCCCCATCAATGGATGCCAGGAAGGGCCATATGTTTCAGGGACAGATGCCCTTCACCCGGACCTGTAGCCTGGTCCCCCGCAGATGCTGTCAGTCATCAGGTGGATAGGTGTCTCTGGATGAACTTTAGAAGGGTCTGAAATTCCCTGAGAAATTATGTTAAATTTATAAGTATAAACACATCTCTCGGTAAAGGGTACATTTTTTTTATCAGATTCTCAAAGGGGTTCATAATCCAAAAAGTGTTTTTGCAGCCCTGGAGTTTCAGCATGGTCTGAACTAGGACAATAGTGTTCTAATGTTGGCTAACAACTATTAATATAAAAGACATAGAGTAGTTGCTGCTTTTCTGAGGGGGCACATGTTCCAACACCCCCAGTGGTTACCTGAAGCTGCAGATAGTACTGAACCCTCTATATACTATGCTTTTTCCTATTTATACATACCTATAAAGTTTAACTTATAAATTAGGCATAGTAAGGGGTTAACGACAACAACAATTTTTGGCCGAGTGCAGTGGCCCATGCCTGTAATCCCAGGACTTTGGGAGGCTAAGGTGGGAAGATTGCTTGAGGCCAGGAGTTGGAGACCAGCCTGGCCAACATAGTGAGACCCCATCTCAACCAAAAATTTAAAAAATTAGCCAGGCATGGTGGCATGCACCTGTAGTCCCAGCTACTTGGGAGGCTGAAGTGGGAGGATCGCTTGATCCCAGGAGGTCGAGGCTGCAGTGAGCCATGATCACACCACTGCACTCCAGCCTAGGCCACAGAGTGAGCCCTTGGTCTCAAAAATAAATAAATAACAATTCTTCTATAACATAGTACTATTATAACAATATATTGTAATAAAAGTTATATGAATGTGGTCTCTCACTCCCTCTCTCAAAATACTGTAATCTTTTCAGACCACAGGTTACTGAAACCAAGGAAAGAAAAACCACAAGATAAGGGGGCACTATTGTGTGTACCATAACCAGGGCATCACTTCATTATACCTACTTTGTGTAAATGGGAGCGGAAGAGGCTGCCCAGAAAGAAGAGCTGAGCTTTGAAAGAAGGGTAGGATCATGACAGAGGGAAATAGAAGGAGGGGGAGCTAAGGGGTCATTTCAGAAAGCAGAACAAATCATGAGCAAAAGCCAGGTGTGAGTGTGAAATGACGTGCAGTGGGCAGCTGGAGTGTGAGGTTACACCCAGAAGAATATTGGGAGCTAAAACCTGAAAGTGGGCTTAGAGCAGAGTCGTGAAGGGCTTTCATGTGAAGGGAGATGATGTGTACTCTCTGGAGATGTGGGGAGACAGTGAAAATTATTAACCAAGAAGAAATATTGACATATCACCTTGTGCTTGAGCATTTGCATGTCTGTTTTCCCAGATAGGATGTGAATGAAGTGCAGGAAGGCAGAATCACAGTTGAAGTTATGTTTATAAGTTCAATTGTGTGCACATTCCCCAGCCTAATGCAGGTGCTTAATAAATTTTTAGAGTAAGGAGAGAAGATGCATTGGAAGGAAGGGAGGAAAATGGAGGAGGAAGAAAGGAGGAAGGGAGAGGGAGAAAGAGAAGTAGGGGAGGAGGGAGCTATACTTTAAGAATAAACATTGTATATATTTATATATATATAGAGAGAGAGAGACAGAGAGAGAGATAGAGAGAGAGAGAAAATGGGAGACTATTACATGAGTCCAGACAAACAATGAGAGCCTTCATGAAGTAAGTACCTTATAGTTTTGAGTTGCTATCTTGCCGTAAAACTCAAATTCTCATCCTCCTCTAAATAGCTTTTCTATAAACTGTTTGAAATTAGTGTTAAATGTTCTCATTCATTGTGAGTAGAAGGGATCTTTGTGTTGCTTTACCCGTCCTATTAGCGAATCTGTGCTCATCCATCCTATACTTTTGCCTGGTTCCCCTTAGGGACAGAGCATGCAATTGCAGATGGCCAGGAGTGGAGCGTGACCAGGGGAAGAGAAGTGAGTAACTGACCCATGGGCCTCACTTGCACCTTATGCTTTGGCCCTTCCGCCGCCTGCTCACTCAACAGGGCAACGTGTTTGTTATGCCTGGCTGACTTTTACATCCTGCCAGCCCAGACATACTAAAAACCTGACCTTCAACTCAAACCCTCTTAATCCATGTGCTCTATTATGTTTCTCTCCAGATTGAGTGGAATTTGGGTCAGCCCTTGGTTAGGATGACATTTTTCGCTCTTTTAAGATTATGATTTAATCTGTCCATCTCAGACCTACCTGCAGTACTTTTCTGTTTATCCAGATAACCTTTCAGGGCTCTCCAAGCTTGTCATTTCCTCTTTAACCACATTTCATATACATATTTCCTATTGAATTCCTATAGCACACCTTCAAATCCTGGATTCTTAGGTGGTGTTCATTCACTTCCTTTAATAAGTTGTTAGTTCATAAACAAAATTATTTTACAGAATTTTTAGGATATGGCTCCAGATGCATCCAGATGGCTGCCTTGGCCTGTACAGTTATATATTTTCAAGAAAGGAACACAAGAATTTGATTTTTTAGAAAAATAAATCTATACCATTCCCCCAAATTAACTGCAGCTCCATTGCAGGCTCAGAGGTCACATGATTTATAGGTAGTCTCCTAGAACCCTGAGCAGTGGATCTTGGGAACCTCAGAAATTCTCCAGTGGTATCTCTACTTTTGTGAACTTAACCAAAGCAAGCACATGATACATGTTAGGTAGGAAGAATAAGCTGAAGTCATCAAGTGGCCAATCAAATTACAGCTCCCTACAATTATAATTCCTAATTATTTAGTGAACATCTGCTATATGCAGGTTGCTGAGAGAGAAGACAGGAAGATTTAAAAAAAAAAAAAAAGTCCTGCATAAAAATGGTTACCTTCTTTAGGGAGCTAGTTGGTAAAAGAACCATCCAGGGACACATTAATTGTGGTGCAATGCACAACAGGATGTCCCCTCATAGAATTTCAGGAGAGGGGGCAGTTCATTCTGGCTGCCATGGATCCCAGCAAGAGGACAGCTGCACTCAGCTCCAGTCCCCATGCAGGGTCATGTTGCCAGACCTTCTGGATGTGGGGTTGTGTTTTGTTTTGTCTTTAAGAAAAATGGACAATACATATTTTATGGAGGCTCTCCTGATTTTTTAGTCTTGTCAACCCATTCAAACTTTTTTCAAGCCCTGTTTCTATGTGTGGAAGTGGGACATCCCCGTCTGCTGGCTGTGGATGGCCATGCACCATCAGCTTCTACCTCTGGACTAGAAGTGAGGTTCTCAGAAGAGGTCAGAGTGTCTCTAGAAAAGTGGGTTGAAGTCAAAGTGCCCCCCCTCATTCTCTAATATTGGGCTGAGCACTATGGTTTAATTCCTTGGGCTGAGAGATATCATATTCCCTTCTTTAAAAAAATTAATACGATAATCCTATCTGTGTTTTACAAAGATAATTCTGGTGGCAGATGGGCACTTGGCAAATGGCTTGATAACATTAGTTAATTTAATAAATGAGAGAGAGAGAGTGAGGAAGGCAAGAGATTAGAGGTCAGTTAAAAGGCCCTTGCACCGCCAGGCAAGGTGGCTCACACCTGTAATCCTAGCACTTTGGGAGGCTGAGGCAGGTGATCACCTGAGGTCAAGAATTCAAGACCAGCCTGGCCAACATGGTGAAACCTCATCTCTACTAAAAATACAAAAATTAGCCAGGCCTGGTCGTGGGTGCCTGTAATCCCAGCTACTTGGGAGGCTGAGGCAGGAGAATTGCTTAGACCCTGGAGGCGGAGCTTGCAGTGAGCCAAGATAGCGCAACTGCACTCCAGCCTGGGGACAAGAGCAAAACTACATCTCAAAAAAAAAAAAAGAAAAAAAAAAGGCTCTTGCAGTGATGCAGACAAGACAAAATGAGGTTAAACAAAGGGAAATGAAAATGGAAAGGAAGTGATAAATATGGAAACCATCTGAGGGGCAGAGTGAGACCTTTGTGGAGGTCACTAATGTAGTTCCCCAAACTTCCCTGGCTCTCCCGCTCTCTGAGAGTTGACACTTTGGCACTTCCTGGTCTCCTTGCATTCAAGTGGTGCCACGTGACCAGTGCTGGCCAGTGAGTTTCAAGAGAAAGTGATGGGGGCTACTTCTGGCCCAGAGCATTCAATTCTCACTCTCAAAAGCTCTCTTTCCTTCTGGTAATGTTCAAGATAGTAGGTGCTCCACCAGCTTGGCCACCTAAGTGACTACAATGAGCTGAGCCCCCTGATGATTTAGGACACGTAAAGAAGTAAACTGTACTGGGATGTTGAGGTTGCTTGTTATCGCAGCATAACCTAGCCTATCCTGACTGATCCATTTCTATTTGCCCCTTTTGTCCACATTGCAGTAGACAAAGTAAAAATAATACTATTTTACTTCTCATAAGCAAGACCAACCATCCTGGCAGAAATCCATGAGACATTTGCAGAAAACACTTGTAATCATATAGATGATGCAACCATATTACATCCTAGCCCCATTAATAGTCCAGTATTGTATTGCTTTTTATGAATTTTCTTAGGATTCTATTTTTGATGACCCTTTTCTCGCAGCAGAGTGTAGAATTAATGTAATTATTTTGTTAAAACTGTCAGTTGCGTTCTTTTTAGCTTAGTACATATGAAAGCCTTTAAAATGAATGCGTGAATTGAATGACTAATTTGCACATCAATACAAAATAACCAAATTACTCACCCAGTATCTTCATAATCCTACTAAAGAATTCTATTGTAGAGATGGAAAGAGAAAATAAGAGTGAGAATAATAATAATATTTATGATATGAGTAACTTTTAGCATTAACACGAGTAACATTTTGCTATACAATTAAAATCATTTTATTGCAGGTTTCTTCTCAAAGAATCTGGAACAGAATTACAAATCTGGCAAAGGTATATTTTTAATCCTATATCTCAAAATATAAAAAGAGATGTAGCTTAAGAGACAGTATTATCATTTATTGTGTATCCCAAGCAAAGCTAGGATCCATGTGGTCCTAGAATCATGTCTTAGATTTCATCTGTAAAGTGAGGAAATATATGCTATCTCCTCTTCTTAAAAACTAAGCAAGAGCCAAAGAAGTAAGATCTGGAAACCCTTTTTGGCAACCCTGAAATTGTTGTATATGAACAAAATTGAATTGCCTGTTTAGGAAGTTTAAAGTTCAGCCTAGATAAGAAAGATTCGTGGCGATGTGAGAGAAATTAAAGAGAGAACATAGTCAGATCCTTAAAAAGAAGTCTCTTGCTGTATACTCCAGCTTCCACAGCCTTCTAAAGGAATCAGCCACTGCATCTTTGTCACTTAACTTTTTTTAATCTGAACTGACAGATCACTGGAAAATAACTGTAGGGAATAATCCCCACACTGGCACAGGGGATGGATTAAATCAACCATGAAAATAAGCACTGGCCCATGTGTCTATAGTCTAAAAGAAATTTGAGTGAGCATAGTGCTGTGTTTAAACCAGGCACAGTAGCCATTGAATTGTCTGTAATATTTTCTCCTACAAATCTCCATTTGAAGGAAAAGTCAAACACTGATGCTTTGAAAGCCGGGGTGCATCTTGCTTTGCTGAATTTAAGGAATTATTTTATTAACACAGGAATATAAACTGAGCATACTTCTCCCTTACCCCATACCGGTAGCATAATTTTTAGTGAATATGGCTTATGGGTTCTCTTCTACCTTAATTTTTATAAAAGTAAAAATATCCCTGGAAAACCCATGCTCAATAAATGTTAGCTCTAATTTTAAACCTTTTAACCTCCAAGGTGGATTGGCCTTCTAAGAAGTCATCAAAGATGTAAATAGGTCTTTTTCACATTAATGGAGGAAAAATAATGGGATTGAATGTGAGCACTTTTTTGAGCTGCTTCCTATCTCACCCAAATGTATATTCTGTCCTTAAACTCATTTGGTTTCAAGAAGACAGTGAGGCATAGACAGTGAATCTCAGACTTCTAGAAAAACAACAACAACCACTTGGTTATCCACGTATTGGAGAATTTGCAAAGCACAAAGAACCGTTATCCAAGGAGAGTCCCATTGTTTCTGCCATGTTCTTCACCAATCCTCTGCCAAACTCTGTAAGGAAAGAATACTACTAGTTCTTGTGTGAAGGCAAGATTCTCTGATGGATAAATTTGGTCCCATCTGCTGAGCAAACAGATTTCAAATCAAGAATCAATGTTTCCATAAACAGTCTATGGATTCCTTGCAGGTTATCCAAACATCAATTAAGCAAAATCAAGGAACATGTAGAATCTATCCACCAGAATTAAGTCAAAATGCCCACTCAAACCCTAGGAGTTCTAATTTGCTATTGCATTAACACCTGGAAAATACTTGAAATTTGATGGGAAAAGGCAGAAGAGGGTTATTTAAATTTTTTGTCTTAAAGAAGATCTTGTTAAAATGTTTAGTATTGATAGAACTGCATTTTTTTCTTTAACTCATGCTGTAGGCTTATTCGAGGAGCAGAATTTTCATACCAAGCTCCTCACAGCTGAAAATCCATAACAATGATGCTTTCCCAGAGCCTGGGGAGAGTTCAGCTAAGCCCCAGGTTGTCCTAGTTGGTCAGAAAAGTCCCAGCTCCAGTTTCCCACCTTTGCACACTTTAAGACCCTATTTTGTATTTCTTTCTCCTTTCCTACCAGACTATCTGAAATACTTTGCCTTCATGAAAACTGCATTTATTAAGAAATTCAGGACAGGCATGGAGGCTCACACCTATAATCCCAGCATTTTAGGAGGCTGAGGTGGGCGTATCACGAGGTCAGGAGATTGAGACCATCCTGGCTAACACTGTGAAACCCCGTCTCTACTAAAAATACAAAAAATCAGCCTGGCGTGGTGGCGGGCGCCTGTAGTCCCAGCTACTTGGGAGGCTGAGGCAGGAGAATGGCGTGAACCCAGGAGGTGGAGCTTGCAGGGAGCTGAGATCACGCCACTGCACTCCAGCCTGGGTGACAGAGGGAGACTCTGTCTCAAAAAAAAAAAAAACAGAAATTCATACGCACATACCCACTTAACACATATTTATATTTTAACACCTTCGTATTTTTTATCAGTCAAGGATGTTTATTACCTTCAAAGTTTCTCTTCAGTGTGAATTCGCCAGTTTCATCACACTGGATAAGCTTGACATATGGATTAACACATACAATCTTCTTAGGGGTAAAGAAGAATATCAATAGGCAAACTAGGTATGGTGGTATATGCCTGTAGTCCCAGCTACTCTGAGAGGATTGCTTGAGTCCAGGAGATCAAGGCCAGGCTGGGCAACATAGTGAGACTCCCCACTCTAAAAAAGAAAAAGAATTTTATTATGTTTATTTTATATTGAAAATAGTTCATCATGTTCTCCAGAGATCCTGATATAAAATATATAAATCATATATATATAAAATTCTGTGTACATATATATATAGACATATATATAAAATTTCTTCATTTGTAAAACAGTCATGTCTGACAACAAAGACAGTGACACCTTCAGGTTATTTCTAAGTGGACCCCCCCGCCAATAATATTAGTTCCATATATGTATGCATTAGTTTGTGTCAAAAAAAAAAAAAAGATGGTGTTCCAAGGTCAAATGAGTTTGGTCAGTATTGGATAGAAAATGCTAATTGGGTTTCTTTTTTTTGAGACAGAGTCTTGCTCTGTCGCCCAGGCTGGAGTGCAGTGGCATGATCTCAGCTCACTGCAACCTCCGTCTCCCAGGTTCAAGCAATTCTCCTGCCTCAGCCTCCCAAGTAGCTGGGACTACAGGTGCACACCACCACACCCAGCTAATTTTTGTATTTTTAGGAGAGATGGGGTTTCACCATGTTGGCCAGGATGGTCTTGATCTCCTGACCTCGTGATCCACCTGCCTTGGCCTCCCAAAGTGCTGGGATTACAGGCGTGAGCCACCGCACCCGACCGAATCGGGTTTCTTTAATGCTGAAATTCTAGCCATTAATATTCTAATGCTCACTGGATTTCCAAAAATAGGATGAAACATGCAGGATCTCCCAAATAATTTTTTTGGCCATTGGACACTTGTTTTTCATGGAACATATGTGGCAACTAGCATCCTGTGGAATAGTCCTAGGGAATATTTCTTAATCTATCGGGAACAAATATCTATTGTTGACTTTTCAAGAGAAGGTTCATGCCACAGTTGGTATCATCAGTGGAGCCAAAGATGAATTTGGTCCTGTATAGGGTCTAGATCTCAGCCTATGGCAAGAAACTCAATTTAATTAGTGTCCTAGGCTGGATCAGAATATCACAATGCTGACTCAAACTGAAGAAGATAGATTATAAAACCAGAATGCCCGTTTTAATTTACAAAGAGAAATATAATTGTCAAGGGGCGCTAATATTATTGCCCTTTGATCAACACCTTCTCTACTTGTAAAGGACAATTCCATGAAAATCCTTATCTTGTCAGAAGGTTGCAAGATGAGTATAAATACAGGACTTGACATGTCAATTTATTCAGAGATATAATGGCCACATGTGTCTACACAGTGGGATATGCCTGCCAGCTGGACCAGATAGGGCATGGCCTCCGACCACCACTCCAACCTCAGAATTGGCTTCTGTGATGCCGTCTTTCTGTACTTCCCGTAATGACTAACCTTCATCTGATAGACACTTAGTTTCTGTCAATATGTTAAAACCTTCACCAGTTCAAGGATATTTAGATATACTAGACAGAAACAATGTCTAGTCCATGCAGAAGATATGAAAACGGTTACTTCATCTCAATTTACAGTGGCTCAATATTATTTTATCCCATGTGTATAATTGCTCATATCACAGTGAGACTATAAGCAGCAAATAAATGGGAAGCCATCTGTGTCTTTAATATGGCTTGGTGTAATATATATATTATACATAACATTGTAAATCTGTATAAAATATAATTACATGGTATATATTATTGTAAATATATATAATTGTATAATATATAATAAATATAATAATATATTATTATTATATGTCTGTGTATATGAGACAGAAAGCAAGCCAAGAAGACCTGATATGATTGTGCTTTCACCAACCCATTATAAATTTGCTCCATGGAAATTCATAGCTTGCCTCTCTGAGGGCAATTTCTACTTTCTTAAGAGTACTTTAACATGGCCTGTTACATAGTATAAACACCTCTGATAATAGTTTTAAAATATATACTTTGATTCTTAGAAGTCATTTGATTCTTAGGCACCGAAGTCACCGCCCCCTTACGGAAAGTCAAAATGTTTTGGAGTTTATGCCCCGTCCCCAGCTGGAATCAATGATTCACTGGTGTTGGGAGAAGTCAAGGGAATAGAGGGACTCTGTGAGGCAGGATAAACCTCAAGGTGTCATTTATGCTTCAGAGCTCCCTGGAATCAGGATGAGGCTGGGACTTGCCCTGAAATCCTGTCTTTGCTTGGCTTCTTGCCCTCCCATCCTGCTGTCCTCACTCCCCTCCTGGTTTTTCTTGGGAGCCCTTCTTTAAATCATTTGCACTCAAATCCTTAGGTCAGGGTCTGCATCTGAGAGAGTCCAATTTAGGAGACTTACTTTATAAGGTTGTTGAGAAAACCAATGAAGAAATTAACGTCAAATACTTAAAACAGTGCCTAAAACATAGGAATTTGCTGTTATAATATAAAATGTAGCCATAGTTTTGAAACTAATTTTTGTTTAAATTTTTTATCAATGTAATACATGCATGTGGTTAAAAATCAATTCAATCCACAAGGCTTCTGAAAACATGCTAAGTTCTCAGCCATCCTCCTCTCCACCCTCAGGATTACTCCCCAGGAGAATCACATTTAACCGTTTCTGGTTTTAGGCTTTATGAGTTTACCTCCGTATTTCCAAAGACTTCCAGTTTATCTCTGTCTTTTATTAACTTGATATATCATCTGTTCATTTCCTGCTATGGAGTATGAGGGTTTAGTTCACTTACAACATCTCTCACTCTCTTTTTCTCCCTGCTCCAAAGAGAAGCATAGCACGATTTTTAGTTAACTGTATAATTTTAAGTAGCATGTTTAAGTCTCTATTTGTTCTGTCAACTGCAGAGCCATCTCTTTACTCTCCACGTAGTACCCCGGTCCTCCCTTCCCCTCCTCCCTCCCACCAAGCATTCCCTTCCACGTGGTCAAGGATGATAGCTTTTGTGTTCTCGTGAAATCTTTCATGCTTTGTTTATAGGTTGTTCCAAAAATTGCAAGTCAGTAAACACTCTTGACTTTAATATGGCTACCTTATTATTTCCTGCAGAGCCAAAAAAATACGCAGTGATCAAGTATTCCTCTCAGTGTGGATTTTAGTGCCACTCAAAGAAAACACCCAAGTGCATCATCCTTTCATACTCCACCAAATGCTCAAAATCACACCACATTTTACTTTCAATTAAGTTGTTTATTTTAATTGACATTGAAATTGTACATATTTGTGGGTTACCATTTGATATTTCCATGCATATCTATGTTGTATTCATTATTTCGTGCATTTATCATTTTCTCTTCTAGCTACTTTGTAATGTACAATACCTTACTGTTACCCAGTCACCCTACTGTGCAACAGAACACCAGAACTTACTCCTCCTATCTAATTTTAAGTCTGTACCCATTGACCAAGCTTTGCCTCTCCTCCCCTGACCCTTCCCCACTCTCTGGTAAACACTGTTCTACTCTCTGCTTCTATGGCTTTTCTTTTTTAGATGCCACATATGAGTGAGATCATGTGGTATTTGTCTTTTTGTGTCTGGTTTATCTCACTTAACATAATGTCCTCGGGGTTCATTTATGTTGCTGCAAATGACAGAATTTCATTCATTTTATGGCTAAACAGTATTCCGTTATGGATATGTACCACATTTTCTTTATCCATTCACAGTTGCTGGACACTTAGGTTGATTCCATATCTTGGCTGTTGTGAATAGTGCTGCAGTAAACATGAGGGTACAGATGTCTCTTTGACTATATTGATTTGTCTTTGTATATACATCTAATAGTGGGATTGCTAGATTATATAGTAGTTCCATTTTAGACTTTTTGAGGAACCTCTATGCTGTTTTCCACAAAGGCTGTCTTAGTTTGAAATCCCACCAATAGTATGTAAGTGTTCCCTCTTCACGTCCTCACCAATGCTTGTTTTCTGTCTTTTAGATAATAACCATTTTAACGGAGTGAGGTGGTATCTCACTCCGGTTTTGTTTTGTTTTGTTTTGTTGTTGTTGTTTTTGAAATGGAGTCTCGCTCTGTCACTCTGGCTGGAGTGCAGTGGTGCGATCTCGGCTCACTGCAACCTCCACCTCCTGGGTCCAAGCGATTCTCCTGCCTCAACCTCCTGAGTAGCTGGGACTACAGGCACACGCCACCACGCCCAGCTAATTTTTGTATATTTTTTAGTAGAGACGGGGTTTCACCACGTTGGCCAGGCTGGTCTCGAACTCCTGACCTCAAGTGACCTGGCCGCCTCGGCCTCCCAGAGTGTTGGGATTACAGGCGTGAGCCACCGCGCCCGGCCTCGCTGTGGTTTTGAAAGGCATTTCCCTGATAAGTAGTACATCACATTTTATTGCACAATTGGTTTATGTTTGTTTCTCCTATTGTTTCTCATAAAACCATGCATTTGTTTCTTATGCTGTTTGTTTGTTTTGCCAGAAATTTCTTATTGCCCTTCCTTTTGAAATCATTATTATTAGTGTTATTATAAAAAGAAATGTGTATCTTCTTTAGGAAGTGGCTAGCATCTTTTCATTTCTTACTTTTTCTTCAGCATTGAATCCAACAGTTTTTCTCCTGGAAGCTCAATGACTTCTTGTTTTAATTTGGAACAGCTGCTTCATATTTGGATTGTGACTTTCCCTGACAGCTTTGATTTTTCCTGAATTTTCTTGTTTCTTTTTTCACATTCTCAGATTCTTCCAAAATCTGAGATATTTTTTCATTACTATGGAATCCCCCTTTTTTCTGCAGATTTTTCCCCTTACAGCCTCTGCCCCTATGCTCTGCTGTGGACTGGCTGCTGTCTAGAACTGCTATACAGCTGTCACAGTGGGGCTCCCTTGTGTTGCTCTCTTGAGTGACTTCAACGCTGTTTCCTGGGTCCTTTGTCTTCCTCTTCCTTAGTTCATAACCTTATTTTGCTGAAGTACCTATTCAACTTTGTAAGAAAAAGTATGTAAGGATAAAATTATGTAAAGAGAAGATGTCTAAGTCTTTGTAAGTTCCAAAATGGGCCTTCGTCTGCTCTGGCCCTGGCCAGACAGTTGAGTTAGCAATAGAATTCTTGGTGGGAGATAACTTTCTCTCAGAACTTTGAAGGCATTGGTCCTCTGATTTTAGCTATATAGTTTTGCTATTGAGAGGTATGATAGCAGTTTGATTTATGTTTCTTTGTATGTGGCCCTTCATTTTCTCTCCAAAATCTTTTTGGATTTTAAAAGATCTTTATCTTTGGTGTCCTGCAGTTTCATGGGGGAATAGTCTAGGTGTGGATTGTTTTTCTTTCATCTTGGTTGGCACTCAGTAGACAACTGGAAGGACTGGGAAAAGCAATGGAGAGCTCAGTGTTTTGGGGTGAGATTGTAGGCTGACTGGCTTTTTTAGGGTAGGTGAGAGGAGAAGCACTTTACTTTGGGGTGCCCACATCCACATTAGAATGTTTTCTCAATTTCTTTCTCTTACTTTTTTGAGATTTTAGGCCTAGATGGGGTTATTCTGCAGGTGGAAATAGTGGGGAAGTCAGCTGTTCCATAAAGAGACCTCAGCAAGCACCCCCTGGGAACTCATGGGGGACTTGCCACCTCTGAGTGCTTAGCCCCCGCCCCCAACACTTTGCTGAGCAGGTGCAGCTCCCCTGGGGTAGTCCTGCATAGCTTCTACATTCTACTTTACATCCTTCGCTTTTTATCTTTCCTATTTAATGAGGTATCTAAAAGCTAATATTAGGTCTCAGACTTAACCTGTCCTAAAACATTCCAGTAAGTGTGCCCTAAAATGTCAACAAAGGCGGTAGTGGTTGGTGAATTCCCCTAATTTCCAAAACAAAAGGCACTAAAGAACACTGGGTGATTTCCAGATGTCTATTTCTTTTCTTTCCAACCAATGATCTTGTTTCAATTTTTTTTTTCTAATGGCAGAACAATTTGTTTAAAAGAAATAGTCTCAGGCCGGGCGTGGTGGCTCACACCTATAATCCCAGCACTTTGGGAGGCTGAGGCAGGCAGATCACGAGGTCAGGAGACCAAGACCAGCCTGGCTAACATGGTGAAACCCCATCTCTACCAAAAATACAAAAAATTAGCCTGGCACAGTGGCACGCGCCTATAGTCCCAGCTACTCGGGAGGCTGAGGCAGGAGAATCGCTTGAACCTGGGAGGCAGAGGTTGCAGTGAGCCAAGATTGTGCCACTGCACTCCAGCCTGGGTGACAGAGTGAGACTTTGTCTCAAAAATAAATAAATAAATATAAAAATAGTCTCAGTGTTGGGGAGCTGCATTTGCAAGCTGATCTGGTTGAAAGTCAAGGGAAAAGTCGCACCCTCCCCACTTGCTGCAGCTCCCTGTAGGGCTGCTAGGAGCCCCAAGGGTAATGGTTCCCAATCCCCTGAGGTAGGTCTTTAGAATGCAGATTTTGCCCTACTCCCTGGAATCTAATTTCCTTACAAGCTCCCTTGGTGATTCTGGTCCACAATTTGAGATAGGCTGCTAGAGTTGGCAGAAACAATCAACCTAAGAAAGAAGCTTGGGTGGCTCAGACAATACAAGGAAATGTGTAGGGATGTTTTCATTAGAAGAATTTATCTTTATTTTCCCCTGACATCTCAAGAGACACTTAGATCTCTGCCTTAAATGCAAAAGAAGCAAAAAGACAGATTAAGGACATGTGTAGCAATACTTCTGGAGCTGATAACACTGACCATATGCAAGATGGTCACACATCATAGACTCTGAGGCAGAATTGACTTTGCTTGTTTCTGACATTGTTGCCAAGAATAAAGACAGAATTCTGGGTACACATGAACATAAAAATAGAAATAGTAGACACTGAGGACTCCAAAACAGGGAGGATTGGAGGCATATGACAGATGAAAAATTACCTCTGGAGTACAATGTTCAATATTTGAGGAATGGGTACATTAGAAGCCAAATTACCACTATTATACACAATCGACTCACGTAACAAACATGCACATATACCTCCTGAATCTAAAATTTGAAAAATTAAAAAAAAAAAAGAATAAAGGCAGACCTCCCAGCAAGTTTTCACCTTCTACACTTTTTCAAAATCCCCAGTCCGCAGCCATCTACCTTTTCCCATCGACTTTGCAAAACTTCCATCTGCGGGTGCAGGCTAGGGATACCCTTACTGGGGACACCAGAAGGGGTTTCTGATTTGCATCCTTGGTTCAGCTCCCTGAGATATTCTTACCTAATGGGCATGTGTGGATGTTCCATTTACTAATTCAGATTCCTCCTTTTGGGATGTTCAAGATTCCTGTTTTTTCTTCTTCTAGAGATCTTAGTGGGGAGCAAAAGCACACAATAAATACAGAGTTAGGGAGGCAAAGGCTACATCAGGGAACACAGGTTTTTCCATGGGCCCATTGATTCTTTACAACTGGGGCTGATCTGGGAGTTGCTTCCCCCAGTTAGGGACAAATCCAGCTGGGGAAATCTTAGATGCCACCCCGGAGATACTCTAGAGACAATATGTCACAGAGTTCTGTGGACAAGGTAAACTGATGCCTAGTTACTTTCCTTAAACTGGCACCAAGCCTGAGCACAGAGCTGCTGCCGCCCTATGTCTAAGCATGGAGGAGGCATTTTCTTACCATCAAGGTAAACTAGTGGTATGAATAACATGTACCATGGCCCTTCTCCACCTCCCTTCCATTCATACCTCTCACCTCCCTTCCTGCAACCACTCTGTTGCTTATAATAACAGCCATGTTTCTCTGTTCCTTATAATAACTCGTGGCTCATACTCAAATTAGCATCTTTATCTTTGAAACACACATTTACATTTCTCATCAGCAGGCTTTAAACAAATGATTTGCCTGCAGTAGGACTGAGGTACAACTGTACACTTTCCCAGGAGCCGAACAAGCAGACCCTTCAATTTAGGCTCAATAATGAGATACCTGAGCCACCTCTTCTCACAAGCACAGCCACGGAGCGCATCTTTCTGCATGTGAGCAGTCTTCTGTGGTCAAACCCTTAGGAGAAAATTGGTTGCCTCATCATTACAAATAATCCTGTCATGTAAGAGGTTTTGGGAAGTGCCCAGGGTATTCACTGGCTGTGTAAACTTGGGAAGGTCACTTAACCTTTCTGAGACTGAGTTCTATATGTATAACATGGCAATAACACCATCTATCCATACAGTTGTCTTGAAAAGCTAATTCATCATATTAAATGAAGGTATCTTCAAACTGTGAAGCACTGTCTTACTTTTAACCGAAATTTCCTTGGCTGTTCTGTGCCTGCTCAGTGTCCAGCTTCCAAGTCTTCCCCAGCATTTCTCGAAGCCATTGGGGTGGGGTCTTGTGTGCACCTGAAAATGAGTCCACAGTTCCCAACGCCCTGCCCTGCCAATCCTGTGCCTTTCCAGTAGGCACAATGTGTTTCTCCCTGTGCCGGCATCCTGGCCAAGGCTCTCCTGTGGCTCCAACAGGACAGCCCTTGCTGGTGGCTGCCCTGACCCCTCAGGACCATAAAGCCATGAAGAGCAAAGGAGAAGTATGCTCTTGCCCTTTGGCTTCCCAGGGCAATGTAACTTGGTCCCCAGTGTGTGAATATAGACAAACAGCTCTTTTCTTGTAGTACAATACACATAACATACAACTTGCCACTTTAACTATTTAACACTTTATTAAATCTATTTTAACTATTAACTAAATGTATGATTCAGTGACATTAAGTATATTTTCAGTTTTGTCCAACCATTTCCACTGTCTAGTTTCAGAATTATTTCTTCACCTTAAAAGGAAACTCACACCCACTGGCATCTCCTCCCCATCCCTTCCACCTTCAGAGCCTGGCATCCACTCCTCTGCCTTCTGTCTCTATGGACTCACTTATTCTGGACATTTCATATGAATGAAATGTGGCCAAGGCTGTCTGGCTTCTTTCACTTAGTGTCATATTTTCAAGGTTACTCTTCTTGTTTTTCCTTGGTGTTCTTTCTCTCCTTAGGACCAGGCTTGCACCGAGGGGCTGGGATGAGGATGGGTTTGGATAAGCATTACCACAAGGCTTCTTTCCAGGATTCCTGGTCACTTTCAGTGATAAGCCCTGCTGCTTCCTTCCTCCTCAGCGTGGGTTTTCTGCCCTCTGTAAACATATCCAGATGAGTCTACTCCAGCTCCCAGACATACCTGGAGGTATGTGAACAGCAGTGAGTAATGGCTGTTCTCCTTCCTAATAGGCTTTCACACCCAATCCACCAGTTTGCCAGCCATGCCCACATTTGCCTGAGCCTGAGAAGTCCAAGTAAATGCTGAAGTGGAGATGCTGACTAGAGTGCTTATAATAGTATGGTCTTATATTTTGGCATAAAGTAGGTTAGGATGTTGCTAGAAATCATACTTCCTTTAGCATTTGAGCACCATTTTTCCTTCTGTACATTGCTAAGTATAGAACACATTTGTATTTTTCCAGAATCTTCCACAGACTTGCTTTTCAAGTGCTTTTGACTTTTCTTGTGTAAATCCCATCCGATACAATTCTGCTACCTCTGATGATGTGGCTCCGTTTATGTGTAGGGGTTTACTGAGGAAACTTTTAACAAAGATTCAATATGAGAAATTGTTTACAATTTACAGCTAATATATAGAAACTGAACAAATTGAGAAATGCAGGATTCTTGGCTTCTTTGTCATGTTAAATTATTTATTTGGGAAGTTTCAAGACACGGCTTTACCGTAACTCTCTCTTCTCTCTAGGAAATTTGGTTTGATGAAATTTTGTTTTGTGTTTCTTTTTCAAAAATTTAAAGTAAATTTTCAGAATGTATTTCTGTGTATCCCTTTTCCTTTCATAGCTGCTGTTTCTGCAGTTAAATTTTACATTTAACATTGGCCTATGTCGTGTATAGTAACAAGACAGAGAGGAAACCATCATAAAAGGGAATAAATACCAGGGAAGAAAGTAAAGTCTTTAACCTTCCCTGCTTAGGGTCAGAATTTTACCCCAACAAGCATCATTTTATCTGCAAACATTCTTTGTAGTTCAAATATTAATACATCCTTGAACCTTCCTAACTGTACTCATCTTATTTTCTCATTCTTCTCTGTCATATTTCACTATGCTTTACACAATGAGCCACTTCGATGCACTATATTTTCACATTTTTTAACTCTCATTTTCATGTTAGTGTGTAGGTGGCTTTGGTGTTTTTCAGACCCAAGTTACGTTCATATATGCCCCTCCTGCTTTCCTTTGCATCTGGTGTATACCTGAACATATTTAATTCTGTATTATTTTTTGCTTGCAGATGTCAAATTAGTCTATGTAACTCAAAGGCTTAGGTTTATGCCTTTCCAGTCAAGCTGCTGTTATGGAAAACAAATACCCAAGCAATATGAACTTACGGATATGGAGGAAGGGAGACATATTTGGGACCAAGGCTCATTAGTAGGTTAGGGTCTGCTGTACCTACCCGTCTGCCAACATCTATCTGCCAATATTCCCAGACTTTCCTGTTTCTAAATGCTGATTTAGATAAATGCTTTTCTAACCAAAATGAAGCAGTATGGTATTTAAGTCAACCATGGAAATAAGCATTAACATATGTGCCCCCACCTGAAAGACATCAGGTTAGGTTCGATTTGAATCAGGCAGGAGGCCAGATGCAATCAAGTCCCTGAAGTCTGGAACTCCACCAGAAGAAGAGATCAGGCTCCCCTGCCCCAGGATCCTCCAGACTGCAGAAGATCTAGGGAGGTCAGAATAGAGCAGGGCTCCCACATCTTTGATAAAATGTGATTTTGTAAACTAGAAGAAAGGGGGAAATGGCAAAAGCAGGCCTTTCTCTAAAAGGTCTAATAAACGGGATGATGCCGGGGTACTTTCCAGGCCTCCCTCATGCCATCTCTATCTCTACGATTACATCACAAGCCCCAGAACACCCTGGCTCTACACGCAAGGCAGGCCACACACTGGACTGCTTGCATAGACCTAGAGCAGTTCAGTGGCTCAGTGAGGACTTGCTATCCCAACTGGACCAAGTTGGAAGCCCTACATGGTATGTGAGATCACAGAATTGGTATTTGATACCCCTGGAAATGGTTGCATCGTCATTTCACCAATACAGCTACACTTTCCTCTAAGGCCTGTGGGTTTGACATTGATCCTTATATGTTTATTTGTTCATGGGCTTGTTAGAAAGCTTTTAGATTGAGATTTAGGCAAAAAAGAAAGTGAACTTGGTTTTTAGCCGTAAATTTCTCTAGACCATTCTTAGGTCAAACTAACCAGCTTCCTTCTGCAGAAATTGTTCAGTGCTACATGGGCATGTGAGAACAAATTTTGCGTGCTCAGTGCTAAGACACTTTCTCCCACCAACTCTACCTTTCTCATAACAAGATCTTAAAAGATGATTTCATTCCCTCAGTCCTTAGGTGCTGTCCTGTCCTCAGGTGCTGATGTCTAATCACCACACTGTTTGGTTCAGTCACCTGCTATCATCCCTCCAGTTTAGGGGTTCTGTCTCTTTAATCAGCAGGCAAAAAATTCAGACTCAGGCTTTTGACCCTGCAAAATGGAGAAGCATGTACTGCTTTTGAATTTTTAAAAAAAAAAAAAAACAGTTAGAAATTTGACACTAAGACATCTAAGCAACTGGGTGGAGATCTGAAGTAGCAAGTGAAAATGATACCATTAATGATATTGATGATGGATGTAAAGGCAATTGCAAACAATTGGTTTTTTGTTCTTAACTCCAGTCAAACACTTACCAAAACAACTAAACTGGTTGGACTTCAACAATCTAAATGAAATCTTGAAGCATGAATGTATTTCCCATGCAGTATGGAAAGGAAGAGAGAGAGAAAGTAGTTAAAAAACAATCTCCATTCCTACCACACACCTTTGGCTTGCATTGTTCACCACCTTTTAAAGTAATGCCTGATGTGTTATATGCTGGTCCTCCAGAAATTCTAAACTTTCCCCAGAAGTGACCTTTGTTCTCCCAGTGCCTCACAACACTCTTAAATACCAAAGAGCTTCAGGGGGCAAGGACAAGAATTTTCTAAAGGAAACCCTTCTCCACTTGCACTGGACAGGCTGTCAAGACCCAGCAAGACACTTTGTCATGTTATCTCACTCCACATTCGCTTTCTCTCCTTGTAGCTACCTCATCCCTGAACTCCCAGCTCCAGCAGCTCCAGCTCCAGCTCCAGCAGCAGCAGCAGCAGCAGCAGCAGCAGCCTCCCCCGTCAACCAACCAGCACCCGCAACCAGCCCCACAGGCGCCCTCGCAGTCCCAGCAGCAGCCGCTGCAGCCCACCCCACCCCAGCAGCCACCACCCGCCTCTCAGCAGCCGCCAGCTCCTACATCTCAGCTGCAACAGGCGCCTCAGCCCCAGCAGCACCAACCCCACTCCCACTCCCAGAACCAGAACCAACCATCTCCAACCCAGCAGAGCTCCAGCCCCCCGCAGAAACCTAGTCAGTCTCCAGGACATGGCCTGCCTTCACCGCTCACGCCACCCAATCCTCTACAGGTATGCTCCCCGTGCTTCCCGTCTGCCCCTAGGAGCACCAAGGACCTTTCCATGGGGTGGTGCCATCCCCAAAGGCAGAGGGACCACACAAAACTTAGCATCCAGTTCTGCAGCATCTAATTCAAATTGATCTCTTAGACATAGGGAAGAAGAAGCAACTAGAAGGCAACTGGGGATGCATGTAAACGAAACAAATAGAAGCCCATTTCTGTTGCCCTCCAAAGGATAAATGTTATCTGTTTCCTTCTGTGAGAGGCCAGCACTATAAGTGCATTTGGAGCCTGTAATAATTCCATTTTATGATACTTTTTGAAGGCAGCAAAGATAGCATCCAATTAAAATTATTACTAGCACAGTTTTGTAGCCCCATGGAGAACTGCATCTACTGTCCATGAGGCATGGTGGTTATTTCTCTATATTATGAATACAACAGTGTCTCACCTTAAGTACTTTGTGCTCTTTTGTTTCTATTTTTCTAAAGACTCTCTGGGGTTAGGAGGGCAAAGAAATTTAGCCCCAGTCTTATGTCCCAGATTCCAACCATTACTCCACAGACTAACAAGTACTCTAAATTCATGCCAAGAGCCTCAACCAATATGCATCTTTATAAAGGAATAAAACTTCTATAGGTTTACTTTATTACTGTGAGGCTGAGAGCTTCATAAATAGATATTTCAGGCTAACCATGAGAGCTCATCTATAACCTACCTATTGAGAAGGAATGGATAGGTGCATTCATATATATATATATATATATATGACTTTAAACTTCAGAAAACCATTTTTAACTTAGGTGTCTTTAAAATAAATTAGCTTCAAAACATAATGACTGTGATGTCATCATATCAGATCCAGAAATTAATAACTCAGCCAAGCCATCCATTCTTTGACTTGCACAATGACATTTTTCCCTGTGAGATTTCAGACAATCTCGTGTATTTGTAGTACTGTGACAAAGTTAAACAGAGTGAGCAGCCTGTGGACCTGTTTCAAGTGCCATCTCATCCCCTTGCCATAGTGGTGGGTATAAACCTCAGTCAGTCCGGCTCTCCCCAGCCTGAGAATGACAGTAGCGATGGTATCCTTGGCTCCTAAATAGAAAAGTATACAAAATAAAGACAGGTTGGTACACGGACAGAAAGGCAGGTGGATTAGAGACTTGGTATTTTAGAACTTAGTTTGTTGTCCCATAGCTTTGTCTCTTCCAATTTGGATTCTCAGTGGTGTGGCCCAAAGCATTCCTAGAAATGAACACATTTGGGAGAGATGAGTCATTGTGTTTTTCTGGGCTCTTGGGCCAGGGCTACTTTCAATTTGAACATTTTCATGAGTGGAGTTTCAAGATGTATTTATACAATTCTTACGATGGTGAGACAACGTAACACCTTTGACCTAGGACTAAAATGAACATGGTCCAAAAACGTCTTCATTGTCCACTTGACACCTACTGAAAGAGCAGGTGTCATCAAATTTACAGAAGGCATGATTACAGCAACCTTAATGTTGGCAGCATTTGGGATTCAACTTTATTATTCCAAAAAATTAATTTAATGCTTTTTAAGAACACTTACATTAGATGTACCTATATACCATCTAATTTCTCTATTCCAGGCACCAAAATAGGTAAAATTACCAAAGAAAAATATTGCCCTTCCTTGAGGAGTGAAATTACTTAGGTGTGTCCCCAGTTGTCCGATATAGTCCAGTATTCCTTCCTGTTAGGTGAAAGTTTTGAGCTCTGTGGACCTCAGCCTTCCCTGAACACTGTCAGTGTTTTATAAATTTCTGTTGGCCAGTGAGATCCCAGTGAAGACAAGCCCTGTTGAATGACTGTTGACAGGACTTTAGATGAAGTGACCACGCAGCCTCATGAAAATAAACTTAGGGGAATTTCCGAAAGTTCTCCTAACAGTTTCTCGTGGAAATCCCAGGGCTGTTTGTTTTGTTTTGGTTTTGCAACAAATGAAGGCTCAGAGCTACATTTCTTTCTTTGTAACACTGAGAGAATATTCTAATTTTTCATTTTTGAAGTTTTAACTTATAAACTTAATAAATATGTTTAGAGTACATTTAAATATAGAGGAGCTGTTACTCTAACTTCTGTGGATCTAACAGATGACCACCAAATGAGTGACTTGCTACAAATTTTTTTTAAAACATTACTGAGAAGATGTTAAACAAATCTGTGTCGGTAGGCATAAAAGGACTTTTTTCCTTTACTACAGGCATGTATAAAGGAAATAGAGAATATTTTGGTTTAAAAAAAATTTTTACACTAGCTGCAGGCTTTTTGAGTTTGTGGAACATGGAATGTTTGAACTTTTTAAAAAGAAAACTGTTTAAAAGGAATTGCAAAGATATTTAACTCTCCAAACTAATGATCTTTATAAAGTGTTTTTGTTTGAAGATTATTAAGGGAATAAAGATCAACTAAATTCATGTATGATAGCCTAAATTTTATTTTACAACCCTTTATTTTCATGTGGGCTTTATCTTTTTACATTATTCAAAAATCTGCTGGAGAGATATTAGTTTAGAACTATGCAATGTAGATTACCAGGGAAAGCCAGTCAATTAGGTTTTTTGCTTTAAAAACAAAACTTTGGAGGACAACAATTATTTCTAAAACTGTGCAGATGCTCCCATATCTTTAGAAAAAAATAAATGTAAGTAGGTTGTGTGTTATATTTGGGTGAGGTCATTTCCTGAGATGAAAAAAAATTAATAGTGTTGGTAGGTAGTAACACTCTAAACAAAAATTATCCAAATACCTCGTATCAGGCTTTTCTGCAATATTGCAGTGTAATTTTATTTTACTCTTTTACTGAATTCTGTGAAAAGGATTACATTTACAAAACCAAGTTGTTTTAAGATAGATAGGAGTCTAAAGTATTATCCTTTCAGAGACGCACAGGTAGGGGGATCACTTTGTTTATTAATTTTGATCACTCAGCATTATAGGAGGTCTGGTGGTCTAAAGCAGACTCTAGAAGCTGCCCCTGGAGATCTGTCTATAGATTCTCCATTGAGACTCAGGACCCACCCACCCATGGCTTCGTTCTTGCCCAGGAGGCTTGAGGAGAGAAGTTCTAGACAGGAAATGCAAGGGCAGAGGTCTTCAGGGCCTAGCAGTCCCTGTAAATAAGTAAAGTAATCTTGGTTGTAGAACCCAAAATCAAATTTATAAAAACAGTGTGTGGGACAAACAAGATGCACTGTGAGCTGAATTTAGTCCTTGGGTGCCAGGATGGAGAGCAGTCCATACTCCTTATTTTTGCTCAAACCCACAGTCCACAGGCTGTGCCTGAATCTAAAACTAAAAATATAGACTGTGTTTGATAGAAGCAGAAACATAAATGGAAGCAATCTTTTGGGGCAAAAAACATGATCTAGGTAAAAAAAAAAAAAAAATTCAATACGTAATTTTAATCTGGATAGAGACCCCATAAGCATAAGAATGGTGAAATAAAAGCCTCCTTTCTATGACCTTTAAGAAGAATTTTCTTGAAAAGAAAACTCCTTGGGAGTTTTTATTTGCACTGGTAAAATTTCAGACATCTTATAAAAGCCCTATTGTGCACATATTCCCTCTTGAGTGGTCTGGAGATATGCTGGGCATGGTTGGAGCCCAGTCATGGTGTAGGTGGAAGAGGGTAACCGGAGGGCTTGAGTCCCCCTTCTAGTTCTGACCCTGCCTCCAACTAACTCATAACTTTGGATAGGTCACTTTAGCTCTCTGGACTTCATTTCCCTCATCCGTGTGGTCTGAGGTCTTTTTCAGGCCTATGAATCTATAATCTCAATGTTAGTAGGCCTCTGGAATTTTATTGGCTATTGAAAACTTGATGGTCCTGAAGATTCTCTGAGTATTCTTCAAGGTCAGGTTAATTTCTTCCCACTCAGCTGGGTGGCAGAGTGAAAAGAGAGTGGAGGACAAACATAAGTGGGATAATGATAGCAGAAGCAGATTTTATCTTAGCCAGAGAGTCCAAATTAAAGTCAAGTTTTTATCCTCAGAGAGTCACTGCTATAAGCTCTGGTCCCAGATTGCTTTTCCACACCTATACATTAGAGAAGCTTAAGAAACCAAATGCTGCATTTAACCTTGGCCTCCCACGTACCATCTTGCATGGCAGGACGCAGGATAATCTTTTCCTTTTCTTGTTCTATTGCACATTTTAATAAATAACAGAGGGAGAGAGAGATCAGTAGGAATTGGACAGTGAAAACTATCTGTGCTTATATGAGGAATGAGGGGCACGGTCACCTCCTCGGAGGTGAAGTTGCTTGAGAGCGTGAAATGTATTCTCAACCATGTGCATTTGCTAATGGAAAGGTCTAGTTACCACTCAGGCACAGCAGAGTAAAACTGCATCGGAATCCCACCTCTGTTGCGCAGTGGGCATTGCCTTCTGGTCTTCCCATTTGAGATATTTTCCCACTGGCAAACTTAGTACTAAGTTCCAAAGTGCATACATAATGGGAGAAGGTGGTACATTATCACTTTTTAAAATAAAGAGCCCAAAGCCTTGGGAAGGAGCTAGACCTACGGGACTTTCAAGTTCTCTAAAGCAAATGGTCTCCAATCATGGGTCTGCCCTATGGAAAAGACCCAGTGTCCTAGGCCAAACCCCCTCCCCCCCCAGCAATTAGTCTTAATCGGTTTACCACAATATTACTCAAGGCTCTGTGGGACTAGGTTTGTTTTTTCATCTATAAAAGGGAGGGGGTAAAATTAAATACTTTCTAGAACTCCTTCAGTTCCATTGGAGTTTTATGTTACAAACCCCTAAAACTGTGTAGAGTTGGGTGACTCTGTGGGTGTATTCATATAACTCCTTTGTGTGGCTACTGTAAATATAGAACTCAGACATCTCTCTACCTACACAGGGCTAAATCACTACGCAGAATTCTCCTAGCCAGGACTGAGATGATGGTGAGGCTTGGAAGCACTCATCTCAGATGCAGAATTTAAGGGTGTACTCAAAAATTCAGATAATGTTTGAATGAAATATTTTCAAAAATCAAAATGAACGCCAAAAGTCTATGAACAACAAAATTTCAAATTTTTAAATGCAGGATCAGTAACAGTATTGAGCCATATTGGAGTCTGAGGCAAAAGAAAAAAATCAGTCATATGAACATTTAGTGATCATGAATTTTTGGCACTCATTCTTAAAATATTGTAGTAAGGTCTTATTCATCTTGATTACTACGTTTCTGGACACACCTTTAAATTTGGTTCCTGAAATGAGTGCCTCATTCATCTCACCCTCATCCCTCTCAGCTTTGCTACTGGCTGTCTAAATGATTTAGTTAGCAAAAATCCGCCAAAGTCAATGACATTCTGTCCATTGTAAATTTCGGCCAGGTCTTTGATCTCACTTTCTAGTTGAACTTGAACATTGCACCAAATTTTGCACAGTAGAAAAACAAATGCATGTTGGATAACAAATTGGGGCAAGGAAGGGGCTAGAAATCCATCTTCTTCATTGCACAGATCTAATAAAGCAATTATTTTTGATGGAACTGAAATGTTATGACAATCAAATAACTCTTTTGGCTGACATTTTTCACTGAACTAATTTATGATTTTATGAAATTAAGTAAGTTTAGTAAAAATAATGGAAGTATCACTATGTAGACAACATTCTCTCAGAGCAATCCGAGTTCTGAGGACCTTTGGAAAACTGGAAGAATCCACATGGGGTAGGCAAGGTTTCCTCTTGGCTAAAAAGCCAAAGAAAACTTTATTACTATGGAAAAGAAAATCCATCTAAGCTCAGAGAGTTATGAAAATCAAATATAACATACTGATGAGAATGCTTTTGTATGCTATAAATTTGTTAAGCAAATGTTGATTAGCCTAAAGATATAAAAGAGTATGAATTTATTTCTGTTTATACTACCTTCCAGAAAATTGAGGGCTTCATTCATGATTCACTCATTCAGTGAGAGATCGGGTGGGAAATGAGAATCCCTTTACCCAACTGTATTAAGTACTGAATAAAATAAACATAACATATTTATCCATATACTCTGCAAGGGACAATTTTTCCTTTTATGAAAGAAAGAAAATCTCCTTTAAAAAACTCTCAGTTCAACATTACTGGCATTTCAAAGAATTTATTACACGCATTTGAGATCCAGGAGGAACAACAAAGTTTATATTGCTTTGAGAGTGGCAGGGAAAAAATTAGTTTACCAAGAATCTACTCATATACTGTAGTGCTTCTTTGTCGTTGTCTAGATTTACCATTCCTGGGTACTGCTCCGTAGATTAGTCAAATCATGTAGAAAGGGGTTTAACAAAGCAGGAAGCATGTTCACACCACTGGCTATGGAAACTCACGTCAAGTAGCGATAGATGATGAGGGTGCCAGACTCAAAGGAGGATGGGAAGATTCTTGCAGCGTTTGAACATGGCAAGTGATCACTTCTCAAAGAAAAGAGAACCACTCTGATCCTGACAGTGGGGGTAGAGCAATGGTCTGTCTGCAGCAAGCTCAGCAAAGAGCCTAGAGCCACATACACTGTCCAGTCCCTTCACTGTTGGATGGTGGTTGATGAAACTAATCCCAAAGTCTAGCTCAGAATGCTTCTGAAACAGTTTTGCCTTCATGTGCATAGATGCAGGGTCTAGTGGCAATTTGAGATGCCCAAAATATGCCGGCTGGCACTTTGCTCTGAATGAGCAGTGCTTGGCCAGTATTTATGTGAACTTAATACAATATTCTACTGCTTTCATGATCACAAGTTATTTCTCATCTTGTAGCTTCAATTCATTTCCCACAAGTTTGGGGTAAATTTTCCACTGGTTTTTAAATTAACTTCCAAAGCATAGACTTGCAAGTGAATATTCTCCACGTTGTAAAGAAAGCACTTTTATCATGATTTGTAAATATTTACTGAGCACCTGTGCTGTGCATTGTCCTGGAGAAGGTTTGCAGAACAGACAAGATGATGCCTCAGAGAAAGTGTGATCTTGAGAAGCAGATGGGCCTGGGTTTGAATGCTCGCTGTGCTGGACATTTGAGTCAAGTCAGCACATCCTTCTGAGCCTCAGTTTCCTCACTGGTCAGACAGTTGGTGTGGGGATTAAATGCAATGGCTTATGTGAGGGTATCTAATTTGGTTCCTGATAGATATCTGGCACTCAAAAAATGTTAGTATCCTGCCTACTTTTTTTCCATCCTCGACTATAGATATTATAACCTGTTGGGGAATATGAGACAAACACATGCACTCAAAGTTGAACAAAAAGCAAATAGTCACAGGAATGTAAAAATGCATGTGCACACAATAAAATGATGCCCTGCAAACTACACAAAAACCCATAGTAGCTAGAATGAGGCTAATAATTGCATGTCAGTTTCGTAGCGTCATCCTGAGTCAGAGAGGTACGGGGCATTTCTGAGGAAAGGGGTGAGGAGCACACACAGTACAGGGCAAACCTACACTAAAGGGCATCTCAGAGCTGTGGAGCTCCAAGGGGTTTAGAACAGAAAGAAAGGACTGTAGCCATGCACTCACATAATGCTAATATTGCCTAATCATATAATCTTAAAGACTTCCAACTTAAACCTCAGTTTCCCCATCAATATTATTATTACTATTATTATTATTATTATTATTTGAGAAAGAATCTCACTGTCACCCAGGCTGGCATACAGTGGCACAAACACAGCTCACTGCAGCCTCGACCTCCCAGGCTCAAGCCATCCTCCTGCCTCAGCCTCCCGAGCGTCTGGGACTACAGGCATGTACCATCACGCCTGGCTAATTTTTGTATTTTTTGTAGAGATGGGGTTTTGCCATGTTGCCCAGGCTGGTCTCGAACTCCTGGGCTCAAGTGATCCACCTGCCTCAGCCTTCCAAAGTGCTGGGATTATAGGTGTCAGCCACTGTGCCCAGCCCATCAATATTATTATTAAGAATGAAGAATTTTTTTATTATACTTGATATAGGATAAAGATGCCATCACAAATTAATAGGGAAATAACATATTGTGTAGTAGTCAATAGTTGGGAAAATTGGTGTACAGATATTAGGCTGGGAGAAGACAGTTGTTACATCTAAAACTTTCAATATATGAACTATACATAATAAACTCTTGAGAAAACAACAAAAACAAACAAAAAAGAACCAAGAATTATTTTTTCCTTGTAAATTCCCAAAGTTGTGGTTTTTAGTATTTGGGTAAAGAAGAAGAATCTTGATGATCTCACTTCTGCCAATAACTAGATCGCTAATTAGTGACCATGGGCAAGTCACCTAATCTCTTTAGGACTCAGTTGTGTCACTTATTACATGAAAAGTTTATATTAGATGATCTTTAAACCCATTTTTATATACTTATTTCATGCATTGGCCTCATGAGTTCACAGTTCTAACTGGAGTAACCATGATCCTTTACCTATGTATCTTTTACTAAGTTCTTTGGTCTCTCTTTTTCTCATCACAACCCAGAAGAAGCTAAAATTGCCTTCATTCCAACCCAAAGAAACTAAGTCTCAGAAAGTTCAAGCAAATTTCTCAACATCACTAACAACGGCTGAATTGGGATTCCAGATCTAGTCTGTCTGACTTCAAAGTGTCTCTATTTATATCTTACCACCTCTGCGATGTTCATTTTGGTTATTAGTGAAATATATATTCTTATTTCCTTATTGGCTCCCAGCATTTTCCAAGTCAGCATTTCTCAAATTTTCTTCCACAAAACACTGATCCAAAGAAATTTTATTAAAAACAGATTCCATGGTGGGTAGGCAGGTAGAAAGATAGATGGGTAGATAGAAGTGCTGCATGCTATATCCTGTTCCTGTATATTTTGCAAAGATTATTTGAATACTGAAGGCTAAAAGACATCCTGCAGTAGAGATGTCTAGTTAACACGATTTAACCAAGAAATTCTGAAACCTGTGAAACCTCTAGAGCCTTTTATTTCACATAATGCTAATTAATATCTCCTGTGAAAAATCCTTCAGGAACCACTGCTCTAAAGCCTCCTTAATTGTGGGGTCAGCACAACTAAAATAACCTCCATTTCCTTATCCAGGACAGTATGTAGAAATCCACAGACTAGGTCCAATAGGCTGGGCCGTGGAGAAAACCAAGTATAGAAAGGTGAGAAAAGAGGGAAGGAAAAACTTAAAACTAAGGCAAGAGACGAGAAAGCTGAAACGGTATGGTTCTGATAATTGACAGTGAGGAAAATCACTTCATAAAATACCTGGCTGGGTTGCTTCTCGTGGCAGCTGAAGTCTTGGAGACCTTCTCTTCCAGATAGTCCTCCCTTCTTCCTTCCTTTTCTTCACTGCCCATTGTCTCTAGTGCTCACACAACCGGAGTCCTGCCTCCTCATGCCACAGCATGAGAATCACGGCCAGGGTGCCCCTGGACCACGTAGCCCCTGCAGACCCACGGGACCGACAGAACTGGGAGAGTGCATGCCTTCTCCCCTTCTCACTTGCACCCTCCTCATCTTTTGACTGAGGAATTTCCAATGGTCAGGAGATCCCCCAGCCCCTGGCACCCTCATTCTCCACCCCTGCATTTTAAGAGGGTCTGGATTCCAAACAACAGCTCACATCAGCCTGAAATCTGTATGGTAAGCCAGGACTAAGTCGTCTAGAGCACCAAGCAGTCAAAACTCCATGTCTGTGGGGCATTGTCTTAGTTACAAGGCTCCTATCCTGCTCTTTTTCTATTTCCTGTTTTTAAAAATAGACTCTCAGAATCACTGGTGTTTTCTTTCTCTTTTGTCTTCCACTGTTGAGAACTAAATTGGGCATTCTGGCTGAAAACACCAGTCCTGGGGCCCTGTGAGTGCAGAGCCAAGGCAGAGAAAGGCACCATGTTGAGGCATGCAGGACAGGTTCATGTGCCACTTGGAGTGGCTGTCTCCTGGATAGGGCAATTCTGTGTCCTTGGCCACTCGGTAGGGATGCCTTCATGGCCGCAGATGAATGCAGCAGTGGAGGGGTGCCCTGCGTTTGTATGCTGTCAGCTCTGTGCTCAGAACTAGTAGCTGTGTCTGAAGGCTCAGTTGGGCTCCGATCAATGCAACCCTTCCAGCCCGTTTTGTCTGAACTGTAGTTCGACAGGGCTCAGCCCAGCACCTCCACTTAGTTTTCTACACCAGGAGATATTTAACTGTCATAAAAAAGAAGTAAAGTTAGAGATTCCTTTTTTTTTTTCTCAGCTGGACTCCATATCCTGCCAGAGACTAGCTGCTCTTTCCAGACATGAGTTCTCTGTCCTTGTATTTTGATGTTGTGACTGTGGCGTTTAAAGAGAACAAAGCAACATTTAGGGGTCCGGGGAGAAGATTTAAGAGAAACCCTCTCACTTCCCCCAAGGAAAGCTCTCTGGAATCTGGTTGTCTTGGAAACTTGGTTTTTTGGGGTTTTTTTAATTAGATAAAATATAAATAATCTTGAACTCCTGTCTAAGGTTTAAAAAAGGAATATTCCTTAGAGCAGTTCTCACCTCCAGTAGTCTGCACTCCATGGAAGGAATCTGACCAATCTAAGGCTAAAGCCAAGTGGTCTTTGGGACCAACCTGAGGCAGAAAGTTATGAAAGGCAGAAAGCAAAAATGGATGTTTTCCAAGCTCCCTGCATGCAATGATCACATTAAAGCCATTTGACACATCTTCAAGGCACAGCCTACATGTTATTTTCATTGCTAGTGAGCCTCTCAAGTGAAAAAGTGAGTATCTTCATACCAGAAAGGAAGACCTGCATGTAATCAAATATTTTCAGGGCCACTGGGCCTTGCCTGGCAGGTGACTGTCTCTCCCTCTTCTTGTCTCACCCAAGCCACACCATCTTCAAACAGCTGAGACCACGCCTGCGCTCCTACAGCCATATTTTGTTCAATTCCTTTGTATTCTTTTCCAAGAGAAGATTTTCCAAGTTTACAGCAGTGGTTCCCAATGTTGGCTGTACGCTGGGAACACCTGAGGAGTTTGTTTGCTTGTTTGTTTGTTGTTTGAAGATACCAATGCCCTGGGGCCCACCCAAGGATTCTAATGGAACCGCGGTGGGCACCAGCATTTTTTAAACTTTCCAGGAGACTCCGTGTGTGCAGCCAGCTTTGAGGACAACTATGTATGATCTTGTAAATAGGCTGCCAGTTATTCATTTATAAAGAACAAAATCCTACCCTTTGTTTATGCAAAATGCTTTTTGCCGTAAGTATTGATTGCATGAGTCAGCACTGACTTTATTTTATGATATAATAAGACTGGGTCTTCATTTCCAAAAAGGATGAGCCAGCATCATTTGTGCTCTACCCCTCCCCAGATTCACAGCCCATCAGGAAAGGAAAACAACCCTGTCTGTGCTTTGTCAGCCACCTGGGCCCCTCCCAGACTCTGGAGTTGAATTATTAGCCCGATATCTGCAGAAAAAGTTCAAACCTGGTGATTCCTATTTGATATTTAAAATATAATAGGGAAAGTAAATAATCCTTTTCATAATCTTTAACATCTTCTCAAAACAAGAACAATTGCTACTGATTGAGAGCCCATTAGATGCCCCACTGCTGCTAGATGTTGTCTCATCTAGTTTATAGTAGGGCTTTTCAAACTTTTATTTGCATATGGATCCACCTGAAATGCTGGTAAATGTAGATTCTGATCCAGAGCCCACCCCAGATGCTGCATTTCTAACCAGCTCCAGGAATGCTGATGCAGCGGGTTGCTCACCTTGAATGGTAAAGTGCTACTCAATGGACCCACCACCCTCCTGCCCCAGTACCACCAGCTCCATTTCACACATGAGGACGTTAGGTGTGAGGACTTGTAAGAAGTGAGATTTAAACTCAGATCTATCTGATGTCAAAACCTCACCCACTGCGCAAATCTGCCTCTTGTTAGTCTTTTCTCATGGTGGGAGTTTCCTCCTTCTAAAGTGATGTTATTTAAATTACATGACTCCTGGAGTCATGGAGGTAGATAGCACTGTTGGAGGAAAGACTCTCATTTGCCCACCTCTCTGACCTTTCTTGTAGCTTACATCTTTCTCATAGCTCCTGATCTAAATCTTGATTGATTATTGCTCAGCAATCAGTAACTCTAAGCTTGGGGTTGAGGACAAGTCTGTTCTTTTTGTTTAGTAAATATACTAGTTTTGTTGAAGCCATTTCTACAAAACTGAAACACCAGTGCAGCGATTAAAGTGGTCTGTGGCCACTAACTAAATTAGAGCTGAGATAGCTAACAGAAACCCTGTGAGAAGTCAGAGGGTCTTATGATAATTTGTAGGCCCCAAATCACCTTGCTATAGGACTGTGAAGATCACACATACCTGTCCCCACTGTCTTTCATGCAGCAATCACAGTGCATTTGAGATTGCCTGCCTCAGTGAGGGGAGGCGGCAGCTTCTCCTAACACCATAGCTTCAACACTCTTTTTCGAGAGCAAAACACAAGATACATGCAAAACAGTAACAAAATGATCCTTAAAATGTAGAGGCCATACACAGAATCAGACTGTGGTTCTTTTTACCTGATTTCAGATCCTGTAGTGGTGGTTCGGAGAAATTCCTTAACCTCTTAAGGGGGCAGGGGTGCAGGAGAACTGTGTACAAAATGACATTCATAGTAAGCATACTCCAGTGATATGTTTGTTTTCAGAAATAGTCACTCCTGTTTGAATGGGGAATTTACTTTATAATAATTGGAAGTGCTGCCATCATTGCAAGACAATGGTTTCCTTTTTTTTCAATTTTCATTTTTATTTTATATTTGGGGGTACATGTGCAGGTTTGTTACAAAGGTATATCACAAGGTGCTGAGGTTTGGGCTTCTATTGCTTCCATCACCCAGGTAATGAACATAGTGCCCAAAAAAAGGAACTTTTGCAGCCCCTGCCCCTTCCTACCCAGCCACCTTTGGAAGCCACTAGAGTCTCATGTTCCCCCCATCTTTTATGTCCCTGTGTCCCCAAGATTTAGCTCCCACCTGTAAGTGAGAACATGGAATATAAAAACACGTTTTCTTGACAAAATGGAAGAAATGTCTTCAAAAACACCTGCCCTTTCAAAGGTCTTGGCCTGACTTTGCATTTCCTGCAAGGAGGCAGGTGGACCTAGGAACCCAGGCACAGCTGGACCTTTGTCCAATGTCTGCCTGCCCCAGATTGGACGGGCAGGTCCTGCTGATGATGGGCTTTGGGAAGAAATCTCATTCACACTTTCATCTTCAAAGAACAGAAACCTACCGGAACTTGTACAAATATCAGCCTAAGGATGCATACATGAATGCATGGGTTGACCTAAAAGAAAACAAATTGGGAAAATAAACTCTTATGTCCTGCCAACCCCCACCCAATATGTATATAGTTGTCTCCTTGCACTAAAGGGTTAAACTATTATGTACATGTGAACGACAAATCCTCATAGTCACTTACATGTATTTTCAATATTTGTATGTATGCATACTTGCGTTTGCTTAATATATACGTATGCATGGATTTATTTAAAATGCTTTAAAATTTATTTAAAATCATCTAAGGGATTCTGTAAAGCATCCACTTATGGGGTGATCCATGTAGTTTGGGCAAATCAGTGGAATGGGGAAACATGACATTGTCTAGGGCTTTTCTTCCTTTCTTTTCCTGCCTGGGACGTTTTGAGAGAATGACTAAGCAGTGCTGGAGATTATGAATTTGCTTAAGTGTGAATGGCTGATTGCCCAGCAGGAGGCCCGGCCCTCCCCAAAGGTGATGGACTGGGGCTGCAGGTCTTCACACTTGATGCCTGGATTTGACTCGGAAAGTCTGCCAAGTCTTTTACTCGGAAATTTATCTTAATTAGATCTGAAAGACCTGCCACAGCAGAATAGTCACACCGATTAAAATGAAAAACAGGAGAAATTACTGATCAAATTAATCATAATGTCGGGTTACAGCTGTAGGTCTGATGTAATTTGCCACTCCAGTGAGTTACATCGGCCCAGGCCCGGGAAAGGAAGCTGGCTTTACGCTGATCCGTAACACCCGCCCGCTCCAGGCGGCCCGGCAGGAGGCTGATTCCATTCATTTTTCCTGGCTTGCTCTGACCTCCCTGCTGCAACTGGAAACAAATCAGGCACCAAACAAATGGGAGGTGGGGGGAACAGGGAGGGTAAACAAGAAATATTTTCTTTTCCAAGAGACTGTACTATTGTACTATTTCAAAATGGTGAGCTTTTTAATCTCAGCCGGGCGGGCCTGGGGCCCTGTGCTTGTTTGGCTTTGTGCTTTTGTTTTTTCCATTTAACCTCCTTTTAGTTTTACGTGTGGTGACCTGACATTGATTAGATGCAGAGTGGGAATCAAAAGGTCAGAGGACAAAACCTTTAGCTCTGAGCAATAGGAAAAAACCTTTAGAAAAATCTCCTTGCCAACATGGTTCTTCAACTAGGACATGGATTGAAATAATCTAAAGTGTCACAAGAGAGGAAGAAGAAACCTAGGCTGTGAGATCTGATTGTTCCAACATAGATATGGTCCTGGTGTTCTAATGTTTAGATAAACACCACTTTATACCATACCATGTGTTCAGGGTTGATGTGGACGGCGTATAGTATTTTTTAAAGAAAACACATCAGAGTCTAGATCCTTTTCATTGTATCTCCTTGAATCTCACTGTAGTTAATTCTTATCTCCCCATTAGAGATTCAAAGGAGACCCTAAAACACAAAGAAGGAGACCCAGTCTAGCCATTTCATTAGGAATTCTCAGAAGTTAGAATTTAGGAGGAATGTAAGACTTCTTGCTAACTATTTCTGCTTTATCAGGAAACTAGATAAAGAGAGTTCAGCCTTTCCTGAAGGAAATCATCTTAAAACAGAGATTATTGGAAAGGAGCAGGGAGAGGAGGTGTTCTTCCCAATCAATAGTTATCAGTTGCCTTTGGAGCAGTAAGAGCTCTCTTCTTGACCATATGATAGGTTGCCTAAATCCCATTTATTCATCACTGGGCCAGATGTTTATACTCTCTGCCCCCAGTCTGACAAGGCTCTCCCTCCCACCAGGAATGAATCTGGCACATTTTTAAAATGAGGATCCCTTGAACCAAGGAATAGGAAGACAGGCAGTCATGGAAACAGGCTGGCCCTGGCACTCAAGAGGCTGTGCCTTGGACCTTTCTAGGGATCCTTGTGAAGGATTAGGTGGGACCATGTGCCCAGATTGGGGAAGGGCATGGTGTTTTTCATGACATTGTGAGTGATTGCTAAATTGGTTTAGTAGTTTGTAACTAGCATTTTTAAAAGAAAATAATAAAAAGGAGTAGAAAATGCCAGAGCACAGAAAGGCTACAAATTTTTTTAAGGACACTTTCCTTTAAGTGATATACAAATGAACATATATAGTTACATGTTGAGAGATAGATCTAATTGTACATATATATTTTGTATGTATATATGTGTTGGCCTGAGATGTAAAATGTGTTTCTTCTTATGAGACAAGATCAGAAGAATTTGAAAAACCCTAGCCTGAAAGACCCAGCTTTTCAGGTAGACAGAGATGGGATTTCTTAGGTGTATAGCAGGCCAGGAAGCAGGTATATCAGTATCCCAACATATTGCATGTGATATGAGCCCCTAAACACCAAACACCCTTCCCAACAGTCAAAAAGAACGAAAAAGAAATGCCCACCACCCAGCCCCCCAGCCTTCGCCCACACACACGTATCTTCCAGGGAACTTCAAGTTTCAACATTATACCACTGCCTATGTGGTTGAAAACACACAGCAGATTAGTGGTTTAACAAGCCTATTAAAATGAGAGA
The DNA here is from genome assembly GCF_000001405.40 of Homo sapiens. NCBI lineage: Eukaryota > Metazoa > Chordata > Mammalia > Primates > Hominidae > Homo > Homo sapiens. Next base: position 39,355,798 of record NC_000007.14, read on the forward strand.
CTAAGTAATATATTAAAAGCTGACAAGTAGTCCCACCAAAAATGAGTAGATAATTCTAAAGAGAAAGTGAAAGGGAAAGAGAAACAGTGGGAAGGAAGCACAGAACCCCACAGGGATTAATTGGCTAATTTAGGCCCCTGGAAGCTGTGTCCCTCAGGAAGGTGCAAGTCGAAGGCCAGGTCCACAGGCCCCTGGTCAGAGAAGTCAGGGGCTGTCGAGCTTCACATCCAAAGTACCTGGAACTTTTCTCACTTTTCCCACCTACTCTGGCCCCAAGGCAGAGCTATCACCATCTTCCCTAACTTGGTCTTTCTACTTCTGTTTTCTCTCTAATCCACTTTGCAAACCACTGTCAAGTTAATCTTCCTAAAAGAACATTTAGTTTATATCACCTCCATGCTCAAACCCTCTGCTGGCCTGTTTAGCCTGGACACTCTGGCCCTACTCATCACCCCATCCTCCAACTCCCTCTGCCACATTCACCCTGGCCTCCCACCATGCCCAGATGTGCCTGACACAATCCCTCCCTCGCTTTGCTGGTCCATGCCCCTTGCCTGGAATGTCCCGTCTTCTCATCACTGACCCCTCATGGCTCACTTCACTTCCTGCTCCTTCCATGAAGTGCCCACAGTGGCCCAGCCCTCAACAATCACTTTCCTGAACTCGTATATTGGGCACTTAGCATTTGCTCTTTAAGTCTTTTTCTTTTATTTTCATCTTTTTTATGAACAATTTATTATCTCATTTGAATTATAAGCCCCTTAAGAACAGACACAATGTCTCACACCTCTGTGTATCCCAGGGCTGTCAATAATTGTTGTATGTGACGATTTCTGATTTAACAATTATTCATGTCACAAATATGTAAGTGCCTGTGATCAGACTGTCTTAAATTTCTTTGCAAAATTTCTTGACGAAGATAACGATGACTAATGAAAGAAGAGCTATTTATTGTTATAATTAGAACCATGCTTGGCACATCATAAGAACTATAAAAGCCTTAGATGCTACGATGACTCCTTTGAAATTGTTTCAACCCCATCCTTCTCTGCATTATCTTCACAGTGGGTTTTGGGAAATGGGGGCTTGATTTAAATGCTTTAAATCAGTTTATTTTATCTGGGAAGAAATGTACATCAAAGTAAGGACCATCATTTTCTAATTAATCTGTTTCCTTTTCCCTACCATCTCAATAACACATGGTAGTTCTTGCTATTCAGAATATAATAGGCAAAGAAGCAGGTCTTGTTAATACTTTATAGATCTGATTGATCCGTGGGTTAAATCATGTTACCCAAAGCATAAACATATTATAAAGAAGATAGGGAGACCCAAAGAAAATGAAAATGGATCTCCTACCTTGAGTGCACCTCACACCCCACTATTGGATGCCTGGGACTCTCACATGACACAGCCTGGCTGCTTCAAACCCCACTGCAAGAGCAGGCAAACACACATGGAATCTCCCAGTATGAAAACAAGGATCCAGTTTAAAAAACAAAAACACTGCTGGGCACTTAACATATGCCAGGCACTGTCCTAGGTGTTTTGGGTATGTTTTTCTACGAATGCCATGCAATTACTTATGAAAGCGAGGAAACTAGGGTTCAGAGGAAGCTGGTAACTCATCAAAAGTCCCACAGTTTGTAAGAGGTGGAGCTGGAGTTTGAGCCCCGGTCTGACCCCAAGGGATCCTCCCACCTCCTTTTAACCGGGGTAGTCTCTGTGCAAGTCTACCATCCAGGTAATCCCTAACATTTCATTCTCAGGACTGTTCTGGCTTGGAGGATAAATTATTGGGCCTTTTACCCCAAGCCCATCACCATGCCACCTCCAACATTTTTCCAAACTGCCACCTGATTTCACTTGGCTTGATGCCACAAAAGCTAAGAAGTTTGGATGACTTCTAAATTTAATAAGAAGATGGAAAAAGTAATTCTTATAAATGTATCATGTTCTCTCTAGAGCCAAAAATGCCATGTTATGAAAAGGTTTGCAGGTGGCACGGAGGGGAAGGGGCAAAGGGTTTCATAAACAAGGGTGGGGGCTTCAGAGTACGAATTGCTCTAGCGCCCCCTCTGGTGGCCTCTGAGGGTGCTTCAGAGCAGTCATGATTCCCAGATTGGCCACATATCAAAACCACCTGCAGAGATTTCTTCTCAGATGAATTTTGAGAGAAAGAGAGAGAGTGAGCTAGGAGAATTGGACCTGTAGATCAAAAGACACAGCACCAATCTCATTATGTGAGCCTTATTTAGATTACAATTCAAGCAAACTGTAAAAAAGAAAAAGCATGACATTTATGAGACAATTGGAAGTATGACCACTGACTGGATATCTGATGATACGAAAGAATTATTTTTAATATTTTTTGGTGTGATAGTGATAGGTAGTTTTTTTTTAACAGTAGCTTTTGAAGATACCTACAGAAATACAAATGAAATGATGGCATGCCCTAGGATTTTTTTCTAAAATGATATTGAAGGAAAAAGAATAATGTGGGTGGACGTGTTTGGGTGGGGTACAGATGAAAGAATATTGGCCATGAGTTGATAATTATTGCAGCTGGCTGATGGGTCCATGTGACCTAATTATACTATTGTGTCTTACTTAGATGTATTTAAAATTCCTCATAAGAAAAAATTAAATAAAAAAGTTTTAATCAGATGGGGACTCTTTAATAACACAAATTCTCCTCGCCCAACCCAGTAACTGCAAAATCAGAATGTCCTGGATGCAGCCAGTGATTCTGATGATCAGCAGGGTTTAAGAACTACTGCTCTATAAAGTTGTAAACAATTTATTAATAAAGAGATGTTATTTAAGGCTCAAGGGCAATACACAAACAAATGGTTAATGGGTTGAGCTATAGCATTGTGAGAAACTGGGGTTTTTAACAGAAAGATTGAGTAACTGAAGATGATTGTTCATTAATATCAGTTAATATTTCCTCAGTGATTCTCTTGAAGAGTAGAGGAGTCGGATCAGGTGTGCTTTATGGTCCTGTCAGACTCTGAGATCCTCTGGCTAACCCTGAGAATAGGACAAAAGAAAGTGGAGCTGTACTTCTGTATTTAAAAAAAAAAAAAAAAAAGAGTATGACAAGAAGATGCTTTTATTGTCCCATGAATTAAACTTTGGAACAGATAATAAAGAAAAGTTAAAATGTCTTCTTGGCAGCATGTTAAACACAGGCCAAAACCTTACTGCATAGATCTGTGAGTCTTATTCGCTTCTGTTTCCTTCATGCCTAATATGGAACCTAGAACATGGTACATATTTAATGTGGCTATTGAGTGCTGTGACGTTCTCAAGTTAGTTTGCTTCTTAAGGTGATTCCCTTAAGAAAATGATTTTTTTTCTGGGTTTAGTATGAGAGCAGAAAGAAGGAAAGTAATACAGAAGAGGTACCTAACAACGTGTTAGACAGTATGTAAAGGATTTGCTCATCTACACCAAGTTTGGTTTTGCAAAGAGAGGTACCACTTCTAAGCCTCATTGTTGTTTGATCATCTCATTGGCCCCAAGGATTAGGCATGGCCAGTAGAGAGAAACACCATATAACCCAACAAGATACTCATATATTTTAAACATCCTCTGGATTTATTATAGAAAAATATTTTATTATAAAAGTTTACAGTTTGGGGTTTTCTCTACTAGAACTGTAAACAGCCTTTGTATTAAAATATTTTTATGTAAAATATATGCTCTCCTTCCTAATTTATGGAAATAGGAAAATTGGTACATTGGAGGCTTTAATTAATTAAATTATCACATTTCTAGACCAAAGAGATAGGGAGACATAGCAAAAAGCTGGAGGAATGAAGTCTCGTTTTATTTTTTAGATTCCAGATGCTTTCTGTAACAGTTGATCAGGGAGCTGTCAAATGCACTGATGAGAGGTTTCCCAAAGTTAATTTTTCTCATAATACAATAACCAAATTTGCTTTAACACTTGAAAAGGCCCATCCATACTAAAAAGAATCAGTTGCTTAATCCTAAAATTAAAGGTTATTGCATGCAAGAGAAAATAATTACATGCTCAAAGTATGGAAAAAAGAAAACTTTTTTTAATATGTAGGTATTTGTATAATTAAAGACTAATCAAGCATGAAGGGCTGCTGACTAAACCAGAAAATGAGGTTGTTGGCAAGCAATATTGTAATGTAAATGCCATTTTTGTTTAACTACTAAGAAGCTGGAGAAATGATATCCTGAACAGATTAAAAGCAAACAGCATTGATAATAAATATTTATCAGATTTCAAATGCAACACAGAGAATTTTTATATTTTACATGCAAGATTTGTTTGCAGTGAAGTATTCAGGTACTTTTCAACAGGGTAGTTAACATCCTTATTTAGAATTGCATTTTCAGATAGTATCTTCCTACGGTTAAGGTACATGTGAAATATTAACCAAGGGAAAGTGCTCCTTTTGAGATATACTGCCCACAATGCAGTTACCTATTAATTATGATTTTGAGAATTAATTAGTACTAGTTAACTTGGTGTTAGGCAAATACTTTCCAATGAATATACTGAATGTACTTTTAGAGGGAGAGAGACGAGATACAAGCCATACACAGTTGTTAAAACAAAGAAAATAGAAACGTTAATGTAAAATAAACGATTTATCTAAACTTCAAGCACATGATTTAAAGTAGAAAGAGTAGAAACCTTGAAGTTACACATAAACATTCTGAGGCTTTCTACCGCTACCCTGTAAAATATCACGTAGGGCACTCGTTTTGTTACCAGAAAGGGGTCCAGATCCAGACCCCAAGAGAGGGGTTCTTGGATCTTGTGCAGGAAAGAATTCAGGGTAAGTCCATACAATAAAGTGAAAGCAAGTTTATTAAGAAAGTAAAGAATGAAAGAATGGCTACTTCCATAGGCAGAGGAGCCCCGAGGGCTGCTGGTTGCCCATTTTTATGGTTATTTCTTGATGATATGCTAAACAAGGGGTGGATTATTTATGCCTCCCCTTTTAGACCATATAGAGTAACTTCCTGACATTGCTATGGCATTTGTAAACTCTCATGGTGCTGGTGAGAGTGTAGCAGTGAGGACAACCAGAGGTCATTCTCATGGCAATCTTGGTTTTGGTGGGTTTTGGCCGGCTTCTTCACTGCAACCTGTTTTATCAGCAAATGACCTGTACCTTGTGCCAACCTCCTATCTCATCCTATGAGTTAGAATGTCTAACCATCTAGGAATGCAGCCCAGGAGGTCCCAACCTTATTTTACTCAGGAATTCAACAGGAAAGAAAGAACATACCCCAAACAGGCAAAAGGTTTTAATCTAATGAAGCCCTCACTGTCTATTTGTAGGTGGTGATTTCCCTGTATTCAACTGTGCTCAGCCTTGATTTCTCTTATAAATCAAGATTGGCTGCATAAATGTAGCTGTGAGCTCTGCAAAGCGGACTCCTTGACCCACTGATTAAAGTATGAATGCATTAATTTAAAGTAGCTTTTAAAACTCAGGTATTGTACTCAGCAAGTATGCTGTTTTTCTCCCACCACAAAGCATAATTAAAGATAAGTTTTCAGGAGAAGAGGCAAGGCTGTCATTTTTTTAACCTTCAGAAACACTAGAAGATTCACTTTTCAGTTTCTAAATTAGAATCCGTCAGTTTGACTGCCTCTGTTTCTTTTGGATGTAATGCCTATGATATGTGATCCAGAAAGCTGAAAGCATGCAGACCTACTAAAATGCATTTGGGGATTTTCAGAAACAGATTATTGAGTGACAATATGATAGCCTTCAGGCTTGCTGCTGGAAATTATTATTTAACTTATTTTCCTCCTAATGTGTTAGTAACATGTACCTATTTTCTGAAGACTGCCGAACACATCATCAAATGACAGTTCAAAAAACATTTTTAAGTTTATTATTTTTCTTTTTATGTAACATACTTTGAGAGCCAGGAAACAACATTAAAAGATGTGTTTCTCTCACCATTTCTCCTTACTCGTGCTGTTTGAAGAGGTCACAATGAAATTGCAAGTTCTTGAGTCTGAATAAAGAACACCTACAAATGTTTGAGCTCGGGTGTTTGAGAGAGTCCGAGGTTATTTGCAGAAGTGAGTGGGTTAGGCAAGGGGGAAGAGGCTACAGAGAGTGATTCTGTCTCATGGATGTAGCATGTCCCTCACAAGCGGCCAGCAGACAGGGCACCCAGCCACATAGGACAGTGCCAGGTCCCCTCTGGCTGCCATTATCTGGTGGTGATGTCTGAGAGTATACAGTGGTATTCAGTTTCCTCAGCCTCCAATGTCATGGTAGCCCTTGCTATCCCCTTGTTTAAAACTATGAAGCTGCTCTTTCAGTAAATCTAAACAAAATTATAATCTAGTCTTAAATTGCTCAAAAAGCATCTACTAAAATACATCTTGAAGTTTCTAGTCTGGACCAAAATTCAGATACTGTGCATTTAAGCAATGCCTTTTTATTTCCTCTTGAAAGCTATCAATGGCCAGAAAAAAAAAAAAAAAAGTGGGGAGGGGAAATGCAATTTTTTATTCTAGCACATATAAGGAGAATTGAGTAGCCCAAAAAGAACCTGGAGAATCCCCTTGTTAGGACCCTCCCTTCTGGTCAAGCTTGCTTACAGTACAAGCAAGGTCAGAAGGACTCATGGAATACTAAGATTTACAGAGGATTCTATGGCAAAATGACCCAGACCTCATCCTCTAGGGAACTTTTTTCAGTTTCCTGATACCATTTTAGTAAACTTCTGATCTACAGTTCTGGTATCATTTTAGTCTTATGAGTCATTTGTTCATTTATCAACTGTGTGTTAAGCACTTACAGATGCCAAGCACTATTCTAGGAGCTAGGGCAGGAATCAAACATGCATACAAATATTAAAAAAAGGCAAATAAACAAACACATAGTGTATCAAACACTGATAACTTACATGGGGGGAATAATAAATGGGGTCAAGGTGAAAGAAAGTGCTAGAGTAGGGGGTTACTCTTTGATGTAGGTTAATCAGAGACGACATCTCTCCTGGGACCAGCAGAAAGGGCACACTCCAGGGAAGGGAGCAGATGGAAAGCCCTAAGACAGGAGGATGTTTGAAAGGTTCCAGGAAGCACAAGAAAGGCCAGCAAGACCGGTACAAAGTGGGCAAGGGACAGAGAGGCAGGAGATGGGGCCACAGAAGAAGCAGAGGCCAGATGACGCTGGGTCTTGCAGGCCACTGTAAGAACTGTAGCTAGTACTCGGAATAAAACACGAACACCCGTAGATGCTATAAAGAGGTCAGACTGCCGAGAGTCAGGAGCGAACACAGGAAGTCCAATTAAGAGACTACTGCAGCAATCCAGACAAAGACAATCATGGTTTGTACCATGTTGTACGTGGTGGAGATGGTGAGAAGTAATCAGACTCTGAATATATTTTAAGGAAGAGCTGATAGAATTTGCTGATGGATTGGCTTTGGAGTGTAAGGAAAACAGAGGAGTCAAGGATGTCTGCAACGATTTTGACCTAAGCAACTGGTAGTATGAAGTTCCCCATTGATCGAGGTAAGGAAGACAGTGAGAAGAGAAGGTTTGTGCACGTTTTGTTCTTAACATGTTAGTTTTAGACACGTCATGTTTGCAAGATCACTAAATGTTTAACAGGAAATGTTGAGGAAGCAATTGGATAATCAGGTTTTGGAAAAAGGTCCGTGCTGGAGATATAAACTTGCAAGTTCATCAGTGTACTGCTGGTATGTAAAGCCAGAGGCCTGGATAAGATTACTTTGAGAGCGAGCCTGGATGAAACAGAGGTTCAAGTACTGGACCCTGGAGCACCCCAACTTTAAGGATTTCTGAGGAGGAAGAGAAATTGGCCTACGAGATTAAGAAGAGGGCTCAGTGAGGGAGGAAAAGGGGGCTCCTAGAAGAAAAAGTAAATCAAGTGTTTCAAGGAGAGAATGATTAACTGTGTCAACCAGTTTGGGTAGGTCAAGTAAAAAGAAATTTGAGAATTAACCATTGGAGTTTTCACCTGGAAATAAGTAGTGACCTTGACAAGAGCTTCAGTGGAGCGGGAGCGATGAATTGGAGTGATCAAAGTGGATTCAAAAAGAAATAAAAGAAGAATTGGAGACATCAAGAATAGACAATTCTTTTCTGGCATTTTTCTCTGAAAGGAAGCCAACAAATGGCATAATAGCTAGAGGGGAGGTTGGGTCGAGAGAGGTTTGTTTTTTAAGATGAAAACAGAAACTTCCTATTTATATCTTAGCGGTAGAGATCCCGTAGAGGGAGGAAATTGATGAAACAAATCAGGGATGTTCTTGAATAGGCAAGAGGCATGGATGCACTGAAGCAGTGGGGGTTTTCTCTAGAGAGCAGCTCAGCATTGTCATCCACAGGAACGGAACACAGACATAGTTGCTGCAGGTGAGTATTGCAGCAATGAAAGGGCATGGAAGTTTTCTTCTGATGGATTCTCTATTCTCTTTTTTTTTTTTTTTATTTCCATAGGTTATTGGGGAACAGGTGGTGTTTGGTTACATGAGTAAATTCTTTAGTGGTGATTTGTGAGATTTTGGTGCTCCCATCACCTAAGCAGTATACACTGCACCCAATTTGTGGTCTTTTATCCCTCACCCCTTTTCCACCCTTTCCTCCTGAGTCCCCACAGTCCATTGTATCATTCTTATGCCTATGGATCCTCATAGCTTAGCTTCCACTTATGAGCGAGAACATACCATGTTTGCTTTTCCATTCCTGAGTTACTTTACTTAGAATAATAGCCTCCAGTTTCATCCAGGTCACTGCAAATGCCATTAATTCTTTCCTTTTTATGGCTGAGTAGTATTCCATCATATATATATAACCACAGTTTCTTTATCCACTCGTTGATTGACGGGTATTTGGGGTGGTTCCACGTTTATGCAATCACGAATTGTGCTACCATAAACATGCGTGTGCAAGTATCTTTTCCGTGTAATGACTTCTTTTCCTCTGGGTAGATACCCAGTAGTGGGACTGCTGGATCAAATGGTAGTTCTACTTTTAGTTCTTTAAGGAATCTCTACACTGTTTTCCATAGTGGTTGTACTGGTTTACATTCCTACCAGCAGTGTGGAAGTGTTCCCTGTTAACCACACCCATGCCAACATCTATTTTTTTTCTTATTTTTTGATTGTGGCCATTCTTGCAGGAGTAAGGTGGTATCACACTGTGGTTTTGATTTGCATTTCCTTGATCATTAATGATGTTAAGCATTTTTTCATATGTTTGTTGGCCATTTGTATATCTTCTTTTGAGAATTGTCTATTCATGCCCTTAGCCCAAATCTGGAGGCATCACATTACCTGATTTCAAACTCTACTATAAGGCCATCGTTGCCAAAACAGCATGGTACTGGTATAAAAACAGGCACATAGACCAATGGAACTGAATAGAGAACTTGGAAATAAACCCAAATACTTACTTACAGCCAAGTGATCTTTGATAAAGCAAACAAAAACATAAAGTGGGGAAGGGTCCCCTATTCAACAAATGGTGCTGGGATAATTGGCTAGCCACATGCAGGAGAATGAAACTGGATCCTCATCTCTCACCTTATGCAAAAATCAACTCAAGATGGATTAAGGACTTAAATCTAAGACCTAAAACTACAAAAATTCTAGTAGATAACATTGCAAAAACCCTTCTAGACTTAGGCAAGGATTTCATGACCAAGAACCCAAAAGCAAATGCAATAAAAACAAAGATAAATAGCTGGGACTTAATTAAACTAAAGAGCTTTTGCATGGCAAAAGGAACAATCATCAGAGTAAACAGACAACCCAGAGAGTGGGAGAAAAATCTTCACAATCCATACATCTGACAAAGGACTAATATCCAGAATCTACGATGCACTCAAACAAATTAGCAAGAAAAAAACAATCCCATCAAAAAGTAGATTATCTATTCTCAATGGAATAAGAAGCCAGGTCAATGGCTAAGAGTGAGAATGAGAAAGGAGGTGCTAGAGGTCTGAAGAGAAGCAAGAAGATGTGAAACAGTCCTTCTAGGTGTGTGGGTAAAATGTCCTAGGATTGCTGGGTGGTGTCAGGGTGTGTCTACTTGAGGTTAATGGTTATGTATCTGAAGTCAGGTTGATCAGCACAGTTATAGGTTTTTCTCCAGCCACATTCAGCTGTGTAGGTGCAGGCACAGAGCAGGTGCAAAGTTGAACAATGAAATGTTAAGCTGGGTAAAGAAGGAAGAACTCTAGGGGATGGGATGCTTATGGGGCAATAGAAAGGTGGTGGGATTTAAGTGTTATAAATTCCAGTGGGGTTAAAGAATTGTTTAACCAGTAACAAACTCCAGTTGTTTCACCATTGGAGTTTGAAGTAGTCACAGGAATGAGCTGGAAACAGGCAGGAAAGGCCAGAGAGTGGAATACTTGTACCTGAGACAAGGGAAAGGGTGTGGTCATTGACAATACCAGAGCATGACCTTGGGAGATACGGCTGAGGTAGAGCAAAGGACATCCTCCCTGAGGAGAGAAGGGCAAAGAACTGGGAGACCACAGTATTGGAAGGAGATAAATATCACAAACACACACACACAGATGCACACACACTCTTCCCCCAGCAGTCATAATTCCACAAGGCATGACAGAGAGCCAGGAGCAAAGGCTTCAAGGAATGAGGTGGGGTGACAAGGACTTTAAGGGTAACAAAGGGTAGCAAGTGGTATAGTCCCTGGGTATGAGCTTCTAAACTGTGGTCTTCAAGGAGATGGGAGAATGGTCTGAGAGCAGCAACGACCAGCAAGCAAGATCCCCTCCTACCCAGGCCCAGAGACACTAGGAGCGGGTAGGGAACAGCCACCACCTATGAGGTCTTTAGGAAAGCAGCGTCCTCGGGACAGCCAGACTTCTGCTGGGGCAAAAAGGTGTGGGGCATAGTCTGAGAAGATATTGAGGAGTTGGGCAACTTGGCTAGTGAAGGACCAGGAATTCCAGAGAGCCCAGAGGGAGGTCTCAGGAGTTGGGGAGGCAGGGGAGGAGATGGAGTGTGCAGATGCCATATGGGAAAAGATGTGCGGATGGAGCTGGGATTCTTGGGCTTCTTGAGGTGACCAGCACAAACAGGGATACAAGATGTCAGGGCTTACTTCCGGTGGCCTCCAGGGTAGACTGTGGTGCCAGCTTTGAGAACCAGAGGAGAGAGGAGGGGTGAGTTTTTCAGGAATACAAAAAGTTTTGGGGCTCATCTTTACAAAGATAGAGGGGGAGACCTGAAGAGGGGCAATATTTTGAGAATCACAAGAAAGCTTTGGGGTCCTTTTCACCCATGGCAAACACTATTCACCACAAGTCATTTATCCAAAAAAATTGATGAATTAATCTTCATTAATTTAACCATTACCAGTAACAGTAGTTTGGGAATTATTTCCTTTCCTCGTCTCAGTCAAAATATTCATATATATTTAAATTTGAACCTTTAATTTTAAATTTAAACGTTCAAATATACAATGATCTTGGGAAGCCATTTGTCCGATAGCCACCACCCATGCTGTGAAAATAAACACAATTTTAAAATCTGTGAATAAACATATTTTAAAAGACACAGAATGGAAGAATATCAGAATAGCACAGGAAAACCTTGGCTATCCATCACCCTCAAACAAGTAAGTTTCTCTTGATAGATGAGTTTTCCCAGAAGAGGTAAGGGTTAAACCTTTTAGTACTAGCACTATAAAAGGTGTAAAATGTAAATCTTTTAAAAGCATTTTGCCCCCATCCCCTGCCTTCTTAAACAGAGTATCATAGTAATAAAAATCTTCTATTTGTATCTTGCCTGTGGTTTATATGGTACTGTCACAAACATGATCTCATACAGGCATACCTCGTTGTATTGCACTTTGCTTTATTGCTCTTTGCAAGTAGGGCAGTTTTTACAAATTGAAGGTTTGTGGCAACCCTGCATCTAGCATGTCTATCGGCACCATTTATCCAACAGCACGTGCTCACTTTGTGTCTCTGTGTCACATTTTGGTAATTCTTACAATATTACAAGTTTATTCATTATTATGAGATCTTCTATGGTGATCTGTGGGCAGTGATCTTTGATGTTACTATTGTAATTGTTTTGGGGTGCTACGTATCATACCCATAAAAGGTGGCAAATTTAATCGATAAATGTTGTGTGTATTCTGACTGCTCCACCAGTGAACCATTTCCCTGTCTCTCCCCTTCTCTTCAGGCCTCTCTATTCCCTGAGGCACTACAATGTTGAAATTAGACCAATTAATAACCCTACAATGACCTCCAAGTTTAAGTGAAAGGAAGAGTTGCATGTCTCTCACTTTTTAAATCGAAAGCTAGAAATGACTAAGTTTGGTGGGAAAGGCATTCAAAAATCAAGAAAGGCAGAAAACTAGGCCTCTTGTACCAGTTAGCCAAGTTGTGAATGCAAAGAAAAAGTTCTTGAAGGAAATTAAAAGTAAAGTGAAGCAGCCTTATTGCTGATATGGATAAAGTTTGAGTGGTCTGGATCGATCAAACCAGCCACAACACTCCCTTATGCCAAAGCTTAATCCAAACCAAGGCCCTCTCTTCAATTGTATGAAGGCTGAGAGAGATGAGGAAGCTGCAGAAGAAAAGTTGGAAGCTAGCAGAGGTTGGTCCATGAGACTTAAGGAAAGAAGCCATCTCCATAATGTAAAAGTCAAGGCGAAGCAGCAAGTGCTGATGTAGAAGCTGCAGCAAGTTTTTCAGAAAATCTAGCTAAGATCATTGATGAAGGTGGCTACACTAAACAGATTTTCAATGTAGATGAAACAGCTTTCTATTGGAAGAAGATACCATCTAAGGCTTTCATAGCTAGAAAATTCAATGCCTGACTTCAAGCTTCAAAAGACAGGCTGACTCTCCTATTAGGGGCTAATGAAGCTGATGACTTTTAAGTTAAAGCCAGTGCTCATTTACCATTCCTAGGGTAAAATCCTAGGGCCCTTAAGAATGATGCTAAATCAACTCTACCTGTGTTTTGTAAATGAAACAACAAAGCCTGGATGACAGCTCATCTGGAATGAGGTGAAAATAACAACACTAAGGGGAGTTTGAAAGAAGTTGATTCCAACCTTCATGAATGACTTTGTGGGGTTCAAGACTTCAGTGAAGGAAGGAACTGAAGGTGGGGTGGAAATATAATAGCAAGAGAACTAGAATTAGAAGTGAAGCCTAAAGATGTGACAGAATCTCATGTGACTGCAATCTCATGAGAAAATTTTAAAGGATGAGGAGTTGTTTCTCAAGGATAAGTGAAGAAAGTGGTTCCTTGAGATGGAATCTACTCCTGGTGAACTACTGTGAACATTGCTGAAGTGACAACAAAGGATTTAGAATGCTACATAAACTGCTGGTTGCTAAGACAGCAGCAGGGTTTGAGAGAAGTTCTACTGTGGGTAAAATTAAAAATTTCCACAGCCAGCCCAACCTCCAGCAACCACCACCTCTGTCAGTCAGCAGCCATCAACATCGAGGCAAGACCCTCCATCAGCAAAAAGATAAACTCACTGAAGGCTCAGTGATTGTTAGCTTTTTTTTTTCTTTTTCTTTCTTTTTTTTTGGAGACAGAGTCTGGCTCTGTTGCCCAGGCTGGAGTGCAATGGTGTGATCTCGGCTCACTGTAACCTCGCCTCCTGGGTTTAAGGAATTCTCCCGCCTCAGCCTCCTGAGTAGCTGGGATTACAGGCACCCACAACCATGCCCAGCTAATTTTTTTTTGTATTTTTGTAGAGACAGGGTTTCACCATGTTGGCCGGGCTGGTCTTGAACTCCTGACCTCAGGGGATCTGCCCTCCTTGGCCTCCCAAAGTGCTGGGATTACAAGCATGAGCCACCATGCCCAGTCAATTGTTAGCATTTTTTAACAATAAAGTATTTTTTTCAGAGATGTGGTCTTGCTCTGTCATCCAGGCTGGGATGCAGTGGTGTGATCATAGTTCACTACAGCCTCGACCTCCCAGGCTCAAGTGATCCTCCCACCTCAACCTCCCAAGTAGCTAGGACTACAGACACACACCACCACTCGCAGCATTTTTTTTTTTTTTTGGTGGGGGTGGTTAGAGGCAGGGTCTCACTATGTTGCCCAGGCTGGCGTCAAACTCCTGGGCTCAAGCAATACTCCTGTCTCAGCATCCCAAAGTACTGCCACCGCACCCAGCCTAAAGTATTTTTATACATTAGACATAATGCTGTTGAACACTTCATAGACTGAGTGTAAACATAACTTTCATACTCACTAGTAAACCAAAAAACATGTGACTTGCTTTATTGCAATATTGACTTTATTGTGGTAGTCGGGAACCTAACCCATAATATCTCCGAGGTATGCCTGCATTATCCTCCAACAACCTGGTAAAGTAGACACTTCACAGATTTGACAGATTGATGAGATTTCCCAGTGTAAATGAAAGGAAACCTAAGTGCAACTTCCTGATGACTTGGGGTCATTTTTACTGATACAGATTATTAGGATGTTTCCAGAAGGCAAGACTAACGTGCAACATAAGAGAACATAGTAAAGGATAAACGGTGTAGGAAGACAGCAGTTGCTCTCAAAGACCCAAAGAGGAGCCAACTGAGAACTGAAAGTGTCCAAGAGGACTTCCTTGAGGTTGTGGAACTTGAGCAGGGCTCTGAAGCTCTAGTATAATTTAGAAGGACAGGAAGAGCCAGAGGAAGACATTGGTGCGTGTGCTCCTGGATGTCTGAATCAGTAGTAGTTATTCAATTGGATAATTTCTCTTTTGCTGCAAATGGGTACCACTGCTTTGGCCAACTATGCCCCCTCCCCACCTCTGCCTAAATTAATTCCTGCAATGGCTAATTTATGTGTCAACTTGATTGGGCCACGTTGCCCACATAGCTCAAGTGTTATTCTGGGTGTTTTGGATAAAATTAACATTTAAATTGGTGGACTGTGAGTAAAGTAGATTGCCTCATAGAACAGAAGACTGACCTTTCCCAAGCAAAAGGGAATCCTGCAGCAGATGACCTTTGAACTTGAACTTCAACATGGGCTCTTCCTGGGTCTCCACCCTGTAGGCTCAACCTGCAGATTTTGAATTGCCAGACTCCAAAATCTTGTGAGCCAATTCCTTAAAATAAATACATCTCCTTCTCAATATGTAGGTAGACAGACAGACAGAGATATCTCCTATTAGTTCTGCTTCTCTGGAGAACCCTAACTAGTACCATCCCTTTCTCATAGATTATATGAATTTCCAGAAAGATGAAAGGAATACAGTTCTCCTCTGCAGGGCATAGACCTGTGCAGTGGTGGAAGGAAGAATACTTATCTTTACAGTCAATGGAATCAAGGCTGTCTATGTGTTTTCAGGGAAAAAGAAGCCAGACTCGGAGAATGGTTTTTTTTTTTTTTGAGACAAGAGTCTCGCTTTGTCACCCAGGCTGGAGTGCAGTGGCACGATCTTGGCTCACTGCAACCTCCGCCTCCCGGGTTCAAGCGATTCTCCTGCCTCAGCTTCTTGAGTAGCTGGGACTACAGGCGCCCACCACCACACCCAGCTAATTTTTTTGTATTTTTAGTAGAGACAGGTTTCACCATGTTGGTCAGGCTGGTCTCGAACTCTTGACCTCATGATCTGCCCACCTTGGCCTCCCAAAGTGCTGGGATTACAGGTGTGAGCCACCACGCCCGGCCGAGAATGGTTCTTAAAGTTCAGTCTGGGGGCTCGGAGCACTAACGGCCAGTCCTCTCTCCTCCTCCCTCCATCCTTTACCCCTGACTGCTCTAACAGTCACTGGCTATTGATCAAGTCCACTGGCTATTCTGTCACTTCTACAGATGTCCCCTTGAGCCAGCTTTGTGGCTTTCCCCAATACCACCCAAGAGGAGTCATGCTGGACACACTGTGGTTACCCTCTGTCATTTGACTCCACTGATGATTCTGCCCAACACCCACTCAAGGTAGACAATTAGTTAATCAAAGTAATTAACTAGTTTACGTTCAACCACGGGCTCATTGCTATAGCGCAGGAGCCAGCAGACATATTATGTAAAGGACCAGATTGTATGTATCTTAGGCTTTGCAAGTTAAGGATATTCTTTTTGTTTGCCTGTTTGTTTTTTGTGTGTGTTTTGTTTTCTTCTTTTTCAAGACAGGATCTTGCTCTGTCACCCAGGCTGGAGTGCAGTGATGCAATCATGGCTCACTTCAGCCTCCAAATTCTGGGCTCAAGCAATCCTCCTGCTTCAGCCTCCCTCCCAAGTAGCTAGGACTATAGGCACGCACTACCATGCCTGCTAATTTTTTAAAATTTTTTGTAGGAATGGGGTATCCCTATGTTGCCCAACCTTGTCTCAATCTCCTGGTCTGAAGCAGTCCTCTGGCTTTAGCCTCCCAAAGTGCTAGAATTACAGGCTTGAGCCACTGCACCTGGCCAAGGATATTCTTTATGTACTTATATAAAGAGAGAAAACAAATTTCCACAAAATTTTTATTGATGAAACTCATAATAATAGGAATTGAGTAGAATTTTTATAATACAGATTTACTAATGAGAAGAATGGAATTCTTTTGGGGGACATGTATTAGTCAGTGTTCTCCAGAGAAAAAGGATCAATAGAATATATCTATCTATACAATTCCTTATAATGGAGGCTCTCAAGTCCAAAATCTGCAGAGCTGATATACCAGATAGAGTCTGAAGGTGAGCAGGCAGAAGAATTCTCTCTGGCTAGGGGGAAGGTCAGTCTTTTGTTCTGCACAAGCCTTCAACTGATTGGATGAGGCCCACCCACATACTGAAGAGTAATCAGCTTTATTCAGTCTACCAACTTAAATGTTCACCTCATCCAAGCATGGAAACACCCAGAATAATATTTGATCACACATCTAAGCACCCTGTGGCCCTGTCAAGTTGACACATAAAATTAACGATCACCAGGGGATAATGTATCACATCATTAGAGTACAAACTTAGTGCTTCTCATTATCAAATCAATTGTAAATGTTCATCGATAAAAATCATTCTTAGCTTATGGGCCATACCAAAACAGGCTATGGGCCAGATTCGGCCCATGAGCAGTAGTTTGCTTACCCTTGCTACTGAGTAATAGTAAGGATAATAATAATAATAATAATGCCCCCTAAAAATAAAGATATTTAAAAAATTAAAATATAATAAGAGGCAAGATGTATAGTTAGGAGAGCAGACTGAAGCCTGACTGCTTGGGTTTGAATTCTGACTCTCATTTAGTAGCTGTGTGATCTTAGGCAAGTTGCTTAGCCCTTTTATGCCTTCATTTCCTTCTTTTAAAAATGCAGATTAAAGTGTCAGCGTCATAGATTTGCTATCAATCAGGATTAAATTAGTATTTGTAAAGTTCTTAGAACAATGCCTGACGCATAGTGAGTGCTATATAAGTACTAGATATGACCATAGTAGCAGTGACGTTGATGACAGAAGGTGAAGGAAGAGAGGGGTACAAAGAAGATGGGAGATAAGTTCTGATAATGTTGGGACGCTGAGCGGTTTCCACAGATTGTAAGTGCTAGAAGATCGACTGATTGACCTACGAGGCTGACCAATGCTATGAGCAACTCAAATATGATAATTAGTATGCCAAGAGCCAACAGTCATGTTCCTGTTCTGTAGCCCAGCAATCAAAATCATAAATGTTTCTTTTGCTCTGAAGATCCTGCACCCAAGGAGGAGTATGGACTAAGGGAGAAAGGTGGATGGAAGAATTTGGTACTTCACTTCAGAAATGATTCAGAACCAAGCACACAGAAAGTGGAGAACTGCCTACCTAGTCTAGCTAACTGTATGCATTTACTGGAGAAGCAATAATTTTACAAAGAGGCTGGGAACTGGTCTCCTTATTGAATAAAGAATAAGCTCCCAGATTTACATTCATTGATTTTCTACCCAGTTGCTATCTATGTTCATCATGTTGAATTTCTTCTCAGTATCCAAAAATCAAGGTGTTGAGAGAGCAAAGGTATCTGTATCTGTGTCCTCTATAATGCCCATACTCTTTGTAAATATAGGCAACTTTTCATAGATCTTAACTCTTAATTATATTCATTCCAAAAAGAAGTTTTTTTTCAAAGAAATAATGGATTTTGAAAAATAAAAAGATCTGGCCTTATTGCTTTGATAAAGATTTGCCACCTGTGACCCTTTAAATATTGAACTTGGACTATAAAAATATCACTTCTTATTGATCACATGGTTATTAAAGTCAGTCAAATGCTGAACTTATATGTCAAACACTTGTAATATTTCCTGTAAATATTGGGGCAAAGGGAGATGATGATAATGCCACTGTGAAAAGTCGCATTAGATTTGTTCAACTTTACGTCACTGAGAAATAATACAGCTGTCATCAAGAATTTCATTATACATGCCAAGCACTTGTCAAAAACTGCTGCACATCATTTATGCATGTATATGTGTCTGTGTATGAGCCCAGAGAACGTACACAAGCTTGTGGCATGGAGGAGAATGGAATAAAAAGCAATCTGTGTACCTAACCACCTGCACTGGACCTGTACAGTATAGCTTCTGACAGCAGCTAGGATTATGTGGGCAGCCCCTGCACACAAACACATTTGGGTTCGCCTTTTCTTGAACTCCAATCTACCGTGAGATACTGACAGCTTTCTGGGTCTGGAGGAAAGCCTGGGAACTCAAGTCAACAAATTCTAATTACAGGTTTAAGGCAGATTCTTAAAGCCCCCCAGATTCTTAAAATCCCCATCTAAAGATATTCAAGAATGCTTTTAGGGAGAAGTCAGCATAGAGATCCAGAGATTTCTAGTTTCCCCACAAGACACCTTTCCATATAAGCAAATGTTTTCAAATGAGTAGCAGAAAGGAACCGTCAGTCAACCACGGGGGAGTCTTCACCAGGACTCTTGGATTGAGTGGAGGAGTGGGGAGGCATTTCTAATGGCATTTTGATGTACATGCACAAAATTGATGTCGGAAGGATCATTGTAAAGTCCCAAACAGCGGAATATTGAGGACATTTTCAGGTGGCAGTCAGATTCTGGCTGGGTGAACCCAGTATATTTTCTCATGTCACAGTTGATTAGGTTCACAGGGAAGTGGAAAGAGTAAAAAATTCTCTTATTACTGCAGCAATGCCGTCTCAGCCTCTTTTCCCTTTGAATGCAACATTAGTTTTTGTCCAGAAGTCTAACTGCTTTCTACAGTTTGGGGAATTGTAAAGCAGAAACAATTTTCCCAGCCAGGCTGACCTTCACAGTAATGAGAAATGACTGGAATTTCTCTCTATTTCTCTAACATTTGGGGAGGTTTTGGGAGGGGGCTGGCGGGAAGATGAAGGAATATGCTTGTTTTACCTGATATTATGTTGTGGGCATCCATTTGGCACTTTGAGCCTAATTTTTTTCCATTCAGGGGATTACATGGACTGTTGCACCATATGACCCGGGAGCGAGACCACAAGTGTATTGAGAAACGACAGTAATGCACTTTAAACCTTTTGTTATCACAACAGAGATGGCATTTTGTTTCAGCCATTAAATGAATAAATATTTTTCTCCTAGGGATGGCTATTTTCATTTACTCTCCAGCTCTTATTCAGGTGATGACCAGTGGGACTGGGAAATTCCACCTTCATTCAGGTCATGCCGCCCAGTCCCTGAAGCCGTGGGAGTCCTCCCAGCCCCCCAACCTTCCACGGAGGCACCCCCAGAGCCAGCCATGCAGTCCTCTTTTGCGGTCCCTTCTTCCTGGCTTACTGCTCACCACTCACCTTTCCCTTTGCTGGGACACAGGGACTCGATGGCCAAGACCAATGCTTCCTCCTTGATTTTTTTTTTTTCAAATATTTAAGATTCCTATTTAAAGCTGCAGCAGTGTGGAAACTCCTGGGAGGGGAGGCAGAAGATAAACTTTAACACAGTCCCCACAGGAGAAGCAGTTAGCCCTAAAGGAGACATTTAGCCCCAAGAGACATACCCAGAGCTGTCCTGTGACTAAGTGTTCAGGTTGGCAGTCAATAGCAGGAGATGCTTTGGCAGAAAGAGCAATTTGGGGGTGGAGTTTTTTGTTGTTGTTGTTGTTTCTCTCTGCTCCCAAACCCCATCCCTGCCCCTTTCAAGTAGGCAGTAGGGGATCATGACTATATTGAATTCAAATCCCACTCTGCCATTCACTAGCTGGGTGACCTTGGGCAAGCTACTTAAATTCTCAAAACCTCAGTTTCCTCATCTATAAAATGGGGCTATAATAGTACCTATTTCACTAACCTTTTTTTATTTGAAGGAAAAAAATCCCACTTAGCACAATGCTGTTGGGTGCTTTCAATAATTGTCCTCAACAATCTGTAGCTTATATTATTGACTTGATTCTGTTCATTTTCAATGTATTGCAAATTGGTGATTAATTTGCCTTATAGGGTCATATAAGACTCCACAGTTTATCCATTCACTGATCTATACTATAGAATAGCGCTGTTGGATGCTCACTTAAGGACAGCAAAGGAGATTTGTGGCTTGAGACTGAAACTTTATTTTTTTCTGGTCTGCTAAAATTAAGTATGAAAATAAACTGTGTTGGAGGAGTGAGTAGTCAGGAGGGGTATTCATAGGAGGAGAAGCAAAGGAGAGGAGCACTGAGGCTAGGAATTGTGGAGAATAAGGTCTCCAGAAGGGAATCTTAGTGCTGGCTCCATCACCAACTCAGTGCTGTGCTTGGTGCTGAAAAAGACTCGGTCCAGTCTGGAACTGACACCTGGATAACATTCTCATGCTCTCTCATTTCACAGATAAGGAAAGTAAGACCCAGAGTATTTGAGAAACATACCTAAGGCCACATATGCCCAGTAAGTAGATGATCTCCAGGGACTCCTACAACTGTAAATTTATTATCTACTTGAATATCATTTGCTATTAAAATAGTGGCAATCACAACACTGGAAAAGCCTCCAGTTCCTAGAATAGATGTCAAACTCAAAATGATACTTTAAATATATGAGTATCTGTGATGGACATAGCTTTGTTGTTTATTTTTAGAATTATTTTTGCTCTATTTTAATATTACTTTAGTATATTTTAATATTAGTGTAGTTTAATATTTATTCAGTATTTTTATACTTATATATTTAATATTTATTTAGTATATTTTAAGTGCATATTTACATATTTCATTATAAAAATATATTTTACTTATGTCGATCATATAAATATATTTGTTTAACTATATATTAAATATATAAAGTGAATTAAAATCAATTGTTTAATTTATATAATTATATTTAAATTAGGTATTAAATAACTTAAATATTAAATAACTTAAATATTAAATATATTTATAATTATATATATATTTTTTTGAGATGGAGTCTCATTCTGTCACCCAGTCTGGAGTGCAGTGGTGTGATCTCGGCTCACTGCAGCCTCCGCCTCCCGGGTTCAAGCGATTCTCCTGCCTCAGCCTCCCAAGTGGCTGGGATTACAGGTGCACACCACCACACCTGGCTAACTTTTGTAGTTTTAGTCGAGACAGAGTTTTGCCATGTTGGCCAGGCTGGTCTTGAACTCCTGACCTCAGGTGATCCACCCACCTCAGCCTCCCAAAGTGCCGGGATTACAGGCATGAGCCACCATGCACGGCCTATAATTATATTTTAATTACATATAAAAGAAATCATTTCCTTAGTAAATGAAAATGTTTGCCATACTTAAGAGAATGATTCAAAGGTTGTCTTCCTGGGCCCACATCTCCAAGATTTGCCAAAGCATATAGGCGTTGACAGCTTTACAGGAAGAACTTCCAGAGCTTCATTTAGTGTTCACATGTCAGTAACTAGCTCCCTGCTCCCCCCTCGCTGTGTCAACCTTGGGGCAGAAGAATTTAAATATACTTGTTTTGCCATGTGTGTTCCAAGATGGCTTTAAGACCTGAAACATGTAGGTTTAACCCCAGAAATTCCCCCAAAGAACTAGGAGTAGACTAGGGAGGGGGAACTTGCAGAAAGGTAAAGAGTTGTAAAAAAGCAAGTGAAGATACAAAAACCATATTCACTTTAAAAATTAGTTACTTTTAAAAATAACCTGCATAAGAGCCACAAAAGGTAGGTACCTCTAAGAAGAGCTGGTTCAGGAGAGGAACTTTTCCTTCTCCTCAAACTTTTCCTTCTCCCTCTTGCTTGGAGTCAAATCTCTTGACTAAGTTTCTGCCAGCAATCTGCCCCTCAAGGTATCTGCATCCCTCAGAATATTTTGTGCCACTAATTGGTCCAATGATATAAGTGGGAGTACATAGCCCATCTCTTGACCCAGGTTTTGATGGCATCTGAAGAGTGACTTACTGACCACTACCTTGGAAGACAATCCATCTCTTATAATGATGAGAATATATTTCAAGAGACCATCTCCATCCCAGGAACATCCTTGAGCAAAAAGAGTAGTTTACGGGTGCAGTCATGTTCTCTTTCTCGAATTTATTCCCTTCTCTCTGTCCCCACTGCCACCATCCTGGGCTACCCTGCAGATGTCATAGCTCTTGAGGCTCCAGCACTGACCTCCTTCCCATCCTTCCTTATCCATGCTCCCCTGAATCCCCTCCAATCCCGTCTACAGACTAAGTCAACCTTCCTGAAACTTTGGTGAAACATGTTGGTTTCATGATGTGGCATATTGGTGGCATGATGTGGCATGAGGTGGTATGATGGAGCATAGTGTGGAATGGAAGAGCGTGAACCAAGAGTCAGAAGACAGAGTTTAAGCAAGTCCTGACTCTGCCTCAAAGTCTATGCTCCGTCAATCTGTTGCTGTCACTGATTGCTAGTTTCTGCTTCTGAAAAATGAGCCCATTTACAGATCTTCTGAAAAACCCCTTCTTTCTCCAACATTGTAATATTTATCCAAGGCTACATTGGTTATCATCCTTGCAACTTGGGTTCAAAAAGTGGCAGAAACTCTTCAGATTCCAGGAACACCAATGTGAAATCCTTATTAAATTGTTTCTGATCATGTGAAAGGTGAAATCAGCCATTCTTGGCAATTCATGTGCATATAGAAGTGTCTGATGTTCATATTATAACAGAATTATGTAGTTCTTTAAGCTCTCTTGATGCTCACGTTATAACTGAATTATGTAGTTGTTTGAGATTTTCCCTTGTGGGGAAGATTGATTAAACATGAAAGATGCTAGAGGTGGATCAAGAATGACCTTGCAATAGTCCAAGGTCTAGTGGAAAAGAGGAGGACAAGCAGATGGATCCTCAAAGTCAAAATGGTAAGATAAGTCATTGATGGGACCTAGAAGTGAAGAGAGGAGCCAGGCCTGAATGACTCAGGAATCGGGTAGGAGGGCTCTGGGGGAAAGAAATTGAGTCCGTTTTGAACAAGCTGAGTTTTAGGTGCTGCGCATCATTCTCGTGGAAATACACAACAGACCTTTGGGATTTGTCTGGAGGTTAGGCCCAAGTTGGAGCTAGAACCACAGATTTTGGCATAGAATCATATGCATTAAAATCTCTTCTGGTGGAAAGATATTTTACTATATTACTCTTCCTCCAGCAATCAATCCGCTGTAAATCAATAGTGCTTTACAGTCACTATTACATTTTGAAAGTCCATGTACTCAGCTAGCCACTTCCCCTTCTGTCTTCAAACCACCTCCCCTGCTCTTCACCCTGCACCCACCTGCCTGCAGAATCATTTCACCTCCCTTCCTCAAGCTCCAATCCTCCTAACTCAAATGTTAAGGGACAGGCACAAATTATTTCTTTTTCCTGTTTTGCATGACTCATTACTAAATGCCCTTTAGGTAAAATTCCACCCAGTTTTGTGATCCTGCAGTAGAGCCAGACAGTCTACAAGCTCCGCTATTTTCCACGATGATTACTATCGTTCTCCTTTTTTCTTTTAAAAAAAAATTTTAAACACAAATCCAGGGCTGGTTTCTCCTCATCGTTTTCCCATCCTGCCTTGCCCTCCTATCACCAACACCAACTCCCCTGGTTTTCAGAGAGAACTGTTCGCTTGGGCCAGAGTGTGAGAGGATATTCCTTCTCAAAATGAAAGCCCTCGTCATTTTGAGGTAAAATGCCTTTCTAGACAGAGCTGTATGACTTTCTGAAAGAGGGCATTTATAGAACCTCAAATAGATGAATCGTTTTCTTTCAAGCAGGGAAATGTATTTTACTCTTCTTGCTTCAACTGGGATTGAGCCCATTCATTTCATTTTTTATGCTCTCCTGTTTTATTTAGAAATGATCTATTCATCCCAACCCAATTGAAGAAATATAGATAACTCAGGAAAAAATTGCCATATTATTCACATGAGAAATATAGATGCTCCCACTGAATATTTTCATGGCTCCATTTAATTTGAGCTGTATAAACCTGGCCTAAAAAATTCTCTTTTATTTGTTATACTCTAAGAAGGCAGTGTCATCCCTGGAGTGAGTGAGACCCAGATTCTAATTGCAGCTACTCCCAGGCCTCTTGGACAAGGCATTTAACCTCAGTTTTTTCACCTGAGAATGGGAATAATAGAATCTATTTTTCAATGTGTTGTGGGATTAAGTGCAGTAATTTGTGTTGGGTATCTGGCACATACTGTGTTACATGGTAAATATTATTACATGTATAAAAATCATCCTTTGCAGGAATCTTTTTGCAT
Source organism: Homo sapiens (assembly GCF_000001405.40). Lineage (NCBI taxonomy): Eukaryota > Metazoa > Chordata > Mammalia > Primates > Hominidae > Homo > Homo sapiens. The sequence goes on from NC_000007.14 coordinate 39,380,448, forward strand.
CTCCAATAATGTTGATGTAGGCCACTCTGCTAGCCTAGCAGAAGGATGCTCTGAAAACTCCTTATTTTCAGATTAGCACTGCTTCTATTACAAATTACAGGAGGTTTTTAAACTGTAACAAAATAAGGACAACATCAGTGTGAGAATACTATATTCTAGCAAAAAAAGTCACCTCATTATAAATTGAAATGTCTTTTACCTATTTTGTATTATTATATTAGCACATATCCATTTCTATGATAAATATCTGTACGGAGGCAAAGTATGAAAAGCTGCCGAAGTGCTGCTCCTGCCTTTTGGCTCCTAGAAGTCTTCCCTTCTTGGTTCTCTTCACAGTGATATTTAGTAATGACTTCGCTGAGACAAGTTTCCCGACAGATCCCCAAGTCCTGCTTCCTCGTGTCGTGTGCACCAGAAATTCTACTCGTGCTCACCCACTAGTTTCTCCAGTGGGCCCAGGTAGAAGCACTGTGTGGCATTCAGGAGACAGGTGGACTCAAAGTCCTTAGATTATCTCATCCCCTAAAAAAGGAGAAAACTGTGGGGCAGCCCACAGCATGGAGTGACAGGAAAATTGTGATCAAACATCCAGCCTTCTCAGCCTTTTTTGTTTTTTGTTTTTGTTTTTGAGACAGAGTCTCACTCACTCTGTCCCCCAGGCTGCAGTGCAGTGGTGCGATCTTAGCCCACTACAACCTCTGCCCCGCCCCGGGTTCCAGTGATTCTCCTGCCTCAGCCACCTGAGTAGCTGGGATTACAGGTGTGAGCCATCATGCCCAGCTAATTTTTGTTTCTGTTTTTGTTTTTCAAGATGGAGTCTCACTCTGTTGCCCCAGCTGGAGCGCAGTAGCACGATCTTGGCTCACTGCAACCTCTGCCTCCCGGGTTCAAGCTATTCTTGTGCTTCAGCTTCTTGAGTAGCTGGGACTACAGGCACGCGCCACCACACCCAGCTAATTTTTTGTATTTTTTTTAGTAGAGATGGGGTTTCACCACGTTGCCCAGGCTGGTGTCAAACACCTGACCTCAAATGATCTGCCCACCTCGGCCTCCCAAAGTGCTAGGATTGCAGGCATGAGCCTCCATGCCCAGCTTCATTTCTTTCCATTTTTAAAAACTTCTTTTTCCACCCCAGGCACAAGGCATTTCACCTTGGGTCACATTTCACCAACCCATCCAAAGCAACTTTCAAGAGAACCCCAATGAAGTCTTTTGCTATGAGTTGCAAAAGACTGATTTGTACATATAGGTGTTTCTCAACCTAAGGATATTTGCATGATTGCAGGGGACAATGCCCATGTTCCAATTTAAGCAGAAAAATGACCTAATTATGAAATGGATTCCTATAATCAGTTGATTAGATTCCTGGTTTCCACTTACTGACCCAGTTTCTGTCTGTAGTAAAGTTATACAAGCTCTTCTGGAACCTATTTATATCTTTAACAAATCCCTTGAGCTAATAGCTATGTAATTTCATGACAAAGTGTAAGAAAAAACATTTTTTTCACCCACAACTAGGGTAACAACTCCCCTGTTAGAAATTCCTCTGTCCAGCAACTTAGCTCTTTGTAGCAGTTGAGAATCAACACACAAGCAAATAATAATAATAATAATAATAATATAAAAATGGTTCAATCTTTGTCAAAATGTCATGTACATTATTTAAAGGAGAGAAATCACTTAAGTTCTGACCCAGATCCAACCAGATTGGTTATCTGGCTGCAAAAGCATGGAAGATTATAATTAACAAGTAACAAGAGAAAAAGGTGCTTTTCGAAGCAGACCCAAGGACACCTGAGACCCTGCCTATCAGAATGGGAAGATACAGAACAGAAACATACAACAGAGAGACAGAACAGAGGTTCAGAGAGACAGAACCTCTAGGCCTGGGAGCTTGAAGCAAAGGGTGGAGGTCATCCAATAGAAAGAGAGCACCAGCACAGAGACTCAGACCTGGGCCAGCAGGATGGGGGAAGACCTAGAGGAACCGAGGCAGGCGAGTGGACCAGGGTGAGGCAGGCAACTGGAATAGACCCCACCCCAGCCACGGATCTCAGGGAAAAGAGACAGAGTGCTGGACCCAGGAATTCATGTGGTGGGCCCACTGGCCCTGGTATGCAGGATGAGGCAAGCCTTTAGGATAGAGCTGGCTGTCTTGGGAGGTTGGAAGATTAAAGGTTGGAGGAGGCTGTCAGACTGGAAGGAATTGTAGCTTGCAGGTTTTCAGGGAAAGAACTCAAGCAAGAGCAAATGTGATCATAACCCAGTTTGAAGAGGCTGGTTGCCACCTAGAGCCTTAGAATAGGGCACTAAGTCAGAAAAGCTTGAATGTACTGTTTATCTGACGGGCAAAGCTCCTCAGGTGGAGATCCTCAAACACCCCAGAAACAGGACTGGGGGCAGAGAGCCAGGCAGGTCACACTATGACTAATTGATCTTCATAATAATACCCTGGAGTCATCAAGAAAATGAGGAATTTCATTAAGTATAGGAAGGCACAAAAAATTATTGGTGTGGAAAGGTAATGAATAATATATCATGTAGTTTTTAAAAAGTGAATTTAAAAATTACCTTTCCGCAAAAAGTACTTATACTGTGCTCCTATTGTTATTAATATGCGCATTGCCAAGGAGAACTGCAAGAGGACAGGTACCAAAATATTAGCATTGTAATCTCTGGGATTGATGTGGTTTTAATTTAAGTTTTATTTGCTTGTCTTTACAATTTTCTACAACAAATTTGTACTTTGTGTGTAACAAACGTAATACATGTTAAAAGAAGGAAATGTAGTTGGCAATGCATTTTGTAATATTTCCATGCACAAGATTAAAATTGTTTTTAAAGCCTCTCAGCCATTCAAAAATCCTGGTGATCTGATGTGATTCATGCCTCTAGGAACCCCAAACAGCTATTTTTTTTGTCTATGACATAAGAACCTCAGTCTGAATCACCACTAACAGAAACTTTCTATGTTCCTATTTTCTGCAATATTTTAGTTTATTCTTATAAGGAAAATGTTAAATTTCCTTTATTCAGGAGATCTAAGACCCCCAATTAGATCAATCCAGTGGTGTAAACTCTTCAGCATGAAGAGCTACATCTTTGACCTCTTTTGTCTCCACCAACAGAGTATTAAAATCAGCACTGAGTTCATATCACTCAGAGATGCTTAACCATTGACCAAAACCCAAAAAGACTGCATGAAGGTGTCCACAATCACACAACAAACCAGTCATGTGATGCAGTGCTAGAGTGCTCGGGGTGTGCTTAGAGTGCTCGAACCAGACCTCTGAAGATGAATTACCATTTCTCTCTGTGAAAGCTACAGCCATTACCAAACCTACTGAGAAAGTACATCTTTTCCAAAGTCAGGAGTTTCTACACCTATAAGATCTGGGCAGCTTCTCTGAGCTTCTGTTTTTTCATCTCTCAATTGCCTATCTCTCAGCATTGCTGTTACATTAGATCTCATGGAAATGCTTCTTTAATTCTGCAAGGGCAGAATGATTTAACTGTATCATCTTCTCCCCAGAACGTTTAATTTGAATGTGATAAATGGCAACCCAGATAGGGGTCTCAAAATATGTGGTAAACAAATCATTGAAATGTAAGGAACTCAAAGATATTTGATCCTGAAGCTGATTCAATAATCCAAAGCACTGCCCAGTTAGAGGTCAAGGAGGGGAGGATAAATCCAAACCAGCCCCAGTGGTTCTCATTTGTTCCACTAAAGTCTGGAGAAAGGAATTTTATTGGTCGTGGCTCATAAAATAATAGATACTCTGTCCTGAGAAATACTTGCAATTGGTTTGGATCAAATGCTCCTGGGCATGGACCAGACAACATGGCTGGGCTGTTTCCTTTTTGTAATAGCGGTGACAGATGACCGTTAAAAACTATATAAAGTTTTTAAAAGTTTTAACAAAATGCACTGCAACTCAAAGCACGCTCTTATCAATGATCATGTCTGAAGACTATAGAAATGTAGGGCAACAAATGAGTTAAGAACTAAAGAGTTAGTTGGAATCTGCAGTTCTTTTGTGTTTCTTTTTAACCAAAGTAAACAAATTTGCCACATGTATTTGCTATAAATTAAAATAATGAATATGCAAAAAATGACAAAAAAAAAGCCCTGCTTGTTTCTGCCTCAGGGCCTTTGCACTTGCTGCTCCCTCTCAGCACTGTTCTGCACCCAGATATTTCCATGGCTGGCTTCCTCTCATTTCTAAACTCTCACCTTCTCAGAGAGATCTCTCCTGACCACACAATTGAAAGTATCTTTTCTCTCTTCCGCAGTTAGTCCTTTTCTTTCTAGCACTTCCCACTACCTAATATTGCCTTGTCTGTGGTTTATCCATTTGCTATTTGTCTCTCCCGCAGCTCCTCATACACACAGAATGGAAGCAAAATTATTGAGTTAAGTTGATTCAGAACACATTTGGAAGCTTTGTGTCCTCTAAATAAATCCTCATAAGTAGAGGGATAAATTTTGATCAAATAATAATATCCAAATGTTTTTGAAGCCAGGATTTAGAAAATGTTGTTTTTTGTATATATGTGATTTATAACCTGCCTGCACCCAAAAGGGATCTGAGAGAACTTATAATCAAAAACATATAATACTCATAAGCAGAGCCAGTAATACAAACACCAAAATCCATGCAGAGTGACAAGAAAATAAGATACCAAATAGCTAGGCTTATATCATTTCTATAATTGCTAATTAAATTTAACCCTGAGCTTCCTGAGGGTTAAGTTAGAAAATGAGACACAGTAAGTTCTGCAAATCTCAAATCTTTGCAATGGAAAGAGTATCTGTGTGTCACGAATGACTGCTTTTTCCCTCTTGTGTTTTTATTCATTCAACAAACACCCATTGCTTGCCTAACAAGGCATTGCGTTCAGCACCAGGGGCAGAGGGAGGAAGTAAAGATGAATAAGACATGGTCTCTGCTCCTGAGTTGCACACGGTCCTGGGAAACCATCACCAGTGAGAGAGAAGTATGCTAGTCAGAGGCTTGGAGGTGTGAAAGAACATGTTGGGTTCTAGGAGCTGCCAAGTTGCTCAGAGTGGTCAGAGCATTAAGAACCCAATAATCACCCTTGTGCGACCTGCTGTGTGCCTGAGCATTGAACTTCATACCGATGTCCCAAGGTAAATGCTTTTTATCACTCCCCATTGAGACTGGAGGAACTTGAGGCTTAGAGAGGCTTGGTATGGGGATGCCGTAGTGCCCCAGGTCCCTCTTCAATGGAGAAGTGTTGCTCCAGCTGTCCGGGAGTGCTCTTGGCTCACAGCCACCTGCTGTCAGCAGCCCCTCTCAGAGGGTCTCAGCTGCAGAGTCTTCTCATCCAGAGCTTTGCCCAAGGCCATGCCCCTTTCTAGGGTGGCCTACATCCAATGACCTACTCACAGGGAGCTTTAAAGAACCAACTTAGGGCAGATCACAAGGTCAGGAGATCGAGACCATCCTGGTTAACACAGTGAAACCTCATCTCTACTAAAAAAAAATACAAATAATTAGCCAGGTGTGGTGGCGGGCGCCTATAGTCCCAGCTACTCGAGAGGCTGAGGCAGGAGAATGGTGTGAACCTGGGAGGCAGAGCTTGCAGTGAGCTGAGATCGCACCACTGCACTCCAGCCTGGGCAACAGAGCAAGACTCCGTCTCAAAAAAAAAAAAAAAAAAGAACCAACTTAGGCCACTTTTACAGACCATTCTGGCTCCAAAGCTTCCCCGTGGGGCTGCCAGAGATGCCAGGCCTGCACCATAGCTTGATTTCTCTCTGCTCACTCCAGCTGCCACCTGCTCTCTTCTTCAGGGGTCAATCCCAAGGTCCCTCCTCCATTAACATCCTACACACTAAACTCACAGAGTCTGCTTCTGGGTAAACACACCTGGAACTCTATCTAGGTGACAGGGTGGCAGAGCCTCCTTTAGAACCCAGACAATATGACTCCAGAGCTCCACCGTTCTATTATAGCTCCCTCACACTTGGTGCAGAGTGCAGATGAGGTTAGAATTGTACATTTGGGGCAGTCACAGTGAGATGAGAGATGAGTTGCTCCTCTGAGGACAAGGGAGAACCAGCAAAGATTTTTAACAGGAGGGTGATCTCAGCAAATGTTTCAGGATGGCTGCTCTGGCAACAGCACAGGGACTGGACTATGATGGGAAAGGTCACCTTATCTCTATAATATTAGGCCATGTTGAGCTAGAGTCCCACTTTATTTTATTTATAATTCCTTCTTTAATTTTCTGAAAATAATGCAAAAAAAGAGCAAGAAGAAGTTGGATCAAATAGCAGTGGCACACAATTATTAGCACACTTATCCTGTGTATAAATCCCTAGATAGGTGGTTGCCTTCCAGTCTGTCTTCAACGCACACACAAAAACATCTTTAAATACACAGCCGGCAAGCCAGTTAGGAGATGATGGTAATAGTCAATGTCGTGCTCCCCTCTGCAGCGCCCCCTTGCATTGGGCTCATGACATCAACCCTGAAAGTGGGGCAGAAACAGTCTAAGCTGGAACAGCAACTGCTCAGAGAAGTTGTATCTCAGCTGGAAACACTAGCTGCCCAGGGCCATTGCAGCAGGGGACCCTGTGGTAGGTTGAACTGCCATGCAGCACCCCGTGCTGGGGGACAGGAAGACAGTGGACCCAACCCGCTCATCCCCAGGAACCCAGGGTCACCCACTGGATGGTTCTGCTTGTCTCTCCACAGTGGTTGTCTCCATGACAAGACACACACAATCCTTATTTTATATTCCATCGTGCCATCTTTGAAATAGACACATATGGACACGCATGAACACACATGGCCCTGTTCCAAATCCCCACCTACCAGTACTAAGAACCATTTCATAGTTTTCCCCTCCTAAGAGTTTTTTGTCTAATACGTGTGCATCCTTTCCATTGCAGTCCCTGCCATTCAGACTTCTTCTTTTACAGACCACAATGGCAGAACCCAGGAAAACCTGACATTTGTTTCACAGTTTACGTAGCTGATTGAATGTACTCTCTACAGTTCCATTACGTCTCTAACAAATACACTAGTTTTTCCCTTTAGAGAATAGGGGATTATATTGGAATGTCAGGATCAAGTTAGTACGTCAGGTGCGCATTCCATCCACATGAACCTCCACAATTCGGTGGCTCCTGGCTCCACACAGCAGAACTGATATAATCATCCACATACAGTTATTCAGCTTTGTCCATTTGGATACAGGACAATTTCTGCCAAAAACAGTTGTTTTCATTTGCTACAGATGCTCTCGAGCTGCTGTCTTGATAGTCATGGAACATTATGCTTTAATCAATCATTGATGGAGTCCATTGGCTGTCAGGACTGAGCCTCAGGTAAAGTCACAGAATGAATCTAAGATCCAGCCATGGCCTCGAAAAGTGCACATCTAACATGTTCATGTGATTCCTGAGGCCGCTCCTAGTTCATGGAGGGAAAGCCAGACCTCCTGCCTCGAGCAGTCATCCAATCCATCAACAAGGCCACTTCATATCCTTTAATTGTAAAATAAAAATAAAGGGACACCAGCATCAGTTATTTCTAGGAAATTATAAATCCTCAGGTTATGACCTTTCAAAGAAGGAGCAGAGTAAATGTTTTTCAATCTTTATAAAAAGAGAATGGAGAGGTTTTTTGGTGAAAGCAGAATTGACCATGTATCTGTTTTCATGGCCCAGTGTTTCACTGTCCTGCGACAGTGCTCACATGGAAAACTTCACCATCACAGGAACAGAGAAGGGAACTTCAGTAGGCGTCATCACAGTCCCCATCAATCAAAATCACCTCCTTGCTTCCATTGTTTGAATGTCCTGTTGATATCCTTGTTTGATTATCAAAATGATTTTCTTTCTTTTTTTTGAGTCAGAGTCTCACTCTGTTGTCCAGGCTGGAGTGCAATGACACAATCTCAGCTCACTGCAACCTTTGCCTCCTGGATTCAAGTGATTCTCCTGCCTCAGCCTCCCAAGTAGCTGAGACTACAGGCTCCCGCCACCACTCCCAGCTGATTTTTGTAATTTTAGTAGAGACAGGGTTTCACCACGTTGGCCAGGCTGGTCTCGAACTCCTGACCTCAGGCGATCCACCCACCTCGGCCTCCCAAAGTGCTGGGATTACAGGCATGAGCCACTGCACCTGGCCCAAAATGATTTTCAAACAAAGAAAAGTTGGCTGTGGAATGATTCTCATAATGGTGAATTGAACTTCCTGGGCTTAGTCTTCTGAGAAAAACAAAAATCAAAAAGAGAGAGAAAAGTCTTTATTTTGCTGTCAAGTGCGTCTATCTATTCTGGTAAATTAACGGCTAGTACATAAACTCTATTTCATATTTGAAACCATTTCTACTTGAGATAACCTATTTTTTAATGTATTGCATGATTACTATTCGAATACTAGGTGACAAAGTTCATGAGAAAGAAACACATTAAAAATGTTTAGAAAAATATAGGATTGTTTCAAAAAGTTTTTGAAATGGAATGCAATTTTTTCTACATTTCTTGGGCTTATTTACCATAATTTTATTGTTTTATTTTGATATCTGTACACTTCAGTTTACTGGCTCCTCCTCAAGAAGATGTTTGTCACAGAGAAATATATCTGTATTGGTCATAGTGTTACTAGCAATGGCCATAAGAAACACAAGTAGTGTCATTCATTTTCAGAAATATACAGCAAGCCCCCGTGCCATTTTACTTTTCTAAACACATCAGTGAAAATTTAGGGGAAAGAGTGTAGCAACATGACTATATCATGTCTTGAATAAATGTATTTCCAAGAACAATAGTTCTACATGTTTTAGTTTTATTCTGACATGCTTCAAAACAATCTTGTCACTGATGAATTCTAAAATATCAAAATGATTTATTTTAGAGCCAGGCTTTTAACTGTAATATTTTATTATAATTTATAATGACTATACTTTGGTTATATCCAAAGTTTCTCAGAAACTGGATATAAACTTCTTCAGTTCTGAAAAACTTTGGATATAACCAGACCAACAGTTGTGAGTAACTTGCCTTGATTGCAGTTGTGAAGGATAGCAATTGATCTGTAGGTGCAAATCAATCTCTCCACCAATATTTCTAAGGTTAAAAAAGAAGCTGTGGTTACAGAAGCTAAGGAAAATAGAGGACCAAATGTAAATTTGCTCCTTCATACAAAAATATTTTTTCCTAACTGTAATATCCAATACATATAAAAATTTGTGTTTCTTGGTTTTATTTAATGTTGAGGTTTCAAAAACAAAATGAGATTCTTAGTGGCCATTTTTCCCCTGTGTTTAACAATTATATTAAGGCACAAATGAATAGAAAATAATGAAAAGTATTACTCCCAAGCCAGAATTGGGCAAGTCAGCCACAGATCCAGTTCAAACCCTATGACTTTTAAAATAGACACATATGGCCACAAATGAACACAGATGGCCCTACTCCAAATCCCCACCTACTGCTGAGAACCACTTTATAGTTTTTCCCTCTTAAGAGTTTTTTGTTTAATACATGTGCTTCCTTTCCATTGCATTCCATTCCATTCAGACCTCTTCTTTTTTTGGAATGTAAAAGATGCTACATCAGGTAGGTAGTGATAGTGAGGACACCATCAGATACGATCATGCTCACTTAGTGATATTTCAATTAATAGCTGGGTGCAGTGGCTCACTCCTGGAATCCCAGCACTTTGGGAGGCTGAGGCAGGTGGATCACTTGAAGTCAGGAGTTCGAGACCAGCCTGGAAAACGTGATGAAACCCCATCTCTACTAAAAATACCAAAATTAGCTGGGCATGGTGGTGTGTGCCCATAGTCCCAGCTACTTGGGAGGCTGAGGCAGAAGATTCGCTTGAAAGGGGGAGGTGGAGGCTGCAGTGAGCTGAGATAGTGCCACTGCACTCCAGCCTGGGCGGCAAATCAAGGCTCTGATAATTCTGACAAAGCAGAAATATCACTGTGATGGTCGCTTAATGGTAAGGCAAGGCAGATGTGTTTGTGAATTCTTAAAGCTCATGCATCTCCATGATTCTTGTTAAATCAATAAATCTTAACCAATTTGCATGAACATTAACAAAAGCACCAAAAGGAATGTTTTCCAGACCTAGATGGTTTGAGAAGCATCTAGGTTTGGAAGATAGAGTCCTTCCTTTAGCTGTAGTTGATGAGAAAAGCCAAGGTGGATTACAAATTTCTTCCATTAGTGCATTCGTTAAATCGGCGGATAACAAAGTAATACATGACCCAGCTTTTCCCAGAGTGTATAACATAGAATATAAGTTCTAAGGGATGTTAGTGGCGTTACATGAGAAGTGGGTACTATCATCAAATAATGTTGGGCAACGCAGAGTTAAACAAGCTGAACAGGGTTTTCTTGTTTTTTGTTTTTTGGTTTTTTTTTTTACCTGTGGACAACTTTCAGAACCATCAGTGTCCTGACATGCATTATAAATCACCAAGAGGTAGATGCTTCATGCAGTGTTCCCCAAACCTGTTTCATTCCCAAACCTTTCATTCCGAGCAAACCCTGGGACTAGGGTCCCACAAAACACACCTTGAGGATTGCTGTAATTGTCAAGTATTCTACCAAAATATCATTGCTTGCTAACATGTATAGCCACTAGCTAAAAAATACATTATTCTTAAAACATTATGAACTTCCATTTTATTTTGGTAAATTCTTGAAAAATCACATTTTCTTCTTGTTACTTGATGGCTTTTTTTCTTGAAACCTCTGATGACTATCTTGGTCAATTTGTCCAAGTTCTTAAAGCCAAAATCTTAGAAAAGTAAACATGTTTATATGTTGTGGTTTTTACTTCATTTTCTATTTCAATATTTTATTTTAATATTTCCTATATAATAATTATATGATCACCTCCTAAACTTGCTTATTTTCTTTTCCTCCTTTTTTTTACACTGAGCCATTTGCTTTATTTTTCCTTTAAGTATGGCAATTGAGAAGTATAGAGGCATAATGAATAATAAGATGTGCTCTCATTTTTGAAAATATAATGTACAAAATAAGAACTCAGTAGTGTACATGTTATTCTGAAAAAAATCAAAGTATGAGTAAAACTTTCTACCATCCAGGCACAAGAATATATCCCCTCAAAACCTAAATTATTCCCAAGTTTCATACCAAAGTTATCCTGATGAAAATCCCCAGCAGCTGTGTCTCTGTCAACAGAGATGGCAACCCTCTCTTGCAAAGCGACAACCAACCCTTTCTCTTCCTCCCTTCTGCAGTACTGTCCTTCAGTACACAGGCAAAACTGCTATGCCAGTTCTAAGTCTTTGCTATAACCTTGAAAGCCTTTGTCTGGTCGACTTGCAGTTACTTATCTTTTAACATTAGGTAACTAGTTGTTATTTAAAATCTATTATAGATTTAAAGTTCCATTGTTTTCCCTAGGATAGAACATTGTGATAGCTCTGATCATGTTGGAAAGGCCACTAGTCCCATTCCCAGCCCAGAGGTGTTCACGTGCCTCTTGTTGCTGCCTGTGGGCTGCTGGAAGCCAACCTAGAAGTCAATGAACAGCCCAGTTGTTTTAGAAACTTGCTAAAGCCTTGACTCACTAAATATTTATTTTTAGCCATATGTTCCTACTTGCTGAAACAGACTTAGAAAATTCTATTTAGTTAATACATTTATTTAGTAATCCCTCTAGGAGCAGGACTCAAAAAATATAGCACTGTTCCAAATTTTATTCCATTTTAGCATATCGTAGACTTTTATCATTTGAAGAACCTTAAAAAATTATCTGATTCAGGGCTTCTCAGACTTTAGCATGAATTAGCATCACCTAAAGAGTTATTAAAACCCAGATTGCTGCTCCAGCCCCCAGAGTTTCTGAGTCAGCAGGTCTAGGGTAGATGCTGAGAATTTGCATTTTTAACAGTTCACAGGTGAAGCTGATGTGATTCATTCCAGGACCACACTCAGTGCCACTGTGGGAGAAAGCCCTTTCTTCCAGGTCTGCTTCAGAGAAGCTGAGCGTTCTTGGAACTAGCCTTAGACCCAACACCCCACAGAACTCTGGAAGGAGGGAGCAAATCTGGCTTTCTCCCATCCTTGGAGCAACACAAGGGATGATTGATGGGTGGACCTCAGTGTGTATCAGAGGTTTTCGTCAGGGAAGGGTAACTCTGTAACACACATCCCTAAAACTGCTGTGGCTTCTTTGCTGTCTGGGACTACATTTTGAGAACCACGGATGTAGTTCAACCTTCTCAATTTACGGACAGGAACATGGAGGCTCAGGCGAGGCAGGACGGCATGACCAGGGAGCTGCTGATGCAGGAAGACAGCCCAGGTGCCCAGACTTTGAGCAATTTTACATTCTCTCCTGCACTACCAGTTACCTAGTTTCTGCTCATAAGTGCACAGCCAAACATTTCTCAATAGTCACAGGATTGCCAAAGCATTTTTTAAAATATTTTTCTCTTTGCTGATTGGGGAGATGGGTTTCTTCCATCAGTGATTCCCTGCTCTCTTCTTCCTAAATGTAGAAAATTCCCACACAGCCTTGCTTTTGCTCTTGGTGAGATTAAGCTTTATGTTTTTAAACCTATGTTCGGTTTTATTAATGGAAACTTCCCAAACAATCTATACAACAATACAAAAACTTTTTATATTTTCTTGGCTTACGGCTTCTACAGGTAGTGGTTCTTACTGTTAGCTTAATGTGTTTAGAACAAACTATAACCAATATATTTTGTGAGCAGAGAAGGATTTTATTTCCCTCTGAGCATTCTAGTCATGTTTTCTGCTTTCCGTTTCATGTACTTATCTTCCCACTTCTACACAGTCGTATTTTCTCTAATAATTTAGACCATTTGTTTTTCCTAACGACATAGTTCTCTTTTGGGCACTTAATGCTGCAGCACCTCTGGCACGGGTGTGGCAGATACTCCTGGAATGTTCAGCTGCTTTTCGAATCATCTGCCAAAAGGACCCCCTGGGCTCTTTACAATGAAGAAACCTTCATGGATGTGAACCCAGGGCTGCTTACAGACACCCACTTAAGATGGGTGTGACATGACCAGAAATGGCATTTTCTTCTCCCTATAGTTAAAATGATATATCTGACCCTTATTGTGAATTCAAGAGGGTAGATGTTCTAAGGTTCAGCGGCAGACCAACAACAAATGGCTTCATTTCTACTGGTCCCCTAAAAATATATATCGTATGGCCCAAATGTAGTATTTTTTGTGGGATGGCTAGCATATCTCTGGCTAGCTTCCTTCTACAACAGCTGTTCAGTGGATACATTTTATGAGGCAAGCAAGCCATTATACATAATAATAAAATTCAGTAACAGCTTAACAAGGCTCTCCATTTGCCCATGGACTGATAAAACAAAGATATTATGCATAACATTTGTTACAAGCATATTTTAATAACCAATGTGGTTATTGGGATGGAAGGAAGAGGAGGCATATGCTTTGTTCCTTATAAGTAATTAATTGAATTAGCTGGACTTAAGAAAAGTTTCTTGGGTTTCAGTGGTACAAATAGAATCTGTAGAAAAGACACAATATTCTGGAGTAAAATACATCAGAATGCTCCAGTACTTAGTCCCCAAATAAATAAAAGACTTCCAGCTATGCTGGGCAGACTCTCAGGAATCTGAGATCTCATAATAAACTAGTACAGCCCTTCTAATTAATTTTTAACATTATCCTTTATAAAATCACAGCTCAGTCTTAACACGTGCACCCAGCCATGGGGGTTCTTCATCATCTGTCTATGTAGTTTTTTGTAATAGAGAACATTCTGTATTTTTAAAGATGATGCCTTTGGTTTTATTATTCAAAGTTCAATTATTAATTTTTGGTCAGTCAGCAGTTTAGCGTTCCCTTTATATAAAATAAATGAAATTATTTTATAACTTGATGACTACCAATTGTTATTGTTTCCTGGGCTGCAAAGCTGTTAAAGCTAGCTCTTTAATGTTGCATGAGGATGTGAACATTGAGGTGTTTTCATAACAACAGCCTGCAGGGGAAACGCTCTGTGGGCACTCTGCCATATGAACTCAAGCACACCACTCATACATGGGCTTCCTATTTTCCTTCTCCCACCTTCTTTCTCTGCCTTCAAAGCCCATTTCAGAAGGTTCCTGAGCTCCATCTCCTGTCTTAGGTGTGCTGTGGACATTCAGAGCATAGCCAGCTTTCTGACATCCCACAATCCCATAATTATTCTTTTTTCTATTCCAACTGTGTGTCTTTCCCATCTGCTCAATTGGTCTGTGATTTATCCAGGATTGAGCTGCTATCAGTTCTTTTGTGAAGCATCCATGACACCCCTCCTCTTTCCCCCACTGAGCTAACCAGTTCCCCAGTATGTCCACGGCTCACTTAGCATACCCCTACACTGGCTTGTACCCATTGGCTCTTGTCTGTCTACTTATCTGTCTCTCCGATACTCTAGAAGCTTGCAGGGAGAGACCACACCACCATACCTGACACACAGTCGATGCTGTGTTTGATGAATGAATGAGTGGTGAACCATACCGTGCTTCTGTGTGCAGTTACCCCCAGCTGCACTCCCTCCCTCTGATTGCCCTATTGCTCCCAGCTACCTCCTGTTCTCATCTGCCTCCAGTCTGACCCATCTCCACCCAGTCCAACTCAGTCTCCAAGGTGATTATTCTAAAGTTCACATCTGATCATGTCCCTCCATCATTGCCTATGAACAAAGAGGACAAGTCCATAAAATAATATACAAGGTCCTCCCTCTACAAGCACGTGCCTTACCCCATAATCTGCTGCTTTCCTCCTTCTACTTCATGTTCCCCAAAATATCAGAAGTGCCAAACTAGCAGCTCTCTATACACAAAATCCTATTTCTCAACACCACACCTTTGATGATGCTATTCCCAGTGGGTGAGAAGCCTGTTCCTCTCACCTTCTCACTGCCCTCACAATCAACTCTGAGCCATCCTTTACGACTCAGTTCCAAAGCTGTCCTCCCCAAGAAATCTCCCACACTCCCCACAGCCTGATGAGGATCCCTTGTCTGGACTCCCTCTGCCCTTCTCTTAAAGCATTGGCTACGTAGGGTAGACTATATGGGCAGTGCCTCAAGGCATGAGGCTCTTGTCTTGTCCATCTCTGTGTCCCTGGGGGCTGGCACAGAGCCTGCACCCTGGTTTATTAGAAAATATCTGATAAACAACACTGTGTTGAAGCTCCAGAAAGAACCTGTGTCTCAGCTTTCTTGGAGCCCCTCATCCTTCCTGGTCTTTTTTCTGCACTCAATAGCACCTATTGTCCCTTGTAAGAACTCAGCAAGTATTGGGAACTAAAGTAAATTAGGCACAGGTGGGTAAAGAGTGTATTGTGCTTTTCTGTAGCTAGAAACTAGAGTAACACCCACTGCTATACTGTGGCAAAATTTATTTCCAAAAAAACTTTCATCACAAGAGTGCCCCCAATCACTTGTTTAAACTGGATGATAGAATATAAAAAAACAAAACCAGAAAGAGTAATTTTGAAATATCAACAAATTCACCTAACTAATGTGCCATGACAATAGGCAATTGGTAAGAGTAGCACTATTGTATGTAAGTAAGAAAATAGCATGAAACTCAATAAAAACATAGATTTTTCAGGTTATTAAATGGAAGACTAGACAGAAAAGGAAATGAGATGTGTAGGCTTGTAGTAATACAGTATTTGTCTACATATAACTTGGATAAAATCTGATTTAGAGTTGGTGTGTCTCCATAATGCTGACCTCTCTACTTCAAAATCAAATCAATGTATTGGGTTAAGTTAAAAGCTAGTTTTTCCCTTCAACTCTGGGCTTGACTATTTTGTCAGTAAATTTAAAAATAAAAAGAAATGCATCCATTTGGAGAGCTTTCTAAGAGTTTGCCACCAGATCATTGTGTGTCAGCCAGACTCATTTATTTCCTTCCCCTCCCTCAAGTGCTCCCAAGCTCCCTAGGTGCAGAGCTCATTGATAACTCTGCACAACTTGGACCTGGGCCCCATGTAGGATATAGCTCTCTCTCCAGCATACTTCTAGAATAACTCTTCAGCGTGTCCACAAGTGCTCATGGAGAGTCCCCTCTGTCCACCTGCAATGAAGTCCAGGCTTCGTGAAGCCATCTGAGTAGAGCCTCACTTTTCACTCTGCATCCAATGACCTCCAGGAGCCACAGACCATCTCAGTGCCCAAGTGGCCTGATAACCCCCAGAAATCCCACCTCCTTAACTGATGTTACTCTCCAGCGCCTGGCCTCAAAGCAGCAGCACTTGTGCCTAGGGGCACATAGAATCCATCCTTATCTGGGGAAGGCAGCCTCTTCAGCTTAGGCCCATGCTGCTGTCTGTGGGGCTTTGGCCTAGTTCATGAGGCAGGGGTGGGGAGATGTAGCCTCCATAGCCGGACTCTGTCTCCACCACCATAACCAATCATTAAAAAAAAAAAAAAGACTTGTTCACTGCCACTTTATCCTTCAGCTCCCAAATAACCTCAAACCAAGAGATTAAGCCCTCAGCCCAGCCCAGCCCCACCCAATTCCAGGCAAAGAATTTCTAGGGACATCTGGGATGCAATTTCTTGGTCCAAAATGTCCAGAGAAGAGCTAGGTCTTCACCTTTGGCTGCTGAGTTTTTATGTCCTGGAATATTCCCAACTAGTATGAAAGACTGCTCGGTGCCAATTTTGACCTTTCAGGACTCTGCCTGTGCAACTAAGAGGAGGGCTGCATTTGTTGGTGCTAACTCACATGACAGATTGGAGCACAGGCGTTACACAGGAGCTCTCAGGACTGAGTCACCAGATGTGTGAGGCTCTGGCCAGTTGGTCCAATGTGGTGTGAGAGATTGTAAAGTATATATATTATATATATATATATAAAATATATAGACATATATAGACAAATATATAGAGAGACAAATATATATAGACAAATATATATATAGACAAAAATATAGAGACAAATGTATATGTATTTATATATAAAATATAGACATATATATAGACATAGAGAGAGACATATATATATATATATATATATACACATTTTGGAGACAGAGTCTCGCTTTGTCACCAGGCTGGAGTACAATGGCGCAATCTGGACTTACTGCAACCTTCGCCTCCCGGGCTCAAGTAATTCTCCTGCCTCAGGCTCCCGAGTAGCTAGGATTACAGGCACACGCCACCACACCCAGCTAAATTTTGTATTTTTAGTAGAAACGGGGTTTTACCATGTTGCCCAGGCTGGTCTTGAACTCCTGACCTCAGGTGATCCACCCGCCTGATCCACAAGCGTGAGCCACTGCAAGTAGCCTGTAAAGCATATATATAATATGTATTTTATATATTTTGTGTATATATATATATATATATAGTAGAGACGGAGTCTTACTCTGTCACCAGGCTGGAGTGCAGTGGTGCGATCTCGGCTCACTGCAACCTCCGCCTCCCGGGTTCAAGCAATTCTCCTGCCTCAGCCTCCCAAGTAGCTGGGATTACAGGCATGTGCCACCATGCCCAGCTAATTTCTTTTGTATTTTAGCAGAGTTAGAGTTTCAGCATGTTGAAGCACGTATTTTTAAAAAAAAAACATTCAGACAAGTTTGCCTCTAAAATTTCTACTCTTTTCTGTAAATATTAAAGAGTGAAGCTCCCACTATGTTCTCAGTCAGGTAGAGAGATTTTCAACTCACTCCTTCACTCGATAAACATTTATTGAGGGCCTACTGGATGCCTGGCACTGTTGAAAGAGTCAAAGATACAGCAGTGAACCAAAATGCACTTTTAGAGAGCGGGAGAAAGAGGATAAACAAGTAAGTGAATAATATAATATCAGACTCTAATAAGTTGTGAAATAAACAAGACTAGATGGAGAATTGAAGGGTTTCTTAAAAACTTTTATGATGGAAAATTGTGAGCATATATAAAAGTAAAAAAAAAAAAAAAAGTCTAATGAGCCATATAGATCCACTATCCAGTTCCTACAATGATCAAATCAAGACCTGTCTTCCATATCCCCACCCACCCTCCCACTTTGGACTATTTTGCACCAGATTCTAGACATCATATCATTTGCTTATAAATCTTTTGGCATGAATCTCTAAAAGAAAGGGAATGCTATGTAGATAAGGTAGTCAAGGAAGGTGGCTCTAAGGAGGTGATCTGGGAGAATGGGAAAAAGAGTTCCACTGGTGGAAACAGCAAAGCAAACAGCTGAGGTAGTTGAGGATCTGCAAAAAGGCCAGTCGGACTATCCCAGAGGGAATGAGGAGGAGAGAGGACTCAATCCTAAAACAGCAATATGACCAGAAGTTCCTAGAAGGAATACAATTATTACAGCAAAACTTATATGGGGCTTATTATATGGCAGGAGCTCTTCTAGTATTTTGCCTATATTATCTCATATATTCTTCACAACAACCCTACAATGTCATTACAACTATTATAATCCCATTTTACTACAACTAAAGAAACAGACACAGAGATGTGCAGCTAACTACGGGCAGCCTCAGAATTTGAACTGAGGCAATCTAGTTCCATATTTCAAGTTCTTAATCGTTTCACTGTGCTGCTTCCACTTTCAAGGTAGAATGGTGCATTAATTGCAAGACACATTTCTGAGCAACTCTGTGCTGCCTCTTCCAGATCTCTCTAAACCACCACCCCTTCTCCCACTGACCCCTAACCCCAGATTGCCGCCCCCTCCAGGTCTGGATACTGCTTCCTGGCCAGCTTATTTTTTCCTACTTCCCTTCTCTTCCCACCCAAATTTTTTTCCCTGTTAGCTATACTCCCTATGAGGGTGGAGAACATGTCAGTCTGTCATTCGCACTGTATCCCCTCACACAATGCCCAAAACATAGTGGGTACTGAATAAATGCTCGGTCCCACAAGACTGACCCCCACTTCAGCTGCCTGTTGCAAGTAGGGGGTCCCCAGATTACCCACACTTCTGTCCGACTTGGCTACAAATTGGAGATTCCCACCATTCCCTCCTCATGCACAATAATTTGCTGTAATGGGTCACAGAATAGAGGGAAACATGATTATCAGTTTATTATAAAGGATACAAATGAGTGATCAAATGAAGAGACACATAAAGCAAGGTCTGGGTTGGGCCCAGTGGCTCACACGTATAATCCCAGTGCTTTGGAAGGCTGAGGCAGGAGGATCACTGGAGCCCAGGAGTTTGAGACCAGACTGGGCAATGCAGCAAGACCCTATGGCTACAAAATCAGAAAAAGGCAGGAGAGGTGGCATGAACCTATAGTCCCACATACTTGGGAGGCTGAGGTGGGAGGATGGCTTCAGCCCCAGAGTTCGAGGCCACAGTGAATTAGGATTGGACCACAGGACTCCAGCCTGGGCAACAAAGGGAGACCCTGTCTCAAGAATGTAACAAAAAAAAAAAGAAAGAAAGAAAGAAAAAGAAAAGAAAGGTCTCAAGGGGTCCAGAGTGCAGGAGCTTCTGTCGCCAGGGAGTTTGGGGTGTACCACCCTCCCAGCCCATGGATACATTCACCAAAGAGAAACTCTCCAAATCTGTTGTATAGGGTTCCATTATGAAGACATGATTGCTGAAATCATTGGCCACTGGTGATTAGCTCAGTCCCCAGCCTCTCTTCCCTCTCCTTCGTTCGGGAGTGGGGCTGCAAGTTCTATCCCCATAGTCACAGGGTTTGGCTACTCTACCAGCCAGGTCGAATTCTCCTAGAGCCACCTCATTAGCATAAAGTTGGGTGTGGTTGAAAGAGGGCTTCTTAAGAATAACAAAAGATGTTTTTCCTACCCCTATTACTCAGAAATTCCAAGGGTTTAGGAGTTCTGTGTCAGGAACCAAGGATGAAGACAAAATATATATTTCTTATTATGTCACAAAATGATATGTTCCACCCAGATCCCCTGGAATCCCTCTTTTTCCATGAGTTGCCCCCACACCTTGGGCTTTCAATGACCTGCATCTGAAGGCTTTCTTCCAAGGACTCCCTCAGGCTCCAGGATCCATTTGACCCCAAGAGCAAAGGGCCAGCAGTGCCTGAGCATTGCCAACCCTCATCTTCACCCCACGGGCTGTTAACCAAGGACTGTCAGGTATAGGGTATGACAGCCCAGCTTCCTTCCCATAGGGTGGGACAACGCTGAGACCCTACAAACACTCCAGAGCCTCGAGCTGGGTCAGTTTTCCTCCCTTCCCTTTTCTGTTTCTGGGAAAGCTGACCAAAAACCTTAGGTTACCTTAAAAATTCCTCTGTTAGCCAATATGGCTGTATATTGGAACACTCACAGAAAATTACTATACTTCCAATTTTACCATTAAGTGAAAATAAAATATAATTAATTCTGAAACTATACCAAAATCATGGGATTTTACATTGGTGAGTCAAAGCGTTGTAGGACTATCTCCTTAGTTCAGCTAAAGATGAGGTCCTTGTCATACAGCCATGAAAAATTAGGACCACAGACAATTTGAAGGGTGAGATAAACAGGATTTATTGGGCAAAAAGGGAAACAGGGACTCTCTGCAAAGCCAGAGTCCCTGCTGGTGCACTTCCTGATTGAATCCCAGCTTCCACCCAGGAAGAGGAGGGGCCAGGCTCCTCCCTGCTGCAAACAGCGTGGATTTCTGTGGCTCCACCCCAGTGCACATTCTTCCCAGTGCGCAGGCTGGTTAGTGTTTCTCTGGGGACTCCTTTCCACCTGGCTGTCTCAAAAGGTATTTTAGGATGTTGCAGTGCCTCAGAGGCATCTCTCAATCTCAAGCACCCCAGCCCCAAAAATCTCTCAGCAGTGGTCAATGGAGACAGTTGGCAGAGAGTGGGAAGGTCAGCATCTAACACATTGCCACCACTACAGGGAAGGGTGGGCAGACAGTGAGCAGCAAATCCTGGCTCAATACTGGAACTCACAAAACAGGTTTTCTAACTGTTATGAGGGTGTTGTTATAACACAACAATAATGATGAGACCCGGGGGGAAAATTTAGTAGGATAAAACACACATCAACCACGTTGTTGAGATAAATATGGTCACTCTTCCAGTATTTGTCTACTGATAATTTCTTGACTTTTTAAGAGAAGACTTGAGGGTAAGATGTGGAAGTACTGATTTGGTTAGAAGAATCCCAAGGAACCAAGAGACACTTTTTCATACACATAGGAAAAGTCAAGGTCCTAATGTATGTAAATGAACTCAAAAGCTGCATTTGCCCTGCTGTTTCTAGGCATCCACGGCCGAGTCATTTCAAACCTTAAATGAAGAGTGAATAGTGATGAATGCGTTTATGAATATCCTCATTTGAAAACAATGACACCGTAGTCCCAGGGTTCTAAATTGAAAAGTTAGTAGCAAAAAAGAGCTGCTCCAAAATCCATACTCTATAAAATCCACATAGCTCATGAGGAGAATGATAGAACTATAGATCATGGGCAATTATGCTCCAAAGAAAGGTTTTGAGGCAGCTGCATTCATAAGTCCCTCTTAGAATGAAGACATAAACATAGGAATATAATACCATAGCTAAATTGCCTCATCATGCTGCCGTATTTTTGTACATGAGATTTATAATAATAGAATCATATAATCAGCCCATTTGCATGACAAATATTATGACTACTAATGTTCAGATTTAAGGAAACTGAATTCTTTTCAGGATACAAACTATGCATCTTTCAGAGAAAGAGAATATGGGACATGACTTAGAGAAAAACTTTCTTCCATCATGTGATACTATGTATGGTGACATCCATATGACATCATCTAAGGGTGCTCCCTAGGGAGACTTTATCAAAGCTTTTTTTCTCATCACCATTTAGTGTACACAGACAGCAAGGAGATGCACAAAGTATATAGATTTGGAAATATGGATTTATTCTCATTATGAGATGAGCACCAAATATCCATATTGATATGTAGACATAGAAATAAATCACTGTAAATCCTAAAGGAATTTTTTTTTTTTGCAAATCTTTTTCCTGCATTCCCTCACTATCAAATCAGCAACTGTGAGATGGACTCATTCACAATATTTTGACATGAGGCAGGAATTAGACTCCAAAATGGGTGCCCTTATGGAAACCTAACGAATGTTGCAAACTAAGGATGAGGAAAACGTACTATAAATAAGGTAATGTCTTCTCTTGCTGTCACCTGCTGACCCTGGCTTCAGACTCTAGGCACTACTTTCTCTACAGATGAGCTAATCCCATCAAATAGGACAGGCCCAAGACAAGCAGATGAAGCCCTGTTTTAAATACTTGTTGCTTATGCTCTCTACTCTAAAATACTTTTACACATTCTTCAAGCTGATCTTTTTTTATAAGAAAAAAAAGTAAAATAAAATTGCTCTAAAAATAGGGAATAGTTACCCATGTTCCTATTATTTCCAAAGAAAAAAGATATTTATGGAGGTGAGTTCTAATTCCAAGTTGATTAATTCAAAATCTTCATGCACAGTATAAACCATCAGAACATTAGCTACCATTTATTAAGAAAATAATGTATGCTAGGTATTAATCTAAAACTTTTGAGTGCATTATCTCATTTAATTCTCATCCTAACCCTGTGTGTGATATTCTTTTCATACCCATTTTACCCCTAAGAAAATGAAGTGTGGTTTACTTAAAGTCACAAACCAAGGCAGTCTGTTTTCAGAGCTGATGCCCTCAGCTGCATTAATGGGTGAGCAGGGGAATGTGAGGCTTGGAGCCCTTCCTCACTGGCATAAAACTACTTCAAAAAATTATTCTGTTGTTGTATTCTCTAAAATTCCAGGGAGGAGAAAACTGTCTTAAGATATCAATGCTTCTCTTAGTGGGATTTAGACTCCAGAAGTAGAACTTGATGTATTCAAGGCCCAGAATCCATTTGTATACAACATAAGAACTCTAGCCCTCTGCAAATCCTTCCTTTAGAAAGCTTCCACATTTATCAACAAGCATACACCAGAATTCATCATGTCTTTTAAGCTAGTCTGTTGAAAACAAGACCATGTATTACAGTCAGACTTCATTTGGGCCATCCTTTGCTGGTTAGGTACATTGGCAGTGAAAGATCTGAAGGCATAAACTTGGCAGCAGCTTCAAAATATCCAGTTGGTCCCGGAACAATAACATGCTCATTATGTGCATTTATTGTTCCTGGGTTCCCTGCTGTCCAAATCTACCCGGAGTCTCCAATCAAGAAATATCGATAGGAGCAGTGCTAACATGATATGACTGGGGACAATACAGAGTGACATGACCCGAGGTGATGAGAAGAACACGTGTGGTTTCCTGACCAACCCCTTCACTTCCCTCCCACATATTTTAATGCATATTACATCCCTGCCTTGGCAGTCACAGACAGAGAAGCCAAAAGATATGTATGTATAAAGTTACATCCATCAACACCACCAGTGGTCCTCCTGGAATGCCGTCAGCTTACAGATTGGCTTGCACCCACTGTCTGTGCACACCACACTCCGTGACTGTGGTTCTAGCTCTAGTTCTACAGGAACAGCAGGGCATCTCCCCAGAACCCAGACAACTTCCACAAAGACCTACTGGAATGACGGTAGGAAGTAAAAGAGTCATCTGAGTTGGCATTTGCTTCATTAAGAGGGAAAGGCAGCAAAAAGAGGACCAAATTAGGTTTTAAGCTAGGACCAGAATACAGAGGAAATAAACATTAAAAATAAGCCAAACCTATATATTTGTGGTTGCCAAGGCAGCCATCCAAAGCAGTTGAAATATATCCATTTCTGACCCCAAAACACAAAAGCTTAGAAGCCCACTTTTAAGTAGAGACTTTGTTTTGTATTCAGAATAATTGTTTATCCTTTATGCAATACCTGAATTTGCAGCAAACTGCATGGGACTATATCTGAACAACACACTAGTGTCCTAAATGTAGGAAATTCTCAATCTATGCTATTTGGTATCCAGAGAATAATTCTATAATTTCCTATATGAATTTTTGATCAACATAGATGTTAGGGAAATGCCTTGCAATTAATAAAAAATATTTTCTTTTCATTAAATATAAATAATTGTCTATCTTTTTCAGAGAGCATTCTGTATGTAGATACTTAAATTGTTCACCCAAAATTCATGGACCAAATCCATAGTCAACATTAAGATCCAACTGAACATAATTTAATCATTTGTTGAGGATGAAGAAGTTTATTTTGAGATATTCCTGAAACTCAAGAAATTCATTATGATTTCAACTTGTATTGCATGAAAGAAATGCAAACATGGCAATTGACAGATGACCTAAAAATATTGTACCAATGGGCAGTGTCTGTACCGGCAGTTCGGAGACAGTATTTCCCAAGCAGTCTTCTCACTTCAGAAGTTAAAAAAAAAAAGAACACATTATGAACTCTTCTCACTTTAGGTAGTCTACAAACAAGGAGAGTTACTTCTGGATGCATAGTTACCCCACCTATCCTTTAAAGACATACTCCAAAAATCAAAATCAAGACCAACCTGAATTTTAAATCCCATGGTGGTAATCTGGGATAAGACAGGGTTTCTCTTTAGGCTGATGAGTGAGAATTTTTTTCTCCTTAAAAAGAAAATCATTATTGTCTTTTAGGAGAGAGATAAAGGCAAAAGACATAAAGTAATCAACTTAAAATGGATTCTCATTTTTTTTAAAAAATGTGCTGGGTCAGCAGAATTACTGAAGAACAGTTGTGTGAAATTTAGTTATAAATGAATAAAGAAACCGATAAGATAAAGATACCACATTAATGAAAAAATAGTTATTAAATTCCTGTCCTTTTTGATGTTTTCTCTGATAATTAATATTTCCTTCTTCATAAGATAGTATAATCTCTAGGCAAATTTCCAAAGAAATTAAGAAATAAAATATGATTTGAAGGGAAGAAGGAAAAGAGAGAGAGAGAAGAGAGACTGAGACAAAAAATGAAGAAAGGAAAGTTTTAAAAGTGGCATTTTTAGAAGAGCTTCCAAGACTTGAATTAGGTATGGCATTAATTTTTTTCCACCTAGTCTTAGTCGTGGCAGGTTTCTGAAAAAATGCAGGAATTTCATGGATGTGGGAACTGGTGATGGAAAATGCATTATTTCCAACACAACAATTGTTGTACTTGAGAGAAACTATATGGGGAAAAAAATAACACCCTAGAATAAATACAAATGAAATTCATGTATCAAAACCAATACTGTGAAAATAGTTTAAATGTTTCTTGAATTTATATCTAGTCATTAACCTAAATGCAGATTTTAGTTGAAGCCACACTTCTGCCTCATGGTCAGAAGGCCTGAAAACCTGTGGCGTGGAAAATTGGCAGGAAGGAGAATATTGAATTGGTCTCCATGGAAAAACAGATTTTGGCAGCCATAACCTCCTCCCCGGCAGGTCTCTCTCCCACTCTCTCTTTCTTCCTCCCTGTTTCACTCTTGTCCCAGGAAAGAGGCTGAGGAAAGACCATGTATCAGCTACAACAGCAAGCAGTTGTCAATCTGACCATTCATCGAACAACCTTTCTCATTGGCATTGAATCCTGTGGTTTAGGTTAAAGCCCCAAAATTGTCGCAGCCCTAGACTCACCCTCTGAGAGCACGGAGGCCATAAATTCCATTTCTACTGGCTTTGGTTTCCTTCTCCCCTCAAACAAGAAAGTGGGGTGGAACACCTGCCTCGCTCGATGTCCCTGAAAGAAACTGCAATTCACAAATGGAAATGATAAATTCATTCTTAGAAATCCTAAAAATCTATTCCTCTCTTTCCCCGATCCCCATCCTGTTTACTCTCCTATTCTGTCTGGTTACCTCAGGGAAAGCAGATATTTCCTGAGTTTTATTTAGTCTAGAGGGCTTCTGCGAAATCATTTCTCCACCCCAGAAGGTCCTAACAGCCCACCTCACCCCTGAAGTTCAGGCTCGTTCCCTCCTGGGCTAGCCCTAAACCCAGACTCCACCAAGCTCCCCAACATTTTCCTTCCAGCCTCGTTTCCATCATCCCCCTACCCCAGAGCTTCCGGGGGAATGTTCGCCACGCCCCTCCGGTGGGTTCCAGGCCCTTTGCATGAGCGAATTGAGGCGAGAACTACCTCCCCAGAGTCAATGTTGTGTCCGTGTGCTGTGCCTGTGCCTCTCGGTGGTTTTCACGGTGATCTTTTCTCTCTTTGCAGCTGGTTAATAATCCACTAGCAAGTCAGGCTGCAGCGGCTGCAGCAGCCATGAGCTCCATAGCAAGCTCACAGGCCTTTGGCAATGCCCTCTCCAGTCTTCAGGGGGTCACAGGTCAACTAGTTACTAATGCACAAGGACAGGTGAGTGGGA
The DNA here is from genome assembly GCF_000001405.40 of Homo sapiens. Taxonomy (NCBI): domain Eukaryota; kingdom Metazoa; phylum Chordata; class Mammalia; order Primates; family Hominidae; genus Homo; species Homo sapiens. The sequence continues at coordinate 39,406,751 of NC_000007.14, forward strand.
GATGGGAACAAGAGTGCATTTTTATGGCAGATTGAACTCGGAAAGGAATTGAATTTCTTTTGCATGACAGTGATATGTAACCGCATCTATTCGAGGCAAATAAATAATGTTTACTAGCAATGTCAAGAATAGGAGAAGGGTTGGGAGGTGTTTCTATGTTTTAGAAGCAAGATTTTTTTCCTACCTCTAGATTGCCAAAGTTTTATTTTGTTTTTATCTCTGTACTATGACTCATGTTATGACCTTATATGAAGAAGTTACTTTGCATTACAGGGGGCATTCTTTCAAAAAGAAAAAAGTTACATCTTAAAAATAAAATGTCAGTTTTGCTTTTTTTTACTTTTCACTTAAGGAAAAACTTGGATAATGAGGGAAACTGATCAGTTTCCTTCCATAATTGCTGTGAGAGAGATATCAAAATTAGTCTTAACAAAGCCAATTTTTGAATGTATGGGAAGGTGATGAAGAAGTCTTGTAAAAGCAACAAAGAAAAGGGGTGAGTTAGAATGAAGCCAATTGCAAGTCAGCCCCATGGTCCCTGGCCTCCTGCCAATTCCTACGGAAGCCAGGCAACCTCTGGCATGCTTGTTGATTTACTTCAGTATGTCAGGGGTAGTAAACTTTCCTCATGTCATGAGAGAGGGTCTGTCCCCTCAACGCTGCTAATGTGCCACATAATGTTCATACTAGATCCTGGAAGAGCTTCAGACAACCCAATAAACCCAAAAGCTGCATAAAAAGCAAACGAGATGAAGCTGATGATGTCGGGGTACCCTCCATCTGAAGGCCTGTCTCAGAGCCCAGTGGTTAGGACACTTGGTTCTCCAGTGTGACTGATCATGAAATCCAAGGGAGAAGGAGCTAGCATTCTCACAAAGACTTTTCCCCCCAGCCTTATCTATTTGCCCAGCAGTGTGTTTGCATACTCCCTGCTTGGCCTGTTCTGTGGAGAGCAGGCATTTTGATGTCTTGAACCCTGTTTTTATTTTACATAAAGAGTAAACAAAGATGCATTATAAGCTAAATCGTCTCTGTCTACATTCCAGGGAAAAAAAGCTGACCTTGTTTTATTTCCTGGGCGGGTGTGGTATTGTCCCGTCAGAACCCCGAGGGCTGAACGATGGAGCTTGTCAAAGAGAGGCCCCATGTAATGAATCATCTTATCACAGGTGCACACCGCACATATTAAAGGAGGGTTGTATGAACACTGTGCCCTCTACAGTAACCTTTCAATGTCTGCTTTAACCCTTGTTCCAATCCCTTTTCATCAAAGGATCATTTTATGCAGCCGGCTCTAAATGGAGGCTCTCAAAAGCCTATTAAGATTTCTGGAGGGACGGGGTATTGGTGTAGAGGAAAAGTTGGTTTTAATGTCTGTAACTCATACTCACATCAGGTCGCTGCTTCGTAGAGCTGTGCCCAGAAATAGGACACCCTGCCTCACTCCTGCCAGGGAGCTGGCCCTTGAGATGTAAATTTTAGGAGTTCAAGATAGAAACCATATCCACCGACAGATATTTCCTTCTGATTTTTTTGTTCCTACATCTAAGTAAAATACACTGATATGCTCCATCACTTGAATACTTGTGATGCAGAAAATCCATTATTATTTAGAAGGAATTATTAGGAGTTTATTCTTCTGATGATTTAAGGGCTGATTACTTTGCCAATTAGATATTCTCAGGAGCTAGAGTTACTACACTTGCTTTTTTTGGCCTTTGCCAAACCCCAGGGATAGCTTTCCCAGCCCATAAGTACCCATTAGAAAATGATCTTCCAAGTAGAAGATTGATTGGTACTGTGCATACATTGAATAAGAGTTGACTTTAAAATATCTTATTTTAGAAACTGTGGTATGATCGTTTATTTGATGTGGCATACAAACCTCTTAAAGTGGAAAAAAAATTACATTCACAGAGAAATCAATAATGCCTACTCATGAAATCTTAAGTTTTAACACATGTGCCCAATGGGGTCATGTCTTCCACCTAGTGCAGAAACAGTTCAAGAGTTAAAATACTCAAACTTCCAGTGGATAATTGGCCATATTCATGTAGTGATATGGTTGGTTTTGTTTGTTTGTTTTTTGTTTTTTTGATGTTCAGAATATAAACCCGGTTATCTTCCCAGGAAATGGTGCATGTCCTACAACTGTTGGCACAGAGATACTTGTGTGACCCTATGAAGTGAGGTGAACAGCCTGTGGTCAAATTACACCAAAAGAGATAGGCAAAAATTTTGTGTTTTTTGTTTGTGTGTGTGCATATTCCTTTGGCTTATGTTAATGTGGCACAAAAGGTAGCAATACATTGGAACCAGATTCTTACAATTAGCCTTTCTCAAAATACCATGTAAAGTAGGATTACTCCACCCAGCCCATTTTCAATTTCTTAAAAATCTGCATAGCACTTTCCCAGAAAAGGTACAAAGAGAAAACTCTGAATATGTTTAAAGATTCTTTCACTTGAGTTCTTGACATCAACTATTGTTTACATTTGGAAGTTCACCCAAGAGTAATCACGTTAAAACCTAAACCTAAGTGTGGAAAGCATGTTTTACTCTACTGATAGTTTGGTGAGGTTAGGTCTGTTGAGAAGGGTGGGGTGAGATGGGGGTTCTCTTATCAGAAATGTTCTGATCCTCCCCTTCCTCTAGATTCTTTTGGCTACCCGGAAACAAAAAGCAAGATTCATTAGTTAAGACTTTGAATTCAGACCTACCTGGGATTGAGTTTAGGCCCCACCTCTTTCTAGTTTTATGATCTTGGAGCCATGACTTAACCTACCTAAGCCATAGTTTCATTCTTAATGTTCAAATGGAACCCACATGAGGCAGCCACGAGACATACCCAGTGTCTCACAGGGCCCACAGCCTATGCCAGTGGTGCACTTTTGCAGGGCAAGCAGTCCTAAGGCTGGGCAGATGTCCTCGGCTGGGCAGATGTCCACCCCACGTGGGGAGACATGCCAGAATCTTCCGTCAGGGTCTTGGCCCTCAACTCTCAACAGAAAGAAATCCCCCCTCCTGGGACTTGGCAGTTTTGCTTCCCTATCTTGGCATCTGACTCTGTTTCTGTTAACTGGATATCAGTAAATTTAAAGAGATAGGAAATCTCCATATATTGAAGAATTTTATTACTGCTCCTTTTTTTCCCCAACCAGTAGTTATTTTGAGCAAACATGGAGGAAAAACTTCAGTTGTTTTTGTAACTTTCTAACCCCACCCATTCGTGTGTCATTCATTCAAAGAACAGGCACTATTCAATAGAGTTATGAATTTGAACAGAAATACTGCATTCTAAGGTCATAGAGTAGAGGCCAGGCATGGTGGCTCATGCCTATAATCCCAGCACTGTGGGAGGCCAAGGCAGGTGGATCACTTGACTCCAGGAATTTGAGACCAGCCTGGACAACACGGCGAATCTCTGCCTCTACAAAAAAATTAGCTGGGTCTGGTGGCAGGCACCTGTAGTCCCAGCTACTTGGGAGGCGGAGGTTGCAGTGAGCCAAGATTGTGCCACTGCACTCCAGCCTGGGTGACAGAGTGAGACCCTGTCTCCAAAATAAATAAATAAAATCATAAAGTACATATCTTACCCAGGGATGTTAAAGGCTCTAAAGTTATATAGTACCCAACTCCACTCTGAGGTGGGAAGGTAGCATGTGTCCTCCTGAAATTAGTAGTCATGAAATTGATCATGACTATGGCATTGCTGAGAAAAACATCCTAGTTCTCTTTGTTTACTGGATCTGGAAATCATGCAAGTGTGGCAGGTGGGCAATGGAACGGGTGCTAGCTGTGGACTTGTTTGAATTCCAGGTTGGCCCATAACTGGCTCTGTGACGTCGGGCAAATTACTTGAGCTCTCTGAGCCTCGGTTTTGCCAATTATAAAGTAAGGATAATAAAATCTAAGCTCCTAGGTTATGAAGATTAAATGAGATAATGTGTGGGGAAAGCCTACCACAGTGCCTGAGTACACAGGTATTCTCAGTAAATGATTGCATAATTATCATCATCATCATTGTTAAGAGTTTTGACTCATAGTTTCCGGAAAGCTATATTTGATCTGGACATGCAGCAAGAGGCAGTACAGTGTACAAGCAAAAAGAAAGAGTTCTGGAGCCAGACTGCCATCCACCAGCTGTGAGACTGGGCAGTTTCCTTATTCTGTGCTTCAATTTCTTCATCTGAAAAATGGAGATAATAGTAACACCGGGTCCTAGGACTAAAGTCCTGAGAATGGCATCAGGCACATAATCATCACTCAATAATGCTATCATCCAATAAATGCTACCTATTAATCAAGATGGTATGTGTTTTCAGTTCATAACTGTGCACAAAAACCCATGCTGAAGTCTGTGTATGTGTGAGGAGTTTGAGAATGTGAAAATCTTAGTAGTAGGACATTAAGTTATTTTAAGGAAATCTTACCCTTATCTTGGATAGTTCGGCAGGGAGGAGGGAAAATGTGAGTGTATATATGTGCTCTTAACACTTATTCAGTGGGTATGTTCAAGATTTGGCAAGTAGATTTACTATCGATTTGTTCAGCTATAGAATTGGCTTCCCTGGTGCCCCTGGCAATATCTCCTTATTGGCGTTATTGCAGAAAAGTAAAAGCAAATGAAATTTTATTATATACTGGTGCTAAAGAAAGCATTCTACATTTTAACTGAAGCTCAGAATGTTTCCTGATGAAATTAAGTCCTAGACCACTGTGAAATTTTCTTAAGTGGCAGCAAGTAAAGTCAAATGCGTTTGTCCTTAAAAAGCCAGTCAAGGGGGGGGAAGTCAACTAAACACTATTATTTCAATGTATTAAAAAGAAGGAAAAGTAAAGAGACTTACCTAGTCAGGTTACTCAAGAACGCACATACATATGACAGCTGAGCAGAGTTGGTTTGGTGAGATTTGGAAGGATTTTCTGGATCTGTGTAGGATAGGGGCTGCCTCCTAAAATGACCACAAGGCCGTGATGAAAGAAAAGCAATCAAATGGTTCTAACAGTAGCCTATGCATTATGACCTAGAGGATATGCCTTTGATTGTACAAAACCATTGATTGCCACTCAACTCTATTCAAAAGCTCTAGGCTGGAGAGGGGTGGATGGAGAGGCAGGAACACCACCAGCATCATAGATGGACACATCAACTGGAAGGCCATCCCAATGTCATCACTTTCAAACATGGTTAAAAATACGTATCTTAGAATTGAAGCAACATGACGTTCAGATGGAGATGTTGCTCTGGGTTGTAATAAGACAAATAACATCTCCAGAGAGCAAGAGAGTAGCTAAAAGAATGGACTTTTATTGGAACCCAAACACTGTCACTTCTTAGTTGTGTGGACCTTGGATATGTTATAAAACCTTTTTCTGGGCCTCTGTTTCCTCACCAGTAAAACAGGAATGATAGGCTTCTCACATATATTTGTTGCGGGGTTAAATGTGGTAGAAAAAGTGCTTGGCACAGTGCCTGATATATGCCATAAGCATTTAATAAATCATGGCTATTCTGTTAGGATGAAAAACCAGCAATTAACCCTGAACTGTGGGTTGCTAAAGTAATTAGCCCATCATTTAAATACATGAGAATCTTTTAAAGCAAATCACTGCAAAATAAATGAAAATAAAGTTGTAGTAAATGCAAATCTCAGCCAAAGGATTGAGATACAATGAATTTATTCAGTGAGTGTTGAGTCCCTCTCTAGGTTTTATTAGATCTGCCAAAAAGAACTAACAAAGCCATAGCTTAACACATTTGTAAAATTATTTTCAAACCCCATGGAAAAGAAATATGTGTAATTCTGACTATGTGACTAAATAAATGAGGTGCATTAGAAATATCCTGCCAAAGCCAGTTGATCAGGAGTTTAGGGAGATTCACATATATTACTTTATTTCATTTTAAACAATGAAACATGTTAAATGTATAGAAAATAATTTTTGCAAAACAATACAAAAGGCACTCTTGTTTAACCACCTAGATATTAACAATTTTTTCCGTATTAGCTTCAGTTTTCTTGCCTTTTTTTTTTTTTTTTTTTTTTTTTTTTTTTTTTTTTTTTTGAGACGGAGTCTTGCTTCTTGCCCAGGCTGGAGTGCAGTGGTGTGATCTTGGCTCACTGCAAGCTCCGCCTCCCAGGTGCATGCCATTCTCCTGCCTCATCCTCCCAAGTAGCTGGGACTACAGGTGCCTGCCACCACGCCTGGCTAATTTTTTTTTGTATTTTTTAGTAGAGACGGGGTTTCACCGTGTTAGCCAGGATGGTCTCGATCTGCTGACCTCGTGATCCGCCTGCCTCGGCCCCCCAAAGTGCTGGGATTACAGGCGTGAGCCACCGCGCCCGGCCTTCTTGCTTATTTTTAAAAGAAACAGAGGGATAGGAGCCGCGGGAAGCAGCCACAAAAAAAATAATTAATTAATTAATTTTAAAAAATTTTAAGAAAAAATAAGAAACAAAACATGACAGACACAGCTGAAACCGTAGCACCTTCTTCTCCCATTCCCAAGGTGATTACCATGATAAAATGAACACTTTCCATGCACGTTCTGCATTTTTACTCCAAAATATTCATTGAAGAAGCAAGATACGAAATAATATGTACAGAATAATACCATTTTTAAATACAAAAAAGGCAAAAGAATATATTGTTTCTATATTTTGAATAAGTAAGAATCAGACATGTTTTGTTGAAAATTCAGAGTTGGTGTCTGTATGTTTTCTCACAAATATTATGAACAGAGCAATCTATTCATATCACCTTGCTTAACTAATGGTTTTGGCCATCTTTCTTTTATAAGCCAAAAAAAAATCTGAAAAAGCTTGTATTGTCTCATTTGCAATGTCATTGTAGCAAATTTTATTTTAAAAGGTGTAAAAATTAAGTCACGTTGTGTGAACTATATACTTCAAGTAGCATTTTTTTTTAATCGAATAACATTTCTTAAATCAGCTCTTTCTAGAGACTGGGAAATATATATGTTCATGGGATTAGTAACATTATAGGAATTTTACCCTGACTTCATCTGAGTTATAAAGATAAAACAATAAACCTCAATCTTTCTACTAACATATCAAATTTCCCCTTAGAGCCCAGTTGAGAGCTTTAGTTCCTCATTTCAGGAGAAACAGTTGCATTAATGCCGTTTTTCCCTAAATGTGCGCTTCGGGAAAATAACGAGCCCCTCAAGATGCCCCACAAACGACGGTCCCCTGGTCCGAGGAGCCGGGCAGCGCCGCGCAGCCGTCTCGCGTGGGACCCACCCGCGGGCGGAGCCAGGCGGCAGGGCTGCCCCACCGAGCTTCACCCCAGCAACCCCTTTAACTTTCTTAACCCTGTATTCCCCAACCGAACACTTCCCAGAGTTCACGCTGGCAGAGCCCACTTCAAAAAATGCTGCAGGAAGCCATTCACACTCATTCCTATCCACGTTTTTAAAAATGCGAAATAGTGATTTAAATCAGAACAGAACCTCTTCCAATGGGGGTTTCCTTTGCAACCGGGGCTTCGCGGTGATTTCTGTGCTGTTTTGAGGGCACACACCTACATAACACGTTTGCAGAGATAAGGGATCTCAAACTGTTCCCAAAAGTCCCAGGGACTCGTAATATGCAAACCGAGGGCAAATGAACGTGGGAGGATCCGAGGCGCTCGCTGAAGGGGCTCTCCTGCAGTGCCCAGGCAGAGGGAGAGTGGAGGGGGCGGCTGTGGAGTGAAGGGCGGAAGTGCCCTCGCCGTCCTGAGGCCTGGGACCCTCTTGATGGTAAATGGCGCTGTTGAGCCCCGATGCGCAGGGACTCCGCGGGCGGCGGACTTGACAGGAAGCTTTGCTGCGGGGCGGCCCAGCTGCGGACGCGCGGGACGTCAGGGCCCCAGCAGAAGCGCCGGGCTGTGCGTCCTTAAGACTGCGGGTGCGGCCCCGCCCAAGGTCGCCCCGCCCTCCATCCTTCTACCCCGCCCCCCCACCACATTTCTGAAATGAAAGAGTTATCAATCGCTTTAGGGTTAACTTAAAGAACTGAAAGGAAAGCCCTCTCTGAACTCTTTCTTTCTACCCTCCTTCCCCAGCAAAACTCAGCAGTGCAGGCTGCCATGTACCATAAAATGGGTGTGCGGGAATGCACAGTGAGAAATCTAGTTTGCAGGATTCTCTCTGAAGATTGAGCTAGAGAGGACCAAGTTCTCTCTCACCTAAAGCAGAACTGGGATGCTGTCACTTTTCCCACTTCTGGCTGCTGCAGCGTTTTGTTTATCTTTTTAAATTTTTTGTTTGTTTTTGTTTTTTGAGACGGAGCTTCACTCTTGTTGCCTAGGCTGGAGTGCAATGGCATAATCTCGGCTCACTGCAACCTCCACCTCCTGGGTTCAAGCGATTCTCCTGCTTCAGCCTCCCGAGTAGCTGGGATTACAGGCGCACACCACCACGCCCAGCTAATTTTTGTATTTTTAGTAGAGACGGGTTTCACCATGTTGTCCAGGCTGGTCTAGAACTTCTGACCTCAGGCGATCCACCTGCCTCAGCCTCCCAAAATGCTGGGATTACAGGCGTGAGCCACCGCTCCTGCCCCATCTTTTTAATTTTTATCCATGAGTATTTCGTTTTCCTGGGAATTGGGAAACGTTTTCTTGTGGAGGCTCCTAAATCTAGTCTGTTGGCACATCCTGTCTGTCTAAAGGATAGGAGAGGACCAATTAACTAATGAAGCAACCTAAATAACAGCTATAATTCTAAACAGGTACTACGTAACAAGATGCCATTTACAAACAGCTCCCTCAGAGCTAGTCTGACATATTAGATCTTTCTTTCATGAGCATAGTTTACATTCCAATTAGTGCCCACTTATGGCAAAATACTGTAACGAATGTTCACATGACTTCTTACTGTGTGCAAAGCTCTTTAACTGGCTTAATTCTTAGAGGAGTGCTAGGCTTTAGCTGAATGTTCCTTTGGGCCAAGTGACTTCCAGAAAAGAACAATGAAAATAATATCTCCCATGCATTAAGCCTTCACCCTGGGGCTGGTATAATCTATAATCCTAACAGAGCAGTTCATGGTAGGTTTGACTATCTCAGCTGCACAAATGAGCAAATTCTCAAGACATCAAGGGTTAAGTGACTCCCTGGGATAACATCTTCTGGAAGTGGCAGAACTGAGATTTGCGTTCCAAGTCCATTCCCATCCTTCCATATCACCCTGATTTTCTCGGGTTCAGAGTCCTGGTTCATTTCCTGGCTGTTCCGCAGACATGTCACAAACTCCAGAACCTTCATTTCTCCATCTGCAAATGGCAATTGTAATTCTTGCTCTGTCAACCTCACAGATTTCTCTCGAAGGCATACACACACACACACACACACACACACACACACACACACACACACACTAGAAAACTGTAAAGAGATGTAAACCTTACCGAATAATTACAGGGTATTTTGATTGGTATTTTTACTATGATTATTTTTGCTAATCAAAGAAACCAGACAGGTAGTGTCAGGGAATTGTCTAAAGCAATGAGACATTCTTGAAAAGTCTGTATCAGATCTCCACTTCTTGCCAGAGAAAATCGCCTTAAGGTGTCCATAGGTGTCCTGGCTTCCAGTGAGGCAACCTAGCAATGAGGAAAGAAATGCATGGTGAGTGCTTCGTATGGGCACTCATCAAATGAGCCTTTCAGAGCTCAATAGAAAACCCTATCCCAGTGAATCTTCTGTTGTGCTGAAGATTGCAGCTGAAGATTGTTGTCCCACACAGCACAGTGATGTTAGAATTGGTTGAGCTCCTAATGTGGCAAGACCCCACACATTTCTAGATCCACCCAGAATGAGGTAAACCCTTCCAAAGAAAAAGAGAAATATCGAATGCTGTATTTTGAGTCTTCTTACTCTGTGGGATTGATAGAGCAAGAATTACAAGAATTCTTTTGAGTCTAAGACACCACTGATTTTAAATTACACTTAAAGTCATACCAGTGATTTTTGGAGAGGAGGAAAGAAAATACCACATTTAACAAGTATATCAATTGTTAGAAGTAGCCTAATTTCAAAAATGTTAAAAATGTAAAAAAAAAAAAGAAGTTATCATTGAAATGTTGTAATTAAGGGGGATACTATAATTGAGGAAATATGTTATTTATATCCTGAACCAATTCCAGTATCAATAAGACCATACAATGGGCTGTTGATGATGGCTCCTTTTTAGTATTTAACAAAAAGTCAGGGATGGGAGTGGAAGCCATTTATATCTCAGCTTTTCCAACTATAGAATGAAAATTAAACTTGATTTGAGTAGAAGGAGGGTGGACAAGAAAAGGAGGAAGTGCTGAATTTTGATTTAGCGTCCTAGAACAACATCAGTTCCTTCTGCAAACTATGTTTATAGTTAAGATGAGCATTATCGGAGAGGAGAAAACATTAAATTCACATGTGAGCGACATTAAACTTTCAAATAAACATTCAGTATATCATTTACCACACCATATGCCCAATAATGCACCCAACTTTCTTATTGGTCTGTGAGCTGTTGACATGATGAATACTCTTAAAGATGTCATCAACTCACAGAGCCAATAAGAAAGAAATGAGAAATAAATCAGAGTTAGGTAGGAATGGAAAAGTCACAACTTACAACAGTGAGAGGAGCCAGATTAAGTTCAAATGTAGGCCTTTGAATGACCCAATTGAATTTAGTGCACTAGCCATTACTCCAAATTGCCATTTGTCTCATCAACTAAGCTTTCCTACCTGTATAACTAACAATATAAATAGATCCTGAGAAGATGTCATCAGGTGGAGGGTTCAGAATACTACAGTGAAGTCAAGATGTGATGCAGCTTTATATTTGTAAGTAAATGCTATTAATCAAACAACACAAAGATACACAAACAGGAAAAAAAATGTTGCACACTCCCTAGATGAGATACTTGCCAATAGATACAATAAACCAATCTCCTTAGAGTAACAGAGATGGACAGTGCAAATGTCCATGTACTCACATGAAAGGTGGCCCAGGATAAAGAACATGGACTTTCAAATCAGACAAATCTGAATCCTGACTTCATCTGCAAGCAGCTCTGCCCCCGCTGGCAAGATATTTAATCTTCCTCAGCTAAAGTTATCTCTTCCATGAAATGACACTAATATATTCCTCTCAAGTTTGTTAGGAGGATTAGTATTAATAGCAATAATAAATTAATATGTTGCTGCCACTAATTGAGCACTATTTATGTGCCAAGCAGCTATTTATGTGCCAAGCACTTGATATATTACTTTTTCTTTACTACCACACACAATATGGTTTATTCCCATTATACAGATTAAGAAACTTCCAATATCACCCAACTAGAAATGGCTGGATTCAAACTCAGTTATGTCTAATAGAGATTGTTTTTAATCACTGTACTGTAATAATAATTTAAAGTATTTTGTTTTGTTCACTGCAGCTAGAACCAAATGGCTAGAACGGCATCTGGCACATAAAGACCATAAATACAGTAATAAAATCTGTGGCCTGAATGGAGTATTTCATATATGCTAATATGCTAGTCAATAAGCATTTTTGCATAAATTCATCATTTCATTTCATTCTCACAATGATTTTGCACTATCATCTCTAATTTACAGCTGAGGAACTGAAGGCTCAGAAAAGTTAAACAGGTCAGGCACGGTGGCTCACGCCTGTAATCCCAGCATTTTGGGAGGCTGAGGCAGGCAGATCACTTCAGGTCAGGAATTCGAGACCAGCCTGGCCAACATTGTGAAACCATGTCTCTACTAGAAACACAAAAATTAGCCAGGTATAGAGGCAGGCACCTGTAGTCCCAGCTACTTGGGAAGCTGAGGCAAGAGAATCACTTGAACCCAGGAGGCGGAGGTTGCAGTGAGCTGAGATCGCACCATTGCACTCCAGCCTGGGTGACAGAGTGAGACTCTGTCTCAAAAAAAAAAAAAGAAAAAGAAAGAAAAGTTAACCAACTTTCCAGAGCCATACAGTAAATGATAGAGCCTGGATTTGAGCCCAGATCTGGCTGCTTTGAAGCCCAGCTTTCCTCTGAAGCAAAGCTGCTTTCAGCATAACGTGTGTAAGTGCCTAATACAGTGCCTACCATATAGTAGTCATTTCATAAATATAGTGCTCTCTTCATGTGTGTGTGTGTGTATATATATATGTATATATGTATATATGTGTATATATGTATATATGTATATATATGTGTATATATGTATATATATGTGTATATATGTGTATATATGTGTATATATGTATATATATGTGTGTATATATACATATATATGTATACACATATATACACATATATACACACATATATACGTATATGTGTATATATACACATATATACGTATATATGTGTATATATACACATATATATACGTATATATGTGTATATATACACATATATATACGTATATATGTATATATTTTTTAACCCACTCAGGGTGGCTGATCTAAAGTAGAGTCTGTTTGGGTTTTTTGCTTGTTTTTTGGGACTGAATCTCACTCTGTCGCCCAGGTTGGAGTACAGTGTTGCCATCTCTGCTCACTGCAACCTCTGCCTGCTAGGTTCAAGCGATTCTCCTGCCTCAGTCTCCTGAGTAGCTGGGATTACAGGCACGCACCATCACGGCCCACTAATTTTCGTATTTTTTAATAGAGATGGAGTTTCACCATGTTGTCTAGGCTGGTCCCAAACTCCTGACCTCAAGTGATCCGCCCACCTCAGCCTCTCAAAGTGCTGGGGTTACAGGAGTGAGCCACCATGCCTGGCCTAAAGTAGGGTCTGTTTAATATATTGAAGTTTTATGTGGATATGCTTTTAAGTGGGTCATCCAGCATTACTATATCTCATGAAAATGGCAATTGTTTATTTAGTTAACTCACTTCAATTGTTTTAACAGCTAACATTTTGGGGTTGTTGTAAAAAGTAAAAGTAACAAAGGATGTTAAATCCTTGGCACTCGCATCTGTCTTGAAACCCATGGTCCCGCCAGCATGCAGAGAAGACCAGTTTGATGATTTTGAGTCAGCTGCCCACACATTAGTGACCGGGTAAGCTGGACAATCTTGTTTTCTTCAGATTAGCAGCAGCAGCAGCAACAGGCTAGATGATGCCTAGCTTGCCTCTATGACATGACTATGTGGCTGCTAGACATAATAGCATTCACTTTTCTCCGTAACAAAATGTTGTAATTTATTTAATCAAAAGGCAGGGCCACAGAGATATTACCTGCTAGGCTCATTTAACAACTGTTGATTTCCTCTGATGGTCTAGAATGAAAACATTCCCATCTGCCTTCAGTAAATCTGCAAGTAATGTCAGCAAACTATCCTAGATAACCAAAAGGAAGGAACAAATAACATGGACAAAACCAAAAATCTGTTTTAAATTCACATGGAATTTGAAGATTTTCTTGCAAGTTTAGAATGGAAGCCTTCTTTATATGAGGATCTTCTCAGTATTACTGGGTTATAAAAGAACTATTTAGGATTTTTAATACAAAGGGTAACATTACTGAAAGAAAGAATGTTTATGTTTAAAAGGTGATACACAAATTCCTTAAATGAACACAAAAGGAAATGACATAGTGTGCTACTCCAGACTCTGAGAATTCATTTTGATTTCTGAGACCATAAAATCATACACATTTCTAAATATTTGAAAAGTAGAGTTTCTGCCCCTCTAGGCTCACATGGAGATAAGGCAGTAGAAATGGGAATAGTATCTATGGTTTTGCACATCTAGACTGGTTCCTGAAATCCAGAACCTAGGTGAATCAGAAAGTACTAAAAACTTACCTTCTCAGAAACCAAATATGATACTACAAACATTGCTTAAAATGCTCCAATTTTTTTAGCAAAGTTAAATAGATTTTTTTAAATTCTGAGTTATGGATTAAGTTAATGGTTTTGTAGCTAAACATGTCAATGGATCTTTGATGTAAGTATCATTATTCCACCTTTTCCATTACTTAATAATATATAGGGCTAGTCTATGAATGATATCATCTGGCAAGGCTGTGAGACATGTTCCTGACAAGGCTGTACTTTGAAACTAACTTTTGAGATTAAAAATGCCAAAATTCATGCTATCAGCATAAATTATAAATTATTGAGCTTAAAACAGGACAGTCAGAAAATCATTACATTTATCGATTGGTTTATTAGCAATAAGAAATCATATTTCACAAGGACCAAATTTGAAGTGCCTTGCAAATACTCTTTTTCTGAGGGACATTTAAAGTAGGAATTAGAAAACTATGAGAAACCACAATTGGAAGAGTATATCCAGCCCTCTTTCCATACATCTATCAAAAACTGCCTAATCATTAGGGATAAGGCTGCAGATTGTTCACCTATGAAAATGGGGATGCAATTTTACGAGAAAAACTCATCAGCGTAATTCTTATGAGTTACGGTCTTTGTTGTGAGAAATGAGAAATTCTGTGGTCTCACCCTAAAGAACATTAAAAAAAATTACTAACAGGAAATTGAAAAAGTAATATATGTTTGAGTGATGAGGACAACTTTTTTCTGATTGAATAGATAGATAAATATTGCATGCAAGTATCAAAATACATTTAATTTTGCCACAACAATGGATATTCTCTTCACAGAAAGCATATGAATCATCTTGGACTCATGAAACTGAGTGGTGATGAACAGATGCATCTTTAATGGCACTTGGCACGCTTCGTTCCCCACCCTCTTTTTTTCTTAGAGGCTTGTTTTGTTGTTTGTCCTAATTTAAATTCAGCTTTACAGCTTGTATGTGCTCACTGAGTATAAACACAGCACAAAGGGATGCTAAATTTGTACAGTATTTTCTTAAAGCAATTGCCAAACATTTTCTTCACCAATTCCTGTTGCTCCAAAAAACTTGGAATATTGGAGATCACTGGTCCAAATTTAGGGTTTTGTTGTTGTTGTTTGTTTGTTTGTTTGCTACCACTGCTGTAGCTCTTTTTTTTCTCATTTGGGAAGAAAAATAATATAAACATTTCATAGGTCTAATGGTTTATTTAGGAATGTTTACTAAAGCTTCTAAGGACCAAAGCTGAGTGAAACTAACAGGTGTTCTCCCAAGCAATAAATAACTTTAATCTGATTTAGTCACTTAATCTGGCATCAACAGGCAGAAGCAGAAATACTTCTGCAAATTCTAGATATTTTTGCTGGTATTAAAACTTAAAGTTCAGGCAAAGCCATATAAAGGCTCACGAAGTTGGTCTTTCCGCAAAATGATGGCTTCACCACAGTTGTGCTTCTCTTTTAAGGGGGAAAAAATGTTTCAGCAATTTGACAGTGTTGGCAGCTACCAAGAAAATGAAAAGAAACCATAGTTTAATTTGTAGTCACTGGGGAAAAAAGGAAAGAATGATGAAAAGAAATGTTTGCAGTTTATCCATAAAAATGTGTCTTTGTTTTCTAGTACCTGGAACATTCTTAAACTTTCTAGTGGACAAATATAATCAAAACGTAAAACCACTAAGAAGAATTGGAAATTGAAGCATTAGATCATATTTACAAATATTTTCATTTCCTCCCACTGAATAAGTAATATTCAAATAAATAAATAAGTGAGGAAAAAAGAATAAGTAAGATGCTAGAAATGGAAACCAAGGCCACAGTGGCTTGAAGGAATTCATTTTTATGCGATATCTCATGTGCCCTTGTTATAAATAACTGTGGGTGGAAATGTCCACTCACTTTTATTCAAATTAGAATTCTACAGATAGGAAAATTAAAATATATCCACAGATGGGAAGTTTTTGGGAGCGTGATGGAGCTGTGCCATTGTTTACAAGTAAGAAATGCATAGGATCCTTGTGATGGACTAAAGATGTGCAGAGGTTATGACTGTGGTGCGGCCACTGAGGAGGAGAATTGTGCTATGCAAAGTTGAGGTCATTTTCCACCATGTGCCTGCCATGTCTACTCTCCAGTGGGAAATCAGTGGCTTCAATTTATGTCCTTAGAGACCAGAAGTCCCAGTAGATCGACTTCCCACCTACACCCCATAAAATAACTCAGTCCGGATTGTTACCTGACTTACGTAGGCATTTTGGTCATTTTCCTTCCTACAGAGTGGCTTTAAAATGAAATTCAGAATAGACAGATATTTCTCGGACTCTCAAGATCTAGAAAACTGCCTGACAGTGCCATCAACAATGGTGCAGCAACATCATCTTCCCAAAAAGTTCCCATCTATGGATATATTTTAATTTCCATATCTGTAGAATTCTAATTGGAATAAAAATGAGTAGACATTTCAATCCACAGAATAAGGTCATATTTCAATGAAGGGTTAACTCGGCTGTCCAGCAGCAAACACATCTGAGCATGTAATTGGTCTTCAAAAGGAGAAACTTTAGGAGATCACCTAAAGTCATTGACAGTTGCAGCAGTTTCCAGGAGGAGAAAAGAGCCTATTGAACTCTTGTCAACAGTGTGGGTTTCAGTTTTATGTAAATTGCTGCCATCTTGACTGTCCTGCCTACAGGGAGCCTAGGTTTTCTTCTCCACTGGTGGGCTGCTGGTGCCTTAAGAGAGGATTTACAGAATACTCCTACTAATCCAAAAGAGAGTGTTTACACAAATTCAGATGGCTGGGTAACATCCTGGTCTTCTATAGTGGGAACTAATACAATGTGGTATGCCCTGCCCCCATGCCAGGCACACAGGAGGCCCTCAGAAAGGATTTGCTGAGTGAGTGAGTGAGTGAGTGAGTGATGAATTTGTACATGAGCAAATGCATGAATAAAACAACCTCTTAGTTTTGAAGCCATCACAGAATAAAGCAGAGGGATTCTGCCAGTGAAAATGCTGCCACTGTCTATACTGGCGTACATTTAATATGTAATTATTAATATTTGTACAAATATAACCAAGCTTATATACTTAAAGCTTCGAGTATATGTTAACCATAAGCAATACATTTCCCAGGAGAAGATAGGCATGAAACAAAATGGCAAGTTCTCTGTCCATTTCCAAAAAGATGCCTGAAATTCCACTTCCCTTGCCCAAACAGAATTACATATAGTGCTGAGCATCTTGCTTATCTGGCCCTTTCTGGGAGAACTACTTTGTATCCCTAAGTATTTCCCCTTAGTTACAGAGAAGGCCAGTCAACGTTGATTCCAACATCGTGCCTGTCTTGGTCTGTTCTGGCTGCTGTAACAGAATATGGTAGACTGGATGGCTTACAAACAACAGAAATATATTTTTCATAGTTCTAGAGGCTGAGAAATTCAAGATCACAGTGCCAGCAGATTCAGTGTTCAGTGAGGACCCACTTCCTGGTCACAGACAGCTATCTTCTTGCTGTGTCCTTACATAGTGGTAGGGACCAGGGAACTCTCTGGGGTCTCTTTTATATGGACACTAATCCCATTTGACCTAATCACTTTCCAAAGGCCTCACTTCAAATACCATTATATTGGACTTGAGGTTTCAACATGTGAAGTTTGGGGGAACATAAATCTTCAGTCCATAGCAATGCCCAGCTGAACCTTGACAATAGCTGGAGATAACATTTTGCACAATTGACTCCCCCATCTCCTATTTTCATCGTCCTACTTTCTAGTTGAGTAAAAAGTATTCAGAGCAGTAGAAAGAAAAAAGTACCGTAGAGAAATCAATTAGCCTTAAGTAATCCAGAACTTTCCAGTATGCTTTTCATTATGCCAATATATAATTCAGATATAATTTTAAAACATGTGTTCGTGGCAGGCACCTACACCGTGTTCAAAAAAATGATACATTTCCTAGACACCGATTGCTGCCCACCAATCACTCCAGGAATAGACCAAGAAGGTGGTTACAATGACTCCTCACTTAATTCTCATCTCAATGTAATATAATCTTGTGTAAATTTAATTTACTCTTTTGATTATATTCAGGATCAAATCCTTTTTCTATCAATGTTTCCTAAAGCTCGAGTGGAAACCCAGATAAAAGAGAACATGGCAAATCTCATAATTACAGTAAAATATGTAACCCCAGATACTATGCTGCATCTTAAAATTAAAAATTTGAGGAAAAACAAGCACACACAAAAAAAAAAAACACAACACCTGCCTCCAGAGTGTGGAGTGTGCTAGATTCAGTTGTAGTATTATTGTAGTAGGAACTGTCAACTGTTCAGAATGGGGCCGAGGCTGCTAACTTTATTTTGCCAAAGGACCCGAGAAATATTCAAGTCCGATAAGAATGATCATTGTATCCACTGAGTTGACTCCTACCTGGGAGACGTGTCAATTCCCTGAGATGTGGACTTTCCTCTACGAGGTTTGCTGCTCATGGGCTGCATAACTAGGGTTCAGGCCATACTCTATATGCAAATTATTCCCATAAAGCACTTTTGGAATTGGCATTATTCATCCTGTCTTAACATCATTAAGATCTGATAGAATCTCTTCTCCCTGCTTCATCATTTGTAATTGGAAAACACAGGCAAACATACTAGATTACTTCTTCCCCAATAACTACACAAACAAAAGACTGTTCAAGAGCGTGTTTGGGAGTTTGGTATTTAATTAAACATAATAGAGGAAATGAAGAGCCACAAAAGCACATCTTTGTTATACCTTGTAAATATTTCTGGTTACTAATGGGAATAACCTTGCTAACCTAACTGTCAATGACCATGTCAAAACTTCTCCTGACTCTTCTGACCTTTTTTTAGATATCATAACTATTGTCCCTGTTGGTAGGAATTGACTGTTCCTGTTATTAAGTTTAAGGTTTCAAAATCTTCAGAGGAACTTCAGCAACTAATGCATTCGAATAGTATACACGTTTAAGTCAGCTGAAACTTCAACAATCAGTATTATAAATAGCAGCCGCTACCTCTCAGAAATAAACCAAATTCATAGTTTATGGGAAAATATATTCTGCTCACAATTTAAAATGCTGTACCTCTGCTAGCTTCTTAAATTATCTCTTCTCTCTTTTCCCTTGTCTCCTTCTTGCCTTCATTTCTCCTCTGTTTTTCAAGCATTCTTAGTTGACAAAGTCCTGATGCTCATTATGACTCATAAAATGTCTTTTCTGTGTATTATTGGCCTTAATATTTGAGAGCAAGGCAGCCCCTTTCAGCCTTCTCAATGGTGATGTTCCTCTGCCCTGGAACGAAAGCTCAGTGGCTTCTTGCTTCTTGACTTCTCTGGGTATCTCAGGTAACACAATCTTGTATAGCCACTTTAAATTGCAAATAAGATGTCCAGTTCCCTGACAACAGTCCCAGCTGCAACCCTAACTTAAAACGCCGTTAGCAGCCCCAACTGGGGCTCCTTCCTGCTGCTTGCTGCTGTGGGAAAGGGTAGCCGGCCCCTCCTGCTCTCCCTGTTGGAATGGTTCCCATCCTGCTCCAGCTTGCTAGTGATGCTCTCGACCAGTCAGGTTGAGGTGAGGAAAGGAGAGACCAGCGGATAAGAATAGCAGAAGGCTTCCTGCTCTCTGGACCAGCCATTGGCTCAGGCCAACTCTTGGGGGCACTTTCATGAGTTCTTTTGAGGCCCAGCTGAGACCTTTCATTGTTATGGGCACCATGTTTTCTTCCAGCTGCCCCTTTCCTGCTCAGAGCTTGGTTTTCTCCAGATCTACTCTTCAAAGCCCTCTCTGGTGTTGTCCCAGTGGCCATTCCCCAAGGGGTCCTCTGGGACAGGATTTTAAATCATTCAGACCCATGATATTGAGCCCAGAGAAACACTCACACATCCTTACTCCTGCTATCATGGGAGAGTAGCTAGGGTCAATGGCAGGCAGTGATCTTTCTCACTCTCTTTGTGTCTCCCTCCCTCCTCTTCCTCCCTCTTCTTCTTCTCTCTCCCTCTCTCTCACCCTCCCTTTTTCTCTCTCCTCCCTCCTCAGCTCAAAAGCCATAGGCTCTCACCTTTTCATTCCTCAAGAATATTTCCCCCAAATTTGAGAGCACAATATTTATTCAGCCACTTTCATTATCCTTGAGGTAAGGAGAAAGCTCCCCATGCTCCACCTCTGGAAGTGAGGAAGACACAGATTTTTCAAAAATTCTGTGTCTATCCTCTTTGTCAAGGTCTGAGTTCTGGAACTGTCTAGCTGGTTTTCAGTAACCTCCTCTGTAAATCCAGCACATAGTCTAGTCCCTCCCCTGGAATGCAGCACCAGTTGGGTCTTGGTGCCCCCATGGAAACTTCCAATGTAGCATTCTATTATAAAACAGGGAAGATTAAATTATATTTCATAATAAGTTATTATCTTCTATTCATCATGGTAAACAATTTCCACTTTAAAAAATATAACATTCAGAAGAATTCAAAAGAGCTTTTGCAATTTAGTGTAAATGCCCAGGAGTTACCACACAAGCATGTAAAT
Organism: Homo sapiens; assembly: GCF_000001405.40. Taxonomy (NCBI): domain Eukaryota; kingdom Metazoa; phylum Chordata; class Mammalia; order Primates; family Hominidae; genus Homo; species Homo sapiens. The sequence goes on from NC_000007.14 coordinate 39,427,125, forward strand.
AAAATTAAGCTACGAATGACCATTTATTATTGAACACTTATTTGGCTGGTAAACCACAGTGTTGAGTGCTTTGCATAGATTATCTTAGTTCTCACAGTAACCTTATGAAGTGGACATTACTATTCCTATTTTACAGGTGAGTAGACTGAGATCCTAAGAGGTAAAGTAATTCACCAATGATCTCCTACTAGTTGGTGGCAAAGCCTGGCCTTAAATCCAGCCAGTGGGGAATTTTTTTTTCCTTGGTACACATCTTAAACTCTATTAAGGAGAATTACCTTTAATGGCTTTTAAGAAGCTTTTAGGGGAGAGGATTGTTTTTATTATTGTTATTGCTGTTTAAATAACATCAGTTTTCACGCAAATTATTCCTCTCTTAGTGTGACAGAAAGTGCCATTTTAAGGATCCTGACACCTCCAAGTTCTTTACTCTTGTCTGTGAGTGTGTTTCTAAAGTTGATACCAAACAGTATCAAGAATGGACAGAATGATGCTAGCGTTAACAAAAATCTCTTGACCAAAATGTGCTGAGATTGTACAAATATTTGGGAAAGAATTGTCTCTGCTGATGGATTGAAAGATCTGAGGAAGTCACCGATTTACAGCATTGATAGGTCTCCTTTTCTTACGTATATGGGCAACAAGATTACTTGTCAATTTGACGTCTGCAATCACATTCTCCATAACAGAGTTTAACAACATATCATTGGCTATAACAATATGTGGCCTATCAGATGACTTGTCTGAATGCCCTGGGCTTCTGTGACAGAACCCTCAGACTGCTGCTGATGACATGAACCCATCAGCAGTGAAAACACTCAGGACACTTTACCCACCATCAGTCATGATTCATCTCTATTGACTACCTCAACTAGACTGAGGCACTTGAGGGCAATGTAAGGATAACCTCATGACCCAAAGGTGCTCCAGAGCCCTGAATTGCTGGGGTTTGCTACAACTGCAAGCTAATCTTCATTATGGCTTAAGTTATAATAGCTGCTGAATTAGTGATAGTCACATTTGGGCATAAGTCACTCAAGTTCTTATGGAAATGGGGATCTTTCAAATATGTGTGCTAGCAAACACTACTATTTGAATGATTTTTTTTAGTTGCTCTTATAATATGAACTTTATTCCTCTTTTGTGACTTATGCTCTTAACTCATTTAAGGAAAGAGATAGATGGACATTCACAGCAACAACCAAGTAAGTCCTGTTTCAGAGAAGCCAGAACTGTTTTAGGTCACAAATTATTATTACAATTACTGGTATGGGCCTTGGCCTGGTTAAAGCATTTTTCAGAGATGAATCACCACTGGTGGAGAATCGGGGCAAAGACATAGAGGATCATTGCAAACAATGCCTGAGCTATTTGCTGTGAGATTTACAGGGCAATAACTTAACTGAAAAATTTCTAATGTTGCAACCTAGGCATAGAGTAGGCCATGCTTTTTGAATTGAAGCAAAAGTTAGTGAATCAAGCAAATCCTATGCCAAGGAGTCATTGAGGCATTTTGCTTCACACTTGGACACTAAGCAGCATCCTAGGTCTACAACTGATTTCCAGATCTGTAGTCCCTCACCACTTGAGTCCATTCTGTCCACACAGTGACATTCACACAGAATAGCCCCATTTCAGCACTTCCCTACACTCCCGTCAAAACTCACTCATCAAGTTCATGTCCTTTGTAGGGATGTGGATGAAGCTGGAAACCATCATTCTGAGCAAAGTATCGCAAGGACAGAAAACCAAACACCGCATGTTCTCGTCATAGGTGGGAATTGAACAATGAGAACACTTGCACACAGGGTGGGGAACATCACACACCAGGGCCTGTCGTAGGGTGGGGGGAGGGGGGAGGGATAGCATTAGGAGATATACCTAATGTAAATGATGAGTTAATGGGTGCAGCACACCAACATGGCAGATGTATACAATGTTAGAAACCTGCACATTGTGCACATGTACCCTAGAACTTAAAGCATAATAATAATAAAAAAAAAAAAACTCACTCATCGGAACCCCTTGGCTGGATGGAATTTGACCCTCCCAAGCTAACCTGTCTCAACCTTTTCTTGCATTCAACTCCCCATCCCCCATGTTTCTCACCTTTAGGCTGATCTCTTGTTTAGAATGGTTTCTCTGCCTTCCCCAAATCGTACCCAATCTCCAGACCCTGCTTGGCCCCCATTTCTTCTGTGAAGGCCTCTTGGACCATCCCCACCTTTCTTCCTCGGAAGTGACTCATTCATTCCCAATAGTCTTTTGCACAGTCACCACGTGGGTATAGAGATTTTTCTCAAAGAGTACTTGCTAACTCATTTGGTGCTCATCATTTCCACCCTTGGATTGTTGGAATCTCTGCATTCAAGGTACCTGTCTTGTTTACCCCTCCCCTGCCCCAGCTGCATCTTCTTGGCATCCTTCATGGCATTTGACACAGTGTTTACAGAGAGAAGCAGTATTAGGCTGCTCTGCAGGAATCCTCGGCATTTCAGGAGAACATAAATCTGTCTGGTACATTGAGTGGCTTGAACAGGAGTCACAGCCTAGTTGTCCGTGTGCTCAGTGGCAAATCCTTCCATCAGGACTTCTCCTAGCAGTAAATCTTAGCTTCTGGGAGCTGGGAAGTCAAACTCCAAAAGCATCCTGTTTCTACCTTCATTCTCAAAGAAGAGATTCCCCTACAGCCTTGTCAAACCTCCATTTTCATTTCCTGATTTAGTTGAAACATATGTAGATGCAAATACTTCCCTTGAATATCAAAAGGCCTTTAATTTAAAATATGATTTCCACAGATGAAATGGACAACTTCTCATGAGTACAGAGTCTCAGATCTTTGCCATCTCAGCTCCCCCGGTTCCATTCTTGCGACCTCTGTGAAGTCAAAGTCCATGGAGGAGTTCTGATTAGATCTGTGGCCGTGCTAAAAGGAATCAGAGCCAGCATAAGCGAAATAGGCACATCAGAGAATATTTAGATGACACAATGTGTGACCATCTTTACCCTTCAATGAATGGGAGCCAATTGAAACCAACATATTGTGATACATTCGGGAATATGACGAAATTCCCCATAATGCACTACTGAGTTTTTGACACGTTGAGATGGTGACCCCAATGCCCCTGAAAGGGGAACAAAAATAAGAAATGCATAGTGCCACCAAAGGCTTCCTGACTTTAGAACTGCTCCTGACCCCCCACCTCCACCTCCAAGGCAGACTGTCTTTGTTAAAGGCACCAATAGTCAGGTCATTACAGATTCCTCTGGCTCTGACACTACTGTTATCCTATCCTTGATAAGTGATGCTCAGGCCTAGAAAAGAAGAAAGGACAGGGTGGGGAGGAACATAGGCAGCGCCATGTTTTAGTAATGTGCTGGCACAGTTGAAAGTGAGGTTGTGCTTAAGGAAGAGGCTGATGACTTGTTTGCATTTGCCTTTCTTCTTTCCACCCAGGAAGTAGGCAGAGTATTTCATTACTGCAGAGGTGAGCACAGGCTGGTGTCAATCTTCCCGGGACAGAACGCCTCTCTCTTCATCACAGTGTGTTCTGTAACTGTCATGTGCTGTGCTCACCCTGAACCATTCTCTCAGGCTACTTGCTCCCACTGGCTCTTAATCGCACCGACACCCTGCCCCAAACAGGACCCACAGCCCTGCCCCGTAGATGCATCCAGCTTCCACAGGCTTTCAGCTCAGGCTGATAGGATGAAATGAGGCTGCAAAGGCCTAAGACACTGGGGAAGGCCAGAGTGGATGGGTCAGTGGCTGAGTTTTCATTGTGCATGTGTGGAAAGGGGAGTTATCCAACATAAGCTGAAGATGGGAGGCCTGTTCCTGGGCCTCTCTTACCTTGCCTGTGGGGTCACAGGAGCCAGCCTTTGAATCCTGGCTGTTTAATGCAAGACCACTCATCAATAAAGTACTTGCTATGATCTATTGATGTGGACGCCTCCTGACCTTGCCCACACTGATGGGACGTGCTCATTGCTGATGCTGCGGGCCAGGCATTGCGGGCTTGCTCAGTGAGACTGCAGCCCTGCCACACTCCCTAGGGGACAGCTGACCACTCTCACAGTAATTACCTGAACTTTATTGGCCTCCATTGACAAATGCCGTTGATACTTGACATCCGCACAAGTCCTCCATTAGTGCCATCCCACAGGGGCTTTTGTGGTGGAAGCAATGGCATAGGGATGAGGAGGCTTTCTCCAGCAAGATCTGTCACTGAATGGCATGGTCTTGCAATTCTCCTGTGGTTCCAGCTGCATCTGGAGTCCCAGTGACGGCTGAGTCTAGAAACCACTCAGTCAAAAAACATTTACTGAGAAACTATGTTCAAAGCACTGCTCAGGGTATTGTGTGGGTAGAAAGCAGTATCACTTACAAACCCAGCCCACCAGCAGCCTTTCATCTAGTGGGAAATTGCAAACAAGACACACAGTGTGTTTTCTAAGAGCTGGCACCCTCCAAGGTCCTCCATGCTGTGGGAGCTAGGGGGAAGGATGGAAAAGCGAGCACGTGGGGTCAGCCAGACCTGGACTGTAGCCCCAGATTGTCACTTACAAACACTTCTGTGAAGAGACTCAGCTGAGTTGCTTGGCCTCCCTGTGCCCCTGTGTCTTGTCTAGTAAGCAGAGGCATGACAAATATTACTTCACAGAGGTGTTGTAAGAATATAGAATGCAGAGGAATCATATGTGTAAAAACACTTCCTGAGATCTTACTACTGTGTCCTGGTGGCCCCCAGGCCAGGTCACCAGATTTCACCTCTGAGAGCCAGAGCCCTTGAAGGCAACCGGAAAGCAGAGCTAGGTAACCATCCTACCGTGTGTGGAGGCAGAAAAGCATCCACACGGCCAGTGCCACGTCGCTTCTCAGGAGATGCCACCACAGTTGGAAATAGAGATCATGTTTTAGGTTTTTACAGATTACATCTGTCACTAACAGTGTGTCCCTAACAATATGGTCTCTATGTCCAGATTCTATGGACACCCAGTCTGTCCATTTGCTGTTTTTCTATTCATGGTGCCTTTCTCCTTGGCACAGTAATTGGATCTGGCCAGGCCCCTCCTGTGGTCAGTCCCCATGGTCCCTCGTTGAAGCCAGAAGCCACTGGATGCAGAGAAGAGCCTCCCCTGCCACCTGCCACAGAAGCCCCAAGCCCCTCACCTTTAGGCCCTGGCTTTAAAACACATCATTTAAAAGGCACTTTCTTTCTGATTTCAGTCCTCAGTAGTCATTTCACCTCTATTTTAAGAGTTTCAAAAGCTTGTTTATAATCTCAATTCTCTCAAGCCTTCAGAAAGCTTAGGTCCCTTGACAAATGTGCCACAGTCAGTAAGTGGCACAGCTGGGAATGGAATCCTGTCACTCTGTCTCCAGAGCCCAGACTCTCCACCACTGTGAACACCAGGGTGTGTGAGGCCCCTAATCCTGCTGGGGGTATCGGGGAGCCCCTCCCCCGACATTGAGAGAGGAGCTGGATGTTGGTGGAGGGAAGGAGGCAGAGGAAAGAATGTCAAAGGATCCCCTAGTTCAGAAAGTGTGGAGCCCCCCGGGGTTGGGGGGTGGTGGGGATGCACTCTTCCCAGGTGGAAGAGGGCCTTGAGTGCTGTGAGAAGCCCATCCTCCCTCTGGTTCTGAGAGAAAGCAGATGTCAGACCTGCCCTGGCAAAAACCGCATGTTTATACCTTAACAGATGCTTGATTTTATTTTTAAATAAGATGTTTCTCCCTTCCATCACATGAACTCAGTTCGTGTGTACTTATCTCTGCTTTAGATGCCTGCCCCTGCCACCTTCTTCCACCACACCCCCCTCCAGAGCTGCTTGCAGATTCTGAGTCGGCTCCCAGGGAGCATCCTAGAGAGACCAGGCACTGCATGGTCTTCAGTTGCATGCACAGACCCTTCACCGAGCCAGCTCCTCACCTTTGGCCCTCTCTTGCAGATTATCGGGACCATTCCACTGATGCCTAATCCAGGGCCATCGAGCCAAGCAGCAAGCGGCACTCAGGGCTTGCAAGTGCAGCCAATCACCCCCCAGCTCCTCACAAACGCCCAGGGCCAGATCATCGCCACAGTCATTGGGAACCAGATCCTGCCCGTGATCAACACCCAGGGCATCACGCTGTCACCCATCAAGCCCGGCCAGCAGGTAAATGTTCCAGGCCAAGGCAGCCATGGCACAGGACACTGTCCTTACCCAGCTTCTCCTCTTTGGTCTCAATCAATGAAAAGTAACTTTTACATTACAAAATAGTTGATCTCACTCATCTGAACATATCGATACTTATAAAATGGCATGTAACTCTTTTTCATTCTTAATGAATATGGGTGATAACTAAATACCTCTTTAATATAAAAATAAGAATATATTAAATTACAAACAGAGAGAGTGCCCTAAAATTCAATAGGGATGTATTCTTATTAATCTGTGCTCAAGATACTTAATTTTCAGATTTTCAAAATGAGGTCAAAAAGAAACCAAGAACACTCATGCCTTAACTGTGAATGAAAAAATTATTAAATATTAAGAGATCCCAAGGTGCTGCTGCTGAAACCACTGCCTACAAATGAGGAAATGAAAAATAGGAAGTTCTGCTTGGTTGAATTTCACAAAACCATGATGATCCGGTTAATTTTTCCATTCAAATATCAATTGAGAGCTTCCTGTGTATTTGTGCTAGAGATTGGGTCCACAGCACAGAAAAAGGTGTGGTCCCTGACCTCATGGAGTGTCTGGTTAATTGGCTCCTTCAACAAACATTTTGTGATAACCTACTGTATAGCAGGCCCCTGATAAATGTGAAGAAACAGAAATAAAGGAGAGATGCTTTCTGATTTTAGGGAGCTCATCACCCTGTAGAGGACACAGATTTATAAGCAGAATCTGTTGTGCAGTAGAGCAGAGACTGTCCTGTGACAGGGCAGGTATCACCACAGAGTTGGAAGTGACCAACTCTGCCCGGACAGTTTTTAGTCATCCCAGAGATAATGGCTTGGGAATGGAGTCCGGACAGCTGGGTATGAGTTAACCAAGTAAACGAAGGGTTAATAACATTCCAAGCAGAGGGAACAGCAGGCACAAAGGCAGGGAAATGGGAAAGAGGATGGGGTGTTGAGAAACAGGAGAAAGGCTCATGTGATTGGAGCAGAGAGGAGGCAGAGGACATTCATAGAAGGGCTCTATAAACAATCTAAAAAGGATGGACTTTTTCTCTGTGGGACCTTGAACACACTACATATCATCTTTGTGCCCCTGTTACCTCATTTGTAAAGTGGGGATACGCCAGTAGCTATCTCACAGGGTGGTTATGAGGATTAAATGAGTTAATATATATATGAAGTGGTCAGAATAGTGCCTGGCATACAGTAAGCACTAACATAGTTGTGATGATAGTGATGATGATGATGATGGTGATGATGATTGTGATGGTGATGATGATGGTGATGATTTAATCTGCAGCCAAGCCCTGGAGATCTATGAGAGGTTTGTTTTTGGGTTTTTTTTAAACTTCTTCTAAAAAAAAAAGCAAAAACAAAAAACACAAAAAAAAATGAGATTCATGTGCAGAACGTGCAGGTTTGTTACATAGGTATATGTGTGCCATGGTGGTTGCTGCATTTGTTGACCCATCCTCTAAGTTCCCTCCTCACATCCCACCCCCTAACAGGCCCTGGTGTGTGTTGTTCCCCTCTCTGTGTCCATCTGTTCTCAATGTTCAACTCCCCGTTATGAGTGAGAACATGAGGTGTTTGGTTTTCTTTTCCTGTGTTAGTTTGCTGAGGATGATGGCTTCCAGCTTCATCCATATCCCTGCAAAGGACATGACCTCATTCCTTTTTACGGCAGCATAGTATTCCATGGTGTATATGTACCACATTTTCCTTATCCAGTCTATCATTGATGGGCATTTGGGTTGGTTCCACGTCTTTGCTATTATAAATAGTGCTGCAATAAATATACATGTGCATATGTCTTTACAGTAGAAAGATTTATATTATTTTGGGTATATACCCAGTAATGGGATTGCGGGGTCAAATGATGTTCCAGGTTCTAGATCCTTGAGGAATTGCCATACTGTCTTCCATGATGGTTGAACTAATTTACATTCCCACCAACAGTGTAAACATGTTCCTATCTCTCCACAGCCTCGTCAGCATCTATTGTTTCCTGACTTTTTAATAATCACCATTCTGATTGGCATGAGATGGTATCTCATTGTGGTTTTCATTTGCATTTCTCTGATGATCTGTGATGTTGAGCTTTTTTTCATATGTTTGTTGGCTGTGTAAATGTCTTCTTTTGAGAAGTCTGTTCATATCCTTCGCCCACTTTTTCATGGGATTGTTTTTTTCTTGTAAATTTGTTTAAGTTCCTGGTAAATTCTGGATATTAGACCTTTGTCAGATGGATAGATTGCAAAAATTTTCTCCCATTCTGTAGGTTGCCTGTTCACTCTGATGCTAGTTTCTTTTGCTGTGCAGAAGCTCTTTAGTTTAATTAGATCTCATTTGTCAATTTTGGCATTTCTTGCCATTGCTTTTGGCATTTTTGTCATGAAGTCTTTGCCCATGCCTATGTCCTGAATGGTATTGCCTAGGTTTTCTTCTAGGGTTTTTATGGTGTGGGGTTTTACATTTAAGTCTAATCCATCTTGAGGTAATTTTTATATAAGGTGTAAGGAAGGGGTCCAGCTTTAGTTTTCTGCATATGGCTAGCCACTTTTCCCAGCACCATTTATTAAATAGGGAATCCTTTCCCCTTTGTTTTTGTCAGGTTTGTCCAGGATCAGATAGTTTTAGATGTGTGGTGTTATTTCTGAGGTCTCTATTGTGCTCCATTGGTCTATATATCTGTTTTGGTGCCAGTACCACACTATTTTAGTTACTGTAGCCTTGTAGTATAGTTTGAAGTGAGGCGGAGTGATGCCTCCAGTTTTGTTCTTTTTGCTTAGGATTGTCTTGGCTATATGGGGTCTTCTTTGATTCCATATGAAATTTAAAATAGTTTTTTCTAATTCTGTGAAGAATGTCAGTGGTAGTTTGATGGGTATAGCGTTGAATCTATAAATTACTCTGGGCAGTATGGCCATTTTCACAATATTGATTCTTCCTATCCAAAAGGATGGAACGTTTTTCCATTTGTTTGTGTCCTCTCTTATTTCATTGAGCAGTGGTTTGTAGTTCTCCTTGAAAAGGTCCTTCATATCCCCTGTTAGCTGTATTCCTAGGTATTTTATTCTCTTTGTAGTGATTGTGAATGGGAGTTCATTCATGATTTGGCTCTCTGCTTGTCTATTGTTTGTGTAAAAGAATGCTTGTAATTTTGCACATTGATTTTGTATCCTGAGACTTTGCTGAACTTGCTTATCAGTTTAAGGAGTTTTGGGGCCGAGACGATGGGGTTTTCTAAATATAAAATCATGTCGTCTGCAAGCAGAGACAATTTGACTTCCTCTTTTCCCATTTGAATACCCTTTATTTTCCTCTCTCGCCTGATTGCCCTGGCCAGAACTTCCAATACTATGTTGAATAGGAGTGGTGAGAGAGGGCATCCTTGTCTTGTACTAGTTTTCAAAGGGAATGCTTCCAGCTTTTGCCCATTCAATATTATATTGGCTGTGGGTTTGTCATAAATAGCTCTTACTATTTTGAGATATGTTCCATCAATACCTAGTTTATTGAGAGCTTTTAACATGAAGGGATGTTGAATTTTATCAAAGGCTTTTTGTGCATCTATTAAGATAATCATGTGGTTTTTGTCTTTGATTCTCTTTATGCAATGGATTACGCTTATTCATTTGCATATGTTGAACCAGCCTTGCATCCCAGGGATGAAGCCGACTTGATCGTGGTGGATAAGTTTTGATCTGCTGCTGGATTTGGTTTGCCAGTATTTTATTGAGGATTTTTGCATCTGTGTTCATCAGGAATATTGGCCTGAAGTTTTCTTTTTGTGTTGTGTCTCTTCCCGATTGTGGTATCAGGATGGTGCTGGCTTCATAAAATTAGTTAAGGAGGAGTCCCTCCTTTTCAATTGTTTGGAATAGTTCCAGAAGCAATGATACCAGCTCCTTTTTGTATTTCTGGTAGAATTCAGCTGTGACTCCATGTGGTCCTGGGCTTTTTTTGGTTGGTAGGCTATTAATTACTGCCTCAATTTCAGAACTTGTTATTGGTCTATTCAGGGATTTGACTTCTTCCTGGTTTAGTCTTGGGAGGGTGTATGTGTCCAGGAATTTATTCATTTCTTCTAGATTTTCTAGTTTATTTGTGTAGAGATGTTTATAGTGTTACCTGGTGGTAGTTTGTATTTCTGTGAGATCAGTGGTGATATCCCCTTTATCACTTTTTATTGTGTCTGTTTGATTCTTCTCTTTTTTCTTCTTTATTAATCTAGCTAGTGGTCTACCTATTTTGTTAATTTTTTTCAAAAAACCAGCTCCTGGATTCATTAATTTTTGGAAGGGTTTTTCTTGTCTCTATCTCCTTCAAATCTTCTCTGATCTCAGTTATTTCTTGTCTTCTGCTAGCTTTTGGATTAGTTTCCTCTTGCCTCTCTAGTTCTTAATTGTGATGTTAGGGTGTCGATTTGAGAACTTTCTAGCTTTCTGATGTGAGCATTTAGTGGTATAAATTTCCCCCCTTAACACTGCCTTAGCTGTGTCCCAGAGATTCTGGTACGTTGTGTCTTTGTTCTCATTAGTTTCAAAGAACTTCTTGATTTCTGCCTTAATTTCCTTATTTACCCAGGAGTCATCTAGGAGCAGGTTGTTCAATTTCCATGTAATCATGTGGTTTTGAGTGAGTTTCTTTTTTTTTTTATTATTATACTTTAAGTTCTAGGGTACATGTGCACAACGTGCAGGTTTGTTCCATATGTATACATGTGCCATGTTGGTGTGCTACACCCATTAACTCATCATTTACATTAGGTATATCTCCTAATGCTATCTCTCCCCCATCCCCCTACCCCACAACAGGCCCCGGTGTGTGATGTTCCCCTTCCTGTGTCCAAGTGTTCTCATTGTTCAATTCCCACCTATGAGTAAGAACATGCGATGTTTGGTTTTTTTGTCCTTGTGATAGTTTGCTGAGAATGATGGTTTCCAGCTTCATCCATGTCCCTACAAAGGACATGAACTCATCCTTTTTTGTGGCTGCATAGTATTCCATGGTGCATATGTGCCACATTTTCTTAATCCAGTCTATCATTGATGGACATTTGGGTTGTTCCAAGTCTTTGCTGTTGTGAGTAGTGCCGCAATAAACATACATGTGCATGTGTCTTTATAGCAGCATGATTTATAATCATTTGGGTATATACCCAGTAATGGGATGGCTGGGCTGAAATGCAAATCAAAACCACAATGAGATACCATCTCACACCAGTTAGAATGGCGATCATTAAAAAGTCAGGAAACAACAGGTGCTGGAGAGGATGTGGAGAAATAGAAACACTTTTGCACTGTTGGTGGGACTGTAAACTAGTTCAACCATTGTGGAAGACAGTGTGGTGATTCCTCAAGGATCTAGAACTAGAATGAGTTTCTTAATCCTGAGTTCTAATTTGATCACACTGTGGTCTGAGAGACTGTTATGATTTCAGTTCTTTCACATTTGATGAGGAGTGTTTTACTTCCAATTATGTGGTTGATTTTAGAATAAGTGCCATGTGGCACTGAGAAGAATGTATATTCTGTTGATTTGGGGTGGAGAGTTCTGTTAGGTCTATTAGGTCCACTTGATCCAGAGCTGAGTTCAAGTCCTGAATATCCTTGTTAATCTTCTGTCTCATTGATCTGTCTAATACTGACATTAGGGTGTTAAAGTCTCCCACTATTATTGTGTGGGAGTCTAAGTCTCTTTGTAGGTCTCTAAGAGCTTGTTTGATGAATCTGGGTGCTCCTGTATTGGGTACATATATGTTTAGAATAGTTAGCTCTTCTTGTTGAATTTTTCCCTTTACCATTACATAATCCCCTTCTTTGTCTTTTTTGATCTTTGCTGGTTTAAAGTCTATTTTATCAGAGACTAGGATTGCAACCCCTGGTTTTTTTTTTGCTTTCCATTTGCTTGGTAAATTTTCTTCCATCCCTTTATTTTGAGCCTACGTGTGTCTTTGCACATGAGATGGGTCTCCTGAATACAACACACCGATGGGTCTTGACTCTTTATCCAATCTGCCAGTCTGTGTCTTTTAATTGGGGCATTTACCCCACTTACATTTAAGGTTAATATTGTTATGTATGAATTTGGTTCTGTCATCGTGCTGCTATTTTGTTATTTTTCACACTAGTTGATGCAGTTTCTTCATAGTGTCATTGGTCTTTATATTTTGGTGTTTTTGGTTTTTGTTTTTGTTTTGTTTTCTTGAAACAGATTTTCGCTCTTGTCACCCAGGCTGGTGTGCAAAGGCACAATCTCAGCTCACTGCAACCTCTTCCTCCTGGGTTCAACTGATTCTCCTGCCTCAGCCTCCCGAGTAGCTGGGATTACAGGCATGCACCACCACACCTGGCTATTTTTTGTATTTTTAGTAGAGACAGGGTTTCGCCATGTTGGCCAGGCTGCTCTCAAACCCTGACCTTAGGTGATCCACCCACCTCAGCCTCCCAAAGTGCTGGGATTACAGGTGTGAGCCACCACACCCAGGCTTTTTGGTGTGTTTTTGCAGTGGCTGGTACCAGTTTTTCCTTTCCATATTTAGTGCTTCTTTCAGGAGCTCTTGCAGAGCAGGTATGGTGGTAAAAAAAATGCCTCAGCATTTGCTTGTCTGGAAATGATTTTATTTCTCCTTCGCTTATGAAGCTTAGTTTGGCTGGATATGAAATTCTAGATTGAAAATTCTTTTCTTTAAGATTGTTAAATAGTGGCCCCCAATCTATTCTGGCTTGTAGAGTTTCTGCTGAGAGGTCAGCTGTTAGTGGGATGGGCTTCCCTTTGTAGGTGACCTGGCCTTTCTCTCTGGCTGCCCTTAACAGTTTTTCCTTCATTTTGCCCTTGGAGAATTTAATGGTTATGTGTCTTGGGGTTGATCTTCTCATAAGATATCTTAATGGTATTCTCTGTATTTCCTGAATTTGCATGTTGGCCTTTCTTGCTAGGTTGGGGAAGTTCTCCTGGATGATATCCTGAAGTGTGTTTTCCAGCGTGTTTCCATTCTCCCTATCTCATTCTGGTACTCCAGTCAATCATAGGTTTGGTCTTTTGATGAAGTCCCGTATTTCTTGGAGGCTTTCTTCATTCCTTTTCTTTCTTTTTTTCTCTAGTCTTGTCTGCATGCCTTATTTCAGCAAGATGGTCTTTAAACTCTGATATCCTTTCTTCCACTTGATCAATTTGGCTATTGACACTTGTGTATGCTTCACGAAGTTCTTGTGCAGTGTTTTTCAGTTCCATCTGGTCATTTATGTTCCTCTCTAAACTGGTTATGCTAGTTAGCAATTCCTCAAACCTTTTATCAAGGTTCTTAGCTTCTTTGCACTGGGTTAGAACATGCTCCTTTAGCTCATCATAGTTTTTATTAGCTATCTTCTGATACTTCTGTCAATTAGTTCATCTGATCCTCCATCCAGTTCTGTGCCCTTGTTGGAGAGATGTTGTGATCATTTGGAGGAGAAGAGGCACTCTGATCTTTTGGGTTTTCAGCATTTTTTCATTGATTCTTTCTCATCTTTGTGAGTTTGTCTAGTTTCAGTCTTTGAGGCTGCTGATCGTTGGAGGGTTTTTGTGAGGGCTTGTTGTTGTTGTTGATGATGATGATGTTGTTGTTGTTGCTTTCTGCTTGTTTTCCTTTCAATGGTCAAGTCCCTCTTCTGTAGGGCTGCTGCAGTTTGCTGGGAGGTTCACTTCAGGCCCTACTCATCCGATTCACTCCCGTGCCTGGATATGTCATTCAAGAAGTCTGGAGAACAGAAAAAATGGGTGCCTCCTCCTTCTTCTGGGACCTCTGACCTCAAGGGGCACCAACCTGATGCCAGTAGGATCACTCCTATATAGGGTGTCTGACAACCCCTGTTGGAGGGACTCACTCAGTTGGGTGGCATGGGGAACAGGACCTGTTAAACGTGTAAAAGGTATTTTTAAAGCTTAGCTTTTTTTTTTTTTTCAAGAAAATAACTCTGATAGCACTACAGAGGTTGAACTGAAGTAAACCATCTACTGTGAGCAAACCATTTAGGAGTCTATAGCAAAACACAAAGAAGAATTAATGAGAGCATGTACTTGGAGTTGAGTACATGGGAGTCAAGTCATGAGTACATTTGTTGTAGCTGAAAACAATTGAGACACCAGAGAAAGCAAGAGGAGCAAGGGAAGAAAAAAAATCAGAAAAAAATATGAGAAGCAAGGGAAGGAAGACTAAGAGTCCCTCTTGGGAAACATCAGCATTTAAGGAATGGAAGAGGAAAAATGAGAGAAGAAATGGTTGGGTAACTAAAAGAGAAACCCAGAGTGTGGTGATCTAGCATCCAAGTATTTCAAAAAAGTAGGAAGTGGACGAGCATCAAATGCTGCAGAAATAAAATTAGGTAAAGCAATGAAGAAACATCAATTCCTCTGTTTCTCTGTTACAACATTTTAAAGTCTGGATTGTCCCTGTTTGAAACATGTTGAAATGAGCTCCTTAACTGAGTGAGTTAAGAAGTAAGAGGTGGGCAAGGCTAAGACCCAGAGTTAAAGCTGGAGTGTACACTAACAAAAGAAAGGTGGTGGACAGGAATGATGAAGACTAAGAGTGAGTGTATGACCGAGCACATGGCTTTATGTGAAGTCAGAAAGCTGTATAATGTAAAGCAGTTAGCAAGGAAATAAAATATAAAGAGAAGGGAAGAAGAAAGTCCCAATATTATCATTTATCTACAACAATGCAGAAATATCCTTCCAGATACCTCAGCCATTGCCTCCATTTGGCTCCTGATCCAACCACGAAAACAAACCCATTCTTGGTGGCTCTCAGAGACTATGCTTGGAAAATCCAGTTGCTTGTTCAATGAGTACAAAAAAATCTATTTAATGGAAATATTTATTGATCACCTACCATGTGTCTGGCATTGGTACCAGGAAGCTAGGCTGTGTTGGTGGGCAAGACAGATGCCATGAGCTCTTCCTTCATGGAGCTTATGGGGTAGTGAGGAAGATGTACATTCACCAAAGACTTATACAAATATGTCACTAAGACAGCAGTACGTGCCATGAGGTAGAAGTGAAGGGATCTATTAGAGCATTCAGCAAGGGAACTTCACCCAGCGAGGGAGCCAACATCAGGAGAATCCCAGCAAGGTCTGAATCTGTACACTTTCTGGAGACAGAGACTTTGTCTTCTCACTCAAAATCTAAATCTGTAGCCTGGGGAGCCACCTCTTCTTCCTCAGCTTTATCCCAAGCAGTCTCTGTCGATCTTATCATTAAGGACTTTTCTTCCCCCCATCTCTCAGCTGGTTTATTTATTTCACTATTTGCTATTTACACTATTTCTGTTTGATTCTCTACCTTCTAAGTGGTTCCTCAAATAAGGCAAGGTTCTCTATCTTTCATTGGCCTTTTAAACCCTAGTTTCATCTGGTCCAACTATGTTCAAAATTATCTCTGGGGGAAAATATGGGGAAATTGGCCTCTTTTGCTACAATCTGCTAAAAACCTTTTCTGTCAGCAAAGCCAGTTGTAAATTGCCAAAAAGGTGATGAATTAGTTAGAAATCATTAACATTTAATATAAAGTAGCTCTCACTCTCACCTTGAATTTCAAAGGTGAGTGTGGGTGATAGACTACAGCTGTGACACAAAATTGCAGCTCTAGTTTGGGAGTAGTACAGTTTTGATCCAGGAGAAAGGCCTAACCAAGAAATGGCAAATAAGAGGCAGGAATGGTGCCACTCCTAACCCCTTGCTCACAGCAGATATCAGTAATCCATTTCCATAGTCTCTCTCACAGGCCCAGACACACCTCAGGAGCCTTCTCACGCAGCATCTGTCAGCCCCGGAATGAAATCTTGTTCCTACTGCAGCAACATATGGTCAGTCCTCTGCTAGTCTAACCACCACCACTGTCCTCTTCACTGCAGGATTGGAGATTAGCAACTGGAAAAAAAAGCCAGCTTCTTGGGGATGTACCTTGCAAATCCAACAAAGTACACCCCAATCAACATGTCAGCTACAACCAGCATCCCAAAGAGCGGGCTCCCTTCACCAGTACACATATGTGCACCTCTCAGGTATGTGCACGCTGAGAGAACACGTGAGCGCAGCGGAAAAGAGCAATGCGGGAACCATCTCAAATACCCAAGTCATGGCAGGCACCAATGGGCCTGTCCCTCTTGCTCAAGGCATGTGCCAGTGGTCTGTCCTAGTCCCAGGAATATCCAGAAAACTGATGGTGAACCTGGTCAGAAATACCAGGGAAATGGTAGAAATGAATGAATGACTTTATTTCTTGGCATTGGCTCCAGTTGAGACACCATGAGAACACGCAATCAAGCTAACAAGTTGGGCAAATTGACAGGAGATGCACAAGTGTGAGTCCCAGATGTAAAAGCTGTGATTCTGAGGCTTGCCAATCATAAAAACCCCTGAGTCAAAAAGTTAAAAGCTCAAAAGGTATAAGGATAGTGGTCTTCAATTTTTTTCTTTAAATATTACCCTTTACATTGAAGAAATATAATATGGACAACCACTAAAAAATAAAGGATTTCTGTCACACATTAGAGAAGTTTCTCAATTTATTTTTTCATGTGATTTACGACAAATGTGTGATCTCACAAGAGCATAGTTCTGAAGGTAAAATATGTCATAAATTACAGGAACATAGAGTTCCCTAACTCATACTCAGAAGGAAGTCCACTTTCATGAAGTAAAGTATAGGACTGTCAGACCAGATGACCTGGAATGATTTGTTTTAATTTAATAAAAGTAATGACATCTTTAATGAATTTTCACATCTGCCTACCATTAATTAAGAGCCTGAATCTAAGAATGTAGTATCCAACACACTGATGATGATTCTTTCCAATGATGAGAGAAGAACATGCAAAGTTATCATCTGAAATGTAAACAGTATTTTTTTAAAAAAAACACCGGTATTTGACAGCCCTAAATATAGCTTCCACAGTATTACATCAGAAATCCTTGGTGAGCAATACCAGAAAACAAATTCAGAAAAAAACCAGATGAAGGCCGGGCGCAGTGGCTCGCGCCTATAATCCCAGCACTTTGGGAGGCCGAGGCAGGCAGATCGCCTGAGCTCAGGAGTTCGAGACCACCCTGGGTAACATGGTGAAACCCCGTCTCTACTAAAATACAAAAAGTTAGCTGCGCATGGTGGTGCATGCCTGTAGTCCCAGCTACTTGGGAGGCTAAGGCACGAGAATCACTTGAGTCTGGGAGGCAGAGGTTGCGGTGACCCGAGATCGCACCACTGCACTCCAGCTTGGGCTACAGCGTGAGACACTGTCTCAAACAAACAAACAACCAGATGAAAGTAAGAGAGTGATGAGAATCTTTGTGTGCATGAAAGAAAAGTTACTTAATACAAAAATATTTAGTGGAGCTCAAAAGCAACCTTTTGCTTCCTCCAAGGGATTCTACAGCTGTTGTGGCATATGGTGAACACCTCCCAAAGTCAGGGTCTCTTCAGAGGCCCTGTTTTCTTTCCCCTAATTGCCCCGTGCCTATGAATTAGTAGTTTCTTCATAAGCCACACAGACATTATTTTTGTGTAGATTTATTCTCCTTTTGACTAAATCCAGACAAAAGTTAACAGGACTTTTCAGTATCATTAAGGCAGGGAGAGAAAAATGAAAGGAAAAAAAATCTGCAACTTGCAAAATCAAAGCATTAAGATTTTTCAAAAATTAAATACCATAGCTATAATACTTGGAGACTACCATCCATGAAGGCACTCAATTTTTCCTCAAAAGGTAATCTTGGTACTAACAGAAAACCAATGAGAGACAGCTTATTCAAATTAGCTCTCTTAAAATGCCATGCAATTATCAACATCCATCATTATTTTTCAAGTAGATACAAAAATGTATTCAGTTACTAATTTTCAAAAAAATCAATGTTCCTTCCTAGCCCTGGCCTGAATCACTGATTCTCAATTTTTTCTCAAGCCACCCAGAATGAGATAGAAATGAGGCATTCCCACCCACAAGGGATCTAAAATAGAGTAAGGGTTTGCCTAGATGGGTGAAATCTATATGGGTGGTCCCAATGCAGAGCAGTCCTTTGACCTTCCAGTCATGTATCTGGATAGCTAACTTCTCTGGTCTCACCTTCTCACTCCCTGCCAAGTTCGGCTGATGCAGTTCATTCATACTTTCTGTGCATTCTGTGCCCCTGGCCTAGAACCTCTTCCCACCTTCCGTGTCTGGCAAGCTCCTGCTCATCCATTCTTTGGGGTCTGGATCCACTCTCCCTCCTCTGTCCTAAATCCCTCCCTCCTCTGTAAAGCCTCTCTGAATGCCAAAAGGATAACTTCCTCCTCTTTTCAAATTTTCCACAAAGATAGCTAAAATCTCTCTTGTATCATGTTCCAGGTCCTCCAAATGTTTGAAGGTAGCTCATCCTGATGTCAACAATAAATCTCTCAGCAAATTTAATTTGTGCTCTTGTCCTGTCCACAGTAGAATGAATTCCTCAGTAAGGCTCAGGCATTCATTATACCCTCCTAGTTAATCAAAGTTCTTATTATGTCTGGGCTCTGGCTTCTTTTGTCTAGACATAACAGATCCACTTGCTCTAACTCTTTTTCCAAGAGGAGCTCCTTCCAAAATCTGTGTGGTCCTCCAACCCACAGTAGCAGCATCACCTGAAAACTTGTTAGATATGCAAATTCTTGAGCCCCAACCCAGGCTTACTAAATTAGAAAGTCAGGGTAGAGCCCAGTGATCTGTGCTCTAACAGCCCTCCAGGTGATTCTGATGCAACTAAATCTTGAGAACCGCTGATTTAATTTCTCTTCAAGCTATTCCAAGGTACACATTACTCAGAAAAATGCCAACTAGGGCAGGCAGGGAGGGCAAGTAATGATGCCCTTCCCACATACTCTGGCTTCTGCGAGACCCCTCTGGGTTGTATTCATTGCCTCCATTGCAGCACGGGGTGGGTTCAGCCTGGGGTTCACTATGGCTCTCTGACATCTTTGTTGAAGGCCAGCCCTCCTTCATTTTGCCTTTGCAGATTTAGAGAGATTTTTCCTCCCCAAGTGAGTTTCTTTATATTTAATCCCATTTGAATTTTCTGTTTATATGCATTCACTTTTCCAACTTGCCTAGTACATTCTGCATTTTAGTCCATTTTCCAAGACACTTGCCACCCCACTTATTTTAATATCAATGACACATTTAATTAGAAGATGATTTATTCCAGAAACTAAAACATTATTAACGATATACCGCATAACACACAGAAGATACCTGGGGATCAGTGGCACAGAAAACCAAGAAAGCCTTTACAGTGTGCTGTTATTTCAGTCTATTTTTGGTGAATATATTAAACACCCTGGCAGTGCCAACCAGTAAAAACAAACCAAGAGAGCAAGCCTGTGAGAGCCAGTAGGACGTAGAAAGCTTCTCAGACACTGCATCCTGTGCTCCATTTGTCATTCTGTGTGTGGGATGGACATCCGGTCCTCCTCCTCTGGAAAATCCACAGCCACAGGCTCACATGAGCTGTTCCTTTTCTCTTCTTTCTTGCAGATTCTCCATGCTTTCAGCCTATTTACACTGGGCTCACAGCTCAAAAAAGGGCAAGAAAGTGATTATGTAAACTCAGACGGAGAGAAACTCAAGCTCCTTTAGGCAGTCTACTAACAGTAGGGCGAATAAATAGAAAATACGATCATATAAAGAGGATACAATACTGAGAAGAGTAAGTTTGGGGGTAGTACAGATAACTAGAATTAATTATATCAAGCAAAGAACAATCTGTAGGCAACTGCATCTGAGATGTGTCCCCAAACTGCACTAAAATCATAACATTATTTTTGGATAATCTTCTAGCCACCTGAGAGTACCATGTTTTTTTTCAAACATGGCATTTTAAATAGGGAACTGCAGACAATAATTCTTAAACCAGAAAAATATTTGAAATTTTATATTAGGGAAAAGAAACACATTGATAGATCATGATGATCTACACTATGGCTGATCAACTTGAAAGTGTAGCTCACCATGATCTATCAGTTTGAACATACCTCATTTGTTCCCACAATTCCCAGCTCCCTGCTGTTTCCCTGACCTGTAACTGCTCATCTCCGATGATCGTGGAGTTGAGAGGCAGCGGGGCATAGTGGAAGGAGTGCTGGCTCTTGAGTCAGACTTACATGGATTGAAAGCTTACTTATACCAGCTGTGTAATCCCAAGTAAGTCATTTCATCTTTTGAAGTCTCTGTTTCCTCTTCTGTAATGATATCACCAATACCTAAAAAGGAGGACTATTGCCAGGATTTTAAATAATATACACAAAAACAGGTAGGAAGCATCCAATAAACATTACTCACATATTTGGCCTTTCAAAAATTAAGACAATGTAATAAAACATCTGCCTTTATAGAAGCATCTAAGTTTCCCTTTCCCTCCAGGAAGGAAAGGAAAGAAACTTTTTCTTCTGCTTCTAATTATTCCCTAACTCCCTGCATTTTCTTTTGGTAAATTATTCCAATTTTTGTGTCCGGTTATGTTTTAATACTTAAATGTCTATTTCTTTTGCCAATAGTTATGCAATACAAGTATATGTGATTTTTACAGTTAAGTCAGTGTCCAAAACAACAACATAATTAAATCAAATTAAGTAACATATTCCTAATGCTGCTTATTTAACATATATTAAATTTTTATATTGAACCCGAGAGCTGTTTCATAAAGTAGCTTAAATCTCTGCTTTGCCTTTTCTTATTTGATATATTTTAAGCACAAAATTTCTAAAGATTAATACACCAAAAACATTAAACTAAGAATCCCAGTGATGTAGTGCTATATTTCATAGTTTACCTGAAAGAATTACAGTTTTAGAGATGGAATTTCATAGAAGTGGTACTTCTGAAGTCCTGTTTTTCTAAGGAAAGACGTTATGAAGGCGAGAGGTCAGTATCTGGGCTGATTTTGACATGTACAGAAGGCTATTCTATCTCAGCTTGCAAATGATTCTAGAATTAACAGATACACATTTACACTGGCAATTGGAATGAAACCTATGGGCTCCATTGAGATGCCACTGCTTATATAATCTTCTTGATCCTTGACAAGTAAGAAATTTGAAGAATTTGTATTGGTTTTTCTGAACTGTTTGGTTGAACTCTAGAGGTAAGCAGAACCCCAGTGTCCTAAAATAAATGATTATTTACTTTGGAAGAAAAATATCTTTCTTAGATTCTTAGACATCTTAGATTCCTTTTGACTCTCCTTTTGACTGTATGGACATGGAACAAGTTCTTAAAATAATTATTTTATTTTCATCTGAAATTTCTTCTCTTGCCTAGAAGCCCTAGCTTGCTCTAGTGACTCTTAATTTAAGCAATATTGCAGTCTAGTAATTTTTTCTTTATTGTGTTGTGTCTGAGGAAGAAATATTTAAATTGGTGTCTTTTCCAGTTCCTTGATGGTTCTTTACCACACCCAGGGCCAATAAAATATTGATGCAATGGTAAAACCGAAGACAATCTAATGATTCAGTTACTCAAAACTGTAAAAAGCTTTTGCCAAGTAACAGTATTTAGAAGGACAACTCAATACGTTATAGGGGGTAGATTGACATGCAAATATCCATCACACTTTATTAAGCAAATTAAAAATAGATTTAATCTTTAATATGTGTCCCTACAGTATAAAATTTACTGGATTCAATTGTTGATTATGTGCTCAGCAGTTTGGCTAATTACCTTTGGCAGATGCTTGATGCATATTAATTTGGGATCCCATGTCAATTGTAACTGTCTTTGGTTTGTAATCTAGCCTCTACTTCGCATAGCTGAGCAACAATACGGGTGTTCACTTGAAATGCAACCTCAGGCAATTCTGTAGGAGGCACAAGGTGGTTTCCTGGGAAGATCCCTGCACTATGGGGTGGGAGCCTGGATTCTCATGTTCAGCAGCCACATAGGCTGGTTATTTATGTCACATAATCCTGCCAGGCACATCTGCTGCATAGGAATGCCATGTGAGTAGGGGAGCCATTATTAATTACTACCACAGGGGACCAGAAGGGGAAATAGCTCCTTAAGCACATTTCTGGAGTAGCCCCTAACTAACAGTTGTTTGAAGGAAAAATATTAATTTGATAAAAACACTTTAGGGAATTAAAAAGCATGATGATCCTAAATGTTAGTGAGATTGTGGAGCAACTGGAATTCTCATACATTGCTGGTGGGAACATAAAATGGTACAACCACTTTGGAAATCAGTTTGAGAGGTTCTAAGAAAGTTAAACATGCATTTATAGTATGATCCAATAGTTCCACTCCTAGGTATTTACATTAGAGAAACAAAAACACAAGTAGACACACAGCCTTATTCATAAATGTTTATATAACACCTTTATTCATCATAGCCCCAAACTGGAAACAACCCAAACACCCACCAACAGATGAATTCATGAACAATATACCATATTCATATAAGATATGGAAGGGAATACTATTCAGCAATTAAAAAAAACTGAACTACCAAGGCATGCAACAAAATGAATGAATCTCAAAAACAGTATGCCAAGCAAAAGTAGCCAGATACAAGAAGAGTACATATTGTATGATTCCATTTCTGGACTCAGACAAATGAATCCAGAGTGACAGAAATCAGGGTAGTGGCTGTCTAGGGCAGGAAGTTGAGGGGAAATTGATGACAAAGGAGAGGAGGGAACATTGTGGAATGATGAGAAGGTTCTATATCTTGATTATCGTGGTGGTTTCACGTGTGTACACATTTGACAAAACTCATCAAACTCTGTGTTTAAAATGGGTTTATTTTATTATGTGTAAATTATATCTCAATAAAGTTGAATGAAAAAATGAACACACACACACTGGGAAAGCAGTGACAAATATGAAGTTGAAACACCCCAGGCTGGCTCTTAGGTGCTAACAAGGTGGTAGTCCTTCTCAGACTGGTGCCTGTTTTGGGGGTAGCTCTCCCACCAAAGTTGAGGTCCTGACCTAATTCTACTCACAGGCTGATTCCTTTTTACAAAAGCCTTGCTACACCTCTGTGAGAATGACAATGGATATGAAAGCACTTTACAAACCAAAAAGTGCTACATCCAATCAACAAAGATGGCTAATGCTGAGGCTCCTTGTCTACCTGCTTGGTGTCCTGGCCTGCCCTTATGGCAGCTTTCCCGGAGAAGAAAAAAAAATGATGGAGAGACATCCTTCCTGGGCCTCCAAGTAGACCTAGAACCTGCAAGCATTTCCCTTCCCTCTCTCGTTTCTCTCCTCAGCTGAGCTCCTCTCACTTCTCAGAGCAACAGTCCTTTGATAACCTGTAGAGGAATCATGAATAAATGGATATAAAGACAGCCTTCCTTAACACACACACAATTTTTAAAATTAAATTAATTCTTCCTTGTGGCATCATAACTAAGAGCTCGGGTCCCAGGGTCAGACTTCGTGTGTCCAGAGACCAGCTCCTCCGCACTTGCTGGCTGAACCTATAAAATCCTTTAGCTTCTCTGTGCCTCAGCTTCCCTGTTTGTGAGAGAGGGGTGGAAATAGTACCCACACCACAGGCTGATAGGAAAATTAGTCAATGTCCTTAATACAGTGGCCGGCCCAGAGTAAGAAAGTAACAACTGAGAGCTAGAAATCCTACGGGATATTTTTGTTCTGACTCCCCATCTTCTCTCTGAATTTTCCTTAGGATATCAGACAGCATTTTATCAACTCCACAGAAACCCATCCGGACTCTAGAGTCTGTAAGAGGAGGAAGTTCCCACACACACTCAGCCTACATTGGAACTTTTCTAAAAATACCAGTTTACATAGGATAAAATGGTGGGGCACAGCCACACCTTTAAGTTTTAGTTTCCCAATCTGAGTTGATGGTGTTATATTTTATCTATACTTACTTGAGAAGCCTGTCAAGTGTGCTGTAACTGTATGAATAGACAGAAAGGTCCAGCCACATGCCAGGGTCGAGAAATGTAGAAAATTGGGTGCTCTAACAAGCCAAGTAGGGAATTAATAATATATTTAGAATTACTAATAAAATGCCTGTCAAGCAAGTGGCAATATGTGCTCTACAAAAAAAAAAAAAAAATGACTGCCTGCTGTGTAGGGTGCGCACTCTTCCTGAGAAGTATATATTCTTGGAAATAAAATGATTCACTCCCAGATAAAACTTCTGTTCCCTGGCATTTTTCCCCTAATTTTTCATTCATTTGTGTATTTTTTTTACATCCCCTCATGTAGCTCCACCAACCCTCCCAGACGTCAGTGGGTCAAGCAGCCTCCCAAGGCAACCTTCTGCACCTGGCTCACAGCCAAGCATCCATGTCTCAAAGTCCCGTCCGGCAGGCTTCCTCTTCTTCCTCCTCATCCTCCTCTTCTTCAGCTTTGAGCGTGGGCCAGTTAGTCAGCAGTAAGTATCCTTTCTGGCTCGGTTTAAATCGTGGTGGCCTTCTTGTTGCCTATTTGCAATGTCTTCCTTCTTGTCTCTCTCTCACTCTCTCTTGCTCTCTCTTTCTCTCAACCCTGCACAGGAATTTCCTGGCACTGCTAGGTCAATATTGAGATGAAGTCCGTCCCCAGGACCAGATGGTTCCTTAGGGAAGCAGGTCCCCAAAGCACACTCCCTGAATTAGTGGCTATCAAGGACCGGGTTCCATCTTAAGTAGTTGCTGATGTGCTGAGTCAGTCCTGCCACTTCAGAAGGTAGCAACTGATCAGCTTTCAGGGCATGAGCCACATAGCTCACAACTGAAATAACCAACAACAGGCACTCAGCTGGCAGGTCAAGCTGCTTTTATGTGTGTTTGAAGTCCCCTGCCATTCTATTTGTAGGTGTCAGAGGAAATAAAAGAGAGCATGCCTGTGGGCGGGTGGGTGTGTGTGTACAATAAGCCACCTCAAGTGGCATGTGGGGGAAGCTGCATGGGCCGGAATCAGATGAGAAATCTCTGAACAACCATTCATAAAATAGGATAAGCCTGCAAGTCTGCCTCCCTAAATAGCCTATATATATGTATATATAGTTTTTAGAATGGTATTTGGCCCTAGGGATAGATAGTATATTTATCACATGCAAATAACAGCATGTTAAGATGGATGGGACAATGGTCTGATTTAATGTCAGTCACGTTTAGTGCAGTTTTTACTTATATATAAAACTGCAGAACATGTGCATAGATTGCAATTCACCAGGGACCAAAAATCCAGTAGCTATGGGTGCCTGCATAGGCATCTGTGCCATAAAATGAGGACATGTGAGGATCTGTGTTTGGTCAAGTGTCATGAATGACCTGTTATAGCAGGAACAGTAGGATCCTCACATATCATGGGGCAATTCTTAAAACAAAATGGATGGTTGCCATGACCTCCCCGACAAGTAATCCTCCTCAAAAAAGAAAAATAATTACATACATATATGTCTATATTCAATTATACTGATAATTAAGGCAAGAAAGATGCTTGTGGGTGGGGAAGAAAATGGAATGAGGCATTATGGAAAGATGTTAAAATGCCCAGGTAGGCCGGGCACAGTGGCTCATGCCTGTAATCCCAGCACTTTGGGAGGACAAGGCGGGCAGATCACCTGAGGTCAGGAGTTCGACACCAGCCTGACCAATATGATGAAAGCCAGTTTCTACTAAAATACAAAAATTAGCCGGGCGTGGTGGCATGTGCCTGTAATCCCAGCTACTCAGGGCGCTGAAACAGAAGAACCACTTGAACCTGGGAGGCAGAGGTTGCAGTGAGCTGAGATCGCACCATTGCACTCCAGCCTGGGCAGCAAGAGCAAAACTCCATCTCAAAAAAAGAAAAAATGCCCAGGCACTTCACCAGACTAACCTGGATGCTGTTGATCTTAAAGATGGGTCAACACCAGAGTTTCAGGATACATATGCATTTTCCATCAACTGTATTTTAGGTTGTTTAGATATACAACCCTCTCCAGAAACTCTAGTCTGACTTGCATAAAGTTAAGGATAAAGTGAATTTAATTATAGCCAGATTTCCCCTAATTAAAAAAAAAAACTTTTCCTCGGGAAGAGTCAAACTTTGTTACAATTCAATATTCTGTATAAGTTTCTGCAAAATACTCCATTTCTAAATGGCAGCAAGGTCATAAATTTAGGATAAACTGTTAAGCTTTGGTCCTGAAAGAAAAAGAACCAAAGTTAAGCATCTTACAGAGAAGAAATAAGTTAAATATGAAAAAGAAGTACAAACAACCTCCTACTAATACAGTGTTTCACACAAGGTAAATAGTTAACATGTGTAAGATGGACAGAAAGATGAATGAGTGGATGGGCAGACAGCAGACAGTCAGATGGATGGAACTGGGTTCTCTCTAGTCACTTGTCACAGCTGGGCAGTGAAGGATTAGCCTTTTTCAGAAATCAATAACAGAGATACTTTAATGGGCCAGATAGAACTTTCATTGCACAGTAGCCAGTGGGACATATAAGTTCTAGGTTTATGATGAGTGAACCATATTACATATCCTCGGTATGAAATATATAGACGTGGGAAAGAGAGACTCTTTTACCACATGCAATTGAAGCCGGAAACTTCAAACCCATATGCAGAGACTGAATGACACCAAGCTAGCTCCACAGTTGTCTCTGCAGGCCAGGAGAGTCTAACAGTACCACTAGGGGTCGCACTTTGCCCTAACCCCTTGCTGGACTTGAGTTGCCACAAATTTTGAGCATGTTGTTTAGTTAAATCCCTTCTGTCTCAAAAGCAACTACAGAATGAATAGTACATGAATCATATCACTCTGGTTCCATAATTTGCTATGATGGCTCACAGAACTCAGAAATACATCTACTTGTTTACTATAAAGGATATGATAAAGAATACAGATGAACAGCTAGATGAAGAGGTACGCAGGGCAAGGTCTGGAAGGATTCCAAATGCAGGAGTTTCTGTCCCTGTAGAGTTGGAGTGCACCACTCTCAGAATGTGGATGTTTTCACCAACTTGGAAGCTCTCCAAATTCCATACCTTAGTGATTTTTGTGGCAGCTGCATCATGTAGACATGATTGATTATTAACTCAATCTCCAGCCCCTCTTCTCTCCCTAAAAATGGAGGTGGGGCTAAAAGCTTCAAGCTTCTAATCATAGCTTTGTCTTTCTGATGACCAGCCACTATCATGAAGCTATCCAGGAGCCCCTAAGAGTCACCTCATTAGAACAAAAGATGTTCCTATCATCCAGGACATTCCAAAGGATTTAGGAACTCTGTGTCAAGAAGTGGGGTCAAAGACTAAATATTAGAACAGAAGATGCTCCTAGCACCCCTATTTGTTAGGAAATTATAAGAGTCTTATGAGCTCTGTGCCAGGAACCAAGGATGAAGACCAGGGATATATATATATATATATATATATATATATATATATATATATATATATATATATATATATATATATATATATAAAATAAGATATATATATATCTTATTACATCACAATATCACCAAAACTTTGGTCAAAACCATGGCCAATGACTCCTCCACGTCGTTGTCAAAGACTGTCATCCTAGTGTTGGCTAACCTGCCATATGCCAGATGAACTAGAATAGGTGGATCATACAAAAGTCTTGCCAACTACAAGCAAGAGAATGCTGGGTTAATACCTTAGTAATGATACAAGATGTTCATATGCAAAGAAAGCACGTCTGGGCTCAGAATTACCAAACATGCAGATTATTAGAAAATCTGCACAATACTTATTTATAGCACCTACACACCTTGCCTTGTGTTAAACCTTGCTCAGTCTCCATAATCATCAGAGGTGGATATGGTTTTTATAAGCAGGGTTTTCAGAAAATCAGAAGAAAAGTCAAACAAGTACTTGACAAATGTCCCAATTAGGTTTAAGATTTACAGTGCACTGTTTAGAAATAGGTAGGTTTAGGGTTTTGATCACTTGCTGGATTTTTTTCCAGTATACATTTTCTAAACACCTAAGCTCTATCCTTAGACAGCAAATGACTTATAGTTAGCTCCAGAAAAAAAACAAAACTATAAAGTGAACTTAAAGTTGCATGCTGATGGCATATAGCACAGTGAAACCCCTGTTTCACAATCCATGCCATTTTCTACATCCCAAAGAGGTCACCATATTGCAAAAATACTGTTCTCCCAAATTGCATTGCAAACTCCCAAATGGCTTCCTATTTCTCAGAAATATGTGGTAAATATGCCCATTATTTGCTGTGAGAATAGCACTAAAAAGCAGACAGCTATTTACATAACATAGTTAATTAATTCATACCTTTGGAAGCTTCTTTAAAGGTGTATATTACTCTCATAACAATCCCACAAATCAGGAATCATAGAAAGATGATGTTGATGCATGGTGACTATTCAACCCATTTAGCAGCACCTTACACTGATGCCCGGGCTAAGAGTGGGAAGGAGCTAAATTTAAAAAAACAAACAAACAGCAAAATAAAGCAAAACTCTGTCTGACTGATGCATCCTGAGCATTCAATTCAGTATGTGCCCAGTGACCACGCAACCAGATTCTACAAAGCAGGTTTGTTTTCACACAGTTTGCATTTAGCACCCATAAAAATCTTTTTTACTTTCAGTCCATGCATCCCAGGCTTGATTTTGGAAACATCATCATTATGTTTATGAGTCACTGCCAGTTTTCAATGCCATGTTAGCCTAAGTCCCCAGGCCAGTTAATTCCTCTATAAGTTGATCAAGTGTCAGACTCAGGGTGGACCCTGGCCATCATTGCTATTACTTTCTGGCCCTGTCTTTAATATATCAGGCTCATGTAATCTGGAGCAAACTTCTATAAAAGATGTCATTTCCTCCACCCTCCATAGAAACCTGAGATTGGGTTTCCCTAGAGCTGGTTAAAAGTGCTGGATCCACCTTGTGAGAGATCTGAGGATTTTACCTGAAGTTCCCATCAAGGTGGCCTTCAGATTCATCCTTAAAATGAACCCAACCTCCCCAGAGCCAGGAGAATAGATGACAGAAAGCCAGATTGAACTATCCCAGGACAGAATGTGAAATTCTGAGCTGAGGGAGCATTCCAGGGAGGACTCTATTTATCACAATCACCTCTTATTTCCCCTTTTCAAGCTGAAAAGTATATATTCCTTAAGGAAGGGAAACTCTTCTCCCAGTGAAACAACCTCAAGAGTTTAAGACAGAAACTTTGGGATTAAAAAAAGAGCATTCGTCTTTTGATGAATTCAAAACATCTTACAGACAGCATCTAATGAATTCTCCCAAAGTGTGAAGACAAGTCCCACAGGTAGTAATCAGGGTAAAGCTAATGTTTATCTAGAAGTGGACCCCATTTTGAATGGGAAGACTTTTGTAGTCTCAGAACCCATGGAGCAAAACGGTAACAATAATATTTTGCCATCTGAGTTTTCTGGATAAGAACACTAATATAAAGAAATCTGAGTGTTCACCTCTGGCAGTCAACAAATTTTGCAGAGAGATGCTACTTTGTCCAATGGACCATCACCCTGTTTAAATTTCATAAGAATTTCTATTTTATCACGGAGCTAAGTAGAACCAGGAGAAAATACAAGAGTGGAAACTGTCAGAGGAAGAAGAAGGAATTCAGTTTCCTGGTGGAATAACTGTTTCTTGGGGGCCTCATGGAAGATACTGGGCTCAGTAGCCCAGGCTCCCATCCCTCTGAGCTTTAAAGTGAAAGTTTGATAATCCACACAACAGCATCAATGCACACAGACTAAAAGTCCACAGCTTCCTTTTCAACTCTTGTTATTGTCAGTGATCTGACAAAAAGCAGCCTGCACGATCACACATACGGATTTAGTTGATAGACTCAAGGAACTAGTAAGGACACATAAACAATAGAGACGGCAGAGGAAGGGAAGAAAGATTAGAGGACACATTTACATAAAATGTCAGCCCAAGTCATTGGGCTGCCGAATCCTGTGCCAGTGTCTGGTGGCAACACAGGCCTTGGGACTGGAGTAGACCATGGAAACCCTTCCAGATTAAAGACCTGCCCCTCACATACTGGTTAATCCAACTGAATCTCGCTGATCTAGAGATGGGGCTAACAAAGGCAAAAATTTTACTTTCCCAGCCCGCTGATTCCCAGATCTTGGCCACTTGCCATAAGTAGTGACAGTGGGGTAAGGAAAGGGCCAGGGTGGGATGCCTGCTCCGGAGCCCCTCCTCAACAGACCTGTCTGGCCCGTCAGTCCTATACAGGTGAGAGAGCAAGTTTTCTGTGTAGTGAAGCCTGCTGAATAATGGTAAAGGATCAGTAAAGACAATGGCACACAGAGTGCACCACACCCAGACTTGGTCAAGCCAGGGCCACAAAGAAAGATTTCTTTCTGTAGTTGTCAGCAGATCCCCTGCATCAGAATCGCTTGTGTTACTTGTTAAAAATGCACATCCCTGGGCCCAAAGCAGTGACTCTTATACCTGCCAAATTAAGAAAATCACAGTCCTAAAAGTGATATTGTTACATGGAACGTCTCCAGCTTTCCATCTTTTCAGTTTCAAACCTCCATGCTCACACCCTTGCAAGACTGCCAAACCCTTCTTCCCTCTCTCAGAGAGGCCAGACCCCTCTCTCACTGTACCATTCTGTACTCTCTGCTCTAAACCAGAGTTTCTCAGCTATTATTTTATTATCACCCCACTCCCCCTGCAAGCAGCATTTTTAGGTGTTTTGTTTTTATCTTAATTGCCCTCCTTCCTCCCCACCCCGCCCCCCCATAACATTTTAATACCACAGATATGTTGCACATCTGCCCTGTTGATGTACTATGGCCCTTTGGGGGACCACACCATTGTACTAAGACTTTTCCTGCCTCCCCCTCAGAACCAATATCAGCCTCACTGGAAACGCATGCTTTAAACGCAGGGTCACAAAACGGGCTGAGCAGGGAGCAGGTTGGAGGCTGGGTGGTGTGAACATGAGGAGGAGCTGAAGGAGCAGCCAGAATCAGTTCCAGCCCACTGGACATTACCAAGTGCAAATGTACATCCGGAGCAGCCAAATCTTCTAACATTCAGAAGAGTTTGGGAAATGAAGATTTTCCTTTAGAAATAAATGTTTACATGTTAGCAAGTGCTTTTTTTTTTATGTAAACACTAGGAAAGCTGGGTTTTATTTGCACACTGCTCATTTGCAACTTTTGCTCTAGGGATTTCTTTCACGGGGAAAGGAAAAAAGGGCTCGAGACTGCGACTGCCGAAGTGAGCTCCCACAATCCTTAGCGAGCCCGGAAGCAGCTCCAGGCTGATGTGCTCGTGGGGTTTGGAATCCAGAGCACAGCCTCCACTAGGGACGGCCCGAACAAATCTCATTAGCCAAGGGTTGCCTGCCTTCTGGGAGTAGTTTTGGGAGAAAAAAACAGGACTTCCATTCATCTTAACAGTCAAACCAATTTTATAGTCACTGCCCACCCCTGCCCCGCCCGAGCTCATAGATTCTCAGTGTGCTACACTGAAATATTCACTACTCCTAGCACGAACTCCTGCTTCACCCTACCAACCTGACAGGTCCCTACGGTGCCCTGCTCCTCCCTGCATTTCTGCCTGTGTGCACGCTGTCACCACTGACCAGACTATATGGCTCCTTCATTCTCTGAAAACTGCCCATTGGGAAGACCTAGATGAATCCTCCCTCCTCTCCACTCTCCTGTCTCTGCACACCCGGTGTGGATGTCATACCATTAGTTCTTGATTATACTCTGCCTGACACTTTTCTCTAATTGTTTCTAATGCATTAGCATTGGATGCCAACCCCCTATAGACTGTAAACTCCATAGAGGCTGGAACTGTTTCTGAGGCTGGAACTGCCCCTCCCTCCATTCCAGACTCCCAGAAGTTACTTTTCAAAAATAATTAGACTGATTGCAGTAGTTGTACCACTTTCCAATCTTTCTACAACAAAATTATGAGTAATGACATTCTACAGGACTTTTGTCGTTGTTGTTTTAATGTGAAGATAAAAGACAATCTATACCTGTTTTGCTGATTCTGTTGACAGAGTCCATTTTCCTCAGGCTGGAGAAGATCCCTCCCCAGTAATGAGAAAATCTGTACATGAAGCTCCAAGCTCCCCACAGATATTAACATCTTTATTTAAAAGTCCTTGAAAATGGGCATTTGGCGTGCAAATGTTCTGGTTTTGTGGGTTTTGTTTTGTTTTGTTTTGTTTTGTTTTGTTTTGTTTTGTTTCACGACAACTAGAGTTTCCATAGTTCTCAGCCCAGAAGAGTAATATAGTCTGCCACAGTCCTTGGACAAGTACTCAAATTTACTGAAATTGATGGGCTATTGCGCAGAAAAAGGAAGAGAAAAACTTTTCACCTAAGTCCGAGGAATGAGGTGAAGAACAATAGAGTCAGCTCACAGGGAGAATGGCTTTGCTACAGGCAGGATTGAGTAGCACTTTGAAATCTTCCACCATCCCCAACCCATGCTGTCTCCAGCTTGGTGTACGCTTTCATTTATCCAGGGATCAGTAGCCAGGGGGGGAAAAGTTTCATTCTCCAGCTGTTGTGTCATTTCCCTTGATAAGTCCTAAATTGACCGCGTTATCAGGCACCAAAGGAGCTTTCCTGTGGTAGGCATTTTTTATTATGTGCCCTTTCAGGGGACAAAGGCGTCTGTGTCAGTAAACTGCTATGGGGGGAAAAAGACAATATCATTCTCGCAGTTTCATAAGCATGCTCTTCTGAGGGACTAATGTGAATGTAAGAAATTAGGCAACATTATCATCTGTTAGCCTAGCTGTTAGCCTGACTGCTTTGGCGATCAGTTGAAGGAAAAATACAAAATACTATTGTCTTCAAGAGCAATTTTTAGCACTAAATATGCTAATTAAAACATTTCAAATGGAAACCTTTCCCTTTTTATATTTTTGCACAATATTTGAACATACTTATGGGCAAAATGGAGTCGCATTCCCATAGCAAGTGCCTCCCAGTGCTGGCTGTTATTTGTTAAGCCCTAAGGAACATGCTCTGGCATTGGGGAAGTGGCAGTGTGAACAAGCTGTGGTTTTATCTGGGACAGAAACATCTCGAAGGATGATTTGTGGAGGTGTAATGAGTTGCGGATGGAGTGTTGGGTGTCTCACCTGGGAGACAAAGCGAACATTCTCTGAGGTTGGTTTCCTCACTGCTCTGCTGTTAAAGAGAGCCACTTTCTTATAAACCGTAATAAACAGATATTGCTCGGCTGTGTGTTGACGTATTGATCCTATTTTTAAAAACATCTCCACAGATCCTCAAACGGCAGCGGGTGAGGTGGATGGGGTTAATCTGGAGGAGATCCGAGAATTTGCCAAAGCTTTTAAAATCCGGCGCCTGTCCCTTGGCCTGACCCAGACTCAGGTGGGACAGGCTCTCAGTGCTACAGAGGGCCCCGCGTACAGCCAGTCGGCCATCTGCAGGTAACGCGCGCCTGCATGCTGTCACCTCTTCTAGCCGCCCTGGGCCTCATTTGTCCTCGCGGTTCAGCTTTTCTTCGTCGGGTGGGCAAAGCTGGAGGGGCAGAGAGTGGGAACAAAGTTTGGGGGCAGCTATATGTTGGGATTGGTGATCTTGATGCAAACGACGCTGCTGAAGCAAATTTGGGGGTCCTGGCTTGATAACTCCTGTCAACTCACAAAGAACTTCCAAGGCAGTCTCATTGGAAATACACTACCCCAGGGTCAGGGGCCTTCCTCCTGGGCCCACACTCCTATGCAGCTGAGAGCCACCGACTTTGTCTGCACGTAGGTATTCTGAGCAAATGTTGTAAAGCTGCCATTCCTAATTTGTGTTAACGCCTTTGCTATTTCTGCCCAGAGATGGCTATCAGGATTTTCCAAGAAAACACACATTTTAAAAAAAAATTAACTATCTTGTGACCTTGAAGGTTTTAACTTGCCTTCCCAGACACAGCTTTAAAAGCACATTTATAAGAAATAAAAAATAAAAGAAAAGAAGCGGTGGCTGCTTTAAATGGCTCAGAAAAGGGTAGTGAGAATCTGGCCTAACCTTGCTCATCTCCCCCAAATTAAATAAATGAATAACAGAATCCAGCCTTGGTTGTGTTCAAGTTGATCCGGGTTAAGTGGTCAGAAGCAGGCCCCGTGCATGCATGTGTGTGTTGCACTAATCCCATGTTTATGCATGAGGTAACAAAGGCACTTCGGTAAGAGCTTTTTCCTCTTGGGCAATACCTTATGAGTCCTCCTCCAACAGGAAAAGCCAAGAAACCAACTCTAAACTCATTTAAGTGGATTTTGTTCTTGGTGATCCATGAAATGCTGTCTTTTTATCTGCTCTTTATACTTTTAATGTATTCCCCAAAGGACGGAAGTGTACTTTTCCTGCAGTTTAAGACTAAGGTTATAAATAACATCAGTATGGGGTAGTAGCTTGCAGCTCACATTTTGCTCAATGATTTCCCATAAAACCCATTGATTGTTGTTAAATACAAAAAGCACCATAGGATCCTCTCACTTCTATGGCCTCCCCTACTGTTTTTTCTTATAAGATACCTCCCTGTAGAAAATAACCTTTATTCAGTCTATACAAGGATACTACTGCTGGGAAATTTGTTTCAAGGCTTGTATATGTTATTCCAAACAACATGTACAGAAGTGTCAACACTAACAAACAGCATCCATGATATGAATACCATTGCTCCCTGTTGGGAAACATTAATTTTGTTTCATCTTGACAGCCTTGGGATAAAGGCAGCCACAGGTTTTTAAGTTGTTGCCAATTTTCTATTGGTGCTAAATTCCTGTTTTGCTTATTTTTAGTCCTAAAACGTGATTTTCTTTTATTGATACAAGTGCTGGCTAATGTTTAACTCATACACTTAGCACTTCTTGGGCATTCCCAATAAAGTATGTTGATTTCTAAAGTCTACCCCCAGAGAGAGGTCAAAAAAGCTGTGGCTGAAATGTGGAGACTTTGGGAATTTCTAGTATAATAGAACATGTCTGATGCCTTGACTTTTG
Organism: Homo sapiens; assembly: GCF_000001405.40. Lineage (NCBI taxonomy): Eukaryota > Metazoa > Chordata > Mammalia > Primates > Hominidae > Homo > Homo sapiens. The sequence continues at coordinate 39,462,279 of NC_000007.14, forward strand.
GGCCTTTCTCTAGCTTCCAGTATTTCAGTGAGATCGTTTTAGGAGCTATCTACCAAGAAAAGAAAGAAAGACCGAGATCTTATATTGGAACAATTTAAGTGAATTCAAAGGGTGGTGAGGAACCTGCTTTGGAGGCTGCACACTCAGGCATCGCTTGTCCCTCATGAGCTGCAGTGACTCCTAGGAGCTGCTTTAAATCCCTCCTTATCAGAGGCACAGAGAAAAAAGCATTACCAATACACTGATCAGCCCTATCACAACCTCTGTCCCCTCGTGCCTTGACACTGTAAAGCCTGTTGTGACGCTATCAAATATTTAAGCTTTGGGGATTTTATGGCAAACGATGGCAAAATGTGGTATGTGGCAAATTAGCACAACAATGAGAGCTTTTGAGGAGCTTGCCATAAAGGACAAGTTCATTAAATAACATTAAATGATCAGTTCACTCTGTATTGAAAGTAAATGTACTCCTTCCGTCCTTGACCAGTACTGGAAGCTGGGTTTTTCAAAAATAAACAAATAACCCTTGAGTTCTACATGGAAGGGAATGCTATGGAAATTGCATTAAAATTTGGTTCTGTTTGTGCTGCTTATCACATTATAAGAGATCTAAAATGTGCTGCCAAAAATAAGATTGTGGCACATAAAGAAAGCCTATCCTTTTCTGTCCTTTTGCAAGCATCCTTACAAAACATATTCTGAGTAACATGGGCTCAGTTTAGCTCTATGAGAACAGACCATTGAAATAAAATACACTCTGTAGTCAGAAGTTTTTCAACAGCATGGGACACTGTAAAAGGGAGAGGAGAATTCTGTGTATCCAAAGCTGTCATACTGGAGAGTTGTGAATTTGGATTTAGAATAAACAAACAAACGAATAAAAGGAATTCCTACTTTTTTTGTACTTCATTGAGAGTGAGTGTGAGTTTGGTACCAGGGCGACTTCTTAAAACACTCTATATAATTTTGTCCAAGACGCTTCATATTTTTTAAAGTCAATGTAGCAAAGAATTGCTGATGGCAGTTGATATATAGAAGACCTCATTTACAGAAAATGATATCATTCAAGTACAGTTTGCAGATATCACACATTAAACACAGCTTGGTGCCCTGGTGCAAAAGTACACCATTACACCGGCTGGTGTTTGGAAGGCAGGAGGTGGCCTTAGTACACCCAGAGGTGGGGTGTTTTATAGTAATTACAATGTGTCCAGCTGTTTGAGCCAGAACAGGAAAGTAGCAATGGGTAATGTTTTACCTGGAAAAAGGGCATGTTGTTAACTTACATACGGTGAAAATTGTTTGTTCCCAGGGAGAGAAAAAGAGAGAGAAGTCAAAATGAGACACAAAAGAGAGATAAAAAGAGAGCCATATAAAAGTCCCAATGGCCATCAGTGACTATGATAATAGCAATAACATTTTTATAACCAAGTCAATGGGGGTAATTTAAAGAAAACCAAATGTAAAACACGTAAAGAATCATTTTAAATGAAAGAATGTGACAACTGTCATCTTTGATGTCACTTCTTAGCGTTAATTTTTGCCTTCATGAGTCTGAGGACTGAGAAATGGAGCTGGTACTATTCAAATAAATGCTTAGATCTCAGAGTTTATAGGGAAAAGGCCTGTGAGTTGTTTGCATGCCTATGATATGTTATGATAGCTCATGCATCCTGCTGTCTCTGCTTCTCATCACCCCTGTCTGTGCACCTGTGTGGTTTGCATGGTCTGGCATGGAGCACGCTGGGAGGGTGGGCGCTGGCTTGGGCAGGGCTGGCTACCTTGCAGCTGGCTATTAACCTGCAGTAAATTCGCCCTGCCAGGCAGTCAGGCAGGCAGGCAGGAGGCCCACCCTGGCAGAGGACTCAGTGTAAGACTGTTCTTTCTCAATTTTCCCCCCCAGACACACCATCCTGAGAAGCCACTTTTTCCTACCACAGGAAGCCCAAGAGAACACTATAGCTAGCAGTCTGACAGCCAAACTGAACCCTGGCCTTTTGTATCCTGCCAGGTTTGAAAAGCTGGACATCACCCCTAAAAGTGCCCAGAAGATCAAGCCGGTGCTTGAGCGGTGGATGGCTGAGGCTGAGGCCCGCCATCGAGCAGGTATGCAGAACCTGACCGAGTTTATCGGGAGTGAACCATCCAAAAAGCGCAAGCGGCGCACCTCCTTCACACCCCAGGCCCTTGAGATCCTCAATGCCCACTTTGAGAAGAACACACACCCTTCTGGGCAGGAAATGACCGAAATTGCTGAGAAGCTGAACTATGACCGAGAAGTAGTTAGAGTTTGGTTCTGCAATAAGAGGCAAGCCCTGAAGAACACAATTAAACGCTTAAAACAGCACGAGCCGGCCACGGCAGTCCCTTTGGAGCCCTTAACAGACTCTCTGGAAGAAAACTCCTAAAGAGATGCCCACCCATAATCAGAAGCAAAATTCACAGAAACTAAACTCCACCCTTGGGACTCCACAACAACAACAACAACAAAATTTAATTTAATTTAAAAATAGCCCCAGTCGTCATCACCCTTGTAAGTAAATGACTAAGAAAACTACCAAGTGGACAGAATGGTTTCTACATGTCCGTTGGTTTTCCAAAAAGGAAAGAAGAAAATTTTTAGAAAATTTTTAAACAAGGAATACACCACACTGAAGGTGTGTGTGGTAGGATAGTTCCCTTCCCCCACCTGTCTCCCCCAAAGCCAGTTTTTTAATGGACTTAAAGCAAACCAAATAACCACGTACTTTTTTCTGTATATTATGAAAATGTGAACACATTTTAAGGAAAAAGAAAAAAAAAAACTAAACCAAAAACCAACAACGAAGGAACAAAAACTTTGATCTGTTCAAAGCGAATACAAGCCTGCCACCTGGAGGAAGGACTGCACCCCTTCAGGTACTAAGTGCTGATTCACTATGAAACCTATTAACCAAAGTCAGAAACATGGCATTGCAACGCGATCGTTCGTCTACGCTTCTCCGCACGTAAAGTTGTGTTACGAATTTTTACATTTGTACTAACAGAACAATAGGAAGCCTGATTTCTCCCATCTTTCCCATCTACTGTCTCCACCCATGGGGTGGGTACCATTGTTGAAGCCATTCTGTGAGGCTCACTATTGGGTTTTTTTGTGGGGGTGGTAGGGAGGGTGGTCTTTTTTCTTTGTCTTTCTTTTTGACGGGAGGGCATCCTGGATCGTGTGCCAAAGCATTTGTTGCTTTTTTCTCACTATGACTTGTGGGTTTGAGAAAAGAAAATGGAGCTCGCATTTCTCTCTTTTCCTCCATTTCTCCATCTCCCTCGCGCGTGGCTCCTGGGGTCTGCTGGAAGGCCACAGAAGTGGGGAGAAGCAGTGTCTTTTCCACTCAGATCCTAGTGAAATGCAGGAGAGACTCCAAAATAACTAGGGCTTTGCTCGATGAACTGTCAACACTGGCATAAGCTGTAATTGTGCTCACTGTCCACACCAGAGCTTGGGATTTTTCTCAGTCTGTTGGCCACGTACATGGAGAGCTGACCAAAACTAATTTTGTAATATAAACATAAGCTGCACATTTGGTTCAATACTTACATCTATGTTATGCTTCTGTGCAAAGCAATTTCTCTCAGAAGTCTGATAGCCAAAGAAATGTCTCAAGATTTCAGTCAAATACACACATGACATGCACACACCCATAAACACACACACAAAGAAACAGGCTAAAAAGAAAGTGATAGCAACTGGATCATTAAAGGCCATCGTGTATCCTGTTAATCTCATCTTTTCTGCTACTTCTTTCATTCCAATAGCGATGGCAGACTTTTTTCAGGGGGAATAATTACTCTTCGGGATATATAAATGGAGCAGAAAGGTGGCGGGCAAATTTAAACAACTGGAATTGGGGGCCAGGTTCTTCAGGGGAAAGGAAGTTTGAAGAAGCTTTCACCAAAAGAAAAAAATATAGAAGGGGCTTATCTAACAATCAGAATAGCCTGCAATATGAGAACTAGAGGATTATTTCCTTTAAAAAAAATAACTTAAAAGATCTGTGGGCCACAATAACCTAATAAGCAAGGACATGTTGGGATGTGAGGACGGCTGTGCAGGTGAGCACTTGGCAGCTGCCACTGGTGTTTTCACCCAGGTACAGGCAGACGGTGTTCCATTAAAGGAGCAGGCAAAAGAGAGCTGTCAATTTGCTTGCTGTTGAAATGTACATATTTATGCATAATTTATAATCATGCTAATGTATTATCTAGAAGTAAGTTGTGAAAGAAAAAAGAGAAACCCAATCTCAAGTTGCCCAACTGATTAGAAATGCCATCTCCTTCCCCTAATACACTCCCTCTCCCTGGGGAGTTTGAGTTTCTTCTGTTGGCTCCTTTGCTGTTTGTGTAAATGCTACAGTATAATTGTCCCCTCCAATGATTCATGCAGCAATCAAGAGACTACCAGCAAGGAAACTCTAAAAGGAATCCTGGAAGTGGAACAAGTCACTCGTAAAGGTGTTTCCATTTTACCAGTCAATGCTAACTGGACCACAGCTAACTTGATCTTCAATGCCAACATCACAGAGCCCCTTTCGCCACCTCAAAAACTGCACAAACATGGACAACCCAGAAACCCAAAACTTTATTGATTAAAACAGATTTTGGATTCTCCTAGGACCTGCTCCAAATTCCATCAAGAAAAGCTCCCTGCGAAGAGAAGTTAACAAGATAACATATGATGGATGCTAAATATTTAAATATATGCCGGCAGCGGTTACATAAGGCCTGCTCAGTTCTGAGATCTATAATTGGGAGGGTCTAACTAGGACAGGGAAAATATAAAATAAAAGTAATCTTCCAGAGTGGAACAAAAAAGAAATATATTCATCCGACAGTCGTAACACCATTCATGTGCAGTGATTTTTTTATAGTTTTATAATTTTGTATTGTTTTATAAATTATTTATAAGGTGTTGTAATGCTTCTTATATTAATTTTTTACAGATAAATTTTTTGCTACAAGGCATAAAAAGGTGCCTGAACCGATTCTTAGGAATATAAATTATACTGTGTAACTCATAAGTCTTTGGGACCACACCTAATGCTTAATTTTATGATGACATTTCTCATGTCTACTTGTAAACAACTTCATATGCCAATGGCGTTTAAGTGTCTTTTATGTTTCCATGAACTGAAGGTTAAGGTTGCCACCCACAAAAAATAAAAGCCACTTTGGGCATATGTGATTGTATTTCAAGCTTCAGTATTTTTCTCACATAATTTTTAATTATTGTTATCTGCATTTTCATTACTTCATGAAAAAATGACAGTGGATATTACATTTTACACTTGTTTATAGATTTTCTTTCTTTTTCAACCAAGAAAATATTTTGAACAATTGAAACTTTTAATTGCATTTGCAAGGTTTTGGCTTCTTTATGTTGTCATCACACAGATGCACACACACATACACATACAACACAAAAGAGAGAACAAAAAAGCAAAAGGAGCTAGGAAAAAAACAAAACAAAACAAGTAGAGGTGTATCAAAGAACTCAAGCTATAACCAAAAAGAAATCGTAAAATGCCTTTGCTCGTTTCTCTACGCTGGACCAAAGCTCAATATTTGTAGGTATATGCACATTGTATAGATATGGCTAAATGTTGCTGACAATCTCGCAATACTAAACTGTTCCTATTTTAAGAAAAAAAAAAGAAATACAAACTGTTCATCAATGTTTTACCTCAGCACTCTACTTGTACCCAGTTAATGACCAAGCTTAAAAAAAAATTGAGATAAAGGAAATTGATTTTCATTTCAATGTTTGACTGTAAAATCTGTTTGGATAACATTTTGTAATGAGCTTTTTGTCATGTGATTTGCTTGTCTTCAACTTGAAATTATGTGAGGCACATTTGTTTATTTGTTGTTAAGAAAGTGATTTTTTTTTTTTTTTGTCCTATGTGCTGTGATCTAGACTGGTCACCGGGGTCACTTATGAGGCACCACAAAGAGATCTGCTTCTCCGTGCCCGGAGCAGGCAGCAGGAGGGAGGGCAGGAAACAGGACTGGGTTGCTTTGGAAAAATCATCATGACAAGAAGTTGACATGATAGACTTGTGACCAAGAAGCCAAACTGAATATTTAAAAGCTCCTTACTTGCTCTGACATTGAAACCAAAGCTGATTTTATCTGCACAGGTTGCTTAATATTTAAAAAAAAAAAAAACTGTACTTAATCTAGAGCAATATCTGTATGGTCAGTAAAGCTGCACTTTGTGTATTTCTTAACAGCTTCAGATCTGTCACTTTTAATTTGTACCATAAAAAATAAATAATTGTTTGACATGAGCTTCTAGGCTAAGTGTGTCTCACACTCAGATATGTCATTTAAGTTGTCAGCATTTTAAAAACTGTACATTAAAACCCCAAATGTTAAGGAAAGGAAGGGGTTCAAGACAGATTGGTTAATATCATGATTATTTTAACTTTTCAAATGACATATTGTATTCATTGGGACTCTTTTGGTTGCAAGTTATAGGAATTCAACTGAAACTTGCCTACACATAAAGGTACTGTGTTGTTTGACTTAATGGGAAGTTCCGTTGTGGACCTGAAGCACAGCTGGATTCAGTGGTTTCAAAGATGTCATCAGCCTGTCCTGCTTGGCTTCCTTCTCAGATGGATTCTCTAACCATTGACTCTAAGGCTTTGAATCATTGCGCCCTTCTCTAAACTAAGCACTGGTGCTGCGGGGTGATGCACATAAATTCATGGTCACAGGCTCATTCCTGTCTGTGGGGGGAGGGTGGGGCCTCACTCTGACGACCCTGTGGGACCACAAGGATTGAAAGAGGAGTACACATAAGAACCGGAAGACAAAAAAATAGAGCCATGGTAATGAGCAGACAAAACCCAGAGCCACCACATTCTACGACTAACACCCAGCTGTGTGCCAGGTGTCGTAGAGAGTTCTGTTGGTGAAGAGTGATCTGCTAGTCTAAGTAATGTCTGTAATGGCATGTTCTGGAAAATTGGACATTTGGCATATGTTCCTGCTTGAAGTTTAGTGTGGGTAGGAGGGGAGAGTGAATGTTGTTATATAATTCACTAATTCAGAAAATAGGATCATCTTGCTAAAATACCAGTAAAAAAAATTTAGAGTCATAATCGCCATACTTTCAGTGACCTTTAGCAAACATTTTTTATGCTACATGGAAATCTGTGTATCAACTTCATACTGTGATTGATAAGAAGTGCTTTGGAGTGAGCAACAAAACCAAAAATCCAAATGACCATGCATTATAAATGAGCCATGAAGGGGCCAGGGAGCTCCAAGCCTGACTTTAAAAGGGGCAAAAGAAAAAAAAATGCTGATACTTCTGCCTTGAAGGGTGGGGAAAAAACAAAAAATAAAGTCATTTTCAATGGCTTTCTTTCCATATTTAATATTCTACAAATATTATTGGCAAAGGTCCTGCCTATGATTATGCCTATTATGAAATATGTTTGACCTAGGAAACTCTAAAATGTCTTCTTTAAAAAGGACAGACATCATTTACATTTAATCATTCCATATTCCACAAATATCTGCTAAGCATTTAATGTGTCAGAAAATCCTGTGTGCTGAGGACTCAGAAATAAACAAAAAGAATCTTTGCCTTCAGTAAACTCATATTCATTGTGCAAAAACCAGTGATATTTCTCCAAAAAGTAAAATAATTCCATGTTTCTTATAGTATAATATTTCAAAAATAAATTTCAAAACTAAAATGATAGGAAGCAATTCTGAGGCTGACTTCAAAACTGAAAATGGATGGGTAGGAACAGCCTAAGCTTAGAATACAATCACAAGTATCTTTTAAATGATTCCAAAAGCTGTTCCGATAACAATTTTCTACTAAACCAACCATATGCACACAATATATTCAGTGTAGCAGGACAATGGGTGATGAGTTTAATAAAGAATCTATGCTTGGAAAGAGTTCAGAAGCAACATGTAGATAAAACTAACACGTAACAAAGACAAGTCTGAGCTCCTCATCCATTGTTCTGCACTTCGAAAGGAGTCCAACCAAATGCACCCATTTGTCTTACCTACCAGACATTGAGGAAAGCCATGGTCAAGGGAAGAAGATGACACCTAAGGAGAACTTCAGTGCACTGCATGAAAACCTTTCTAAAACATGTGAAATATTTCCCTGTTTTCTTAAAACAATTATTAACATCACTTATCCTCTTCAGGGCCTTTCTCCTATTTGCTTTATCCTTGTTAATGGCTCTATCCATCAGCCACCCAAAGCAGAAGTCTAGAAGTCATCCCAACCCCTTTATACACACACACACACACACACACACACACACACACACACACACCCTAAGTCACTAAAGTTCTGGCAATTCTGCCTCATGAATTCCTTTTGAATCTGTCTCCCACTCTCCATCACCCACTTCCACTACTTAGTTCAGACCCACCTGCCTCTCACCTGGATCACCATGATATGCTCCTCCTAGCCTCTACATCCATCATATGTTTACCCCAGAGTAGTCAAAAGGCCAGTATAAATAAATTTCTCTTTTGTTTAAAACCTTTCCTACGTTACCTTCAGAAAGAGAAACAGACTCCAGCACAGAACACAATACCTTTTGCAACCTGGTCCTTGCCTACTTCTTTAGCCTGATCTCTCATCAATTCCCAGTTCATAGAGTTATGTCCTTGCCACACCAAACTTCCTAAAATTTCTCCAATGCCCAAAGTACTTTTGATGCAATACCCTCTGCTTGGAATGTCCATCCACAGTATTGTTGACCTATCTAATTTCTATTCATTCTTTAAGCCTCAATTATGTTCAATTCCACAAATAGTTATGTGCCGGGCATTGTGCTTCCTTCATCAGAACATTTATCAAGTTTGCATGTTTATTAGCCACCTCTGAAATATTAAAAAATGACTGCCATTGATCTCTGAGTGGCCTGTGGACTTGGCTTACGGGTAAGTGTAGTTGGCAATAAGTTCTTTTAACTAGTTGTCATTTGCATGTGACAGATCTTCCTTGTCTAATAAGAGTAACAGTCATATTTGTATCCTTTTCAAAGCTCTCTCGTATACATTATTTTATTCGCTCCTAACATAAACCCAAAGAAGTGTGGTGATTCCTGTTTTATACATGAGAACTAAGAATCATAAAAGTTAATAGTCTTCACCAAGATCCCAGAGTTCATAGATAGAGCTGGTTCTTCAATACACTAGGAACTAGAATATTCACCAAGGTGAGGATACATTGAAACACAGTAAACTCTGATACAGCCATGTCTTTGAAGTGTCAGTGAAAACTACAGTATCTGATATATGGTAGCAGTTCAGGAAAGGCTTACTGCTGTGGATAATTACCAGTTATCTAATTAGCAAGTCCACTGTGATTTGGGTGAACTTAGTCTGAATGCTTACTGCTTGGCAGAAATAGTAAAGGACACATAAAGGGAAATTAGAAATGTCTATATACATTGTATTCTTTTATTATCACTGAGATTTAGGGTCTCCACATAAGAAAACAATTCCAATGATTCCAAAGGTAAATGAGTTAAAACCAGTTGAAAGTGAAAGAGAAAATCAGTGGGCCCTAGTCACTAATCCCACTAGCAAGTAAAGACCATGCGATGCATGTGGAAATAGGAAGCTGGCCTGGGACCTGGGCTGGAAGGTCCATTCCAGAACTTTCTTTGATACTCTTACGTCACTTTTAAGAGTTTTAGTTGGCTGGGAATGGTAGCTCATGCCTGTAATCTCAGCACTTTGGGAGGCCAAGGCAGGTGGATCACCTGAGGTCAGGAGTTCGAGACCAGCCTGGCCAAAACAGTGAAACCCCGTCTCTACTAAAAATACAAAAATTAGCCAGGTGTGGTGGCAGGCTCCCGTAATCCCAGCTACTTGGGAGGCTGAGGCAGGGGAATCGCTTGAACCCCAGGAGGTAGAGGTTGCAGTGAGCCAAGATCGCGCCACTGAACTCCAGCCTGGGCGACAGAGCAAGACTCTGTCTCAAAAAAAAAAAAAAAAAAAAAGAGGTTTAGTTGTGCTCCTGACCATTTGCCAGACCTGAGATGGTCATTCGGGAAGAAATCACACTCTTCCCATTGCCTTTTCTATATCACTGAAGTCTGGGATCTGTGTAAAAGGATCTGTATGGGTTAATGGGCTTTGTTACTGAGGTCACTGGGGCATCACCTCTAAAAGAGGGGACGTTTCCAGGGTGTTTGACTATTTGCACATATGCAATGGTAGGAGAGCCAATATAACAAAAAAGATCCAGAACTGAAGTAGTTCCAAACAACGAACTTCAGTCAAAGAGCAAGAAACTCATATGCAATAATAACACTCATGGTGAACTATAATATTGAACTCCTTTGCAGATGCTCTTATTAATATGCTAGATAAAAGAAGCAGAAAAGAGGCTGGCATTTCCTGGATACCTACCATATGTAGGTATTACTGTCCTCATTTTCAAATCCTGCACTATTTTCTGAGATTTGAGGCCTGCTTAGATATACTTATGCTACTAATAAATGTTCTCATAAAGGAAGATTCACTAAGACTTACCTACATTTAGACTGACTAAACTCCTGAACTAATGCATCATTGAAGTGGATCACTGGACCTCAGACAATGGATTTTTGATCCATGGATCTGGTCACCACTTGGGCCACATCTGTGACTACAGATGAAGGAAAAGAGATCATTTGGGAAACAGTTTTGCTTCTTTTACCTTCCAGTTTTTGTTATTGTTGAAATCTTTTATTGTATAAGTAATCTATTTTTATTATAGAAAAATCAGAATATACAAAGAAACAAGATATTTTCATTATAAATTATTATAATTCAGCTGTTTTTCTTTATATTGCTCTTTTAACATTCATGGGCTGCTTTAATTGTTTGTCTTGAACTTCAGAGACAGAGGGTAAATTAGAAAACCAAAAATAGAACTCACATATCTTGAAATCCCATTTCTGTGAAATGCCACAGCTGTTTGGGTTGCCAAAACTCAGTCATTATTTACCCAGAATCTTAACTTGACCCACCATGCAGCTAATCCTGGAAGAAAACACAATAGCCCCTGGTTGTCTGTGGGGGAGACACAAGGCCCGAGATCATTTCCACACAGGCTTTGCTAACCAATCAAGAGGTATGAGTGAAGAAAAGTGGATTTCAGTCATGGAAACATGCACCCCTAGGTACTGGCAGGCTCATACTGGCTGGCATGATGATCTCTTACTTAAAGTAAGCCTCTCCACTTTACATTCAAAGAATGGTTTTATCTTCATATAAGTCCAAACCGTATCAAGGCCTTCAATAGCCAATACCATGCACACAGTGAGCATTGTACACATGTCCTTTTGGGGAGCCAGTCTGTGATACAAAGGCTTGGGGAAATGACTTAAACCCATCAAAATCATTCTCTGCCATCCAATTTGATAAAACACACCCTGACATACACACACATTGAACATTTGTATTGCTTCTTTCCAACAGCACAAGCTTCACTCTTACTTTTTAACACACTCCTACTGTGTCCTGAGTGTTCAAATACTTACTTTTGGGTTTTTTGCCGCTTTGAATAGAGGGGAAGAGTCCACACAGGCTCTTGGTTCTGTTCCTGGGAGGTCACAATGCAACCAGTCCTTGAAAAACATAATGTGTGCTCAAGCACTTGCATGTGTATTCTTTATTTCTGCTTCTAGAACCATCAGACTCCCCAGGAGGAACAAAAATCAGAAAAATTAATATATCTGCAGTCTCCCAAGAGTATAAGAGCCTGTTTCTCCATTTTTTCTCTTCAGAGGAAGCATTCAACTCTGAAGGGGTCCATTTAAACTTCCTGAAGAGAGCAAAATACTTGGGGACACATCAGTGCCACCTGCCCGTCCCTTGGCAAAGCAACGGCCCCATCCCTTATTCTCCTCCTCCAAGTCCTTTATTTTCTGATTCTCTCCTTTAAACTTACTTTGCCCTTATTTTCCTCAAAACTGGAAGGGTGAGAAGCATCGTCAAGTTAGCCAGACAAGACCATTCAATATTTTGTGGGTGCACCCCCTCAACTTCCTCAGCCAGGAAACTCTACTTACATTTTGTGTTCTCTTGGCCTGTTGCTCCTCCTTTTCCTGACCTCCAAACTCTGATCAGCCTCCAAGATCCAGATGAAAGGCCTAAGACCTGAAAGCATAACAGTGAAACACTGTTTAGAGTTGAGGTCAGGATGAAGATCTATCACAGGGACTGGCAAATAGTAAGTATTTCAGACTTTGAGGACCATACTCTGCTGTTGTAGCACAAAAACAGCCATAGGCAGCGTGTAAAAAATGGTAGTAGCTGTGTTCCAATAAAACTTTAATAACAAAAACTGACAGTTGGCTGAATTTGGCCCAGAGACTATAGTTTATAGACCCCTGCTCTATTGGGCTAAGCTGGTTTGGGGCCACACAGTCCCCATAAGTCTTCCATGGACTCTGGGCATGGGCCCACCTCCTAGCCGTCCATAGTGATGCTGTCTGGGCTCCACCCAGAACCCCTAGGATTCTTTCACCCCACTTCTGTGTACCCTGCCACCTGCTTCAAAAAGGTTTGGCCCCCACACATTTTGCACCTTCTGGAGGACTTCCTCCAGCTACCAAGTCACTTTGGTCTGCAAGAGCACAGAGCCCCAGGTGCCTGGAAGTTTATGTCCCCAAATCCCTACCCCCCAGAGCTGGGAGGATGACTTCCCCGGCCCCCACAGCTCCTGGCCTGGGTACTTACTTCCAAGGCTCATGCATATTCCAGATGGAGGGACCAGGCTGCAGCCGCCCACCCTGGAAAATGACCTGGAATTGCTCCCTCACTTACCTTGCATCTCCACTCCCTTCCCAGGTTTTCCCAAAGTCCTTCCTTAATAAATCGCTTACACCCAAATCCTCATCTGTGGGGAAGCTGACCTCCGGCACCGTCTCAAAATGTTCTAAAAACCTCTTTCTTGCCTCCCTGAAGTGTTTGAAGATCCTGGAACAGATGCTCAAACACATCCCTAGATTTATCCGGGGCCCAGGAACCCTGTGGGAAAGACCTCAAACCCGGCCCTCAATTGAGGTTCAAACACTTGCAGAAGGTTGAGATTAGAGTTCCCCTCAGGGACACAGATTAGAGGGAGAGGGGCTTTTGAGGGAAGATGGCTCTGAGTCGGGGGATCAGCAGAGAGAGCCCTGGGCAGCCATGACTGGGAGATCCTGTGAGTGCTGAGAAGGGAAGAGGAAGGAGAGAGCTGGGGCATTCCAGATTAAATAGTTCAGCACCCTTAGAAGCAGAGCCAGGCCTGGGTGATGCAAGCAAGGCCCACAAGGGACAAAATTTTTTAAGGAGTCACTCAGATATGCATAAAATTTAAATATGACATCCTAGCACCTCTCCCTTGTCACGGCCCTTCTCCAGGGGCTGGTTCCAAAATGGGGAAGGAGACTTCCTCCTGGCCAGAGAAGAGCTCCAGAAAGTCAGCTGCCTGGCAGAAGTTGGCAGCTTGAAAGTAACAGCAAGGGCAGTGGCTCTTGGGAAAAGGCTGCTCATCTGGTTGTGCCCCTCATGGGATGCTAGTGGATTCACCTCCTGGCTTTTCCTGGTGCCCTTCCTGGGTCATCAGCTTTTCTTGAACTGTATCCTTTGCCCAGAAAGTTCCTACTCCCTGGCCTTCTTGAAGTTTTTGCTCAAACCTCATCTTTTAAGTGGCTTACGAGGGCCACCTTAATTAATATTGCTATCTGCACCACCACCTCCTAGCACTTCCTAAACCTATAACCTACTCAACATTTTTATAGCACTTGTAATCATCTTATACGCTACGTAGTTTAACTATTTAATATATTTGTTGTTTATTATCTGCCTCTTCCTAATTAGAATATAACCCCCTCAAAGTCAGCAATCCTTGTTTGATTTATTTTTCATAAGCCCCAAAACAGTGCCTGGCCCAATAAACATTTGTTGCCTGAATGAATGAATGAATGAATGAATGCAGTTTTGGAACATACTGGTGTAGGGTTGCCAGATTTAGCAAATAAAAACACTGGACACCCAGCTGAATTTGAATTTCAGATGAATATTTCATGCAATATTTCAGGCATATTTATAATAAAAATGTTTCATTGTTCATCTGAAATTCAAATATAATTGGGAATCTTGTTTTTTACCTGGCAACCCTATGCTGGTTGCAACTACAACAATAATAGTTACCATTTGTTGACTGCACAATTGCAACAGGCCAGGCACTGTGTAAAGGGTATTGCCCACATTTAATCTATAAAACAACTCCAGAAGATACTAGCTTCTTTCTTTTGCAGAAAAGGCAACTGAAGCAGAGTGAGTGTAAGTTCCTAGCCCAAAGTCTCACAGCTAGCAAGAGGGTGAATGAAGATACAAGACCAGGTCTGTCTGGGCTGCAAGGCCTAAGAGCAGTTTCTCCTGGATCTAAGTGCCCGTGGCATTGCCCAGGCACTCCTCTTGTGACACTTCTCCCTCTTTCTTCCCAGCATCACTGTGTTTCTCCCAGCACCTGCCACAGTGGCTTTTTACCCTTCTAGTCTAATCCCAGTGGAACAAAGCATGAGAACCCAAATTATAAGTGGAAACCCTGGAGCTGCCACCGTGCTTCCTTCAGCTGCAGATGCTCATGGCCAGTCCCTCCTTGCCCAGACCTCTAAGAGAAAGGAGGCACCTGGCCAGCTTGAGAGATGATGAATGTCCAGAATCCAAATGATGACAATTTTTCTCAGAAAAACTATCATAAATGATACCAAAATGGTTCAGCCTTTCTCTCTAAACCAAAGAGAGTGAGAAGGAAATTTTGATCCCTTGTCTGTGATTTGGAGGCTCTCCATGTTGTTGCAAGACTTTACTTCAGCTGAAGACTGGGTCCTTGTCCCATGGCCATGAAAATTTAGGCTCACAGATGATTTGAAGGGTGAGAATAATGGGATTTATTAGGCAAAAAGGAAAAAAGGGGGAACAGGGACTCTCTGCAAGGCCAGAGTTCCTGCTAGTGTAGGCTTCCTGCCTCACAGATTGAATTCCAGGTACCACCCAGGAAGAGGAGGGGCCCAGCTCCTCCCCGCTGCAAATGGCATGAACTTCTGTGGCTCTATGCCAGTGTGCATTCCTCCCAGTGCGCAGGTTGGTCAGAGGCTCTGCCAGGGAGCCCTTTCCACCTGGCTGTCTCAATGTGAGATGAAATGTCTATTTTGGTACACTTTGGATGAGGTGTTGTTAAGGACAATAGGAACAGACTTGACTTCCATTAAATATCAATAAATAAAAAATTAAAATTTAATTATTCATTGATGCAAAAATCCTCAATAAAATATTGGCAAACCGAATCCAGCAGCACATCAAAAAGCTTATCCACCATGAAGTCGGCTTCATCCCTGGGATGCAAGGCTGGTTCAACATACGCAAATCAATAAATGTAATCCATCACGTAAACAGAACCAATGACAAAAACCATATGATTATCTCAATAGATGCAGAAAAGGCCTTTGACAAAATTCAACAGCTCTTCATGCTAAAAACTCTCAATAAACTAAGTATTGATGGGACATATCTCAAAATAATAAGAGCTATTTATAACAAACCCACAGCCAATATCATACTGAATGGGCAAAAACTGAAAGCATTCCCTTTAAAAACCAGCACAAGACAAGGATGCCCTCTCTCACCACTCCTATTCAACATAGTATTGGAAGTTCTGGCCAGGGCAATCAGGCAAGAGAAAGAAATAAAGGAGGCTGGGTGTGGTAGCTCACGCCTGTAATCCCAGCACTTTGGGAGACTGAGGCAGGCAGATTACCTGAGGTCGGGAGTTCGAGACCAGCCTGACCGACATGGAGAAACCCCATCTCTACTAAAAATACAAAATTAGCCAGGAATGGTGGCGCATGCCTGTAATCCCAGCTACTCAGGAGGCTGAGGTGGGAGAATTGCTTGAACCCAGGAGGCAGAAGTTGCAGTGAGCCAAGATCGCACCATTGCACTCCAGCCTGGGTAACAAGAACGAAACTCCATCTCAAAAAAGAAAAAAAATTTAAAAAAAGAAATAAAGGGTATTAAATTAGGAAAAAAGGAAGTCAAATTGTCTCTGTTTGCAGATGACATGATTGTATATTTAGAAAACCCCATCGTTTCAGCCCAAAATCTCCTTAAGCTGATAAGCAACTTCAGCAAAGTCTCAGGTTACAAAATCAATGTGCAAAAATCACAAGCATTCCTATACACCAATAACAGACAAACAGCCAAATCATGAGTGAACTCCCATTCACAATTGCTACAAAGAAAATAAAATACCTAGGAATACAACTTACAAGAGATGTGAAGGACCTCTTCAAGGAGAACTACAAACCTTTGCTCAAGGAAATAAGAGAGGACACAAACAAATGGAAAAACATTCCATGCTCATGGATAGAAAGAATCAATATCGTGAAAATGGCCATACTGCCCAAAGTAATTTATAGATTCAATGTTATCCCCATCAAGCTACCATTGACTTTCTTCACAGAATTGGAAAAATACTCCTTTAAATTTCATATGGAACCAAAAAAGAACCCACATAGCCAAGACAATCCTAAGCAAAAAGAACAAAGCTGGAGGCATCACGCCACCTGACTTCAAACTATACTACAAGGCTACAGTAACTAAAACAGCATGGTACTGGTACCAAAACAGATATATAGACCAATGGAACAGAACAGAGGCCTCAGAAATAACACCACACATCTACAACCATCTGATCTTTGACAAATCTGACAAAAACAATGGGGAAAGGATTCCCTATTTAATAAATGGTGTTGGGAAAACTGGCTAGCCATATGCAGAAAGCTGAAACTGGATCCCTTCCTTACACCTTATACAAAAATTAACTCAAGATGGATTAAAGACTTCAACATAAGACCTAAAACCATAAAAACCCTAGAAGAAAACCTAGGCAATACCATTCAGGACATAGGCATGGGCAAGGACTTCATGATTAAAACACCAAAAGCAATGGCAAGAAATGCCAAAATTGATAAATGGGATCTAATTAAACTAAAGAGCTTCTGCACAGCAAAAGAAACTACCATCAAAGTGAACAGGCAACCTACAGAATGGGAGATAATTTTTGCAATCTATCCATCTGACAAAGGGCTAATATCCAGAATCTACAAAGAACTTAAACAAATGTACAAGAAAAAAAAACCCATCAAAATGTGGGTGAAGGCTATGAACAGACATTTCTCAAAAGAAGACATTTATGCAGCCAACAAACGTGAAAAAATAGCTCATCATCACTGGCCATTAGAGAAATGCAAATCAAAACCACAATGAGATACCATCTCACGCCAGTTAGAATGGCAATCATTAAAAAGTCAGGAAACAACAGATGCTGGAGAGGATGTGGAGAAATAGGAACACTTTTATACTGTTGGTGTGAGTGTAAATTAGCTCACCATTGTGGAGGACAGTATGGCGATTCCTCAAGTATCTAGAACTAGAAATACCATTTGACCCAGCAATCCCATTACTGGGTATATACCCAAAGGATTATAAATAATTCTACTATAAAGACACATGCACGTATGTGTTTATTGCAGCACTGTTCACAATAGCAAAGACTTGGAACCAACCCAAATGCCCATCAATGATAGACTAGATAAAGAAAATGTGGCACATACTCACCATAGAATACTATATAGCCATAAATAGGGATGAGTTCATGTCCTTTGCAGGGACATAGATGAAGCTGGAAACCATCATTCTCAGCAGACTAACACAAGAACAGAAAACCAAACACTGCATGCTCTCACTCATAAGTGGGAGTTGAACAACTAGAACACATGGATACGGGGCGGGGGATATCACACACTGGGGCCTGTCGGGGTGTGGGGGCTGGGGGAGGCATAGCATTAGGAGAAATACCTAATGTAGATGACAGGTTGATGAGTGCAACAAATCATCATGGCACGTATATACCTATGTAACAAATGTGCATGTTCTGCACATGTACCCCAGAACCTAAAGTATAAGTTTTAAAAAAATCAATAGATAAATAAAATTTAATTATTCATTAATTATTTAAGTAAATATGTATTAATTGATTGTTTAATTAATAAAAATAAATTTATGATTTATCAGTATTTATAATTATTTATGAGTATTTTATGTTACTCGAGTAACATGTTACTCATTTGACTCTTATTTATATATTGCTTTTTGTGAAAAGTAAAGTTTAATAGTGATTATAAACTCAAACGCTCACAAGGCTGGAAAGTAATGTATATGAGAAAAATGGACCCAGGAGAACACTATAAACACAAGGATAAAAAGTACCTGACACTTGGCCTCAATGTCAGAGACAATAGGGAGTGGTGGAGAATGTAGTGAACAGGAGAATGCATGCCTTATCGAAAGGACATAGCCGTGGCTCAGCTCTGACCTATTGTTGCTGTGTGGGAAGGTAGAGCCAGTGCTGTCAGACCTTTTAGTTTTCCCAGAGAGGCTGAAAATCTTTATTTTTGTGTGAATTCTCCTAATTTATAAATATTGGCAACAGTTTTTTAAATTTAAATAAACAGAAGAAAATCTATCTAAACACTACTGGTTTGTAACCTCTGAATATAAAAACTAGACAATTCATAAATCATGACATCCAGCATCCTTTAAGTAATTTGTTTATATGTCCATGGGCTCAACTCTGTGGTGGCAGAGACCATGTCTTATTCATTTTTTACTGTCCAGCACCTACACTGGGTATATGCTAATGATTAACAAATGCTAACTGAGTTGAAGTACAATACAATCATCAGGGTTGGTCCTTTAGTGCCTGTGGTTCTTGGGGACTACTAGGAAAAAACCCATGGGCATGGACTCCAGATATGTGGGAAAATCTGCTGACCTCATGATGCACACCACCACCCCAGGGGAGCTTAAGTGGCATCTCAATTCCAGCTCAGGATCTTCTCTAACTCTTTCCAATTTAACCCCCTTACCCACAACTTCTAATATCAGTGACATCAGTCTTGCATAATTATCAGAGCCTTTATCAAGAAGAGGAAAAGGGAAGACCTGGATATCTTATTATTGACAGATTAGAAACATTTACTAATACACATTGATACACTTTTTGGTATATTTAGGCCATTCACATTTAAAGTTATTATTGACAGGTGGATTAGTATTGACCACATTTCTAACTGTTTTTGGTAACTGTTTTCTATATTACTCTTGTTCTTTGTTTCTTTTCTTTTTTTTTTTTTGTCTTCCCCTCTTTTTCTGCCTCCTCTAGTTTTAAGTGACCATTTTATACAATTCCATTTTCTCTCCTGTCTTAGCATACGAATTATACTTCTTTGTAATTTATTTAGTGTTTTCCCTAGAGTTTATAATATATATTTACAATTAATGCAAGTCTACTTTCAAATAATACTGCTTTACAAATAGTCCAAGCGCCTTATAACTGGGTATTCCCAACTCTTCCCTTCCCTCCCTTATAACATTGCTATCAGTCATTTCACTTATTCATAAGCTATAGTTTGCTGCAAAAGTGATTGTTGTTTTTGCCATTACTTTTAATTATAAAAGTAATTAACTAAAAGCAATCACTTGTGCACCAACATAATATAATAACTGGCTACATTGTTATTATTATTTTGAGGAAATTATTGTTAGATCAATTAAGAATAAGAAAAATATTTTATTTTTCCTTCATTTTTTTCATTTTCTAATGCTCTTTTGTTACATAGAGTGGAGTTTCTGACCTATGTTATTTTTCTTGTCTCTGAAGAATTATTTCAACATTTCTTGCAAGGCAGGTCTGCTGGTGACAAATTCCTTAAATTTTTGTTTGTCTGAGAAAGTTTATTTCTTCTTCACTCTCAAAGGATAATTTCACTGCATCAAGAATTCCATGTTGGTGGTTTTCTCTTTTGACTCTTAAAATATTCATTTCACTCTCTTTTCACTTGCTTCAATTCTGATGAGACGTTTGATATAATCCTTATGTTTGCTCCTCTCTAAGTAAGGTGTTTTTTCCTCTGGTTGCTTTCAAGATTTTCTCTCACTGATTTTCTGAAGTTTGAATATGATTATGGCCACAATGTCAAGGGCAATTGATTATGCCTACAGATTTTTAGTATTTATCCTCCTTATGTTTGTAGTTTCATGGATCTGTGGTGTTCTGTTTGTCATTAATTTTGGAAATTTTTCAGCTATTCTTACTTCAGATTTTTTTTGTTCCTTTCTTTCTTTCCTTCTGATATTCCCATTACACATGGGTTGCACCTTTTGTCATTGTCCTACAGTTCTTGGATCCTCTGTTCCATTTTTTTTTGTTCCTTTTTCTCTTTACCTTTCAGTTTGAAAAGTGTCTGTTGACACATCTTCAAACTCACTAATTCTTTCCTCAGCCATGTCCAGTCTACTGACTAGCCCATCAAAGGCATTCTTCATTTCTGTTACAATATGTTTTATTTCTATCATTTTCTATTGATTCTTTCTTTGTGTTTCCATTTTTGCTTACATAACCCATCTCTTCTTGCAAGTTATCCACAATTTTTATTAGCGCCCTTAGCATATTCATTATGATTATTTTAAATTCCAGATCTGATAATTCTAAAATATCTGCCATAAGTAAATTTCGTTCTCATACTTACTGTGTGTCTTCTTTGTTTTGTTTTGTTGCCTTTCACCATGGCTTGTAATCTTTTGTTGAAAGCCAGACATGATGTATCACATAAAAAGAACTGAGGTAAATGGGCCTTTAGTGTGAGGTTTTGTGTTTTTCTGGCTAGAGTATAGGCAGTATTGACTGTTTGCCATAGCTGTGGTGTCAGAGGCCAAAATTTCCCCTGATGTCCCCGTTTTTGTCTCTCCTGTTGTCTTTATGTTTTCCTGGAGACTGTCTCTTAAATAAAGTCTGAGATTTGTAGTTCTTTCCATTATGATCGCTTGTTATTATACAGGGGCCTGTTGGAAAAGTGTTCTTTAATCCTACGATTAGATCTCAGGCTTTTAGTGAGCCAAAGTTGAGTTTATCCCTTGTCCCACATTAAAGGCTAGAGGAGGCTGGAATTGGGTATTTGCCTTCCTTTTCCCCTAGTTGGTTAGGGTCTGGTAAAACAGTTTCCCTTGAGGGTACGCATTGTTAAGGAGAACAAAGATGTCTGAGCTATTTCCAAATGATTGCTCTCCCCCTCTCCCAGCAAGAAGCATAAGGGATTTTTCTCCAATCTTCACAGTAGGAGTCTACTGGGGATCCTGGAGGTAAAACTCAAGATAGTATGTCCCCACAAGATTGGGAATTTTTTAACTCTCAAGCTCCTCCATACTGAGCCTCCAGCAATTTATCTATTACAGTTTAAAGTGTTCTCACTGATACTGGTTCCACTGCAGGCTCTGCTCTGGTAATTCTCTGTATCCACCTGTCTCTCCAGTTCTCAGGGCAACAATTTTCCCTGTGACCTCAACTCTCTGATGGTTCTTGGGAGAGTTGCTAATTTTCAGTTTCTTCAGCATTTTTCTTATAAAAATGAGAGTAACAAGTTCCAAGCTCTTTACATGTAGAACTGGAAACTAGAAATCAGCACACTTCTTACTAAAAATCAGTAGAAGTTTCAGATAAACCCAGGACAGTATTTTGACATCAATTTATACTCATTCAAATATATTAATGTCATTGACAAGATCCAGCATTCAAACATCAATTCCTGAGTTCAATAAATCCCGTATGGTTGATACATATACCTTAATTTCAAATCAAAGGATGATGTTGTGGGATAATATAAGGTTTGAAGTCAGAAGGCTTGAGTTCAAATCCTGGCTTTGTCACATATGAGCTGTGTTACCTTGGGCAAGTATCCTAGCTCACTGAGTTTATTTCCCAATCTGTTAAGTAGAGCCAATAAACAGTAGCTTTACAGATGATAAAATAATAAAATTCACATAAAATCAATATATAAAAATGAAGTACTCTCCTATAAATATCTAATTAATAGAAATAAGGAGTTTTCTTCCTTATTCGTAATCCTCTTTGTAATGTCTCTTTAATCTCACAAAGGTAGATATACGGAGCGGCATTAAATACTGTCAAGGGATTTAAACACGGTTCTTTTTTCTTTTGTTTTTTTTTTACTATTATACTTTAAGTTCTAGGGTACATGTGCACAGCGTGCAGGCTCATTACATAGGTATACATGTGCCATGCTGGCCCACTGCACCCATCAACCGATCATTTACATTAAATATTTCCCCCATGCTATCCCTCCCGCAAGACCACCATGACAGGCCCCAGTGTGTGATGTTCCCCACCCTGTGTCCAAGAAACACAATTCTTTTTTCAAAAAAAAAATTGCACAGAATATTAGAGCTAGAAAAACCACAATAGAAGGGAAGATAGTTGAACTTTCTAAAAATTAATTTAGGTCCGCAAGGAAAAAATACGCAGAACCAAATAAAAGACTCCTGGGACTACCTTTTCCCCAAGGATAGTAGTCATGTCACCTCTAGGGATGCCCTCAATGAGCTTTGGTCAAAATAAAACCATAGAACACTGTCACATGAACTGCTGCTAGTCAGCTCACTACCTCATGAAATTGATGTATGTGTTTAATCCAAATGCAGATTTTAGTTGGTTTCGGTCCATATCCTAGCCTGCCAAGGTATTTCTCAGTAATGGTTTTGTCAATTAACAAAAACACCTGCTTGCTCTTAAAGTTTGAGGCCAACTTTTTTTTTTTTTTTTTTTTTTTCAAAACAGAAAAAACAATTTAATCTAGGTTAGAATTGTTCAGGAGTAGGGTAGGAAGACCCCAAGGGATGGCTGGAATACCAGAGTGAGTTCATAGTCTGCTTTCCAGCCCTAGAGGAGACCAAGGTGAGGAAGTCAAGCTGTGCTCAAGGCTAGAGAAGGCAGTCATTGGTGCTTTTATCACATGGCCCCTCATTGAACCAGAGACCAACTTTTTGTAGATCCTAAGTAGATGCCTTCAGGCACAAGTTACAGAAATCATTTCTGACTCTCTTGAGTAAAAAGGGAAAATGTATTGAGAGGGAATTGGGAAGTACAGGAAACACAAGTATCTTTCAGTAGAAATAGTCAATTTAAGATACTTTCACCACCATCATCCCATGCTACTGCCCTTGCCCCAAGATATTGATACTGCCTCCATCTTGAATCGACACTAAAATCTCTTTGCCTTGTTTGGATTTGCTCAAGAGAGCATCTGATAGGCCAAGACTCTGCCACATTCTTGGAACTCAGAAAGTAGGGAAAGAAAAAACTCTTCTGATAACCTCTCACCATGAGTAGTGAGAGGCTGGATGCTACCCACTATATCATGAAAACCACACATGATGGGGAAGTCTCCTAAAAGAGCAGCTAAAGTTGAACACTGGAAAGTCAAAAAAGATCATAGTTCACCATAAGGGGGGGGCATTTTTATTTTTCAAAATGTTTTGGAATAGCATAAAGCAAAATTGATATTCGGAGGCTATATATTGCTACAGGTATATCTGTTGGTTATAACTATCATCTGTTTTGACTGGCCTGTGTTATAAAATATTTTCACTATCAACCTGCATTTAAATGCATAAGAAGCAGATTTAATTAAATAATATGGATGAAAGTGGTAATATAATCTTGTGTCAAATAAAAAAGTGGGATTATGAAGCAATGAGACCAATTTTCTGGTGTGATTTATGAATAAGCTGTAAGGGTAATTTCAACAGATGAGTCCAGAATTTTGTTGTTGTTGTTTGTTTGTTTGTTTTGAGATGGAGTCTGGCTCAGTTGCCAAGACTGGAGTTCAATGACACGATCTCGGTTCACTGCAACCTCTGCCTCACAGGTTCAAGTGATTCTTCTGCCTCAGCCTCCCAAGTAGCTGGGACTACAGATGTGCAACATCACGCCCAGCTAATGTTTGTATTTTTAGTAGAGATGGGGTTTCACCATGTTGGCCAGGCTGGTCTCGAAGTCCTGACCTCAGGTGATCTGCCCACCTGTCCCTCCCAAAGTCCTGGGATTACAGGCATGAGCCACTGCACCTGGCCCAGAATTTTTTTTTTTTTTTTTTTTTTTTTTTTTTTTTTTTTTTTTTTTTACCGTTGGCAGTAGCATTGGAATAAAGAGGCTATGGTGATGGACAGCTTGGTTTTGGTTTTTGTTGTTGTTGTCTGTAAATGCTGACATATTCGTTTAGGAATCAGTCTTTTTACCTCACAGTCCCAAAATGTACCACATACAACAAACCATCCTTCATGTACAAAGACAAAATAACTGCTCCTAGACATGAACTTTTCTAAGAACAGCAACAGGTAACTTGGGATAGGAAAGTGAGTAAAAGAAAGGTCTCTTTCACAGGGTAGTTATTGTGTTCAAATAGCTGAGTGTCCAAGCCAGCAAGAGAGAGTTTCAAGGAAAAACATCAGAATAAATAACATGGGCATGTATGCAATGAACCAAAAGGATCTACACAAAGAGGAAGACAAACTGGACTTGCAAGACAAAATTTTAAGAAGAGACAACCATAGGCATAGGATGGCAAGGAGAGGAAAGAAATGGAGCAATCAAAATGAGTCAACACAAAATCTACAAAGAAAAGCAGAATTATAGATCTTACGGCTGAAAAAAACACAACCCCCTAGGGCCATAGAAAGCCCCTGGTGAAGGCGGTACTGCTCACTGCACTAAACCCTTCCATTTTTCATCTGTTTGGCTCTGAACACCCAGAAAAGGCCTCTATCTACAAACCTCTCCACACTCCCCAGTGTTAGAATTGGATCCTTAGAGCTGAAAAGTTTCCCTGGGTCTGACAAGGCTCATTATCCCTTGCTGTACTTTTAACCACAGTCAATAACGTGTCCCTTTCCCTTCCGTTATTATTCCTCAGTATTTATAGATGCATCAATGGTTTCTTCCCTTCAAAATGTGCATATTCAATTCCCTCGATCCCAGCTGCCTTCAAAATGTATGATTTTGAAAAGTGTGGGAAGGAGAGAGAAACAAAGGTTATCTTTATGAAACTTTGCATATCCCCAGCCATCAATGTCTCCTCAATAATGAGAAAGGCCAACCTGGACCAGGCATTTAGTCCCCTAAGTGGGCACATCTATCAGCCTTCCCTGCACATTGATTAGTTGATTGATTTTTAAGATTTATAGAAATGCACTCACTGCCAAGTTCTCTGGGCACCTCTACGACAGTAACATTAAGCAACATAAAGAGGTGGACATTCCTTGTCCCAAAGGCTTCCTCTTACCCTTCAAGAGTTTTTTAAATGCACGTTAAAAGGTAGACTTTCTGCCATGCACCGAAGGTCATCCAAAAAAGGTTTGCTAAGGGATCAAAAGGAAAAAGTTTCCGATGTCATAACAAGCTTAGACAAAAAGCCCTCTCTCCAGCCTTCAGAAAATCAAAGAATCATGATCTTGGGAAAGACCTTAAAAACCATTACTGACAGTTCCCACTACACTCGTGGTGTAGTGACGGTTTTCACTGGTCCACATGAAGTTAGAAAACAGAAAAAAGCCAACATAGCAAGTTTTCTTAAAAGTTAACTCAATTTAAGGAATTAATTATTATTCTGAGATAATATCCTTCCTAATTTTGGTATTAAAATATATTTTATTGCATAAAATGATGGTGATAGTAGTTGGTAGTTATTTTAAATAATATCTTTACTTAACAAAGCAACAAATTGGCAAGATATCTATGTTAATTCCCAAAATTCCCTTTGAAATGTTATTGGTCAATGAAATTCAAACTCTAGAAACCGCTAGATTTTGTAGATAGGAAAACTGAAGCTCCAGAAGGCTGAGTGACCACGAAGGTCCCCAGCCCGTTAGTAAGACGGTGTGCATGAAGAGACAGACCTCCTAACTCCCACTACTCCGTGCTGCCTCTTCCAAAGCTCCAGGGCTCTGAAAAGTCCACCTCAGCCCTCAGTAGTGGATATTTGTCATTTCTTGACACTCCAATTCAGAAATTTTTCCTCTTTGAGGAATTTCTCCTCACTGTTTAGGTCTTGGTGGGAGGTAGATTCTGACACTTCCATCTAAACCTGACACGCTCAAGATACTGGACAACTGCAGTAAGAAAGAAAGAGCTGGCATAGGCACAATAATGCAAAGGATTATGGAAAATCTAAGAAATGTGTCTAGAAAGGAATCGTGGGTATGGCAACATGGAACTGACATAAATCAACATGTGAGAAATGGACATCTCTGTGTTGCAATAAAAACTTTATTTACAAAAATAAGTGTCGGCCTGGATTTGGCACACCCGCTGTAGTTTGCTGACTCCTGAACTAGATTTTTAAAAAGCCTAGTAAGCTTTGAGGGCACCGGTACAGCCAAGGAAACCACAGCCCAGACTAGAAACGTCTGTGACTAACAATTTGAGACATAAAGCAACTCTACCTGCACTGCTGCTCCACAGAGTTCTGCTCTCATTGTGTGTTCTCTCCCTGGTGAGCTTCATCAAAGCTCCTTTGGTTGCAAGAAACAGAACCCACTTGAGCTCGATTGGATGCAAAAAGGAAGAATTAATTACAAGGACACAGGGGAATGCCCCAGAGCTCAAGAGCTAAAGGGAGTTAGGATCTTCATACATTTCTCACTCCCTCTCCCCTGGCCCTATCTCTCCCTCCCCTTCTCTCTGCACATGCTGATTCAGTTCTGCCTCTATGCAACAGCTTTCTTTGCCCTTATGTGAATATTATGGACCATGATCCTTAGGTCTGATCAGCTGTGACTGGCAAAGCACAGTCAACATGACACGAACTTGGACTCTGGGCTCTCCCCTTGATGGTGAGGCAGTTTCGTGGTGGCCAGCAGGGACTGAGCTGGGTAGAGAACTGTGAACATATCCTATAATACCCCATGGCCCTTCCTGACATAGCCTTTGCCAACCTGGCCAGCCCTCCTTCCCTGCTCCTCTGCAGTCCACTACACTCCAGTCACCTTAAGCTGGCCTTGCCATTCTTTCTCTCTTACCTCAAAGACTTTACCCAAGCTGGTCCTTCTGCCTGGGAGCACACTTGCTTCCCCCTTCCCCTGGCTAACTCCTTCTTGCCTCCCAGGTCCCCATGTAGGTGCTGTCTTGGAAAAGTCAGATGCTTGTTTCCAGAAGTCTTGGAAAACTCAGGTGCTTTTCCAAGATGCATTTCCTTCAGCAGTCTTGGAAAAGTCAGCTGCTTCTCTTGTCTACTTCTACAGCTCCCTAGACTATTGCAGCAGTTAGCACTCTATAGTATGATTTACCTACCTCTCCAACCTGCCTGCAAACGTCTCAAAGACAGTTTTCCCAGAACCTATGCCTGTGCCTGCCCAGCACATTGTCAGTGATCAATAAATACTTGCTAAACAAATGACTCTCTCAACTCCCCCACCCTCCCCTTCCTTCTCTGCACCACCAGCTGAGCTTCAAAATCAATCATTCCAACAACAATGTTAGAAACTTTTTCAATCCCCTCACACTCTGTATTACTATGCCTTACCAGCCCTGCTCATCCTCATCCCTGATTCAATTCAAACCTCTCTTTTCTTCCTGGGCCGCCCAACGCTGCTGGACAAATTGCACACAGATGCTGGACGGTACCATTCCAATCGAAGGGCTCCAGTCTCTAAGGAGCAATGAGTGGAGTTTAGCAATTTTATAACTTTCTCTAGTCTGGTACATTTTCCATCCCCTAAGCAGTTATTCTAAAACTTTCCTAGCATAGAGTTTAACTTAAGTCTTAGTTTGCTGCTGTCATGATCCCATCTGTCTGGAAATGTTGATAGAGCTATTAAGAAAGGGTCCTCTGAAATCTGCTGATATGGTGGCTTGAATTGTGTCCATAGCTGGGGTTTAGACTGCATAGTGAGGGGAATGAGGGAATCTGCAGATCCCTTCAAGAAGAATTATTGTAAGGCACAGCGATGTTGAGCTAATAACAGAGGCTTAATCATTGGAGCATTCTCAGGGATTCCAAGAATAGCAGGTGGCTATTATCCCTAAGCCAGTCTCTGGGTGCTTGTCTGTATATAAGAGAGAAAGATGCTATGAGTAAAAACTGAAGGAGCAGTTTCTCTTCATATTGCAGCCCATCAAGGCCTGGGTAACACAGCATTGGACCATGCCAACACAGAAACTCAGAGGGGCCAGGTGGCTGCAGGCCAGAAGGAGCAGTGGGAAGGACTGTGGCCCAGAGGAGCTGAATAGCATCAGAGGAGTGACCTCTGTACCTGGTCATGCAGCAGCCACCCATGCAGGCCACTGGGAGAAACCCATGGTGGGTGCCCAGTGGGCCTCATGGACGCCCTGACACCAGAGGCGGAAGGGGGTATGCATGTATCTCTAAGCATGTAAAGACATTCTAGTAACCCCTGAAACACCTGTGGGGCTTTTTGAGGGGCTGATGAGCCTAGTGAAAAAGGAGATACTGAGCTAGAGTGACCTCGGTTACAGTTTACTACTTTTCTTAATCTTTGCACTGAATTTGCCTCCTACTTCACAGAGCAAATAAAGGCCATTAGATGTAGGCTTCTACGATTTCTTTTCTTTCTTTTTTTTTTTTTTTTTTTTGAGACAGAGTCTCACTCTGTTGTCCAGGTTGGAGTGCAGTGGTGTGATCTCAGCTCACTGCAATCTCCATATCCCAGGTTCAAGAAATTCTCCTGCCTCAGCCTCCCAAGTAGGTGGGATTACAGGCACCCACCACCATGCCCAGCTAATTTTTGTATTTTTAGTGGAGATGGGGTTTCACCATGTTGCCCAGGCTGGTCTCAAACTCCTGACCTCAGGTGATCCACCCGCCTTGGCCTCCCAAAGTGCTGGGATTACAGGGGTGAGCCACTGTGACGGGCCTACAATTTCTTATCTCCTCTCCAAATACCTAAGCCTAAATCCTTGTCTGCATCACTGTGACAGGAGTGATGACCATTAGGAGAGAGAGAAAGAGCACAGTGGAGCTCCCACAGGGGAGTGAGGGGCAATGCTGATGGGAAGAAGAAAAGTGTAGTGAACATGTCTGAGGCTAGGGCAGATGGTCTCAGGGAAATTCTAAAGAAAATCTAAACTTCGTTCTATAGCACCACTGAATCCGTTAAGAATAGTTCCTTCTTGAAAGGAGGAGACATGTCTTAGTAATCTTTGTATTGCCAGTGACAAATACAAGTTCTGGCACCTAGTAAAAGCAAGATGGATAAATGAATGAATAAGTAGAGGAATTAAGGAACCCCCTAACTAGGATGACTTGATGTTTCCTACAGAAAAGAAATTTAAGAATAATAGCTTTCATAGCTGCAACAATCTGAATGTCCCCCAAAATTCATGTGTTGAAACTTTATTACCAATGTGACAGTATTAAGAGGTAAAGCCTTTAGGAGATAATTAAATCATGAGGGCAGAGTTCTTTTGAATGAGACTAGTGACCTTATAAAAGAGGTGCAAGGAAGCATTTGCCCCTTCACCATCCAAGGCGCTGTCTTGAAAGCAGAAAGCACCCCTTACCAGCCTCCAAATTTGCTGGTGCCTTGATCTTGGACTTCTCGGTCTTTAGAACTGTGAGAAATACATTTCTATTATTTATGAATGACCTAGTCTCTGGTATTTGATTATAGCAGCACAAACAGAGTAAGACAATAGCTAAAATAATATTCACCCAGGGACTTCATTTAGTTCTATGAATATGAATACAAGAGATACAGCCTGGTCTTCAGTGCAGAACCCCAGACTCTTGGGAAGGAAGAAAAGCTCACTCAGATCTGGACTATGTCTACATCAATACTTCACAATATTTTAAAATCATATACCCACCAGGAAAAATCTTACTTGCCACAGTCCTCCGGCATAAGGGTTGAGGGTTGGGAGGGAACGGTCTGCCAGGGGGCAGTGGGCTGGGCTTTGAAAAGTTAGTGAAGGAAGAAGAAGGAACAAAGAAAATGGAAGAAACAGCAGGCTTCACAAACACAAAACCAAGCCACCATGGCAGCTTTAGTTTGGGAGGAGGCTGAAGTCTAACTCAGGAAGGAAGAAGTGGTGCCACCCATTGAAATCTCGTCTGAATATCTTTGCCAGTGGACTGTTGCATCAAAATGCCCTCCCAGAGAATAACTTTCCCTGGCGTATAGGTAAGATGAACTAGAGTTCCTCTTATGTCACATCAAAAAAAAAAACTTAGATTGGTATGGAAAGGCAATAAACTTAAAAGCAGTGTATCTGTTATGTTTTTCTCCCAAGATTGACATTTATCAATAAATATCAGCTTCTACCTGGTCCAGACATGTGATATTTAGTCATACATGTCACATTTGCAGTGAAAAAGTTCACTGACCAAAAAGATAAAATGAAACAAAGTAAATCATTTAAATTAAATATTTTCTTTATTAGATTTCATTTTCCAGCTGTTTTAACGTAATAGAATTTTTTTCCTTAATTTCAAACTACATAATGCTTTCTGACTGAATGGTGATTATCTTTCCAGCCCAATGGCCTTTTTCTGTCAATGGCAATTAAATCCACAAAGATGATTTCTTTCTAACATTTGAGATTCTTGCTTTCCCATTGTACAGCAGACGTTTCGCTCAAGTCAACCAGATTTTGTTAGGAAATTTTATTTGATAAGACAGGATCCAAAAGTCCCAAATTCAGATGCAAACATCTTAGGGGCGTGCCAATGGCAAATGTTTTACTGTGTAATTACTACAGGTCTTTGCATATTGATAGAATGAAAACCAGATCTGCTGATATTGTATTTTCTGTTTTGTTTTCTTTAGGTGTATTTTCTGGATTCCCATCTCTCTTTGTTTCAATAAAGACATCTGCAACATTTCCTTAAATGTTATTTACTATTGTGGGGCTACATAGTTTTTTACATGAGAATTTAAATCTCATCTCAAATGATCATTGCCTACCACTTAGTGAGCATGGGTGCGTCTTTTAGAAAAAGGTGAAAGAAATAGACCTCAAAAACAAAAAAACTCTGCATCTTATTTTCAGACCATAAAAAAATAGCCAAGTCACAGTACAATACTAAGCTTTAATTCTTCCTTTTTTCCCCTTCTCTAAACTATGCAAATCAATTCTAACATGTTGATGTGCTTTAAATGGTTTTTACAGTCTCACAACTGCAGCTAGAACCCTTCACTTATTCCTCTGACAATAGATGAAACTCATTGAAACAATCCAATTGATCCTATGCTTTCATCCAGAATGTCATTTTTTTCTACCTGGTTTTTATTCAGCAATCTAAATACAATTAGATTCTACCAACGACCAATGAGCAGTATTTGATGCAGGTGTTTGGAAAGAAAAAAAAAATTAAGAAAACTCTTCTAGAGTCAGATCTTTTTCCTAAATGCCCAGATAGGAAAGACAAATCAGCTCACATTTTATTAGGCCTACAGAAGGAACCTGACCAAGAGGATCTGAAGTGTTGTTTTTCCTCCATTTCGCTTTAACTGAGGATTACACCTTAGGCAATCATATTTTTTTGTTTGGATTTTTATATTCTATTTGAGTATAACATTATTTTATCTGGGCCACTATAGACATTTGAGCAAAGCTATTTAGCTTTAATAAGAATAATAACTGCCACTTATTAAGCTTCCTGCCAGGAACTGAACTAATATCACCAAAAAAATTATGTGTGTATGTATACACATGCATTTGTATGTATTTAATTTTCACAACAACCCCATGAAGGAGATCTTATTACCTCCATTATAAAGATGAGGAAAATAAAGTTTAGAAAGCTTAAATAACTTACCCAAGAAAATATCAGAGGTAGAAATTAAAGCCATGCCTGTCTGATTAGAGTTCATGACCTGAATCTCTCTGCTAAAGGCCATATGGTATTCATTGTATATTCTTCATTCCTAAAATGCTTGTCATCCAAGAACATAGGCTTCTAATCCCAGAATCACTGGTGTAAGGTCTCTAATCCACTTGAAACCCAGAGCAAAACTTCTCCAAATTTTGAGCTTTCAGAAACTTCTAGCGTTTCCAAAAATGTAGATATGCATGGGCAATGAAGATGACATATCATATGTGTTCTCTGGCAATCACTCATACCTGGTAGTCAGGGGAAAAGAAATAAAATAATAATAACCTGTGTTTATCTCCCTGCAAACTTCTCCCACCCCGTAGGCTCAGAGGAATAATTAGCTGCTCTAGCTGTTTTGAAGAGTGGTTCCAAAAGTAGCTCAAATCACAAATATAACAAAATGTTACTATCTTTTGAGAATCAGAAAGTGGTTTCACTCAAATCTAAATATCTTGATGTGCAGTAGAATCACTGATATGTTTTTTAAAGGGAGAAAGTTTGAAATTTACAATCATGAAACCTGCTATTTACCTCCATGGTACTTGCATATAATAGAGCACTTTGTAATCGTGCACAGTGAAGATCATTAAAGCACTTCACTAATGTACAGATGCACTTTGATGGAAAAAAAGAAAAAAGGTGGCACTCTTTCAACTGAACAGAAGTTTTCTTTAATTTGTAAAGAAAAAAAGAGTTCATTCTAGAATGATATCCTGCATAAAGCTGTTGAAATACGCTATTTCAATCACTGTTTCAAACACAAGGGATTTTCTTTTCCTAACAGTTCCTCCTTTTTAAAAAAAAATTATTCTCACACCTGTAATCTCAGCACTTTGGGAGGCCGAGGCGGGTGGATCGCAAGGTCAAGAGATCAAGACCATCCTGGCTAACATGGTGAAACCCCATCTCTACTAAAAATACAAAAAATTAGCCAGGCTCCCAGCTACTCAGGAGGCTGAGGCAGGAGAATGGCTTGAAACCGGGTGGCGGAGCTTGCAGTAAGCCGAGATTGCACCACTGAACTCCAGCCTGGGTGACAGAGCAAGACTCCATCTCAAAAACACACACACACACACACACACACACAAAATATATTTTTTTTTTTTCATTTTACTTTCAGTTCTGGGATACATGTGCAGAGCGTACAGGTTTGTTACATAGCTATACATGTGCCATGGTGGTTTGCTGCACCTATCAACCCATCATCTAGGTTTTGAGCCCCACATGCATTAGGTATTTGTCCTAATGCCCTTCCTCCCTTTGCCCGCCACAACAGGCCCTGGTGTGTGCTGTTTTCCTCCCTGAAACACAAGGGATTTTATATAGCCATTAGTTACAACTTATAGTTTAACTTTCTCAAAACCCATTCTATACTGTTCACTTGTTCAAATGACATTTGATCTGTGTTTTTAATTAAACATTTTGCTATTAAACTGAAATTTTAGAAAACAAGAGAATGAGAATCAGGCATAATAATTGCAGCTTTCCCCTACAGGTGAAAAAGCCAAACAGTCTCCCACCCTGAAGGCACTAAGACAGGAAGATGAAGATTTCCAAGAATTTTCGAAACAATAATTGATGTGTTTTGCCCATTTTTGAAAATCTGTAATTTCCAAAAAATTATTAAACATAAACTTGTATATTCATTGCTCATTTGTGGAAAATGTGGATAACTTCTTTATTTTGATGATAGAAGAAAGCAAAGAAAAAAATGAAAGTGAATTGTTAAAAAACAATCTCAATATTAGCGATGAGTTTGTCCTCAACCATTTGGAGCTTTGGATTTCAAACAGGGCAAATAAACATGATCTGAAATAGCTTAAAACAAAGTCAGTTTTCATTTTTTAGCATCCACCAAAAGAGCTTTTTATATAATCAAAAATACATTCTGATTTAGTGATAAAAACCATAGGTTGGTAATAATAATGTTACTGATGATTAAGAATCTACCAAAGGCCAATTACATACTAATTGTATTATAAAAATTATCTCATTTAATTTAATTCTCACTTTACATATGAAGAAACTAATGCTCATGGGGTCACAGCACCAGGCGGCAACCCAGTGTGTTTGTAAGGCCATCTTTTTGGCTTGGTTAAGATGTGTAGTTGGCCTAATGGAGTAATTTTGTGATTGTCCCCGACAATAACAACCTGATGCACGACCAATGCAGAGAAAGAAAAAAGGCTCAAATCTAAAGGGCAGGATGGCCACTCTTCAGAGTGCAGCATAGCCATGGCCAACCACATGTCATGTTTCATAAGAGCCCTTGGTCAACACGGAACGACTAATAAAGGAAAATGTTGGGAGAGTTTGCCACTCTTCCCTCCCTTAGATCTACTCCCTTCCCTTTGATGAGGACATTTGGGAATGCTTTTACAGAAACTCTTCATGAGTTTTCTTCATCAGCAACTCAGACCATTCAGCCCTTTGCTCACTTCAGTGGGATGACCTGTCTACCTCCTCTTTACCAGTCTCTTGCTCCCTCTGGGACCCAGCTCTCAGGTCTCAGAAAGCCTCCTCTGACCTGCCACTGCCCAAACTGATCACTCCTCAGTTGCCTTCTTTCCTCACTCTGTACAGTGCTTGCAATCTTCCTTCCCCGCCCACAAGTTCTTCAAGGGCCAAAATTCTACTCCCACTTCTCCTGTCTCTCCAAGTGCCTACTAAATTAATGCATTAATATTAATTTTATTCTTCAACCTAATGGTTGAAGATTCAGAACCCAGAGGATACGATCTCTAAACCAAGCTAATCTGTTAGGGTGCCCATGACTCAGGGACTCACTCAGACTGCTTAATGCATTATTCAGCCAGAGTATTGATTCTGTTTTCCATCAGTAATAAATGTACATGCCCTGTTTCCAAACAATATCTCAGTAAGTATGAGATAATTCAACTTCAGTTAAAACCCGCCACTGGTTTCATGAGCTGCTTAAGCACTACTTTTTATGAGCTCAGTGCTCCTGGGTTCATCAAAATTCTTGTCTGTGAATGAGCCTTCTTAATTACGTCTCTCTGGATTTTGGCGTCACTCCTCATTATGTAATCCTACCCATCTGTATTAGTTTGGCTAACCAATGCTGTGATATTAAGCAGGCCTAGATTTCTTAGGAGTTCTTTTTTGCTTTTTGTTTTTTGTTTTGAGACTGAGTTTTGCTCTTGTCACCCAGGCTGGAGTGCAATGGCACGATTTCGGCTCACTACAACCTCCGCTTCCCGGGTTCAAGCGATTCTCCTGCCTCAGCCTCCTCAGTAACTGGGATTACAGATGCCCAGCTAATTATTGTATTTTTAGTAGAGACAGGTTTAGTAGAGACAGGGTTTCTCCTGACCCCAGGTGATCTACCCACCTCAGCCCCCCAAACTGCTGGGATTACAGACATGAGCCACCACACACAG
This sequence comes from Homo sapiens, assembly GCF_000001405.40. Lineage (NCBI taxonomy): Eukaryota > Metazoa > Chordata > Mammalia > Primates > Hominidae > Homo > Homo sapiens. The sequence goes on from NC_000007.14 coordinate 39,497,494, forward strand.
CCTTCTTAGGAGTTTTGTAGCATGAAAATTTGTTTAGCTTACGCAAAGTCCAGTTTGGACTTCGGAGAACAAGGTTGTCCTCCATCTAGTCACTGTGGCAGGGGAAGACAGCAGATGAAAGGACAACTGCTTCCACCTAAAAATGACTCCTATGTCTTCCATTCATAGTTCGTCAATTGGCCAAAGCTGGTCACATGGTCCCAACCTGCTTGCAAGGGAAATTAGGAAATGCTCCCAGTTCTCACCACCCCACTGGCTCATGCCCATGTTTTCCGTTATCTATGTTCTGTCATAGATGGAATGTGCTTGTTTTATCCATACTTTCCTAACCCTACGTTCCTTGAAGTAGGGGCTTTGTCATATCCAGCACAGCTTAAGAATGCTTATTGGGTTCACAACAATCAGAATGGATCCAAAAGTGTCTCTGAGAAAACAGAAACAAGAAAAAGAACAACATTTATTGAAATTCAAAGGCAAAAGCCTCTCTTTAGAAAACGCTTCCCCATTTTCTCATGTTTGGTGGGTAGAACAAGACGGCATCACTTGAAAACATTGGCCATAACTGAACAATATATTACAGATTTGTTTAATATTGGCAGTTCTTTAAAAATGTTCCTTTGAACAGAATCTCAGCAAAGCGAAGCTTTCCCTCCCAGCACTGCTTTAAAAGTTAGGAGGCAGCTTTCTGCCCATTCCAAATCACCAAAAGTAAAGTATCAAGTCATAAATGCCCCCCAGTGACTGACTGAGCTAGCCAGGCTGTTTTTTTCCCTTCTACTTCGCGGAAAGAAAAGACAGTAAAAGTTCCTTCAGCAAGCTGCCAAGGTGCTCCCAGGCCATTGTGCAGAATCATTGTCAGGTTAAATTAGGGAGTACAGACTCCATGAGTGTAAAAAAATCAATACTTGATGGAAGATTGCTCCCCGGAAAATCTGTTTTGATTCCAGGATTAATTCGCGACCAAAGGCTTCTGCAAAATGACATGCCATTAGTCAGAAAATGAACACATTCTATCCTTGAAATTGGATGGAAATATGTCAGCTGATTGACCCATTCTTTCTCTTCACTCTCTGGGCAGAAAGAGTGGGTGTGGTAGCTGTGTGAATTAGTGCCCCAAACCTGGTCCATTTTCAAAACAGGATAAAAAATATATTTTTTTAAAGTCCAATGTGAATTGTGAGTAGTCTCTAGGCCATTGTTGGAGAGCTATTGCAAATGTGTTTCATCAAGGCAAATGCATTTGTCTGGAAGGCCCAACTCTCCTGAGTTTTCTATGCCTCAGAATCAACCCTGCTAAGAATCTGAAAATAAAACAAGGATTTTCCCCCTCAAAGCAGTGACCTGCAATATTAATGACAATGCAATTTCTTTGTCATATATAAAGTAACACTCCTCACACTCCTTGTCTGTTAGGCTTCTTCAACTAAAAACTTTTTGGAAGAAGCAAGTTACAGCTCTTCAGTTGGGCTAATGTCACAGGTCTTCAGGGCCTCTCCTTGTGCAGTGAGATGGGCAGCAGGGATGAATGTGATTCCACAGACTTTAACACATGTAAAAGTCACTCTCTTTATCTCCTTTAAATCAAACTCAATCTGATTCTGAAGCTATCAGTCATCATTAGGAGTGTTTCTTCCTCCCCACAATGATGAAAAGGCCCCAGGAGCTTTGACAGAACAAATGGTTCAGGGACACCCTTCACCCTTCTCATTATTTACTTATTTATTTATTTTATTTATTTATTTTTTGAGACAGAGTCTCCCTCTGTCACCCAGGCTGGAGGGCAGTAGCACAATCTCAGCTCACTGCAACCTCCACCTCCCGGGTTCAAGCGATTCTCCTACCTCAGTCTCCTGAGTAGCTGGGACCAAAGGCACACACCACCGTTCCTGGCTAATTTTTGTGTTTTTAGTAGACATGGGGTTTCACCATGTTGGCCAGGCTGGTCTCGAACTCCTGACCTCAAGCAATCTACCTGCCTCGGCCTCCCAAAGTGCTGGGATTACAGGCATGAGCCACTGCACCCGGCCACACACCTTCTCTTCTTCTATCTATTCCAGTCACCACTGATGGTCTCGTGGTCCAAGCCTGCAGTCTCTTGAAGGCACGTGGTCCTACTATTTTACTCAGGCACAGAAAACCTTGTCAACCTTGGAGTTCTGGCACCTAGATTCAGACTTCTCTCTCCTCTCCACTTCCACACACCCACCAACTGCTCTAAAAGACACACATGTCTCTCTCCTGTTTCTCCTCCTCCAGTCTCCTCAATAAGCTCATCATTGCAAAAACTAACAGAAGAAAAAGAAGTTGTTTTCCAACACCAAGTTATCTGGCCTTTTTGCAAGTGAGCACAAATTCCTTGTTTGCTTTTTGGAATTTGGGAGGGGGAAATTAAAGGAAGACGAAACCCACTTAATATATTAATAATTCATATATCTACAGACACACCCTGAAAGGCGAGTTCTGCAGCATCTCCATCAAAGCTTCCCAGGCTGTCCCTGCCTCTGCCCACTGAGACACAGGCCTCATCTCCTGGGAGAAAAGGGCATTTTAATCTACTTGCTGATGTCCTCTGGGCCTGCACCATGGCTGCTAACAGTGTCAAACATGCTGAATGTGTGGAACCAGAGGGGGGTCACGACATCAGCTGTTTGTATTCATTTCGCTGGGAGAGAATTTGCCAAGGTGAAGCTCACCTCCTTCTCAGAGCCCTTTCCCTGCAAATACCAAAGACAAAGACAGAAATCACACAGCTAACAACCAGGTGGCAGAAACAGTCCCCTCAGGAGAGGACTTACGGGACTGAGCCTCATTACTCATGGTGACTTCATTAGAATCCTTCACTCGGAGTAAATGAAGATGGCAGGAGATTGTCTCAAAACCAGCATTTAAAAAAGAAAAGCTTCAGCATTACTGCAGAGGCACTGGTACTCCAGAGAACTCCTTGTTATCCCAGCTTAACAGTTGGCCCTCTGGACTATAGTCTGTGTTGACAATATTCCATGTTCAGGGGGGAAAACGAACCTTACAGAAGAAAACAGATGCCAACAACCAAAGATGGCATATCAGCCAACATAAGGCATGTAATTTCAAGACTTCAATTTGCCAGACCAGCCTGAGCCTTTAGGCACCCGAATTAGTGGCCCCAGGGTGCAATTACAGTAGCATGAATCTTCGCTCTTTAAAAATGTGTGAATTATTGTGAAATGAAATAAATAAAGTAAATGACTAAACAGTTCTATCAGAAGGTTTTCTCACAGTTGCTTGTAAATGGGAAGAAGAAAGTATCGAAGTCACATTAAACACCAATATGTTCTAGTAACACATAATAATCATGTTTATTCTTTTGCATGGTTACTGATACGCTAGGATTATCATAAGCCAAAAATAAAACTTCTGAACAAATGGAAAGAAAACTGTCAATATCCAGTCCCCTCTAAACATGAAAAGATCAGTTTCAACTGGAATTAAGACCACATCTCTGAAACCTTTCCCAAGTAAATAGAGATTGAAGAAGTTGGCGTTATAATTGACTACACCATAACATTTCCCCTTTCCCACAAGGATCTTAAATATTAATGCTCAGTTGCTGAAAATCTCTCTCTCTTATTTCTATTTTTGAACATCACAATCTCATAGACTAGAAACACACCCAGCCTTTGCACAGCAGAACATAGGGACTGGAATGCCAGATAAGAAATCCAGAAACTTGGCTCCTTTGGCCAAGTCTTCCATGAGCTCAGAATTTTAGGATCTTCTACAAAGTACAAGACTTTCCTAAATCATAGACAATTGGAAAGATTTTCAGATCATGTTCTCAGAACTCCTCGTATTCTCTTTTGCACACACATTGAAGAACACACACACGTGTGTGTGTGTGTGTACACACAAGTTGGGGATGTGGTAATTTATGCGTTGAGGAAGAAGCATTTGAAGTAAGTGCTGTGGTATCTCCAAATGTGTGAATGGTAAAATGATTACTGAAAATGATGATTAGGTCCCCTCTGACCTTTTCAACTCTAAGGCAACTTGATGCCACAATGTTTGACTGATGAATAATGTTTCATGGCAGAGCTTAAATAACAGTGACTGTGCATATCCTTTGTTTATACTCAGATAAACCTGAACCAAACCAGCCTTGAAACTCTGTTGAAAGGGAAAGAAGATATTCGAGATGCAGCTGCAACTAATTCAAAAGAGTCTCCTTAGGCTGGGTTCAGTGGCTCACACCTGTTATAGCGCACTTTTGGAGGCTGAGGTGGGTGGATCACCTGAGGTCAGGAGTTCAAGACCAGCCTGGCCAACATGGTGAAATCCTGTCTCTACTAAAATACAAAAATTAGCTGTGCATGATGGCAGACACCTGTAATCCCAGCTACTTGGGAGGCTGAGGCAGGAGAATCACTTGAACCTGGGAGGCAGAGGTTGCAGTGAGCCAAGATTGCGCCATTGCACTCCAGCCTGGGTGACAGAGCAAAACTCTGTCTCAGAAAAAAAAAAAAAAAAAGAGTCTCCTTAAACATTCTGAAAGCATAGAGCTCTTGGTTATTCTTCTCGCCAAACTATACAGTGAAAATGTGGAAGTTTTAGGACTGGAAGATGAAAAGATGGTTTCTAGAGAAAGGTCTTACCCACTCTTAAGTAATATCCATATGTACCCTCTGAAAAATCACTGACTTATTTGAATCACTTGTATTCAATCTTTTGAATGACCAACTTCTGCCCAAATAACAGAATCCACAGGGAGGCAGTAAAACTTAGTAAGGCAGCCATAATCCCCCAGGTGGGCCATTTTCTGGTCTGGAATGTTTTGTCCTTAGCATTGTTTAGTGAGGGGTTAAAGAGATGTAACCCCTAGAGGGTTAGCACAGGCAGAATTGCAGACAGCCCAGAGCTCCATGAGGAGAACCTGCTCTCCTGCCACCTTTTCTTTGTCCTCTGGCTTCCCAGTCACACTCAAAAGGCTGGGGGTCATGGAGGCCACTAGAGAGCTGTGAGGGGAGCTGCCACAGAGTCCACTCTAGGTGCACAAATCACTATATACACACACACACACACGCTCTCTCTCTCTCTCTCTCTCTCTCTCTCTCCTTCTGAGATGCTTTCTCGGCTATGGAAAGGATAGCCATGCCGTTGGCGTCAGAGCTCAGTTCAACCCCGGCTATATCGCTCCCGCCTCCACTTTGGCTCACACAGTTCTACTTTTCCTAATTAACTTGACTCAATGTCCTTTCCCTTCTTTCCACCTCAACAGCACTTACCAGGCACACAGACAAACATTGTTCCTTGACAATATTTTTTGGAGGTCTTTGCTGTAAGTTGAAGCATGAAGCATCTCAGGAGATATAAGATTTGACATCAGACTGAACCTGAATCAAGCTCTGATTGGGAGACCCTTGGAAAAATTACTTAAACTTGCTCAGCTTAACTTACTGGCCCATTAGCCATCTGAGAGAGAGGCCTTTTTCCAAAGATGGTCTTTAGCACTGCTTCATAACAGGTGCTCAATGCATCTTAACCCTCCCCCTGCACTCTGGACCCTTCTCCATGTGCCTACTCCTTGTCTTTCCAACTATAGTGTGAGCAACTCCAATGGAGTGACCACTTCTGTTACCAGGCGCTTCTAAGTGAGCACGGCATGGTTTGATGTTAAAGATAAATGGGTCCAGATCCCAGCTGCCATTCTCTGCCCTTCCTGTGAAAGTTGGAACGAGTTATTTGACCTCTTGAAGTACCAAATTCCTTATCAACTGGGGATGAAATAATCATCATTCAAAGGGTTGATGTGAAAAATCCATGACATGAGTACCTAGCACATTAAGGGCACTGAGTAGGTGGCCCATAAAAGAATCATCTTTTTCCTAATAAATGTTCTTTCATTTTATAAACTGTATCTAAATAATGTTTCTGGGCCAGGTGTGGTGGCTCACACCAGTAATCTCAGCACTTTTGGAGTCTGAGGTGAGTGGATCACTTGAGGTCAGGAGTTCAAGACCAGCCTGATCAACATGGTAAAACCCCATCCACTAAAAATACAAAAGTTAGCCAGGCATGGTCATGGGCGCCTGTAGTCTCAGCTACTCAGGAGGCTGAGGCATGAGAATCGCTTGAACCTGGGAGGTGGAGGTTGCAGTGAGCCAAGACTGTGCCACTGCATTCCAGCCTCGGCAACAGAGTGAGACTCTGTCTCAAAAATGAAAGAGAGAGAGAGAGAGAGAGAGAGAGAGAGAGGGAAAGAAAGAAAGGAAGAGAAAAGAAAAGAAAAGAGAAAAGAAAGGAAGGAAGGAAAGAAGGAAAGGAAGGAAGGAGAGAGAAAGAAAGAAAGAAAGAAAGAAAGAAAGAAAGAAAGAAAGAAAGAAAGAAAGAAAGAAAGGAAGGAAGGAAGGAAGGAAGGAAGGAAGGAAGGAAGGAAAAGAAAAAGTTAATTTCTGGCAGCCCCTCAATACCAAGAAGGATGAAATTCACTTTTGAGTTTGTGATTAAAAGTTCTCCCAAAATATGATATCTCCCCATTCCTCGATCATTGCAGGTCCCTGGCCCAGAGAAGAGCAACTGGACGAAGCATACAGCAGTCTAAACCCAATTCATTGAATCAAAAGACAGCTATTTTTAGTATTTATCTTTCACTCCAATTTCTCCCTTTCTTTTCTCCCCAGAGTCATCTTTACGGATGTAGCAAGAAGTCAACCTTAAGAAAAAGTCCATTCACTCATTCACTGTTCTAAGTGTTGAAAGGGATATACAGATGAATTACAAAAGCAAGAAAAGAAGATTGGCTGGATTATGAAATTCCATAAAGAAAAGCTTGAGTAAATCTCACCCCCAAACTACATTTCCTCTCCAAAGCCAGACCAATGAAACTTTGGATGATAATAAGATTTCAGCCTTGAAGTTCATTTAAGGCATTTTTTAAAAGAATTAGTTTGTGAGCTTTTCTACTTTGTCTTATAAAAGACAGTGAACTTTATGTGTGACTTTCCATCAGAGTTTGCAGATGTAGCTCATGGGAGTTAATTACTTTTTCTCTTCAATTTCACCTAGCAAGATAAAACAGAGCTGCCCAAGAGTTTTCCTATAGCAGGGTGACTGGTCAATACCTTGCTACTTGCTCTGTCAATGCCATGAAAATATTGTTTAATAATTTAGGAACAACCATGTAATTTTCTTCCCTAGCAAGAGCAAATTAGGCACTTACTAAATAATTGACAAAAATACTTAATTCTAGGGATTTCTTGAGAATGTGCTATTATTCAAAAAGAATTTAAAATAAAATTTTCTTTCACCTATTCAACATGTTACTTTCATTTTCATGCCTGATCATATCTTGAAAGCTATATCCGAGTTTGTCCCCCCAGTCCTGATTTCCTTACACCAAGGTGGTCCACAAGTGAACATGTCAAGAATGCGTGTGCTGTCCTTGGTCAAGACCACTTGGAAAGGTGGCTGGGACTTAAGTGTGTTAGACAGACCCCCTCTCCTCCAGGCCTGTCCCCACCAGGGATGCAAACAGGTGCACCAAGAAGTTTGAGTCTTTAGAGTTTTAATCTCAAATCTCAAATGATGAGACATTCTCATCAGTGGTACTCAGACTTGGAACCCTTTGCCCTGGCCATCTGCCAAAGTGGCTGCTTACTCATCATCAGGCTCTTGGGCAGAGGTCTATCTGTTCAGTCAGGCATTCTAAATATCCCATTTGCGGACCTTCAGACAGTTTACTTGACACTTAACTACCAAAATGCCCTGGGTACACTTACGATGCCTAGGGCAGCATATTAACCCATGACTCTTTACAAGTTAAAAGGTTGGGGAACGAGTAGTACCAGGTCTTTCTGCCCCTATTTCAACAAGCAGCCATTTTCTAGAATGTTCTCTTCTCACTGTATTCTCCCAAAAGATCAAGTCCAATAATAATACTTTATTCAAATAAGAGCCACCTCTCTCTCTCTCTCTCTCTCTCTCTCTCTCTCTCTCTCCCTCTCTCTCTCTCTCTCCCCCTCTCCCTGTCCCTCCCTCCCTCTCTTTCCCCCCCAGTATTTCCCCCATTGACCTACGATTGGGGGAGAGCCTCAGTTTGCCTCCCCAGCACCATCTATACCATCTTCCTTCTGCCTGGCTCATGAACACTGCAGTCTCCCTAGGAGATAACATTTCTTCAGTTCTCATTATGTGCTGAGTACTGTCTAGCCCCACTGGCAGCAGAGTGAGGGGCTGTTCCAGAATCCTTAGTTATAGAGACCCAAAAGTAATTCTGTATTATTCTAGGGACTACCTTTATGGAGACTGATACACAAAACCAGAATTTCAGCAGAGGACGGTGTTCTAACAAGGCCTACCTCTTGGATTGTGAAATCCAGGCTACTTTTTACATAGGGCATCATGGTCATATATACACATTACTGCAATCAAAATAATTAAAGAGTACTTTCGTCTTTTCCTGAATCTCTCAAGGAACATAAACACACCCAATAGCACTTCTTTAAAAGTGTTGTTCTTTTCCCCTCTTATTGTCACACATCTTGTGGCCCTTCAGAAGTGTTTCCTCTACAAACCTACAAACCTCCCTTTCCTAATTCCATGCCCCAGGTGTTCTTGGCATCTGCCCTGTCCAGGCAGTTTTGGTTTTTGTTCCCCTCCCCTTTTCCTTCCCCGTCTCCAATCCACCTACCCTATCACTAAAGCCTGCGAACATGGTTGACAATAAAAGCCTAGAGTGATAAATACAAAACTTGTGTTCTAGTGAAGGAACACAGACAATAAATACATAAGCAGTAAACCAGAATTATCAGATAGAATATGTTTTCTGATAGACATGGTGCCACAAAGAAAACAGAAGATGGTGAAACAAGAGAGCTGGGAGTGGGGGGACAAGGCCACTGCAGATTAGAAACAGGAAAGACATTTCTGAGGACGGGATTTGAAAGCTGACATCTACGTGACAGGAGAAGGCTAGTCTTGCAAATATCTGGGAGAAAAGTTCCCTAGGAAAAAGGAACAGCTAGGGTAATGTGCTTAAAGTAGAAATAAGCTTAGCATGATTATACTCACATAGCAGAAGAGGAGAGAGATGCCTGAAACAATTTGGTAGAACTGCCTTCTTCTTTTTTTTAGTCTTCTAAAGAGAACCTGGTTTAATATGATTAAATAAAAAAGGTGTTCAGACCTTTAGGTGAACAATTAGGACAGTCTATAATATAAGATATATTACTGGGTTTTTCCAGTTGAATGCTCTGCATGAAATGATAGGCTGGGAGCAGTGGCTCACACCTGTAATCTCAGCACTTTGGGAGACGAGGTGGGTGGATCACTTGAGGTCAGGAGTTCGAGACCAGCCTGACCTACATGGTGAAACCCTGCCTCTACTAAAAATACAAAAATATTAACCAAATGTGGTGGTGCACGCCTGTAGTCCCAGCTACTATGGAGGCTGAGGCAAGAGAATCACTTGAACCTGGGAGGCAAAGGTTGCAGCGAGCCAAGATCGTGCCATTGCACTCCAGCCTGGGCAACAAGAGCAAAACTCCTTCAGAAAGAAGGAAAGAGAGAAAGAGAGAGAGAGAGAAGAGAGGAAGGAAGGGAGGGAAGGAAAGAGAGAGAAAGAGAGAAAGAAAGAAAGAAAGAAAGAAAGAAAGAAAGAAAGAAAGAAAGAAAGAAAGAAAGAAAGAAAAAGAAAGAAGGAAGAAAAGAAAGAGAGAGAAAAGAAAAGAGGAAAAAGAAAAGAAAGGAAAGGAAAAGAAAAAAGAAAAGAGAAAGGGAGAAAGGAAGGGAGGGAGAGAAGGAAATGTGGTAGTGCTGTGTTCTTGGCTAAATTGTGGCCCCAAAAATTTACGTGTTGAAGTCCTAGCCCCCAGTAACCTCAGAATGTTACTGTATTTATAGATTTATAGATAGGGCCTTTAAAGGGGCAATTAAGGTAAAATGAGGTCATATGGGTAGGCCCTAATCCAATATGGCTGGTGTACTGGAGATTAGGACACAGACACACACAGAGGAAAGATCATGTAAGAACATAGCAAGATGGCCATCTGCAAACCAGGGCCACAGAAGAAACCAACCCTGCTGATGCCTTGATCTTGAACTTGCAGCTTCCAGAATTGTGAGAACATGAAGTTCTGTTGTTTAAGCCACCCAGTATGTGCTATTTTGTTATGGCAGTCCTAGCAGACTACTAAGTGATGTTTAATGGAATCATTCGGATCATTTAAAAATCTCTGATGGTCACTTTTCCCCTTGACAGCCAGCCTAATTCATCAGGGAAAAAGAAACGGTTTAATGCATACAATTTGTTTTCTACTACAGTGTGCTGATGTGGTGGTGGTAAAAATGATTAAGTACCAAACATAACAAGCACAACTGTATTAGTTATCTATTACCACATAATAAATTCTCTCAAAACTTGCTGGCCTAAAACAGTAATACATGATTATTTCACAGTTACTGTGGCTTAGCTGAGTGGTTCTGGCTCAGAGCCTCTCGTGAAGTTACATTCATAGTGTTGGTTCATTCATCTCAAGGCTTGACAGACTTAATGAGGGCTGGAGGGTCCTCTTCCAGGATGGTGCTTTCACTTGGCTGTTGGCAGGAGGCCTCAGTTCCTCACCACGTGGACTCTTCCCAGGGCTGCATGAGTGTTCTCATGACATGGCAGAAGCTGGCTGGCTTCCACCAGAGCAGGCAATTCAAGAGAGCAAGACAGAGTGTCTTGTATGACAGTTTTTGAAGCTAGGAGGTCCAAGGTCAAGGGGGCGCATCTGGTGAGAGCCTCCTGGCTGGTAGGGACTCTCTGTGGTGTCCTGAGGAAGCAAAGGACGCCACATGGTTAGAGGGCTGAGCATGCACCACTTCCCTCTTTCACCTCCTCCTGTCAATGCCCGGAAGCTGAGGTGGAGCCCGCAAAGGAGGGGCTGGAGTAGACCTTACTACTCTTTACCAATGTTCTCTGCCGCACCCTACAGGGGGACTAAACTACCCACCCCACTCAACTCAGGTGCCACCATGTAACTTGTTAGGGCCAATGATGTGCAACATGTGTCATTTCCAGGTAAAAGTTTTACAGTCGAATTCTGCTTCCTCAGGTTCTTTCTCTTTCCCCTCTGCCAGGTCATCAGCAATGTTCCAGAAAGTGTCTGCTCTATTGGACTGGGTCCTGATGTGAAGAAGGGAATGAAGTGGAACAAAGCCCTTAGCCAACCCACCATGGAAGTAATGTGAACCAGAAATAAGCCTTTGTTGTTTTAACCACTGTGTTTGGGGGTTATTTGTTATTGTGACATAACTTCTCCCAACCTGATAATACAGAGTCCTTGAGCAATACCCTAAACTGATTTTAATTCTAAATAAAAGCATTTACCCCACTGGCCCCTCAGAACTCTCGCCCTCCAGCCACAATTATCTCTGAGAGGGAATATCACATGTCGCCCATCAAGAAGTCCTATTATGAGGCAGTTACCACACCACCCCGAACTGCACCCCCACCCCCCAGCCCCCTTGCCGTCTCTCTCACAGACTCCCTCTACCTTCTCTCTGAGGGATGCTGCCCTCCTCGTCAGCACTGCAGCTTCTGCAGCAACGTCACTTCCCACCAGGCCCTGCACACCGGCGGCTGTTCAGGATTCTGGGACACAGGTAGGAAGAATACAGCATCTTTCTCTCTCTTTTTGTGTTGTCTCTATTAGAAAGAATATGAGGCCAGTCATGGTGGCTCACACCTATAATCCCAGCAGTTTGGGAGGCAGACACGGTCAGATCACCTGAGGTCAGGAGTTCGAGACCAGCCTGGCCAACATGGCGAAACCCTGTCTCTACTAAAAATACAAAAATCAGCCAGGCATGGTGGTGCACACCTGTAGTTCCAGGTATTCTACTCAGGAGGCTGAGGCAGGAGCATTGCTTAAACCTGGGAGGCGGAGGTTGCAGTGAGCTGAGATTGCGCCACTGTGCTATGGCCTGAATGACAGAGTGAGACTCCATCTCAAAAAAAAGAAGAAGAATATGAAAATGGTGCTGCTTGTGTCTTCCAGGAATTTTAGATTAATCAGCTCTTTTGTTTGTTACTTGTGGCTTTCTGGTCTCCTCGTTCCTCCCTGGGACTGGGCCAGGAGGCGGAGCTGAGGGCTAGGTAGGAAGCCCTACTCAGAACTGCTCCCCCATCACGAGTGTGTCTGTGTCTGGCTCATTGGGCCGGACCATCCCTTCCTTTGATGAGTTCTTCCTTAAGAGGCTCTTTAGTCCCTCCTACAAATAGTATTCTAGCAAGCCTGCTCCACTAGAAGAGTCACCCATTGGTGAAGACAACTCAGGCATCAGTTATACCTCACAGATCTTCATATAGGGAGCTTACTTAACCATAAGGACCCCAGCTGCTGTGCTCTGAAATCCTTCATGACTTCAAGGCTATGGCCAAAGTCATACTTCCTATGGGCTTGCTATAGCCAACAACTCCATGCAACAGAAATACTAAGGTAGGCCTGTTCCTGGGAGACATGGAGCTCCCCTAACAAACAACTTTGCCTCAAAGACACCCAAACAACTGTGCTGAACATTTTCACCCTCCCTTCCTCCTTTCCTTCCCTTCTTCACACAGGATCAGACTTGCTTTGTGGTCTGATGGTTCTCCCGGCTTTATTCAGAGCCTTCTGTTTTCCCTCACACAGGTGTTTCCTCCTGATAAGTCATTACACTTTTAGTGCTTACTTCGCATCTGCCTCTCAAAGCACCTTAAACTAACATGCCCTGCCACAGTACTGAATATTTAGTGACAAAAGTGGAACATCTATCAGTTGACAGAAGCATCACAGTATCATTAATTTGAAATTCCCCAACTAATAAAAAATTAACCAGTAATCATTGTTTTAGAAAAACAAACACTATAAATAAGATTCATTGGATCTTATTTAATGGATGAAGCTGAAAACCATCATTCTCAGTAAACTATCACAAGGACAAAAAAACAAACATAGCGTGTTCTCACTCATAGGTGGGAATTGAACGATGAGAACACCTGGACACAGGAAGGGGGACATCACACACCGGGGCCTGTTGTGGGGGAGGTGGGGGGGGGTAGCGTTAGGAGATATACCTAATGTTAAATGACGAGTTAATGGGTGCAGCACACCAACATGGCACATGTATACATATGTAACAAACCTGCACGTTGTGCACATGTACCCTAGAATTTAAAGTATAATAATAAAAAGAAATTTAAAAAAAAAACAAAAACATGAAAGGGCAAAGAGAGAACAGTGACTGCCACCATTAATGTATTTGGCTCTTGCAAAAATGTAACATAGCTGTATTAGTCCATTTTCACACTGCTATAAAGAACTGAGACTGGGTTATTTAAAAAGAAAATGAGGTTTAATTGACTCACAGTTCCACATGACTGGGGAAGCCTCAGGAAACTTACAGTTGTGGTGGAAGATGAAGGAGAAAGAAAGCACATCTTTCATGGTGGCAGGAGAGAGAGCGTGGGCAAAGGGGGAAGTACCACACTTTAAAACCAGCAGATCTTGTGAAATCTTGTGAGTGAGTGGTCTCACTCACCATTACAAGAACAGCAAGGGGGAAATCTGCCCTGTGATCCAATCACTTCCCACCAGGCCCCTCCTTCGACACATGGGGATAACAATTCAAGATAAGATTTGGATGGGGACACAGAGCCAAACCATATCAATAGCCCATGCTCCTATTATCACCAGACTCATCTAGAGACAAGGAGAAGTAAAACACAAGATTACAGGATGAGTCACCCATCGAACATCCATACATCTTCTTGGTATGCAGGCTAACTAAGAGCTAAAGGTATTTTCTTGGTCAACTTAGTGAAGTAAATGGTCAGTTAAGCAAAGTAATTAGATTTCTATTCAGAAGAATTTTGATTTCCAAACAGGAACATCATATAGAGAGTTTGTCAAGCTTACTTGATCTTGGAACAGTCTTAATAGCTTGAGAAACTCTAATGTTTGGCACAACACAATTCAGGAAACCTTGCCCTGGAGAGATTAAATTGAGATGTCGCTTCTCATACATAGTCTCTCCCTCACACCTATTCAATGCCAGCATGGGCTAAGAGCTGAAATCTCTGGCTGGTTTCATGAAGTTACATCTCCCTACCTGTTTCCAAGTTGTTTTCCTGGATATAACCTTTCCTTTCCCCTTAGTTCCCAGCTGATTGGTCCAGCCTGGATCATCTCCATCCCTGCATAGGAGCCACTGAGCTGGCTTGTTTCGATCCATGTAGTCAAATACTCATTCAGAAGGAGCTCAGAAGTATTCTAGACAGTGCTGGTCTCCAGGCCGAACCACCGCCAAGCCACAGGCAGTCTCCTTATAGCAAAGCTCTTAAAGCTGTTCCTGGATAAATGTTCCAAAATCATTTCACACTGGGCTGAAGGTTAAAAATAGAATGTGCCCATGGATAAACAGGCCATTTATAAGACTAATTAATGAATTCATTCCAAACCTCAGAGCTACACTCCAAAGGCAACTCACAACTCCGATATCCCACCCCAACCTTCTTCACCAGCCAATTCTATGTTTCCAGTGGTAACAACCTGGCAAGCCTGGAGCAGTGCTGACAAGAGAGATTATCAGAGAAGTCCCTCTAACAGAGAATGTGTCTCCATCCATTAGATGAGTTGGGCTTATCAGAACCCAAAACTTATCAGTAGAGCTTACAATCTCTATTAACCGCCATCTATAGACCTAACACTACTTGCCTTCAAAGCACCATTGTTGGCCAGCGCAGTGGTTCACACCTGTAATCCCAGCACTTTGGGGAGGCAGGTGGATCACTGGAGGTCAGGTGTTTGAGACCAGCCTGGCCAACATGGCAAAACCCCATCTCTACTAAAAATACAAAAAAAAAAAAATAGCAGTTATGGTGGTGGGTGCCTGTAGTCCCAGCTACTCTGGAGGCTGAAGTACAAGAATTGCTTGAAACCAGGAGCTGGAGGTTGCAGTGAGCTGAGATTGCACCACTGCTCACACCACCACCACCACAACAACAAAACCACCACCACAACAACAAAAACCCAAAACACCATTGTTTAATAAATAAATTTCTTGGGACACAATATTTTCTTTTTTTTTCTTGAGAAGGAGTCTCCCTCTGTCACCCAGGCTGGAGTGCAGTGGCGTGATCTCCGCTCACTGCAACCTCCGCCTCCTGGGTTCAAGTGATTCTCCTGCCTCAGCCTCCTGAGTAGCTGGGATTACAGGCGCGTGCCACCATACCTGGCTAATGTTTGTATTTTTAGTAAAGACGGGTTTCACCATTTTGGTCAGGCTGGTCTCGAACTCCTGATTTCGTGATCTGCCTGCCTCAGCCTCCCAAAGTGCTAGGATTACAGGCATGAGCCACCGTGCCTGGCCGGGACACAATATTTTTAATTTTTGTTTTTGTTTGAGGCAGGTTCTTGTTCTGTTGCCCAGGCTGGAGTGCAGTGGTGCAATCATAGCTCACTGCAACCTCCAACTCCACTCCAGCAGTCCTCTGGCCATGGCCTCCCAAAGTGCTGAGATTATAGGTGTGAGCCACTATACCTGGCCTATATTTTACAATTTGAATATAGACTTTCCAGAAATATTTCACTGTGAAAGAGCATGACTATTAAGGGCCCACAATTGCTTCAGAGTGGAAATGCAATTCAGATTCTTAAGCCATAAATATTAGGGTAAGTCTTTCACCTAGTATGCTTATACTGACATTCACAAGGAAAAGCAGAAATACAGTATTTGGGTTATAATTTTGTCTAAGGTGGCTGCACAGCTGAAGACTAGCAATGTAGACCAATGTCGTCATCACTAACCTGGGAAAATGACAAGCCTCTGTACCTCCATCTTCTAATCCACAAAACAGAGAGCATCACAAGCGCTCCAACCACCTTACAGGTTCTACACAGAATAATCATACACAAGTCGGTCAAGTTTATCTGTGATTCCCCAGCCCCTAAGAGTTGTCCCAAACACAAAGTTTTTATTTGTTTGAAAGCTTTGCTAATGAGGCCAGGTACAGTGGCTCACACCTGTAATCCCAGCACTTTGGGAGGCCGAGCCGAGCGGATCACTTGGGGACAGAAGTTGGAGACCAACCTGGCGAACATAGCAAAACTCTGTCTGCTAAAAATACAAAAAATTAGCCTGTCGTGGGGTGCGTGCCTGTAATCCCAGCTACTCGGGAGGCTGAGGCATGAGAATCACTTGAACCTGGGAGGCAGAAGTGACAGTGAGCCGAGATCGCGCCACTCACTGCACTCCAGCCTGGGAAACAGTAAGACTCTGTCCCCACCACCCCCACAAAAAAAAAAAAAAGAAGAAGAAGAAAACAAAATAAAAAAAGCTTTGCTAATGAGGGAGAATAGTGAAAGTTAAAACAGAAGGAAATTATAAATAATAATAATAAATAATAAAAATAATAAAATAATAAAAAACATCATACTTCTTATTTCCCAATCTTACCCAGAAGAATAAAATATTTAATTACTAATTTAACACCCAGACTGAGATATGTGGCTCTGAAAAGACTGCAGGCGCATGCAAAGTCTCATTTGCTAATGAAACAGCATCTAGCAAGGGTGCCACCATGGAATTAAAGGTCCAGGGATGCTTACCTTCTGGCTGGTGTCTGAGCTGCAGAAAAGAATCTCTGCATCTCCAAAAAGAAAAAAAAAAGAGTTATAAAAATAAAGCCACCATTACAAGAGGGCTGAACAAATATCCTAGTCGGGTACCTGCCTCTGGCTCCGAATAAAAGA
Source organism: Homo sapiens (assembly GCF_000001405.40). Classification (NCBI taxonomy): domain Eukaryota; kingdom Metazoa; phylum Chordata; class Mammalia; order Primates; family Hominidae; genus Homo; species Homo sapiens. Next base: position 39,514,242 of record NC_000007.14, read on the forward strand.
ATGCAATATATATCCCAGCAGTAGAAACAACTCCACAGTGCTGGCTTGGGCCCTCTCTCCCATTGCAAGTGATTATGACTACCCTTCACTTCACAGCTGCCCCAGTCCCACCCACCACACTCACACTCACACTCACACTCATACTCACACTTTCTATTCCAAAAGACCTGAGCAGGGTAGTCATTAGACCAAGCAACATTCAGAAATAGCTTCAAAATCAAGCTTCATATCTTTTTCCTTGGATCCCCCTGGCATGGCTACATAAAATACCTTATACGGATATGGAGGTGCCTGGAGAGAGCAGAACTTTCATATTTGGGTGATGATAGGTACAGTATTAAATTTAAAAAAAACAACAATCCAGATGGTTCAGCTAATAGAGTCACAACAGTAAGCCCATATCATACCAGAGGGGACTAAGATTACTAAGAGAGAAGTAAAATGCCTCAGGATTAAGCAAAGCTCTAGTTGTTTCGTTCTGCTAGGAAAATCTCAATGGAGCTGCATGTTTTAACTTCAAAAATTACTCAACAAAAACAAGTAAGGATGAAGGGAGAGAGAGTGGGGAGAGAGGGAGACAGACAGAATTTGATCACAAAAAGAGTTGGAAAAATTGTTGAAGATAGTTGCACAGAATTAGAGGCACAGGACCCATTCTTCTACCTACAAATGAAGTGCTGTTATTACCCATATATATTCAGCAATGCCAGAGAATTTGCCAATATTTTGGATAATCACAAAAGGGTGTCCCATCTTTCTCACTCTATCACGGTGGAAATTAGAAAGTTTATGTGGTGTTCTAAATCATCACTTAATTTTTAATCAAGGTATGTTTACAATATAAAGTTTATTCATAAGCAGTATAAATGGGGTTTGATTCTCACAAAGAAAATGGCAATTAATCATTAAGTCTCTTTTGCTTACGTAGGTGAGAACTAAGAGTGATTTTTGCATTTTGCATGCTAGCTTCACACCTCACTTTGTTATTTTCCTGTTCTCATTTTGTAAGCCCTGATTCCAATTGCTTTTTCTTTTTTTTTTTTTTTTCACACTTTTTCACAAGAAGTAGAGAGAGGATCTCACTGTGGTGCCCAGGCTGGTCTTGGACTCCTGGGCTCAAGCAATCCATCCACCTCAGCCTCCCAAAGTGCTAGGATTACAGGCATGAGCCACCAAGCCTGGCCTCTAATTGCTTTTTCTAATATTATATATTGTATTTAATTTTGTTCACCACATTTAAAATAATTTTTAAAGGCTTAAACCATATGGCTTATATTTAGCTGTGGCTTAAAACATATTGCTAAATCCCTTTTGGTTAACGTTTGTTACATTCCAGAATCATACAATGCATGTTCATTTATGATATCACAGATAAAATCAACTGCCAGGGGAAGTTAAACTATAATAGCAGTTCTCAAAGTGTGGCCCCGAACTAGCAGCTCAGCCTCACTTGAAGATTTATTACAAACACAAATTCTAAGGTCCCACCCCAGACCTACTGCTTCAGTTTTTTATCTCTGCATAGGTTACCACGAAACACGCACATGCATTATCTCACAGTTTCCATGGATCAGGAGTCAGGATACAGTTACTGGATCCTCTACTTGGGATGTCCTCAGGCTGAAATCAAGGTAGGGCTGCAATCTCCCCAGAGGCTTCAGGTTCCATATTCCCTGGCCATGGGAAAAACTTAGCTCCTTGTGGTTATAGGACTGAGGTCCTCACTTTCTTGCTGACTGGCAGCCAGGGCCTATTCTCAGCTCCTAGCGGCCACCTGCCACTCCCTGTCACGTGGTCTTCTTCATAATCTGGCCATTTGCTCCTTCAAGGCCAGTAGGAAGTTTTTCCTGCTCTGAATCTCTCCACTCTGCTAAGATGGAGCCATAAAGTAATGTAACGTAACTTAACATAATGCTGATGCTCTTATCACCTTTGTCATATAACCTAATCAAGAAAGTGACGTCCCATCCCATTCCCAGGCCCTGCTAACCCTCAGGAGAGGAGACCACACTGGGTGTGTACACCAGGGGGTAGGAATCGTGGGGGCCATCTCAGAACTCTACCTGCCACACCTACTGAATTCGAGTGACCAATCAGAGATCCCAGATGATTTCCCCATTCTTCCCAACCCTTCAGCAGAGACTGAGAAACTGAGGGAGACAGAAACATTTAAAGATCGGTCAAATGAATGCTCACTTAGTGCTTCCAAAGAAACTTCTCCCCCAAAAAATATTCAGCCACCTTGAGTTTATGGGTACATCCTGCTGTGTGTGGGAATTCAGCCCTCCCCCCCGACAGCTGAAAGACCAGATCAATCAGGGGGTTAATTATACAGATCATTTTCCTGGCTCCCACGGGCATAAAGGTTATAGATGGCTGCATATTTATGCAGCCGCTGTTAAAAATTCAACCGCAGCATTTATTTCAATGAACTCCTTTGACTACATGTTCAACAGATGCACTGAGGGACTACATAAAACATTACCTCTATTAGTTCAAATTTTCTGACTCCTTAAAAGCTTCTGGTAACTGAAGGAAAAATGCATCTGTAATATGTCCCTTGCCATTACAAATACATTCATTAAAATACAAACAGCTTGACAATACTAAGTGAGCATTAAGCACGTGCGTGCATGTGCAAGCCTGCTCTCGCTCACACACATGCACACACACACACACACAGACAACAGCTTGAATGTGGCAATTTTTAAATAGCACATTATGTTTAAGACTTTACAGTTATTAACAGAACCAGAGAATATATCTATCAAACTATCAAAATGCCATTTTAAATTGTAGTGATCCCTTTAATGTCTTCGATGTTTTCTAAGAACCCTTTAATCCCACATGGATGGTGCCACCTGTGCCATCCCCTGAGAACAGTAACTGCTTCCACTCTACAGGACTCTGTGCAGACAGAAGTGAGGCATGAGTTCCTGGGGGTCCTTGGGATGCCCCTGCCCAATTTCCAGCCCCAGATCTCCTCCCAGATGGTGGTAGTCTATAGAACAATATTAATTCATAAGGGTTGGTGCCACTCAAAATCTTTCCCAAAATCTACTCTGGGAGAAGTGCCCACAAAGATCAAGGCCCTTGTCAGAGAGGTGACTGACACAGAAGGAAGTTGCCTTTGAAAGGAGAATAAAAGACATGCCTTTCAACACTGTCTGCAGCAGCTTTGCCAAGACACGACACAAAGTCCAGATCACCTCACCTCTTCCGGAGTGCCTATGCTACCTCACCCTGGCTATTTAACCCAATAGACTTAGAGAGGGCAGCTGATCACAACCACTTCAGGACGACATACTCAGAGTGCTTTTCTGGACCTGCCACCCTAGTGTGATGCTGTCTCTTTGTAACCATCTAATAGCAAGTTGCCTCAAAGGGAACCATTGTGCAAAAGTGTGAAGGGACTGGCTGCTAAAATAATAACCTAGCAGACACGACCACCATGAGGGAAACGGCTTCGCCTACGGTGCATTCACCGTGTGGTATGTGTACTTCTACTCATTGGAACTGAGCTGGTGTTGTCCAGTCATTCTGCTCCTCATAATAAACAAAGAGTGCCAGGGGCTCTCCAGACCCAAAGGGAAGAGCTTGCAAGCTCAGTTCCAATGAGTAGAAGTACACATACCACATGGTGAATGCAAAGTCCCCTGTCCATTAGAAAGGCTGGATCTGAGGACAGTAAGTAAGGGGCTGTCAATATAGGCAAGTGATCCCTCTTTCCCAGTGCTGACTAAGGTGGGGGCAACATCTGCCTTGCATTACATTCATTTTGCTGCTGAGAAACTGACACCCAAACCGTTTACACCACAGCACATCAGCGGCGACACCAAGACTCACGTTTGGTCTCCTAATACCATGTTCATTTTTCCATGTGATTTTCCCATCTTAAACCTATTTATACTTCAGTCTAGATGAGCCCATGTTTATAGAATCCTTTTGAGGGCTTGAATAAATGAAAACCTAGAAAGGTGGAGTATGTTTTCCTGTAGAATCACTGGCTATCTGTGGGAAGAAGAGATATTCTTTAACACTTTTTTTTTTTCCCTCAGACAGGGTCTCGCTTTGTCACTTAGGCCAGAGTGCAGTGACATGGTCATAGCTCGCTGCAGCCTCAAACTCCTAGACTCAAGCGATTTTCCTGCCTCAACCTCCTGAGTAGCTAGGAATACAGCTGTGTGCCACCATGTCCAGATAATTTTTGCATATTTTTTCTTTTGAGAGACAGAGTCTCACTATGTTCGTTACTCCTGGCCTCAAGTGATTCTCCCACCTCAGCCTCCCAAAGCACTGAGATTACAGGCATGAGCCATTACACCCAGCCTCATCACCACATTTCCAACCTTAGGATCAACTGTTGAAAAACTAATAATACCCCTTCTTTGATCTTACAGTTCTTACAGGCTGAATGAATTCCATTTAGCAGCAAAATATCTTAATGGTTTCACATGAGAATGTTGAAATAAATGAAACAAACACAGAAGGCCTAGGAGGAGAAAGCCTCTCCCGGTTGGCCAAGGAACGACCTGATCTCCAGGTTACGTGAAGCAAAATGCTTAGAACTAAGCCAGAGACATTGGGACACTTAGCCATTCCCACCGCCTTCTTCTCTCCCTTGTCTCATGGAGGTCCTTGAAATAAGGAGGGAATGGAGTGGGGACAGAAGGGATAAATTGCTTCATTCTAAGCCCACAATGCAATTCCTGGTGCTACTGTACTTGGAATACTGCACTCAGGAGTTTCCATGATCAGCCTCCCTAAGACAGCAGAAAAATTCCATAAACAGGGAATGGCAGCAACATCTCGCTCTATGTGGATGCCTGGGTCAGACTGGGTTAGACTGGCTGGTGGATTGCTGACATAAGTGAATTACTTGGCGCAAACCTTGTATCACAAATGGCCCGTAGTGATGCGTATTGCAAGAGATTTATGTAAATTGAGCAAGATACTTAGCTATTGGTCTGGTTTTTTAGTAGACTTGACTTTCAGAAAAGAAAGAGCTGATGGTAGAAATCTCAGGCACTTTTTTAAACATCTTTTCTTTCTCAATCTACCTCCGAAAGTCGCTTTCCATAAAGCCTCCCTCTCAATGTCCCAGTAACTCTGCCCAAGGAAGGAGCCTCCCCTGTGCCTGACTCCTTGCAGGAACTGTTGCCATTCTTTAATTTGGCAGCTTCTGTTTCCCAGGCTCCCGGGGTTTTACGTTTACTTGCAGCGAGGCTTTTTACTTCACTTCCTGTTCTTTCTCCTGCTATCCCCTTAGAAAGCCGGTGGAAGGATTTTATTTTTATTCTTATATCTATGGTCTCCATTCTGAGATTTTATCCTCCTGGTAACAGCCAGAGAGAAAAACACTTACGAGCACATTGGAAATGTCTAGGAAAGGGGAAGTGCATTAAATAATAAACCCCAAACTGGTGGGAAGGATTTTGCACTGTCTACTCCCGAGGCAAGGAATTCTGGGAGATGTTTTCTCGTTTGGCTACCTTTGTCCAGTCTCCATTCCTGGATACCTACAAAGGTGAGAGCAAGACTAAACGCATTCCAAAAAGCAATTTCATGTGATATTTGTTTTCACTTTTCTTTAGAAAAACTATGGGGCCTTTTGTTCACTTGAGACCACAGTAAGGTTACTGTGTCTACCTTTAGGGAGTTCAACTTTCCAGGGAGGGAAACTAGACAATGTGACAGGCGCAATCCTAGCATCTGTTCGTAACAGGGCATAGGAAGGCAAATGCTTGTCCTTCCTTCCTGTAACACAGCCATTAAACCAGGAGCATCGCCCTTCCCCGGCCCTCAGGTAAGAGGACCAAATACCGTAGCCGTTTCCAATTTCAGTCCTTTAGCGCCACCTGGTGCTAACTACTCTATCACGCTTTTATCCAATAACTACCTTTGTAAATTTCCTTTCAAAAGTTCTGGCCGGGCGCGGTGGCTCACGCTTGTAATCCCAGCACTTTGTGAGGGGTCAGGAGTTCGAGACCAGCTTGACCAACATGGTGAAACCCTGTCTCTACTAAAAATACAAAAATTAGCCGGGTGTGGTGGCGCGCGCCTGTAATCCCAGCTATTCAGGAGGCTGAGGCAGGAGAATTACTTGAACCCAGAAGGCAGAGGTTGCAGTGAGCCGAGATCATGCCGCTGCACTCCAGCCTGGGTGACAGAGCAAGACTTTGTCTCAAAAAAAAAAAAAAAAAAAAGTCCTAACGACACAAATGTTTGATTTTAACACAGTGCCAAGTTCACATACGTAGGCAAAGTCCAGATTAAAGGACAATTTTAGCATTGAGTTCATTTAGTGAATCACAGGGCCTTGGCACACAGCAAACATGAGAGCAATCTTAGTTATCTCTATTGTCATGGCTGTTGTTACCAAAAGAATTCAAAAGAGGGGAATTTAGGAAAATTTATAGTGTTTAAGATATAGTAGCTTTTTCAAAATATCAATGAAGTGCCGTTTATGCGGCACAAGTAATATTTCCTTGAAAATCTAATAAATATAGTGTTACTTATTAAAGAGATTCTACCTTGAGTAATTAAACTGCTTGAAGAAAGGCAAGATTTCTCAACTTGAACTTTATCCATAACTCAGGGTTAACCAATATGCCCAGTTTGTTTCTTTTTATATTTTAGAATATTCCTGCCAGACATGGTGGCTCACGCCTGTAATCCCAGCACTTTGGGAGGCCAAGGCAGGCGGATCATGAGGTCAGGAGTTCGAGACCAGCCTGGCCAACATGGTGAAACCCCTTCTCTATTAAAAATACAAAAATTAGCAGGGCGTGGTAGGGCGCGCCTGTAATCCCAGCTACTCTGGAGGCTGAAGCAGGAGAATCACTTGCACCCGGAGGCAGAGGTTGCAGTGAGCCGAGATCATGCCACTGCACTCCAGCCTAGGTGACAGAGCAAGACTCTGTCTCAAAAAAAAAGAATATTCCTATAAGACAGTCAATGCCCATCCTTCCCTGAGAAAACACAATAAATAATATAACTTTTTATTGTTTCGTAATTATCTAGGTGCCTTGAAGTTATCATTCTGAAAATAAAAGTATATAGTCTGAAGGGCTGCACCTATTCGAGATGTATTTGTTTTATCATTATACTTGTTCCTAAAATTAAATGAGCGAAATGTTTCTAAATTAAAGCCAAACTATGCTACACAGGAATGGACTTTGTAAGTGAATCCATATTTGTAAATTCTCACACATAATCAGTCCCAGGAACTCCAGGCCTGAGAGAAATTACTGAAGGCTCTGATCTGAGCTAACCACTGTGAAAATAGGAAAAACTCGAAAAATAGGTTCTAGAGTGGTGTGTAGTTCCAAATGGAGCAGGAAAACTAAGAGGGGATTGGTTAAACAAATATGATTATAATCAAAATAACTTTTTAAGCACTTACTATTTGCCCAGCATTGTCCTCAATGATTCACATGTGTCACTTCGTTTAATCTTCACAACTTCATGAGGCTGTTACAATGCCTGATCCTTGCTGCAAATTAGCTCATACACGGTTAGTAAACAAGGGAGTGATGTTTATAACACATCTTGTAGTTCATATTTGATTCTTCCCAGTACATTAATGTTTTAAAATGATCTCATGGCCAGGCGCAGTGTCTCATGCCTGTAATCCCAGCATTTTGGGAGGTTGAGGCGGGTGGATCACCTGAGGTCAGGAGTTCAAGACCAGCCTGGCCAACATGGTGAAACCCCGTCTCTACTTAAAAAAAAAAAATTAGCCAGGTGTGCTGGTGGACGCCTGTAATCCCAGCCACTTGAGAGGCTGAGGCAGGATGAGGCAGGAGAATTGCCGGAACCCAGGAGGCGGAGGTTGTAGTGAGCCGAGATTGCGCCACCGCACTCCAGCCTGGGCAACAAGAGCAAAACTCCATCTCAGAAAAAAAAAAGAAAAAAAAAAGATCTCACAAGTTTTCTCACAATGAAAGAAGAAGAGGCATGATAATAAATGAAGACTTAAAAAAAATTAAAAGTGCATCGAAGTACTTTTTCTTAGTGCAAGTGAAGGCTGGTTTAAAGACTTCAAGAACCACTAGGTCATGGCCAGGCATGGTGGCTCATGCCTGTAATCCCAGCATTTTGGGAGGCTGAGGCGGGCAGATCACTTGAGCCCAGGAGTTTGAGACCAGCCTGGCCAACATGGCAAGACCCTGTCTCTACTAAAAATACAAAAATTAGCTTGGGGTGGTGGTGCACACCTGTGGTCTTAGCTCTTCGGGAGGCTTAGGTGGGAGGATGGCTTGAGCCCAGCAGATCGAGGCTGCAGTGAACTCTGATGATGTCACTCCAGCCTAGGTGACAGTAAAACCCTGTTTCAAAAAAAAAAAGAAGGAAGGGAAGGGAGGGAAGGGAAGGGATGGGGAGGAAGAAAGAAAGAAAAGAAAAGAGAAAGGGGGGGACGGAGGGAGGGAGGCAGGAAGGAAAAGAGAACCACTGAGTTTTCTGTTATGTATATCCATTTGGCAAAGCTACAAGTGTTGATGAAAAAGCTGTGAAAAAGTTAGCTTCCGTATTAAAGTGGTAGATTAGTGATGATTAGAAGCATGCCCTCCAGCACCTTCAACTGAGGCACAAGCCCAGTGGTGAAGGCTGCAAACGGTTGATTGCCTGAGATTCCAGCTGCCAATTCCTGCATAGAACCGTGCAAGTACTTTCATCAGGAGTGTTACTGTTTCTGTGAGTACTCTGATTACACAGTTCCACAGGTTTCGTGTGGTTTTCCCAGCACTATTTTTCCCATTGGTCCTGTTATTTTTAGTGCATGATGTTTTTATAATTAAAAAATAATAATTTTTTTTAATTATACTTTAAGTTCTAGGGTACATGTGCACAACGTACAGGTTTGTTACATAGGTATACATGTGCCATGTTAGTTTGCTGCAGCCATTAACTCGTCATTTACATTGGGTATTTCTCCTAATGCTATCCCTCCCCCAGCCCCCCACCACATGACAGGCCCTGGTGTGTGATGTTCCCCTCCCTTGTGTCCAAGTGTTCTTGTTCAATTCCCACCAATGAGTGAGAACATGCAGTGTTTGGTTTTCTGTCCTCGTGATAGTTTGCTCAGAATAATGGTTTCCAGCTTCATCCGTGTCCCTGCAAAGGACATGAACTCATCCTTTTTTATGGCTGCATAGTATTCTATGGTGTATATGTGCCACATTTTCTTAATCCAGTACATCATTGATGGGCATTTGGGTTGGTTCCAAGTCTTTGCTATTGTGAACAGTGCCGCAATAAACATATGTGTGCATGTGTCTTTATAGCAGCATGATTTATAATCTTTTGGGTATATACCCAGTAATGGGATCACTGGGTCAAATGATATTTCTAGTTCTAGATCCTTGAGGAATCGCCACACTGTCTTCCACAACAGTTGAACTAATTTACACTCCCACCAACAGTGTAAAAGCGTTCCTATTTCTCCACATCCTCTCCAGCATCTGTTGTTTCCTGACTTTTTAATGATCGCCATTCTAACTGGTGTAAGATGGGACCTCATTGTGGTTTTGATTTGCATTTCTCTGATGACCCGTGATGATGAACATTTTTTCATGTGTCTTTTGGCTGCGTAAATGTCTTCTTTTGAGTAGTGTCTGTTCATATCCTTTGCCCACTTTTTGATGGGGTTGTTTTTTTCTTGAAAACTTGTTTAAGGCAGAACACATTTTTTTCAGGGATGAATAGATGTTATATGATGTTATATATAACAGAAATGTATGTCATCATCCCCATTTTACAGCTAAGAAAACAGGCACCAAGAATTAAGTGATCTTTCTAATGCTACACAGCAATTAAATAATGAAACCATAATTTTAATACACTTTGCCTTCAGATTCTGCCTTCTGATGGACTAATATGATATTTTAAATGAATATTAACATATCTGGAAGTTTTTAAATGTGTCCACAAATGCTTTGACTCTTCTCCCTTCAAAAGGTAGATCCACTTCCTAACATTGGCCTTAGCCATGATTTCCTGGATATGACCCCAAAAGCACAGGCAAGAAATGGAAAAATAGAACAAGTGGACTATATCAAATTTAAAAGCTTCTGCACAGCAAAGGAAACAATCAACAGAGTGAAAAGGCAACACACAGAATAAGAGAAAATATTGGCAAGCCATGTTTTTGATAAAGTGTTAATATCTGAAATACATATATATGGGACTTCTTCAGCTCAAGAAAAAAACCAAATAACTCAATTTAAAAATGAGCAAAGGACTTCTATAGATATTTCCCCCCAAAGAACCCATATAAGTGGCCAACAGGTATGTGAAAAGATGCTCAACATCACGAATCATCAGAAAAATGCAAATCTAAACCACAATGAGATATTACTTTATAACTATTGGTATGGTTTGGCTGTGTCCCCACCTAAATCTCATCCTGAATTGTAATCTCCATAATCCCCAAGTGTTGAGGGAAGTACCAGGTAGAAAGTGATTGGATCAGGGGGATGGTTTCCTCCATGCTGTTCTCATGGTACTGAGTGAGTTGTCACAAGATCTGATGGTTTTATGAGGCACTTTCCCCTGCTCTTGCTACTACTCTCTTTCCTGCTACATGTGAAGAAGGTCTCTGTTTCCCCTTCGCTTTCCATCATGATTGTAAGTTTCCTGAGGCCTCCTGGCCATGCAGAATTATAAGTCAATTAAACCTCTTTTCTTTATAAATTACCCAGTCTCTAACAGTTCTTTATAGCAGTGTGAAAATGAACTAATATACCTGTTAAGATAGCCATTATTTAAAGAAAGAAAAAGAAAAAGAAAACAGCAAGTGTTGGTGAGGATGTAGAGAAATTGGAACCCTTGTACATTATGGGCAGAATATAAAATGACACAGCTCCTATAAAAAGCAGTATGCAGGGTCCTCAAAAAATTGAAAATGGAACTACCATATGATCCAGCGATCCCACTTCTGGGTATTCAGCCAAGAGAACTGAAAACAGGATCTTGAAGAGATATTTGCGCTTCCACGCTCATTGCAGCACTATTCACAGTAGCCAAGAGGTAGAAACAACCCAAATGTCCATTGACAGATGAATGAGTAAGCCAAATGTGGTATATACATTCAACAGAATATTATTCAGCCCTTAAAAAGAAGGAAATCCTGCCATTTTTGACAACATGGATGAACCTTGAGGACATGATACTAAGTGAAATAAGCCAGTCACAGAAGGACACATACTGCAAGACCCCACTTAAATGAGGTATCCAAAGCAGTCAAACTCACAGAAGCAGAAAGGAGAATGGTGGTTGCCAGAAGCTGGAGGAAGGGAGAAATAGAGAGTTTCTGTTCAATGGGTACAGAGTTTCAATCACTCAAGATGAAAAAGTTCTAGAGATCAGCTGTACAACAATGCACATGTATGATAGTTAACAATAGTGTACTGTACAGCTTAAAAGTTTGTTAACAGGGTAGATTTCCTATTATGTGTTTTGTACTATAATTTTTTTAAAAAGCAAAAAGAAATAGAGCTTAATCCTCAGTACCCCCTTTGAGTGCACGCCAAATTTAATAACTCATTCTGACAAGTAGAATAGGTAAGGAGACTGTTCCACAGCAACAAAGAAGACAGTGTGGCTTGGGCTACATCAAAATTAGAAACATTGTTCCTGCAAACAAGAAACTACCAAGAAAGTGTAAAGCCAACACACAAATGGAATAAAATACTTGTAAATCATATATATGATAAGGAACTTGTATCCAGAATACATGAAGAACTCATACAACTCAGTAATAAAAAGACAACCCAATTTTTTAATGGGCAAAGAATTAAATAAACATTTCTCAAAATATCTACAAGGGACCAGTAAGCACATTAAAAAGTTGCTCAACATCATTAGTCACTAGGGAAATGCAAATCAAAACCACAGTGAGATTCCACTTCACTAGGATGGCTATAATCAAAAAAACAGTTAACAAGTGTTGATAAAGATATGGAAAAATTGGAACCCTCATACACTACTAGTGGGAATGTAAAATGGCACAACTCCTTTGGAAAACAGGCAGTTTCTCAAAATGTTAAACACAAAGTTACCTTACGACTGAGAAATTTTACTTTTATGTATATACCCAAGAGAAATGAAAACAAATGTCCACACAAAAACTTGTACATGAATGTTTATAAGCAGAATTATTCCTATTAGCCAAAAAGTGGAAACAACCCAAATGTCCATCAGCTGATGGATAAGCAAAATGTGGTATATCCATACAATGGAATGCTGTTCAGCAACAAAAAATAAAATCAATATATGCTACAACATGGATGACCCTTGAAAACTTTAGGCTAAGTAAAAGAAGCCAGACACAAAAGGCCACATATGTGATTCCATTTATATGAAATGTCCAAAATAGGCAAATCTATAGGGACAGAAAGTAGCCAGGGGTGAAGGGAGGAGGGAATGAGGAGTGACTGCTTTGCATTTTGGAGTGACAAAAAAAATTCTGGAACTATTAATAGACAGTAGTGATGGTTGTACAACCCTATGAATATACTTTAAAAAAAAAACACTAGATTGTATACTTTCAATGGGTGAACTGCATGTCCTGTGAATCATATCTCAAAACATGTCTGGAAAAAAAAGACAATGTGGTGTTTGCCTTGTTCCTCCTTTCTCCTGGATCACTTGCTCTGGGGGAAGCCAGCTGCCATGTTGGAATAAGTCCACATGGTGAGGAACTGAGGCCTCCAGGCAAAAGCCATGTCAGGGAACCATCTTGAAAACAGATCTGTCTTTGTCTATTTGTGTTGCTATAAAGAAATATCTGGGGAGGGAGAGCATTAGGACAAATACCTAATGCATGCGGGGCTTAAAACCTAGACAATGGGTTGAGGTGCAGCAAACCACCATGGCACATGTATACCTATGCCATATATATGCACATTCTGCATATGTATTCCAGAACGTAAAGTAAAATTAAAAAAGAAAGAAAGAAAGAAAGACCTGTGGCTGGGTAATTCCTAAAGAGAAGAGGCTTATTTGGCTGATGGTTCTGCAGGCTGTCCAAGGACCATGGCATCTGCATCTGCTTCTGGTGAGGACCTTGAGCTGCATCCACTCATGGCAAAAGGCGAAGGGTAGCAGGCATCACATGGCAAGAGAGGAAAGAAAAAAGGGAAGGGAAGGAGGTGCCAGGTTCTTTTTAACAATCAGTTCTTAAGGCAACTAATAGAGCAGAATACTCACTCATTACTACAGGCAAGGTTCCAAGCCATTCATGAGATATCCGTTCCCATGACCCAAGTACCTCCCATCAGGCCCTACCTCCAACAATGGAGATCAAATTTCAACATGAGATTTGGAGGGAACAAATATCCAAACTACATCAAGATCCTTCCTTCCCAGCCAACACTTCAGATGATTGCAGTCCCAGCCAACATCTTGACTATACTGCCATGAGAGACCCTAAGCCAGAACCACCAGCTAAGCTACTCCTCGGTATTCCTGACCTTCAGACTGTGTGAGATAATAAATGTTTGTTTCTCTAAATTGCTAAGATTCAGGGTAATTTGTTTTACCACAATAGACATACTCTTAAGTAAAAAAGCACGTAGCAAAACATTATGCACACTGATTTCTTTTTTATTTAAAATATATCTGTGCCTGTGTAGAAAAAAATCACAGATATTGCTATCTCTAGGTGAAGTAACTATTTGCTTTTTTTAACTTTATTTTTCTAATTTTCTACAATGACTATTTTTTGTTTCTGTATTAAAAAGCAATTCGAGTTACTTTTAATTTTTTATAGAATAAATATAGTACAAGGTAGGGAAAGGTTTTGACAATGACTCAGACATGAGATGAAGCCTTGCACCAGATGCAAGAACAGTGTGAAAAAAGAGAATATATGCAATGTTCTGAAAGAAGAGAAAAGGAGGACTGATGGGTGACCTCATACAGGAGATGAAGAAACAGGAGGAAAAGCTGGGTCTACACAGTTCTCAGTGACTGCAGTTTAGTCACTCCATTCTGTGATTTAAAAGTGTGGATTCTTGGGAGGCTGAGGTGAGGGGATCGCAAGGTCAGGAGTTCAAAACCAGCCTGGCCAAGATGGTGAAAACTCTTCTCTACTAAAAATACAAAAATTAGCCAGGCGTGGTGGCAGTCACCTGTAATCCCAGCTACTCAGGAGGCTAAGGCAGATAATTGCTTGAAGCTAGGAGGCGGAGGTTGCAGTGAGCCAAGATCATACCACTGCACTCCAGCCTGGGCAACAGAGAGAGACTCTGTTTCAAAAAAATAAAATAAATAAAATAAAATAAAGCATGGATGCACCAGATGCAGTGGCTCACGCCTGTAACCCCAGCACTTTGGGAGGCCAAGGCAGGTGGATCACTTGAGGTCAGGAGTTTGAGACCAGCCTGGCCGACATGGTGAAACCCCATCTCTACTAAAAATACAAAAGTTACCCAGGCGAGGTGGCGCATGCCTGTAATCCCAGCTATTCAGGAGGCTGAGGCAGGAGAATTGCTTGAACCAGGGAGGCGGAGGTTGCAGTGAGCTGAGATCACGCCATTGCACTCCAGCCTGGGCGACAGAGCCAGAATCTGTCTCAAAATAAGAAAAGTGTGGATGCATGTGCCTACTATTCAGGCAAGAATGCCCACTCTCCACTACTAAGATGTTTATCCAACCACCCTCAGGACCATGAAGAGCCTCTTCAGCCACTAGGCCAAACCTCAAAAGAAAGTTCTCTCATTTCTTAAGAAGGATGAAAGAGTACCATCTTAGGAACACTTGCCTTAACTCCTATTATCATAGCCCAGGGCCAGATGGAGGCTTCAAATATATTCCATCTGTTGCATAGCCACAGTTTATTACACAGTTTCTAGGCATCAGCACTGAGCTCCATACTTAAGTATGTTAGCTCAGTTATTCCTTACAACTTTTTGTGTAAGTGTTCCTTCCATATTTTAGAGAAGAGAAAACTGGTCTTTAGAGAGGCTACATTACTGGCCAGAAGTGTCACAACTAGTTAATAGCTAAGCTTGGCCCTGAACCTACTTCTGACAAAAGAAACAGAAGAACCCCTCTAGCAGCTGGCTATATGAGCACCTCTCCCAGGAAAGGGTAGGGATGTAGAAGGCAACATGACACCTGCTCCCTTCCTGAGAAGGTTTGTGGGGCTGGATCCCACCTTCAGTACTCCAGCTGCTCCTAGTGCCACGACCCTCTGGAAGGCTTTGTCTCACTGGCAGTAGCTATCATGGCATTAATCATTCAAAGCTATGAGCACTGACAGGCTGTAAATAATTTTAAAAGTATAAACCCTGTCTATCCTTACTACCGGAAACCAGTTGGACTCAAATTCCTCCTATATTCATTAAAATGAAGAAATGTGTTTATTATAAAGGCTAAGACACAGGAAAAAAGTAATACCTCAGGTGAACATTTCTTCAGTTTGAAAACCAAACTTGCACTGTGGCCAGCGAGGTTCGAACCCAGCAGCAGAGGGTGGTGGGTTGGTTGTGGGTTTGTCATTCTGGTTTTTTTTCCCCCACTTTCACTAATGTGAAGGAGGTTGGCAACTGTTTGGTGATAAAAGAGGAGGAAATTGCAGCACCTCCAAACAGCAGGTGCCAAAGTTCTATCTGTGGGAATATCCCAGAGAAGAGGAGCCTCATTAAACCATAGAAAAAAAGAAAAACATTAAATAAATAATGATTTCCAGAAAAAGGAAAGCTAGAAACAGATGTTTCTCAGTGCTCGCAGGGATGTTGTACTGGAATATGAGTAAAAGAGAAGTAGAAATGTGTTCTACCAAGCATCCCTCAACTGGATGAAAAACAAAGAACAAAAGGAGGGAAGGAGAGTAGTGAGGAGGACGGAGAAGGGATGGGCAGGGAGGGAGGGATGTGGCGGGTGGGTGGAGGAGGCTAGAGAAAGCAAGAACAAAGATCAAGGAGAAAGGAAGGAGAAGAGGTGGGGAGGAAAATGAGAGAGAGCCCTTGAGTTCTTGCTGGAACTCCCGGAGAGCCCCTTCACACTGGAAGAAAGAGGGCCTTTCTCAAAGAAGCCTTTACACTTTTTCTCTAATGTCTTCATTTCCCGCAAGCGATTTCTGAGAGGGAAAAAATCTTCCAGTCTTCAATGAGCACCAAAAGTTTGAGAGGGACTCTCTTAATGAGTTTCTTAACCTCTGGAGTGAGCAGTGAGTTTTATGCTATAAGCAGCCCTCTCTCTGATCCTACACACACATATGTGCACACACGTGCCACCATGCATACACAGGTATGCACACCCACACCTGCATACGAACACATGCACATGCACACTCACCCTCTACTTTGGGCAACCCTGGAACCCACCCCTTTAAGCACCCATGGCCCCCTGCTTTCCCTACAGTAGTCCGCCCGGAGCCTTGTCTTCCTCTGAAACTGCACCCAGTGCCTTGGAATTCCCATACCTTCCCATACCTGCCCCAGGAAAATATTTTTGTCCTGTATACTCCCCCTAGAAGAGCAGTTTAAGATTCCTACCAGAAAAAAAAAAATCAAAATGATCAATCACTTTTCAAAAAATAAAAGGAAAGAAAGCAGTGGGGAGAGAGTAAAAAGGAGGGAGGGAGAGAAGCACGCAGCCCTCACAAAGAGCCTGTAATGGGTACCTGCTGTGCTCAGCGTTTCATGCAGACCCTCTCATTTTTCCTCAAAACAATATAAGGAGGTGGATTTTATTATCCTCTTTTGAAAATAAGGAAACTGAGGCCCAGAATTGTTCAATAACTTGTCCCAAAGTTCACAGTTACATCAGAACCCAGATTTAAACCAGACAAACCTGCCTCTGAATATGGAGATAAGAGACTCGTGTGAGGGGAGAGGGGGCCCATAGGAGCAACTGAGTTAATTTTTTCTGAATGTAGAGATTGCTGCTGAACATGGCACTCCCTGAAAGAAGTTAGACGGGTCTGGCCTCTCTGGCACCTCGTCAAAGGGTGGCAAATTCCCAAGTCCATCCTTGCTTGTGTTTGCCTCGTTGCTGACTCCGTTTTGATCCCCTCTTGTTTTCTTCTTTCCCATGTTCCTGTGCTGTCCGGCCAAATTCCAAGTGTTCTTTTAAGCCTCCGTAAATCTCCAGTTTAAAAAGCCTCCTTAGAAAAGCTACGTAGAGGCCAGGTGTGGCTCACGCCTGTAATCCCAACACTTTGGGAGGCTGAGGCGGGCAGATCACTTGAAGTCAGGAGTTCAAGACCAGCCTGGCCAACATGGTGAAACCCCATCTCTATTTTGAACTAAAATGCAAACATTAGCCAGGCGTGGTGGTGCATGCCTGTAATCTCAGCTACTCGGGAGGCTGAGGCAGGAGAATCATTTGAACCCAGGAGGCAGACGTTACGGTGAGCCGAGATCATGCCCCTGCACTCCAGCCTGACAACACAGTGAGACTTCATCCTCCCAGCCCCCAATAAAAAAGAAGAAAAAAAGCCACATATAAACAAGTTAGTTTTTTTAAAAATGTGCCAACACAATATAGATTCCAAATCACCTAGGACCAGGGTGACCCAACTATAACGACAGTTGATTGTGATTTGGGTCTGACCTGCGAGAGGGGTCTTGAGTTCGGCTCCATTTCTTCAAATCAAACTTACTCTGCCATTGATTTTCTGAATGAGTGTGGTCAGTTGTTACTCTGTAAAGTGTGACAATGGGATTTTCCATGAGGTGTTTTAGAAAGGTTTTTGAAGTGCTTGGGTGAAGAGAACCACAATACGATCTTTTTTTTTTAATGTCAATACCTCACACCCACTTTTCAGTAACCTTTTAAGAGCAGCTGAAGCGTGCTATGCTCTGAAGCTGCTGATCGCAGAAAGAGAAATCGGTCACAGCAAGTACTTTAGGCTCTTTAAAATCAGCTAACAGAGCCCATCTAAGAGCTCTCTCCTGAGTCCCAGTGAGGCCCTCAAGGCCCCAAATTTTCCTTTGCAGGATAGATTATCCTCACCCCACAATAGAAGTTTGGCCCTCAGGTCACAAACAGGCCTCCAGCCTGTTTTGAAACCTGTGTTCAAATCCTGACTTCACCACTTACTAGCTACGTGATCTTGAGCAAATTATTTCACCACTCTAATCTCTATTCCCTTGTCTGTGAAATGGAGACAATAACAGTACTCACCCCAAATTTCATCATTGTATTAAACCAGATAATGGATGTAATGTGCCCAGCAAACGTGCACTGCAACTCTCCACATTATGAGCAGCAGCTGTGTGCTGCCCTTCGGTCGTGTGCTCATCTTCTCTCTTCCACAAGACCCTTCTTAGGGCAGACACAACAGAAGATTGGATGAAGAGGGGGTTTATTTTGGACCTACAGACTGTGCTGGAAACTCAGTTTTACTGACAGAATAATGAAAGTCACACCTTTTCACCTTTTCAAGTTACCCCTTTCCCTAGCCTCTGCCAGAGATTGGACATTATCTTCCTCAAAGCCACTACCAATTACCCTCAATACTCGTGAGGCATCCTCCATCTTCCTCCCTGTGGGGTTCAAGCAGGTCACTGTTGCATGTGGAAACCAAGAGCAAGTCTCCACTCAGCTGGAAAGTCAGGACTGGACCATCTACATCAAAGGCAGAGGAATTAAATACCCAGGACTTCCCCCTCTGCCTCTTGGTTCCTGCTCTTTATAGAATGTGAGTCCTTGTTATGGGGTTTGGGAGACCGCAGATTTAGAAGGAATTGTGGGGGAAGCAACTGCCGTTTGCACAAGCGCTTGACCAGGGCTGCTCCTA
This sequence comes from Homo sapiens, assembly GCF_000001405.40. Classification (NCBI taxonomy): domain Eukaryota; kingdom Metazoa; phylum Chordata; class Mammalia; order Primates; family Hominidae; genus Homo; species Homo sapiens. The sequence continues at coordinate 39,532,996 of NC_000007.14, forward strand.
GGGTGTGTGGGGCCCAGGCAAATATTTTTTTTTGCAAAGCCCTTATCTACATAAACTATTTGAGTCACCAAATCAGCATATCCACACCACCTGGCAGCCCAATTCTATGTGATCCTACAAAAGAAATACTAGCTGGCCAGCAGGAACTATCTGCTCTCCAGGCTGCCCCCCTGGAACTGGATTCCTAGTCCTAGTCCATGTCCATGTCAAGACAACGTGATTGACACAAGCCTCAGTGGTCCTGGGCCATCTGGTTAACCCCAGATCCAATGGTAGAGAATGGGAGAATGCCCAAAAAGGGAGAAATGGGCACCAGGAATAACATGGGCCCTGAGACAGAGCCAAGGAATCCCACCTGGTTGGTTCTGCTAACTCCTGCCTGTCCCAGGCATTAAAGGGAAGTTATTTAATAGAAAAGTTCAAGGGAGTCACTCCAAAAAGTAGAGCCCCCTGAAGTGCAAGCCCATGCCAGGAGCCCAATTTATCCAGGTCTCAGGACAGAACTCTGATTCCAAAGCCTCCATGAAAGTGTGCCTCTCAGAGTCAGGCTAAAATTCTAAATTCTATGCCAGACAGTCTTTCTCTTCTTTTGTTACCCCAGCATCTCAAGGACTATAGCTATGGACTAAGAGGACAAGTGCTATCACTGTGAACTATTTGCTGTGAACTATTAGTGACCTGGCAGATAGAAGTAAAAGCAATTGGGGCTGAATCTAGCAAAAGGGCAAGCCAGCTCAATCTTATTAGGAACTATTTGCAAATCCAGTGTTTTTGCTTGAAAATTTCTAAGCTTGGACTCCCATTCGGGCCTACCCCTAACATTTACAGCCCTGGGGCAGTAATACAAATGGAGGCCCCTGGCCCACAACCCACCTCTCATGCCTTTCTCTCATGCCTCTTCTAGTTCTGCCCAGATCATAAAGACCTCTTCCATATACATGTGTACATCTCTGTCTCCCTGCAACCACGGTCCCTGCCAAACAACCACTTGTCGGCCACCCTCTAGGCACACAGATGGCACTATTAGCCCTCAAAAGGGCAAACCTTAGTGTTTGGGCAGGGAATCCCAGTGTCCCTGACACTGAAGGATGGTCTAGAACAGCAGTGTCCAATCTTTTGTCTTCCCTGGGCCACACTGGAAGAAAAAGAATTGTCTTGAGCCACACATAAAATACACTAACACTAAAAATAGCTGATGAGCTAAAAAAAAAAAAAAAATCAAAAAAATCTCATAATATTTTTAGAAAGTTTACAAATTTGTATTGGACCACATTAAAAGCCATTCTGGGCCGCCTGCGGCCCGCGGGTTGGTCAAGCTTTGTCTAGAAGTAGTGGGGGCATGGGCTCCAGGTGGGCATAATCCTGGTCTCCTGAACTTCTCATCCCATGGGGAAGGCACAGCCAGAGGAGAGCCAGAGCCGGGCTCTGGAAAGCACGGGCCCAGAGCAGAGGCCCTGCCAGCCTGGGTTTAAGGATGCCACACCTCACCCGATGATTTCCAAAACCAAGTCCTGCTTTTCAGTTTCTGCTTCCTCAGCCCACTCCCCAGCTGCCCCTTTTCTCTCAAGTGTAAGAATTCCTACTTCCTGGTTTTGAGCCATCCTGAATCTGACCTTGAAGCTAGTGTTATACAAGAAAGGAGATAACATATCTTTTTTAAAAGTCTACAGAACCTGAATATTTATGATGTGACACATCAAGATGTCCTGGTAAAGAAATGTAATTCTTGTCACCTATGGCTACTGAAAAATGACTTTCTGGATACACTGGTAGCACTTTTTATCTTTCACAGGCTGACAGATAATGGGACTGCGGGTTTTAAGCCATAATCTCCTCATCTATTGTGGTTCCTGGAAACAACAATAACAAAAAAATGGCATTGTAGCTAAGCTCTGTAGTGGACAGAACAGACAGGCAAATAAAATAACACTCTATGGCAAGAAGCCTCAGTCCTGTAAGAGTTCTGAGGTACTTTACACTCTTTCCAGGGGAATTGATTTTGCTCCATTTCATGGACTGAGGATACTGATAAAGAAGCAGAAGGGTAACTATGAGATTTGCCCCATGAGTCAAACCCAGTGTTGGCAGAGTCAAAGTTCTTTACCATCACAAGATATTGCAATATGAGGACTTAACAAATGGATGTGATCTTTCTTCTCTTTGAAGCCACATAACACTTTCATTGTAACTTCCTTATGGTGGTTGGGGTGTAATAAAGAAATAAGTATTTGATCTTTACTCCTGGTTCTTGGTACACAGCTCCTACAACCTTTGGAGCCTCCAGAGTGATGAGTGTCTTGTGTGTGCTAATGAGATGACTGGTAGCTGGGCACCCCAGATAGCTTTGGGATGTGGATTGGTTGCCAGAAAGATCAAGTCTTGATTAGAAGCTTAAAGCTTTCAGTCCTACTCCCCAACCTCAAGAAAAGGGAGAGGGCTGGAGATTGAGTTAATCACCAAGGGCCAGTGATTTCATCAGTCATGCCTAGATAGTAGAACCTCCAGGGTTCAGAGAACTTCTGGATTGACAAATGCATCCATGTGCCAGGAGGGTGATGCACTCTAACTCCATGGGACAGAATTGAGTTATTGAACTCCTAGCTGGTATCCAGAGAATTGGTTATTGGTGTTGAAAAACACCCCAGAGTGGTTACCTGGCGTTGGCCTATAGTACGTTCTTTTTTATCCTTGTTTTTCCCCTCCCACCCTCCTATTGGTTGTATTTTCTTTGAGGGCAAGAACCAGGTTGTACTAATCTTTGTGATTCTTATGGCACCCAGCACAGGGCCTGGCTTATAATAAATGAGTAGTAAATGTGGCTGAACAAGTTTGTGTCCTGTTTTGACTCCTCCTTGGGTCTTCTTTATGATGGTGCATGTTTAGGAAGGCTGGGCTGGGCTGGGCTCAGCTCGTAGTCATGAGGCAATTAAGAATCATGGCATTCACCAAGGATATGTCTCCCAAACTTCTCACACAGAACAAGGAAGAAAGAACAAAAAGGGCTTCTGTAAGACATTGAGGCTAAGCACCAGCTGGTCTGGTTTGGTCACTACGTAATGGACTCTCACGCACAACTACTCAGCAATGTTGTGATTCAAATTCATGCCTTGGCAAAGTTATGCATCTTACCTTATAGAATGGACTTCTAGTTCATGTTCAAGTGGCTGAAACTTTAAATGTTACAGTCATAAATGGCCAGAGTCTACTATGTGGGAAAATTACAGCACATCCCAATCAACTGAGAAAGTGTGACATACACTCAAGTAATGATGAGAAAACTCCCCAGGAACTCACTTACGAGATCCCCTCAGCCTCTCAACTTGCCCAGGCCTCTGTGCTTGTCTCAGACCCAGTTCTGTAACTATATCAACAACTTGTCCCAGCTACAGCTTCAGAGACTGTCCCCGAATATATTTTTAGATCAATTGCCATTAATTAGGAGAAGAAAGAAGAATGAGCAGCAGCAGGTCTTCAACAGTTCACTCTGGAGTCTCAGAGCTGAACTTGAATGACAGATTTGGTCTGTCCTTAGGGAATTAAAACCTCCCTTCCCTCTACCACCATCAAATCCTTAACAATAGCTGTAAAACAGAGAAGACCCAGAACCCCCAGCACATCTCTGGGCATCCCAGAGCAGGAACAGGGAGGGGTTTTCCATAGCAACTCAGCAGGCTTTGCAGGGCCTGTCCACTTGTGCAATGGTTGGCAGCCCTCAGCAATTCCGTGTCTCATGTTGCCTGGTGGTCTTAAAGCCATATTCTCCTTCAAATGCCAAACCACGGTGCAGTGAGCAGCAGAGAGTAGGCACTGCAACAGGAAGACCAAGGTGACTCCTTCTCTTCCTGAGGATGGGAGAGGAGGGGGAGGGGAGAGGAGGGGGAGGGGAGAGGAGGGGGGAGATTGCACCATAAACCTGTAGAATTCTGTAAGACAGATGCTACATCTGATTAGCCTCTTAGCTGGCCAGGCCACAGGGATGCAGTCCCACCAAGGCTCATACTCTAAAGTACAATTCTTCAGTTCAGCTTAGGGAAATTCATACTGGTTGTAGCAAAGGATTCAATAAAGCAATACCTGACTGGACTCCCAGAATCATAACCACAAAAGACCGTTTTGTGGTTTTTGTGGCTATTTTAGTTCACTCCCTGGACCAGAGTACATTTGACTCCCTGCAGGATAATCTCCAGTACATCATCCAATCTGTTCTCAAATGCCTCAAGTAGTGGGATTTTCACAGCTTCCCTTGGGAAGTTATTCTTAAAGCTGAATGGCCAGCATACTTTTCCTGATATTGAACATTCATCTTGCTTTTTCTTAGCTTCATCTCTGTTATCCTGCAGAATAAACTCCTGCCCTCAGCATTGTCTTTTTTTCTCAGTGTTTACTGATGGGTTTCCTATGCACACTTACGGTACCACTTCAGCATCCATGCACTGGAGCTGCAGAGATCAAGAAATATCTGAGAAATACAATGACAAATAAAGGCTCTGCCATCTGGCAGGCATAAACATAAATGAGATGTGAGCCCAAAATCTCAATAAAGAAGGGATCATCATCAATCCACCCTCCCCACAGAGCCCTACAACAACGGCGGAATTACTGGGCCGTGAGTGATGCTCTGCCAATGGGACACTGTTCTCACGTTGATTCATCTTCACAACCTAATGAGTTTTCCTGCCCCCAAAATGATTTTCTGAAACGCCAAATTTATTTTATCATATGTATCTTTAATTTCATTTACCCAACTTGTTGTATTTTGTATCTTATTGCGGTACTGTGCAGAAACGGGTGCCTGGTGTCTAAATTCTCATTGTACAACCTTTTAAGAGTTGAGAGCTTGGCCGGGCGCGGTGGCTCACGCCTGTAATCCCAGCACTTTGGAAGGCCGAGGCAGGCGGATCACGAGGTCAGGAGATCGAGACCATCCTGGCTAACACGGTGAAACCCCGTCTGTACTAAAAATACAAAAAATTAGCCGGGCGAGGTGGCGGGCGCCAGTAGTCCCAGCTACGCGGGAGGCTGAGGTAGGAGAATGGCGTGAACCCTGGGGGGCAGAGACTGCAGTGAGCCAAGATCGCGCCACTGCACTCCAGACTGGGTGACAGCGAGACTCTGTCTCAAAAAAAAAAAAAAAAAAAAAAAGAGCTGAGAGCTTGCCAGCTCCTAACTTTAGGGGGAGGATTCAAATGGGGCTCTGAGAGTGGTGCTGCCCAAAAGGCATTTGCTTTGTTTTTATACTGATGAATGTGGCAGATTCAGCTATTTTCTCCCTACACGTAGAACCTTCTTTCATGGCCCAGAAAAAAAAAAAAAACTCCACTAATGAAAAATTGTGGGCCAGGCATGGTGGCTCACGCCTGTAATCTCAACACTTCAAGAGTCCAAGATGGGAGGATCACTTGGTCCCCATAGCTTAAGACCAGCCTGGGCAACATGGAAAAACCCCATCTTTACAAAATTAAAATTAAAAAATCAACCATGCATGGTGGTGCACACCTGTAGTCCCAGCTACTTGGGAGGCTGAAGTGGGAGGATCGCTTGAGCCAGGAAAGTCGAGGCTCCAGGGTGCCATAATCACACCTCCACACTCAAGCCTGGGTGAAAAAATGAGACCCTGTCTCAAAAAAAAATAATAATAATAAATAAATAAAAATTGCTATTGAACCAACTAGCTCCAGTCAAGCAATTCTCCCTTTGTCTACTGTCCACATGGCTCCAGCAACAACACAGTCTGCTCACCCCACTCTCCTTCAGACCTCCTACTTAGACCTCTAAAATGCTCTTTCTACTCCAACAAACATGGCTTACAGAATTTTATAGTCTAGGCCGGGCACAGTGGCTCACACCTGTAATCCCAGCACTTTGGGAGGCCAAGGCAGGAGGATCACCTGAGGTCAGGAGTTCAAGACCTGCCTGACCAACATTGTGAAACCCCATCTCTACTAAAAATACAAATAAATTAGCAGGGCATTGTGACGGGCGCCTGTAATCCCAGCTACTCGGGAGGCTGAGGCAGGAGAACCACTTGAACCTGAGAGGCAGAGGTTGTGGTGAGCCAAGATCACCCCACTGTACTCCAGCTTGGGCGACAAAGCAAGATTCTGTCTCAAAAAAAAAAAAAAAAAAAAAAAAAAAAAAAAAAGAATTTTATAGTCTACTTAATGGGGACTTTTTATTTGCCAGATGAGATAACTAGAGACCTAGAGAAAAAAGTTGGATCCGATATTTACTTCAAGGCATGTTTTTTCATTCTTTAAAAAGTACATTTATTGAACACCTATTATATGAAATGGAGATAAAAGATACAGTCTCCACTGTGGGAGGCCAAGATGGGTGGATCACTTGAGGTCAGGAGTTCAAGACCAGCCTGGCCAACATGATGAAACCCCAACTCTACTAAAAATACGAAAATTAGCCGGGCGTGGTGGCAGATGCCTGTAATCCCACCTACAGGGGAGGCTAAAGCAGGAGAATCGCTTGAACCCGGGAGGCAGAGGTTTCAGTGAGCCAAGACCATACCACTGCACTCCAGCCTGGGTGACAAAGCGAGGCTCTGTCTCAAAAAAAAAAAGAAAAGAAAAAAAGAGGCACAATCCCCACCCTCAAGGAGCTCTCAGACTGGTGGAAGCAACAGACAAGTAAACAGAAAATTGCGACCATGATTAAAAGCGCTATGCTTAAATAAGCACCAGGTGCTTCAGGAATGTGTCAGGGAGACTCCTAAGACAGAATGAGGCACCATCATTTCTTTTCACTGTTGGCTTCCCTGCAAGACATTCTCCAAGTTGTAGCCAGAATGGTCTTTTTAAAATGTGAAGGAAATCAAGTCATTCCTCTCCTCAGAAAGCTTCAGGGACTTCCTATGCATTCAAATAAAATCCAAACTTTGTATTGGGGCATACACAGTCACACAGGAGCTAGCCTTCTGTCCTCTGCAGCTCCACCTCCTGTCACTCTCTCCATAGCCCATCAATTCCAGCTCCACTAACCTGCATTCCGGTCCTACAATGCACCAGTGATTCTTCCCTGCTCAGGCCCTTTCTGTGTGCTCAGTCCCTTGGTTCCCTCTGTCCGAAATGCTCTCCCCAGCACCATCCTCTCTGCGACTTCCCACCGCATCACCTAGTTTACCTGACTAGCTATTGTCATTCTTCAGGTATCTGTTTAATTGTCACCTCCTCAGCCTCCTCCTTACAGTAGACCCGTTTCCCACCCCATCCCCCATCACTACCCTTCAGCCGTTTTTGTTGTTCTCTGGTTTTTTCCTTCAAGGCACTTCCCACGATTTTTGCTATATATTTGTTTGGGTATTTTCATATCTAGTGTCTGCCCTTCCAAACATTAGCACTTACTACTAGACATAGGCTCCACAAGGACAAGGATTTTGTACATTTTATACACAAAACACCTAGCTCACGGCCTGCAAAGTCTAGCTCAGCAAATATTTGTGGAAAGCCGGGCTTCCTGAGGAGGTGACCCTTGAGCTAAGTCCCAAGGGATAGGCAGGAGTTAACTAACAAAAGCAGAGGAGTGGCCATGATGCCATCTGGTGAAGCTTATGCAAACACCTGGAAGCATGACCATACGGGAGCCCTGAGTTCTTCCATATCGCTTGGACGTAACACACAAAAGGACGGATGGTGGGTGATGAGGCCGGAAATGCCTGTCAAAGAGTGTGGACACTCTCCTGTAGAGGAATGGTTTTAAGGGAAGCAGCAATATAGTCCAATTTGTATAGTCCAATTTGTATACTCCAATTTGATTTAGTGATCAATTAGATGTTGTGGGGAGTGGTGGAGAAAGAAGGAAGAATCCATGATAACACCTAGAGAAATTTCTGACTTGGCCAGGCATGGTAGCTTATGCCTATAATCCCAGCACTCTGGGAGGTCGAGGCGGGCAGATCACCTTAGGTCAGGAGTTCAAAACCAGCCTGGCCAACATGGTAAAACCCTGTCTTCGCTTAAAAAAAAAAAATATATATATATATATATATACATATATATACACACACACACACACGTGTGTATATACATATATATGTGTATATATACATATATGTATATATACACATATACATATATGTATATACACACACATATATGTATATACACATACATATATGTATATACACATATACGTGTATATATACACATATACGTGTATATATACACATATACATATATGTATATATACACACATACATATATGTATATGTATATATACACACATACGTATATGTGTGTATATATATGCAAAAACTAGCCAGGAATGGTGGCATGCGCCTGTAATCCCAGGTATTCGGGAGGCTGAGGCAGGAGAATCGCTTCAACCTCGGAGGTGAAGTTCGCAGTGAGATCACTCCACTCTACTCCAGCCTGGGTGACAAAAAAGGCCTGTCTAAAAAAAAAAAAAGATTTCTGGTTGAAGCCATAGGTGGAAGAGTTACCATGTTACCATTAATCAGAGGCCCAATCAAAGAAATAACTTGGTTCTGTTCTATTTTCTTCAAGGTCAAAACAAAGATTCACATGTTTCCTCTTACAATGATTTTCTCCTGCTCTGAACTCCTTCAGCATTTCTTTATACAAACTACAAAACACTCCCAGACAGGACGGAGCTCACTCACATCCATCAGGTCCCTGCAGGAAACAGATGGCACTCTCAAAAGGGTTGAGAAGAGTTTTTTGGGGGGACTATTTACAAAGGCGTGCACAGAGTTCAGGGAACTTGACAAGGACAGTGAAGTCCCACAGGGCTAGAGCTGGCAGGGAGTTGCTAACAACTACATCGGGTCTCCAACACACCCAGCCCATTCCTGCCTCATGGTCAGTGTATGTGCTGTTTTCTCTGCTTGAACTGTTCTTTCTCCAAATATCTCTATGGCTTACTCCTTCACCTCCTTCATTATTTAATAAAATATCACCTTGGCCTGACCTTATTTAAAAATTGTTAAAAAGCAAAATGAAACAACACTTCTCCTCTCTCCCCTCCTTTGTCTCCTAAGCAGTTATCACTGACATATTATGAATTTTACATATTTACCTTACTGTCTGTATTCCCCTCTAGAGTGTAAGTTCCATGAAATTGAGGAGTTTGATCTGTACACTGCTATATATCCCAGCACCTAGTACAATGCTCCACACACAGTAGGATGCTATTAAAGATTTGTTTAATGAACAGTTTCATTATGCCCACCTCAGAAGTAACTATGAAGTAGATTATATATTAACCTGATGCAAGGAATATTTTTTCAAAAGTCAAATTATAATACAAGCCAGAGACCAAAAAAACAGTCCATATTTGCTGTGTATAGCCTCATGAGTCTCTATCTACCTCCCTTGAGTTTCCATTAACTAGGTTAGCACTAGGTTGGCAAAGTTCTTGGTTCTCCAATATAGTTCAAAGACCAGCAGGAGAGCTGGGTAATCCGCCAGGCTTCCATGTTCACATGGAAATGTCATGTGAGCCCTCCAATGCCTTTACTCTGCCTCTGCACCCGTGGAACAACACTATGACCTGTAATTTCATTTTGCCCATTCATTTAAAGAATACATATTGGGCATCTACCATGTATCAAACAACCTAATGGCCAGAGACAGATATCCTTGGACAAAAAATATAAAGCTCCTACTCTCAATCCAAAAAAAAGTAATAAATCCAGTATCTGGACATAATGAGTACTATGGAGAAAAATAAAGCAGGGTAAAATAATAGAAAGTGGTGAGAATCCTATATTACATATGCCAAAAATAAAAGCCTTTCTGAGAAGACAGTATTTGGTGGAACCCACATCTGCCTCTCAGCCCATCCTGATGTCATGGGTGAGTTGCAGGAGGTCAACACAGAGCTGGCCACACACCTAGAGATCCAGCAGGAGCTTCAGGAGCTGCAGGTACGCCTAGCACAAATAAAGTGAGCTCACAGGACAGAGACAACTTGTACAAGCCGTCACAGCCCTGGTCCCTTGCACCCATCTTCAGAGAGAAAAGAAAAGCACAGCTGCTACCCCAATTCTACCATCCAAATGCTGGGTAATATGTCCCTTGTGGCCAATACAGACCTAGAATTACATAGGGAAGGGACCCACCTTCAGCCTAGCTAAGTTGACACAATACAAAACTACCAACAACATGTCAAGTATTTAAATGGCACTTACCATGTGCCACACACTATTCTAAGCACTTTATATAGATGAAACTCATTTAATTCTAGCATCTGCTTTATGAGGTGCATACTATTATTGGCCCAAGGGAAGCTAACAAACTTGGCAAAGGTCACACAGCCAATAAGTGACAAAGCTAGAATTTGATCCCAGGCAATCTGACTCCAGAGTCGTGTTCTTAACCACCACAAGAGTGTATTACACAGCTCCCGCACTCATGGAGAGACACACAAAACATAACACACATGTCAATTTATGATAGAATATCAAGTAGCAGTAAGTGCTATGAAGAGAGCGGGAGATGAGGCTAGACGATGATGGGGAGGGGCACAGTTATTTGGTAGAGAATGTAAATGAAGCCTTCTCAGTTGAAGCGATCTTGAGCAGAAACCTGAATGAGATGAGAGGGAAGGGTGCTCTGAGCTTGGGGAACAGCACAAGCAAAGGCCCTGGGGTGGGAGTAGGTATCGTATGTTCTAAAAAGCAAGGAGGTCAGCATGGGTGGTGCTGAGCGAGTAAGGGGAAGACTCATAGAAGCTGGGTAGGTGGAGGCTGGGGTAGATCTGGCCAGGCATTGAAAGATGTTGGCTTTTACTCAGAATGATGAGAACTCCTGGAAAGGTTGTGCGCATAGGACAATTTTACATCAGGGAACCCAGTTAAGTAAAAAGCATTTGCCAGAATCAGAGCGCACATGGTGAGAGCTCGCACAAGGGGTGTGACAAGAGGTCGGAGATGTTTTGAAGGTAGCATTGACATTTCCTAAGATTGGATGTAAAGACATCTCAGGTTTACGTAAATCACTAAGCAACAGGGGAGAGGTGTGTGGACTGTTGATCTCAGGAAGTGACCATCTATTCTGTGTATTTTCCCATCACCTGCCTCCAGAAGTATTCATGTATCCAGGTGTTCTGTTCTGCACCAGTGCTCTCCAGCAGAACTTTCTGCCGTGGTGGAAAAGTTCACATCTGTGCCATTCATTGTGATAGCCACTCACCACGTGTGGCTATCAAGCATTTGCAACATGGCCAGTGCAAATGAAGAATTAAACTTCTAATGTCATTTAATTTTAATTAAGTTAAAGTTAAATGTCCAAATGTGACTAGTGGGTACCATTTTGGACAGTGTAAATATAAATAATATCAAATATCAAATTGTTCAATAATTGAATTAATGTTTTGAAGGTCTTTTTTGTTCTTACATAAAACCTTAAAAAATATATTTCTTTTTGCTTTCCCAAATGATCTGGGTGCTCAGATAGGATTTCTCTGGGAGACTGTTCCTGCTGAGATCTCTTCCATACTTATGCTATGACACCAACCGAACTAAAGAACTGAGATAAATACCTACCTGATTCAAAAGGGAGAAGAAAAAACTTTCAACAGAATAATAACGCAAAAGTTATGCCATGACCTAATGTATCAGTCAGGGCTCTCTAGAGGGACAGGACTAATAGGATAGATGAATATATGAAGGGGAGTTTATAAGGACTATTGATTCACAAGATCACAAGGTGAAGTCCCACAATAGACTGTCTATGAGCTGAGGAGCAAGGAAGCCAGTCCCAGTCCCAAAATCTCAAAAGTAAGGAAGCCAACAGTGCAACCTTTAGTCTGTGGCCTAAGGCCCAAGAGCCCCTGGCAAACCACTGGTGTAGGTCCAAAAGTCCAAAAGCTAAAGAACATGGAGTCTGATGTTCAAGGGCAGGAAGCATCCAGCATGGGAGAAAAATGGAGGCCAGAAGACTCAGCCAGTGTAGTCCTTCCATGTTCCCCTGCCTGCTTTTATCCTAGCTGTGCTGGCAGCTGATTAGGCGGTGCCCACCCAATTAAGGGTGGGTCTGTCTCTCCCAGTCCACTGACTCAAATGTTAATCTCCTTGGCAACACTCTCACAGATACACCCAGGAACAATACTTTGCATCCTTTAATCCAATCGAGTTAACACTCAATATTAACCATCATACCTAAATTATAATCTTTTTTTCAGGTTCACAGAGCATTTTTACCCTTGCTATCTTGAAAGATCTTCCCAACAACCCTACGAGGGGAGCAGGTACTTCGGAGCAGATACTTCAGAGTAGAGAAAACTGGGGCAGAACTAAGGTGAGTGGGGTGCCCAAAGCAAATGATGATCAGATGAGCACCAAGACCTCAGCTGCTGCCTTCTGCCTCCAGGCCTCACCCTCCCTCCCCGATGACACGTGCTGGCCCTCACTTCTCTTAGCTTGTGCTAAGACCTTTCCAAATGAGTTCCTGTGTTCTTTCAAACCAACTTACTGGTTCAGTTTGAAAACTACACTTTCCTCAGCCTTTTTATTTGTTTAATTTATCGAAAGGTTATTTTTGATGAAACTTACATTTGGGAAGCTGTCAATTGGATTTTATGGGGTTCTATGCCTAGCTTCAGTGTGCCTTAACTAACAAAAGAGGGAAAATTAAACATTATTCCATAGGAAGCAAAGAATTGAAACATGAGCTGAATAATTTTAAATATCAAACTAAATTAAGTTTAAAAATAAATAAATAAAAGTGGTCTCAAAATCAGGAGCTCAATGGAGCACATCCCTTCCTAAAAATAGATTGTTCTGCACTTTCAGGAATTGATGATATCATTTCCATCGAAGGTTATTGTTCACACTTGGCAATATCTTCTTTAACCTTTCATCAGGATAAATGAACAAATTCATTCTAGATGATGAAAGGAAAGCATCTTTAGATCTTGAATGCATAATCTGGAAGAAAGGATTGGGGGTTAAGGTTAGAGATCCATACCTACACAAGCTCAACATCTAGTGAAGTGGGTCCCCTTCCAGTTCAAACTGATTACAGCAGGTAGAGACATGGCCCACCTGTCGCCAATATTGGCCCACAGGTCTTCAATATTGAAATGTAAAGGCGAGGAAGCGAATGCAAAACCAGAAGGGACATTTAATTATTCATCAAAATAGTGAGGCATAATTCTCAAATTCCTTTTGAAAGCAAAATATAGCTATTTAATTTTGAAATTACTTGCCAGAACATTCTAAATAATTTAAAATAAGACCTACTTTTGTTACTTCTAAAGTAAAAGTAAGCTTGTCTATCACATTTCCTCCTTTGGCAGACATCAATAATTCTGTGCCATCAGCCTCCTTTCTTTTTGCTTTGACTCTGAGCCTGACGTTGTCTCTGTTTGAAAGGATTCTTCACCAAAGTCATATATAAATAGGCCTTTTTTTTTTTTTTTGAGACAAAGTCTTGCACTGTCACCTGGACTGGAGTGCAATGGCGCAATCTTGGCTCACTGCAACCTCCACCTCCCGGGTTCACACTATTCTCCTGCCTCAGCCTCCTGAGTAGCTGGAATTACAGGTGCACACCACCACACCTGACTAATTTTTTGTATTTTTAGTAGAGACGGGGTTTCACTATGTTGGCCAGACTGGTCTCAAACTCCTGACCTCGTGATCTGCCCGCCTCGGCCTCCCAAAGTGCTGGGATTACAGGCATGAGCCACAGTGCCCGGCCACAGATAGGCTTTTTAAAAGTACACTGAGGCCAGGCACTGTGGCTCATGCCGGTAATCCCAGCACTTTGGGAGACTGCGGCAGGTAGATATTTGAGGTCAGGAGTTTGAGACCAGACTGGCCAACACAGTGAAACCCCATCTCTACTAAAAATACAAAAAAATTAGCTGGGCATGGTGGTGCATCACTGTAGTCCCAGCTACTTGGGAGGCTGAGGCAGGAGAATCACTTGAACCTGGGGGACAGAGGTTGCAGTGAGCCGAGATCATGCCACTATACTCCAGCCTGGGCGACAGAATGAGACTCTGTCTCAAAAAAAAAAAAAAAAAAAATTACATTGAAAGAGTTCCCAGTCCAGTTACCTAACATTTGGCATCCATATACAACAGTTGAGATGGTGTTCTTACCACACTCCATAAATCAGCAAACTAAGGCAGGAAGAGATTAAATAACTACTGAATGACAAAATCAGAATTTGAGCCACGTCTCTCTGACTCCAACTTATGTGTGTGTGTGTTTTAAATCTCCTTGGGTATAAAAGCTGGTTTCAGCATTATTTTCCCTAACTTTAAAAATATTTCCAATGTCTCAATAATGTATAATTGCCAATAAAAATCCCCCTAAGTCTCTGTTGTTCTTTGTAGGTAATTTGATTTTTCTCTCTGGTGACTTTCAGGAGTTTCTCTTCATCCTTAATTCCCTGCCATCTCACCCTGCAGTTTCATTGTGATATGCCCTGTGGATTTTCAAATCCTACTCAGCACCCACAGGCCTTTTAAATACCTTTTTTTTTCCTTTCTTGAAAACGCTCAGCTATTATATCTTTGAACAGTTCTTCTGCCATTCTCTTGACAATCTCACTCTGAAACTCCTATTAGACGTATGTTGGAGCTTCTTATCCTGTATGTTTTGTCTGTGAATTTGTCTTCCATGAAAATGTTGATCTGCAGAAGCTTTCTTCTTGAGTGCCTTAGACTGTAGAAGCCATGAGAGAGGCAGAAGGATTCTGAGTTTCCTCTGTCTGGGCCCTAGAGGATTTTTGAGACAAGGTCTTGCTCTGTTACCCAGGCTAGAGTGCACTGGCATGACCATGGCTCACTTCAGCCTTGACCTCCTAGACTCAGTCAGTCCTCCCATCTCAGCCACCCATGTAGCTGGGACTACAAGCACACACCACCATGCCTGGCTAATTTTTGTATTTTTAGTAGAGACAGGGTTTCACCATGTTGCTCAGGCTGGTCTCAAACTCCTGGGCTCAAGCAACCTACCTGCCTCAGCCTCCCAGTGTGCTGGGATTACAGGCATGAACCACTGGGCCTGGCCAGATTTGGTTTTTAATCTATCCTTCAGCTTGGGATTTCCACATTGCACCAGTGAGGACTCAGGGTTCCAATCTTTCAAATGACTTTTTCCATCCATGTCTCAAGACAGACAGCAATCTTCTGGTCATAACTCAGTGCCGGTGGGCAGGATATTCAGATGCCTTTTCACAAAAGATAACACATTTCTGCCCCCTGGTTCCATTAGGGAAATCCACTTCTGCTCATTCTGTGCAGGCCCTATATCCTCTCTTTTGATCCTTGCCTTTGTGTTGAAACTTCAACCCCTGGGGCCTACATTTAGTCCAGGTCCCTGTGCACCTCACAGTTTCTTCTGCCGTTTACTACTGTGGGCCCCTTACCCACCTCTGAAACCTAAAGACTTTCCATACTGCTTTTGCACTTCACTTTTTTTCTAGTATTTTCATTTTTTAAACATAACTCATTAACGTACCTGGAATTTATTTTAGCATATAATAGGAACTCATGATCTGTATTGATTTTTTTCCACAGAGCTAGATAAATTTCCCAAAACCATTAATTAATCTTTCTTAATGATATGTGATATTTCCTTTATCATATGTTAAGTTTTAAAGTTTGCTTCTAGGAAATATATTCCTTTCCATTGATCTATGGATCTATTCTTAAGCCACATTAACTAATTATTGTATTCTAAATATCCCATAGAATTGGCCCTTCTCCTTCCATTAATCTTCTCTTCATACTCTGCCCACTCTTTTTCCCATTTTTCTATTTTTGCAGGCAAGCTTTAGAACCAAAGGAGCAGTTCTCGACTTGCTGCCCTTTTGGGTTCTGCCTTAGTAGTAGTAGTAGTTATTTCCCCTTGACTGGAAATAAAGCCTAAACCAGGTAACCACTTGGTAGGAAGATGGGAGTGGAGAATCACTAAAAATAATTCTAAAGTTTCCTTGAATACTAGTTGTCTATTGACTCCAAGGTTCCTTCTAACTCTACAATTAGATTCTTGGCCAGGCAAAATGGCTCACCCCTGTAATCACTACACTTTGGGAGGCCAAGGCAGGAGGATCACTTGAGCTCAGGAGTTCAAGACCACCCTGGCCAACACGGCAAAACTCTGTCTCTACTAAAAATACAAAAATTAGCTGGGCATGGTGGCTTATGCCTATAATCCCAGCACTTTGGGAGGCCGAGGTGCCAGATCATCTGAGGTCAGGAGTTCAAGACCAGCCTGGCCAACATAGTGAAACCCTGTCTTTACTAAAGATACAAAAATTAGCCACGCATGGTGGCACAAGCCTGTAGTCCCAGCTACTCAGGCGGCTGAGGCAGGAGAATCACTTGAACCTGGGAGGTGGAGATTGCAGTGAACCGAGATCACGCCACTGCACTCCAGCCTGAGCAACAGAGTAAGACTCCATCTCAAAAAATAAATAAATAAATACAAAAATTAGCCGGGCATGGTGGCTCATGCCTGCAATCCCAGATACTCAGGTGGCTGAGGCACCCAGAGAATCGCTTGAACTCAGGAGGCGGAGGTTGCAATGAGCTAAGATCGCACTGCTGCACTCCAGCCTGGGCGACAGAGTAAGTGAGACTCTGTCTCAAAAAAAAAAAAAAGTGGCTGCACAGGACGATCACTTGAACCCAGGAGTTTGAGGCTACAGTGGGCTATGATCATGCCATTGCATTCCAGTCTGGGCAACAGAGTGAGACTCTGTCTCAAAATAAAATAAATAAAAGCAGAGTTCCTTGAAACATTATTACCCACAACTATTTTGTTCTGTACTAGAGAGAGCAGAGGTTAGTGGTCAGATAGACTAATACACTGACCAATTAGTCAAATGACCTTAAGGAAGTAGTCTGACTTTTATGAACCGTACCTTCCTTATCTATAAAATGGAGAGGGTAAATCCAACCTCACAGGGCTGTCAGGAAAATTCAAAGAAATAATGGAGGTAAAGCACCCATGATGGGGCCCATACAGTGTTCTTGTTTTTTGTTTGTTTTGTTGTTTGTTTTTTTCTGAGACGGAATCTCGCTCTGTCACCCAGGCTGGAGTGCAGTTGCACGATCTCCGCTCGCTGCATCACCTACTTCCCAGGTTCAAGTGATTCTCCTGCCTCAGCCTCCCAAGTAGCTGGGATTACAGGCGCCCACCACCACACCCAGCTAATTTTCGTATATTCAGTAGAGACAGGGTTTTGCCATGTTTGCCAGGCTGGTCTCAAACTCCTGACCTCAGGTGATCTGCCTGCCTAGGCCTCCCAAAGTGCTGGGATTACAGGCTTGAGCCACTGCACCCGACTTGGTGTTCTTTAAATGTTATCACCCAAGCCTTTTCCCTTTCAGGCAGCTTTCAGTCCTGAACTGCATCTTTGAAGGCATTAGGGTATCTTTGCAAAATAGATTCTAAGGTTAATTCCTTGGGGCTTCAAGGGATGTCTCACTGACTGGCCTCTTAGTCCTCTGTAAGAGGAAAGGAAAAGGTTAACCTTTAGTTTTGTGGAGTCCTGAGTTGGCGTCTTTATTTGACTGTCGGGAGCATTCAGCTAAGTTTTTGCCTTCAAAGATTTCTCTGCCAGCAGCAAAGAGAAAAGTGTGAACATTTTAAATGATTCAAGCCAGCTTGTCAGCATATTCTTCAAATCTTCCTACACATATATTTACACTTTGACTGTTAACAAGATGGATCATCCTTGGCCAGGCAGAGAAAGCAATTACTCTAGATGATTATCCCAGAATTGACACTAGCTTGGACTTAGCATCACTCCAACAATAGAAATTATCTGTTAAAAAGAACAAGATAGATATATATGGTAAAGTGGTTTTCTCTCCTAACTTGCCTTCAGTTAAAGCCCAGACGCCTCTAAGCGGGGCCAACGTTGTGAAGCAGTCTTCAACAAAGTCACATCAACCCTGCCCCACCTCACCATCCCTGGCCTAAGTCCTCATCCTGTTCCAAAACAGCCACCAACCCATTCAACCTTAACCCAGTGTGTTATCTATGGCTACCTTACTGCTCCATGTCGCTCCCACCACCATCACCCATGCCTGTGCTCACTGCTGTCCTCCTTGGCAAAATTGTGAAGTAAATGGTGTCTGCCTCTGTGGCATAGTAAAACATAAATACAATTGACCTTCGAACTACATGGGTCTGACCTGTGCAGGTCCACTGATACACGGATTTTCTTCCACCTCTGCCAACCCTAAGATGCAAGACCAATAAACCCCCAACCCCCGCTTCCTCCTCTTCAGCCTACTCAATGTGAAGGGGATGAGGATGAAAACCTTTATGATGATCCACTTCCACTTAATGAAGAGTAAAGTCATTTCCTCTTCCTTATGATTTTCTTAGTAACATTTTCTTTCTCTAGCTGACTTTATTGTAAGAATGAAGCACATAATGTATTTAACATACAAAATATTGGCTGGGCGAGGTGGCTCACACCTGTAATCCCAGCACTTTGGGAGGCTGAGGCGGGTGGATCACCTGAGGTCAGGAGTCCGAGACCAGCCTGGCCAACACGGTGAAACCCTGTCTCTACTAAAAACATGAAAATTATCCAGGCGTGGTGGTGCGTGCCTGTAATTCCAGCTACTCAGGAGGCTGAGGCAGGAGAATTGTTTGAACCCAGGAGGCCGAGGTTGCAGTAAGCCAAGATCACACCACTGTACTCCAGCCTGAGTGACAGAGAGACATTCTGTCTCAGAAAGAAAGAAAGAAGGAAGGAAGGAAGGAAGGAAGGAAGGAAGGAAGGAGAAAGAAAGAAAGAAAGAAAGAAAGAAAGAAAGAAAGAAAGAAAGAAAGAAAGAAAGAAAGAAAGAAAGAAAGAAAGAAAGAGAAAGGAAGGAAAGAAAGAAAAAGAGAGAGAGAAAGAAAGAAAGGAGAAGAAAAGAAAAGAAAGAAAGAAAAGAAAAGAAAACACACAAAAAAACATATGTTAATCAACTATTATGTTATCAGTAAGGCTTCAGGTCAATAGGCGCCTATTGGTGGTTAAGTTTTGGGGGAGTTAAATGTTATACTCAGATTTTTGACTGCACAAGGGGTCAGTGCTCCTAACCCTTGCATTGTTCAAGGGTAAACTGTATTTGGTCTTTATACCCTGTTCCTGGCATAGAACTCCAAAAATCCCTGAAATTTATTGTCTTTCATATACTCATGAGCTGACTCACTGAAAGCTGGTCACCAGAAAAACCAGCCACATGAATGGAGGGTTAGAAATTTCAGTCTCCCTCCCCCACCTCATTCTGGGGAGTGGAGGAAGGCTGGAGATTGAGTTCGATCACCCATGGCAAATGATTTAATCAATCATGCCTATGCATTGGCAATGAAACTTCCACAAAAACCACTAAATGACAAGATTTGAGGATCTTCCAGGTTGGTGAGCACACAGGTGTGCTGGGAGGGTAGTACCTGGAAAGGATGTGGAAGCTCTGTACCCTCCAGCCCCAAACCTTGACTTAGGGATCTCTTCCACCTGGCCCTAAGTTGTATCCTTTTTTTTTTTTTTTTTTTTTTGAGACGGAGTCTCGCTCTGTCGCCCAGGCTGGAGTGCAGTGGCGGGATCTCGGCTCACTGCAAGCTCCGCCTCCCGGGTTCACGCCATTCTCCTGCCTCAGCCTCCCAAGTAGCTGGGACTACAGGCGCCCACCACTACGCCCGGCTAATTTTTTGTATTTTTAGTAGAGACGGGGTTTCACCGTTTTAGCCGGGATGGTCTCGATCTCCTGACCTTGTGATCCGCCCGCCTCGGCCTCCCAAAGTGCTGGGATTACAGGCGTGAGCCACCGCGCCCGGCCTAGTTGTATCCTTTATAATAAACTGTAATAGTAAGTAGAGTATTTTCTTGAGTTCATTCTAACAAATTATCTAGTTAACTTGGGCCACACTAAGGCAAGGGTGAGGATCATAGGAATCCCCAACTTTGTTGTCAGTTAGACAGAAGTGTGGTTCACTGGGGACCACACTGGTGGCTAGCAGCTGAAATAGGGGCAGTCTTTTGGGACTGAGCCCTTTAACTTGTGGGATCTGACACTAACTCCAGGTAGATAGTGTCAGAATTGAACTGAACTATTGGACACCCAGTTGGTGTCAGAGAATTGGTGTGAAAAATATTCGGTGTCAATAATAGACACGCATTTGGTGTCAGAAGTGGTATCAGAAAACACTACACAGCCCCAGACTCCCTCCTCCTCCCCCTACCCCCTCCCCCCTGCCCCCAAAGTGCCATCTATCCTTATTGTGCTCCTTGGAGCCCCAAAAGTAGTTCATAAATCCCATAAGTCCTGGTTCCAAAATGGGCCTTAAACTACAGAATTGTCCCTTGCTCGTTCTCCCATCTCCTCCACCCACCACCACAAGAAATATAAACCTTCTTTGTCCAGTGCTTTGTCATGTTTATGTCTTTGTCCACCTGGAAAGTGTTTGCCTTCTGTTCCTATAAAGTTAAAGTTAAGCTCAAATGCCTTCTCAAAGTCTTCTCTAATCTCTCCACCAAACCTCATTTATCCCTGTTTAGAACAGTTCATCTCTACTTCTCTTTATCTGTATGCTTTATGGCATTTCAGTTTCTATCCACACTTTACTCTCGTGTTCATAATGCATTTTCCCTACTAGACTCTAAACTCTTTGCTGGCAAGGAGGTCACAGTCAAATTAGAGAAATATGTTGTGATCCATGTTTGAATTATCTTTGTATTCACAACCTGGCATGGTATTTACAGAATGAATACATGAATGAATCAAGCAGTCCCGCTACAGTGCTATGTGAAACCTACCAACCTTAAGAGCAAAATTAATCCCTTAAGTGAACATGTGCAGAATCTGCTCAGTGAAGTAGAGCAGCTCCGTTCTTTTCTACACATGAGGTCATGGGGGAAATCGAATGTATTTGACTGTGCTTACCACCCAATTTCTTGTTTTGCCCAGAATCCTCATTTCCAGGACCACAGCAACTTTTGAACTGGAATCAACCTACAAAGAATAAAATAAATAGCTGGGGTCTTTCCTACTAATAAGATGAATATTGTTTAATACTGCTTTCCTGCCATTTACTCCCAAACCTCAAAAGCCTCAGGCTGCCAGGTGCAGTGGTTCATGCCTGTAATCCCAGTACTTTGGGATTCAGAGGTAGGAGGATTGCTTGAGCCCAGGAGTTCAAGACCAGCCTGGGCAACAAAGTGAGACCCTATTCTCTACAGAAAAAAAAAAATCAAACAATTAGCCGGGCATGGTGGCACATGCCTGTGGTCCCAGCTACACAGGAGGCTGAGGTGGGAAGATCACTTGGGCCTGGGAGGTCAAGGCTGCAGTGAAACGTGTTTGTTCCACTGCACTCCAGCCTGGGTGACAGAGCCAGACCCTTTCTCAAATAAATAAGTATGTAAATAAATAAATAAATAAATAAACAAACAGCTTCAGGCCATTCAGAATTCTGAGAGTAATCATGAAGTGTTTTCTTGTACCTGCAAACCACAAACCAACTTGTGCAATTTAACAGCTTCCATTATCCGATATCTAATGATTTGGTAAGAAATAAAAACTTTGCCTTGCCAATATTTTGTGATTTATTCTCTCCAAAAGAAGTTGAAAATAGAAAAATGTAGGTGCTTTCAAACAATAAAACTCTTGACAAGTTCTGCTCACACCTATCATTCTTGGAGATTGAAGGTAACCACTCCCTTTCCCCACATGGAGAGCTGTTACAGCTCCAGGGAAATACTTTCCCCCAAACTCAACAGCTGATGAGAAACTAGAGATGAGAAACAAGAAAGGAACCAAAAGGAAGAATTGAGCACTGATCTCCATTAAGCTGACTCAACTAAATAAATGGCGAGGTTCCACTGTTACACTTCACTTCGCTATGCAGGCGGACGCTTCCATTTTATTGCCATAGTAAATTCAGACCAGAAAGTGGCAGAACATTGGCATTTCAATCAAGGCAGCTCCAGATAGGCACAAAGCACAGACGCAGGCTCAGGCAATCACACACTCACATACACTTTCCCTGCCCGGCCCACTCAGCTCTGTATGTTGAAAGCTTTATGAAAGAAAGGCTGGAGGATATCCAGAGATTGCTGACAAGATTCAAAGGGACGGAATTTTACAAATCCTTATAAAAGAACCAGGGGCCCTTCTTGCCAATGGGAATTTGAAATATGTCCCTCTGCTCCTCTGGCTGTACAGAAGGAAAAAAAATCACAAACAACTTGCTGAGAATATACATTCCCACAGAATACATCACCCTCAAGCTAAATGCTCACTGTCCTCCCTTCTTCTTTAAGAACTAAGAATCAGTGATGTTACTGGGGTAATAGCAAGCTGTCTGGCACCTTCAATCATTTGGCAAATTATAAAACAGGGCTATGTCACTTCAGCAACTGAAATAAGGAGGCAGACCAACATTATCAAATAAGCACGTGCAGTACAGGGTATAAGAAACAGAGCAATATTTCAAGCACTCACGAAATGACAAATTTTATGTTGAGCCACATCTACTGCAAAGCATCATATGATATTTCTTCAGGTACAGACATTGCACAAGGGTAACCTGTTCTGTGCACATTTGTAAAGTATTTATATTCCATCAGCTTTCTTGTCAGTAGAAAAATAATAGTGGTTCTTTGCACATATGCCAGATGAGTTTCATAATGGAAGCCATAGCTTGCTTCTAAGTAAATTATTAAATCGTCAGCTCTTTAATGAAATGGAATTGTCTGCACTCATCTTTCAGATAAAAGATGCTCTTTTGTAGAAAATGACTGTCCCTAGAATAGAAAAAATAATTTAACCACAGGATTCAGAAGATAGTGGAAAGGGAATGAAAGCAGCATTTATTGAGAAAAGCCCCAGAAACTGAGTAGGCACTTGCTATGTGATTTCACTAAATCTTAGTATTAACTCTACAAGAAAAGAACAATTATTCCCACATTAGAGATAAGCACATTCAAAGAGGCTGGATCACTTGCCCAGCCACAAAATGCTAAGAAATGGTAAAAATAAGATTTGAAAATGTAGAGCTTACTAAAACCTGAGCTTACTTAAATATTGTATGCTAACTCTCAGTCTGGATAAAGTTGGCCTAGATAATCATGCCCTGGCCTTTCAAGCCAGAATTAAATACTCTGTTAATAAGTAAGCCAATTGGTCAACTAATATGTATTAAGATCTATATATGAGTAATTGTATGTCACTCAACTATATTTCATATATATAGACTATGTGTCCTAATATAATTGCTGTTAGCAAAAAGGATTCACTAATCACAAGCATAGTCAGAACAACTTTTTTAAAAGAGTTAAGTAGAGTGAAAACTAAGTCATCTAATCCGTCAATCCATTAATTCATTCAACAAATATTTATTTGAGTGCCTATGTCCTATGTATTGTTCTAGACATTGGGGATACAGCAATGAACGAAACACATAGCATCTCTACTGTCATAGATTTTACATCCTAATGATGAAGACAGACAATAAATAAGCAAATGGATAATATGTCATTAGTGCAATGATTAAAAAAAATAAGGCAGGATTGAAAAGGGAGAGTGATTGGGGGTTCTACTTTATATTAAAATAGGTAAAGGTCTCTCCAATAAGGCAACATTTGAACAGAGACCTGAAGGATGTGAGGGAGCAAGCCATGGGAGGAGAGAAAAATTGTTCCACAAAGAGAGAAGTACAAAGACCCTAGGGCAAGAGTGTGCTCAATATGTTCAAAGTCAGCAAGGAGGCAAGTGTAACTGGGGAGAAGGAAGTGAGGAGGAAAGACAATAGAATAAAAGAAACTAAAAAGACATGTCAGCTCCATATGTGTGGAATGTTTAGGTTCTAATTCAAATAGAGGTAACTGAGACAATTAAGAAATTATTGGGGTGGGCAGAAATGGAGATGTAGGGGAAGGAAAGGGATGACAAATGCAGGGGGTGAAAGGGAAAGTGGTTAAGTTATTCCGGAGTCAAAAAATCTCGGAGAGGACTCTGAAAATCCTTGAAGCATCTGATCTCAGCTCAGATAAAAGAAATAAACATAATTGCTAACATTTATTGAGCACTGCTTTTGTGTGGTTATTCTTTTAATCTTCTGATATCTATATGAAGGTAGTATTAGTAATATTCAATGTTACAGATGAGGAAACTGAGGCACAGACAGATCAAGTAACACACCCAAGACTACACAGTCAGTAAGTGGCAAAATAAACGTTCAAATCTATAAATTTGACCCCAGAGCCCTTGTTCCTAACCACTGGGCTCTACTTAGAGCATTCCTTACCAGATAATAATGTTTCCAAATAAATGTGAGATGAAAATAATACTGTCCCTGACCACTAAGAGGCCATAAGTGAGTAGATTACTAGGTAGGTAAAATAGAGTTATGGGAGAATGTTAGTAAGCAGATGCAACCACAGAAGCAGGAACCCGTATGGGGGAGTAGGGAGTGGCTCAGTCTCTGCAGAAAGGCAGGCAAAGGAATAGTCACAAAAATCCTCCTCCTCCAACAGAGGTGGGGTTTCCCTGAGGTTCCTAAGTAATGAAGAGAAGATCTGGCATGCAGAATCTGTCATGCAAGAAATGTTTATTGAGCCAACAGATATATTTTTAAATGTTCAACATAACTAACCATCAGAGAAATACAAATCAAAGCCACAATGAGATGTCACTTCACCCAGTTAGAATGGCTGTTACCGAAAAGACACAAAATAACAAATGCTGGTGAGAATTTAGAGAAAAGGGAACCTTACATACTGTTAGTGGGAATGTAAATTAGTACAGCCATTATGGAAAACAAAATAGGGGTTTCTCAAGAAAACTAAAAATAGATCTACCATATGATCCACCAATCCCACTACTGGATATTTATCCAAAGAAAAGAAGTCAGTATATTCAAAGGGATGCTTGCATTCCCATGTTTATCATAGCACTATTCACAATAGCAAAGATAATGGAATCAACCTAAATGTCCCATCAACAGACAAAGAGATAAAGAAATGTTGTATACACAATGAAATACTATTCAGCCATTTAAAAAGAATGAAATCCTTCATTTTGCAGTAACATGAGTGAGCTTGGAGGACATTATGTTAAGCAAAATAAGTCAGGCACCAAAAGATAAGAACCACATGTTTTCACTCATGTGAGAGCTAAGAAAAAAATTTTGAGCTTTTGGAAGTAGAGTGTAGGATTGTGGCTATTAGAGACTGAGAAGGGTAGGGAGGAGGGGAAGATAGGGTGAGATTAGTTAAGAGATAAAATTACAGCTAGATAAGAATGAATTCTGGTGTTCTACAGTACTGTAGAGTGAATATGGTTAGCCATAATTTATTGTACATTTTCAAAAAGGTAGAAGAGAAGCTTTTGAATGTTCACAACACAAATGATAAATGCTTGAGGTGATGGATATACTAATTAACCTATACACACATGGAAATATCACTCGATATCCCATCAATGTGTACAATTATTACGTGTCAACCAAAAATAAAAGGGGCTGGGCCCAGTGGTTCATACCTGTAATTCCAGCACTTTGGGAGGCTGAGGCAGGAGGATTGCTTGAGTCCAGGAGTTTGATACCAGCCTAGGCAACATACTGAGATCTCATTATCTCATTTCAACAACAACAGCAAAAATTTTTTAACTAGCTAGACATTGTGACATGCACCTGTAGTCCCAGCTACTTAGGAGGCTGAGGCAGGAGGATCATTTGAGCCTAGGAGGTAGAGGCTACAGTGAGCTATGATCATGCCACTGCACTCTGGCCTGGGCAACAGAGCGAGACCTTGTCTCAAAAAATAACAATAATAAATATAAATAAAATAAAATAAAGGGAAAAAATCACCAAAAAAAGAAATATTTATTGGGTGTTCACTATGTGGCAGGGACTATGCTGGGAACTAGGGTTATAGAAGTAAGCAAGACAGTCAGGGAGGCACAGGAGCAATTTTTAAAAATATAAACAAAAATATTAGCAAGATCCTTTTGTTTGTTTGTTTTTTGAGATGGAGTCTCGCTTTGTTGCCCAGGCTAGAGTGCTGTGGCACGATCTCAGCTCACTGCAACCTCTGCCTCCCGGGTTCAAGCAATTCTCTCCTGCCTCAGCCTCCCAAAATGCTGGGATTACAGGCACCCGCCACCACGCCCAGCTAATCTGTGTGTGTGTGTGTGTGTGTGTGTGTGTGTGTGTGTGTGTGTGTGTGTGTTGAGATGGCATTTCACCATGTTGGCAGGTCTGGTCTCGACCTCCTGACCTCAAGCTATCCGCCTGCCTTGGCCTCCCAAAGTGTTGAGATTACAGGCATGAGCCACCATGCCCAGCCAGCAAAATCCTTTTAAATATTTCTCTAAGTATCATTATACACATAAAAAATAAAGGTACCTATTAATGGAGATGCTCCTTTAGGCTGAGTAGAAAGGGAAGCCCTCTTCAAGGAGACAGGATTTGTACTAAATGTATTAAAATCCACATGATTAAAAGGAGCCAATCGCTGGGCACTGTGGCTCACACCTGTAATCTCAGCTACTTGGGAGACTGAGGCAGTAGGATCACTTGAGTCCAAGCATCTGAGGCTGCAGTGAGCTGTGATCACACCACTGTACTTCCGTCTGGGTAACACAGCGAGACAAAAAAAAAAAAAAAAAGGAGTCAATCATGCTAATATCTGGAATAAAGCATTCTTGGCAGAAGCATTAACTGCTGCAAATTGCTCTTGGGTGGGCACAACACTTACTGACCTTGTAAGGGGACACACCACCATTGACCTTGTAGAAGAAATAGTAGGCAACATACACGTGCTCCCCCAGCTTCTAGTGCAATAGCTAAAGTTCAACAAATAATTGTTGAATTATGCAAGTAAAACTCCACCAAAAAAAGTTTTGATCTTTGGCAAGAGTATGAAATATTCTTCAGCTAAATCGAACTTAACAATGTCAAGGAAAATTTACAAAGAATAAAAACAATTTCAAAGTATTAAATTGGCTGGGTGCAGTGGCTCACACCTGTAATCCCAATACGCTGGGAGGCCAAAGTGAGAGGATCACTTGAACCCAGGAGTTCAAGACCAGCCTGGCCAACATAGCGAGACCCTTGTCTCTACAAAAAAAAGTGTAATTAGCAGATGTGGTGGTGTGCTAGTTACTCAGGAGGCTAAGGAGGGAGGATCACTTGAGCCCAGGAGGTCAAGGCTGCAGTGAGCTGTGATTGTGCCACTGTACTCCAGCCTGGGCGACAGGGTGAGACCTGTCTCAAAGAAAAAAAGAGGAAGACAGATCACCTGTCTGACATTTCTACTTCATACTTTGTAATATTCAACAAACATTCTATATTGGAACTGGAGTCATCTACAGACTTTAAAAGAAAGGAGGCAAGTCTGCTCAGAATCAACCTACTATTCTTATTCCAAGGTCCTCTCTTAGAAGCTGTTTTTTGAATAATTTCCCATCTATTTTCACCACCAGCAAGAATTTTATTTTTTCTAATACATATTACACAGTCTTGCAAACCTGATATAAGTAATTAAAAGACAGCAACCAAGGAGTTAGTTGCTGAATGCCACTAAGGATAGAACATACGAAAGTTTAGAAGGGACAAGGAAAAGTGGGAAAATGACTTCACTTGGCATATGGAAATCAGTCCTGCTGGCTGGTTGCCAAAGACAGAATGATTAAAGCCCTAGTGTGCTAGAAACTTTGAAGAGAAGTATAGAAAAGGTCTGTGCCCTCTTAGAGTTTATTATATCAACTACAAAAGAGCAGTTTGCAAAAGTCACAAATAAAGTTCTGAAGACTGAGATAAAGAATAAAACTTAGCAGGAGATTAGAAATAGAAGGACATAAAAAAGAATTGTTGAAGGCTTTGAAGGAAAAGACAAGGATGAACGATAAGCAGAAGAATGGGAAGGAGATACAGTGAATTCTAAAGGTTGACCTGATCAGAGTATTTATATAAGAGATACTGAGGTGTAAGATAAGTTTACTAAATACCCGGGAGTGAATTCACGTTGTGACATCAAAATTTACGCAGGGGATGTCATTGTTATTTACAGTTCACTTTTTTAAAAAGGAGGGGAAATGCTGTTTTGGAAACAATAGAATCACACACTTGAAAAGACCTTGAAAGATCATCTGGTCCTTGAAGGCTTGGTTAGCTGTCAGCCTCCAGCTGTAAGCACCTACAGGATCTGCCTTCGATTTCTAGCTAAGGCCATAGTCTTCCAGGGCAACCCCCAGCCAATGATTGAGCATAGCAGGAATATCAAGGTCTGGCTGTGTGTGCCTAATGCAGGAATCCTTTTGTTCTTTGCTCCAGAGTTCCTTTTTATGTTGGCTAAAGCTTTGTTGGATCTACACAGCAATCTGAGGCTCTCTTTGCCCTATCCTGCTTCTTCCTCCCTTCCCTATTACAGGAATCAGATCAACATCACTTTCTGAAGGCTTTCCCTGCCTAATCATGTTCCTCCTCTTTTTATCTTTCACAGACATTATACTCCCCACCCACCTATAGACCTCATGCACTCCTGACTCTATCTCCATATCTGTCTCCTGCTGGATATAATAAATGCAAAGAACATAGTCATAAAACATGTAACCAACAAAAGACTTATGTCCAGAATATACAAAGAACCTTTAAACACAATAAGAAAACAACCTAATTTTTTATAGACAAAGATTTCATTTAAAAAATATACAAATTGGCCAGGCGCGGTGGCTCATGCCTGTAATCCCAGCACGTTGAGAGGCCGAGGCGGGTGGATCATCTGAGGTCAGGAGTTCAAGACCAGCCTGGCCAATATGGTGAAACCTCATCTCTGCTAAAAATACAAAAATTAGCCGGGCATGGTAGCAGGCGCCTGTAATCTCAGCTTCTCGGGAGGCTGAGGCAGGAGAATCGCTTGAACCTGAAAAGCAGGGGTTGCAGTGAGCCGAGATTACGCCACTGCACTCCAGACTGGGAAAGAGAGCAAGACTCCATCTCCAAAAAAAAAGAAATACATATACAAATAACAAATAAGCACATGAAAATGTGTTCAATATCATAAGTCATCTGGAAAATGCAAATTAAAGCCACAGTAATAGATACTACTACACACTCATTAGAATAGCTAATGTTAAAAATACTGTCAATTCCAAGTGAGGCAGAGGATGTGGATCAACTGACACTCAAACATTGATGGTGGAAGTGTAAAGTGGTACTATCTCTTTGGAAACACAGCTTACAGTTTCTTATTGTATTAGTCCATTCTCATGCTGCCACAGAGGACCGCTCCAGACTGGCTAATTTATAAAGGAAAAAAAGTTTAATTGACTCACAGTTCCGCAGGGCTGGGGAGGCCTCAGGAAACTTAAAATCATGGTGGAAGGGGAAGCAAACACATCCCTCTTCACATGACGTCAGGAAGGAGAAGTGCCAAGCAAGAGGGGGAAAAGGCCCTTATAAAACCATCAGATCTCATGAGAACTCACTCACCATGACAAGAACAGCAGCATGAGGGTAACTGCCCCTATGATCCAATTAACTCCCACCAGGTCCCTCTCATGACACGTGGGGATTGTGAACTACAATTCAAGATGAGATGAGATTTCGGCGGGGACACAGCCAAACCATACCACTTGTTTTTTTGTTTTTTTTTCTTTTGAGACAGAGTCTCGCTCTGTCGCCCAGGCTAGAGTGCACTGGTGCGATCTCAGCTCACTGCAACCTCCACCTCCCAGGTTCAAGCGATTCTCCTGACTCAGCCTCCTGAGTAGCTGGGATTACAGGCGTGTGCCACCACGCTCAGCTAATTTTTGTATTTTTAGTAGAGATGGGGTTTCACCATGTTGGTCAGGCTGGTCTCAAACTCCTGATCTCATGATCTGCCCGCCTCGGCCTCCCAAAGTGCTGGGATTACAGGTGTGAGCCACCGTGCCCGGCCCATACCACTTATAATGTTAAATGTATACTTACTATATGACCAGCAATTCCACTTCTAGATATTTACCCAAGAGAAATGAAAACGTGTACACAAAATGGCATGTACAAAAATGTCCACAGCAGCTTTATTCATAATAGCCAAAAACTGGAAACAATCCAAATGTCCAAAAATGACTACATGAACAAATCATGGTATAGCCCTATAATGAAAATAGTACTTAGCAATAAAATAGATCAATCTACTGGTACATGCAACCAAATAAATGAATCTCAAAAACATGTTGAGTCAAAGAAGCCAAATATATTAAAGGACATATACAATTCCATTTCTATGAAATTCTAAACTGGCAAAACTAATCTAGTGATAAAAATTGGATCAAGGGTTGCCAGGGATGAGAGACTGACCACAAAGGAGCACGAGGAAATTCTCTGGGGTGATGGAAATTTTCTATATCTTCATAGGTGGTGTTTACACTCAAAATGTATGCATGTTACTGCATGATTTTAAAAATGTGTTCCTGACATTTACAAATATAGTACTAAATAAACACTAAATACTAAACAAACATGTCATTACTATATTTAATAATATTTGTTGGTATTTCAAGTGGAATATTTATCTCATTTACATTTCTAGATGATTATTACTAGAAGAGGCTATTGGTGTGTTTATTTTTCTTATATTCACAGACTTTATCAAATTTCTTTATTCTGTTATTTTTTAAGCAAAGTCTTTTGGGTTTTCTAGGTATATAATCATATAATGACCAAAAGGAATATCTTAGGCTGGGCATGGTGGTTCATGCCTATAATCACAGCACTTTGAAAGGCTGAGGCAGAAGGATCACTTAAGGCCAGGAGTTCAAAACCAGCCTGGGCAACAAAGCGAGACCCCCGTCTCTACTAAAAATAATTTAAAAATTAGCTGGGCATTGTGGTGCGTGCCTGTAGTCCCAACTACCTGGGAAACTGAGGCAGGAGGATTGCTTGAACCCAGGTGTTTGAGGTTGCAGTGAGCTATGATTGCACCACTGCATTCCAGCTTTGGTGGCAGAACAAGATCCCGTCTCATTTTTTAAAAAGGAATATCTTCATCTTTTATTATCCAACATTTATACATGTTATTTTGTTTACTTCTCTTATTGCAAGTGCTAGTGTGCTAGTCTCTAAAAGAATATTAAGTAATAATAGTGACTACCAGATGCCCTCTCCTTTCTATATGTTAAAGGAAATATCTGAACATCTAAGTGTTTAAAATACTACTCGTTGGAATTTTTGTAAAGTCTTTACCAATTTGTAGTTTCTATTTCTACTTTATTTTGTTAGAAATGATTTTTAAATTTTTTCAAATAACTTTTTAGCATTTATTAATATAACATGTTTTTTCCCTTTTATATTGTTGATGCAGGCTAGGCACAGTGGCTCATGCCTGTAATCCCAGCACTTTGGGAGGCTGACACAGGAGGATAGCTTGAGCTCAGAAGTTGGAGACCAGCCTAGGCAACATAGTGAGACTCCTGTCTCTACAAAAAAATCAAAAAATTAGCCAGGTGCAGTGGTACATGCCTGTAGTCCTAGCTACTCAAGAGGTTGAGGCAGGAGGATAGCTCAAGCCCAGGAGATCAAGGATGCAGTGAGTTGTGATCTCACCACTGCACTCCAGCCTGGGTGACAGAGCAAGACGCTGTTTTAAAAAAAAAAAAAATAGTCAATGCAATGAAATATTATTGATGTCCTAATATTGCAAAAGTTTGCTTTCCTGGTACAAAACCTCTTAAATTATTCTTTTGATAAAGTACTACCAGGTTGGTGCAAAAGTAAACCCCAATTAATTTTGCACCAACCTACTAGATTCTCTTTTGGATATATATTCACAAGCTAACTTGAACTTTGGGGTTTTTCTGGTACTATCTTTATGAAGTTACAGTAAGGCTGGCTTCATGAAATGATTTAAGGAGTTTCTTCTTTTTCTCTCCCCTAAAATGGTAAAAATAGTTTAAGACTCCATCATTCCTTAAAGATTGCAAAGGACTTAATGTGAAACTCCCAAGTCTCCATGACATTTTTAATAGTAGATATTTAATGTCCAATTTTTCTATGGTAATTAGTCTCTTCATGACCCTACTTCTTGGGTCAATTTTCTTAGAAAGTCATTCATATCTCTCAGGTTTTCGAATGTGTTGCTTTTGAGTTTTAGTTGGTAATTAATATTTTAATCTCCTTCTGCATCAGTGGTTATCTCATTTCTCATTCTTGTATAATTTTGTTCTCTTTAAAAATCTGGGTCATGACAGGATTATCTATCTTATTGGTGTTTTCAAATAATACAAAAAAGAATTGGACTTACTTATTCAAGTTTTGAGGTTTTCTATTTTATTGTTATCTTTATTGCTTACTACCATTTTGTTCCTAATAAAGATATATACATATATCTTAATATATTTACATTAATAAAATATACATATTTGTAGTTTATATATTTTTTATTTGTGGGATGCCAAATTCTCTCTGGAGATTTAAAATTGTAACATGAACCAACCACCCACTCCCACACACTTATGGTTCTTACTGTGCTTATTTAAAAATTTTTTTCATAGCATTTATTTATGATCTTCTAACAAACCTTATGCTACTTATATATTGCTTATTGTTTATCCTGTCAATTTTACATGACTATAAAGTCGACAAGGGTTGGGAACTTCCGTCTGTTCATTGATGTATCCCAAAGCCTGGAATGGTACCTGACACAAGGTAGGTGTTCAATAAATTGTTAGATAAATAAATCATAATCACATGACTCATTTTACCCAGGCAAAGGGCAAAACAGGAATACTACAGGTATTCATTCATTCACCAAAATAGAGTTCAGCATTTACTATGTGTCAGAACTGTCCTGGTGTTGACACAAGTCCCCACCCTTACCAAACCAACTGTTTACTTTAGGGCATATGAACAGGAATGGGAGGCAGAAGGATATCGTGAATCAATGAAAAAATATATTGGCTTTACAAATGTACTCTATATTTCTTACTAATCTCAAATTGGCTACAGTACCTCGCTTTTCGATCCTATTTTCCTTTACTCCACAATCCTAACAGTTTAAAATGTCGGCTTGTCAAATCCTTTAAATGCAGAGGAGATTCCAAAAGAGACAAAGTATTTGGGTGGTAATCGCCCATCGACTTTACTACCTTTAATAGTTTACCAAAGCGCGCGAATGTAAAACCCAGACCATGGTAAGACTACGGTGGAAATGGAAGGTGTCTCACTGAGGGTCCCGGTTGCCTTCTGCAAAGGTGAAGGTCGTGCCGGCCACGCGAGGAAATCTGCCTCGCTCACAACTCACAGGCACACATCAACACTGCCAACCGAGGGAGCCCAAAATCACCGCAAGCGAAAGGCTCCGGCGGCGGCCACGGGCCACAGCCCGCCTCCGCGCACACGCAGCCCCTCCCGAGCCTCCACTCGCCGTCTTCGCCCCGCCTTCGGACCGGAAGGAGTTGTTGGCGCTTCCGGTGGCCTGCGACCCCGTAATTGCCTCGGTGATGTCGTGGGTTCAAGCAGCCTCCTTGATCCAGGGCCCTGGAGACAAAGGGGACGTGTTTGACGAAGAAGCAGACGAGTCGCTCCTGGCGCAGCGGGAATGGCAGAGTAACATGCAAAGACGAGTCAAAGTAAACGTGGTGTGGACGGCGCGGGGTGCTGGGTTGTGGGAAGAGGCGCGGAGTTGTGAAGAAGCTGGGTCCAGAGTGGCCCCAGCCTGGCCCGGCGCTGCTCTCTTTATCCCTAGGGACCCGGTCCGACCCGCGTCTTGCTAGGATTTCTCGATGGTTACTTGAAAGCGTGTAAAACAACAAGACGCATTCTTTGAGCGCCTACGGGATGCGTTAGAAACTGAGGACCGACCAAAATTAACTATGTGTAGACTTTGAACAGTTTGCAGTTTGTTGAGGATCACAGGGAAAGGAGCTGGAGAGAAACATACACTATACTTATTATGGCTGTCAAAGGACGTGTACGCAGTTTATATGGGTGGCTTGAATGGGTAGGGAGCCTAAAGTTAAGGAGTAGTGTTAATCAAGACATATTGAAAAGATGAACTAAAGCATGCTGTCAGAGGACAATAAGGGAAAGCTAATGTGGAATACTGGTGTCTAGGTAAGGGAATATTAAAGTTGGTTTCTTTTTTATTTGTTAGATGTAACTTTTTCATCTCTAATTTGTCTCACTATTCATTGAAACTAAGCTTAATTTCTGTGTGCAGCCTACAGTATTTCTGGGTGAGGACCAAATAGTGAGGTCCACATCCACTTAATATATTTGCCAACCATTAAATTGCCGCTAAAGCTGCAGTTGGGAATCTGCCCTGTTTAATATTTCAGTAGAGTGGTATTTGCTTAGCCCAAAAACCATGTTGTCAATTACAAAAATGCTTTATGTGAGACTGGGGCCACACTAATAAGTATTGAGCATCTTTTAAATGCTGTGGCACCGTGAGAGATGCAGAACGAAATCACTACCCACAGAGCTTTTGCAGGTTAGTTGAATTTAGGTATTATGCAAAATTTCTGAAACCAGACTTCTCATCATCCTTTTTTTTTTAAACAATTTCCTCTCTCTGCTTTGCCCTGTCTCCTCACCCACCCACACCATTCCAATCAGTTGGCAAGAGCCCAGATGTGTAATTTTCCATATATCCTTTTTGTGAAGACATTGCTAATGCTGGGTTTTGTTTTTTGTTTTTTGGTTTTTTTAATCTTTTGAAGTGATTAGAAAAGTTTATTTTGTGCTTAGGATATTTTTCTAAGGCATCACAGGTTACACATCCAAACTCTTCAATGGTATAATATTTTATATTCTAAAGGAGAGACCTTTAAAGAAAACTTGTACATTATGCTACTATAAGTCTAGTGGATTCTCCTATCCGCAGAGCCTAGAAAGAAGGGGACATTACAGAAATTGTCTACTACATAATGGTCAGTTGATTCATTGTATTTATGGTTTTCCCCCTTCTTGTAAGGTGAAAACTATGTATGCCCTTTAAGGAGTATGCTCTTTAAGGAGTAAAAATACACTAAGTGTACCATCCTGTTGATTTCTACCTGTAAGATACCACACAATATTAGCAGTTAGGAAAGAACAGGAAAATATGAAGTTTGTATCTTAAAATATAAAAATGTGTGGCGAAACCCCATCTCTACTAAAAATACAAAAATTAGCCGGGTATAGTGGCGTGCACCTATAGTCCCAGCTACTTGGGAGGCTGAGGCAGAAGAATCACTTGAATCCGGGAGGCAGAGGTTGCAGTGAGCTGAGGTCATGCCACTGCACTCCAGCCTGGGTGACAGAGCGCGACTCCATCTCAAAAAATAATGATAATAATAAATATATATATATATAGTTAATGATTTTGAAACATCAAGCATTACAGACTGTAAAATTAATTAAGAACTTTCTGTATATGATGCCAAAGATACATTTAAAACATATACAAGAAGATGCTTTTTCCTGAGTAGAATGCAAACTTTGTTTTATATTAACCTTCTGTGAATTTTCAAAATGTAAAATACCAGGACTTTTCCACATCAGACAAAAATCAGGAATGTTCACCTTCACATCCAAAAAGAAAAATTTTAAAAGACAATTTCAAGTAGTTCAGCAAGAATGATTTAAAATCTGAAATGAATGGCCAAAATTTTAAATTATCAACAGACAGTTCAATTTGATGGATCTCTCAGTAAACTTCAGTTTGAAACAACAACAAAAAATGCTGTTTACTAAATCATAAAAGATAATTCCAGGATATTATCCAATTTGAAAAATAAAAAATGTAACCCGTAATAAATAAGAAAAATACAAGAGAAAATCAACCTTTATTGGAATCGAGAGAATACCATGGACTTTAAAACTTCCTAAATCAGTAGCTTATCCTATATTACCATGTGTAGAAAACTGCAACTAATTAATGTAAGGTAGTTTTTATTAGTTGCATAACTTAAAAATATGAGGAAATTTTGGAATATATCTCTAAAACCACGGAATTGTCACTGAAATATATATTTCTTGAGACAGTGGGCAAAGTTCCCATTTATGGGAAATACTTTCCTTTTTTCACACACATGAAACTGAGAAAAATTATATCAAATGAGAAATATTTTTCTCTAAAATAATCTTAAGTACCCCAATAATGCAATACTGGGGAAATGTAAATTTTCAAAACTCAGATTTGAAACAGGTTATTATTAAACAAATATACATAAATCTTATTGTTTGGCAAGATTTTTCAAAAATTAGAGAACTAGTTAAACCACCATACTGTCCTTAAATCATATTTCAAACTTACATACCTAGTGCTTTTATGTTCTGAATGTAGAGTCTTCAATTTAATGACAATCTAGACTGAATGCTGTAATATACAAGCAAGTCACAGTTCACTTCAAACCAAAAGAAATAATCAGTCTTCTGTTTTTATCAAAATCATGATATTAAGATAACTATACAATTTATCTGTGACCAGTGATGGACCCAGAGAGTGTTGTGTTATGGCATTCTGTGGAAAGTCTTTGTTCCTTCTTTACTTTTGGCTTCTTCTTCTGAAACATCTTCTTTATCCGCCTCTTGTTCTTCCTCCAGTTTTTTCAAAGGTTGAGCAGATTCTGATAATTTTTTTGAAGGGTATGGCTGTGGTGTGTGCCTTTCTGAAGGACAAAGGCAACCTGCCACAAATATCATACAGAGTCCTAGTAACAGTCCAGAATGCAGAGTTGCTAAAGGAAAAACAGCATATGATCCCCACACTGGCAATCCAATGTCTTCAATAAAGTAGTTATGGCAAGTCCTGATCCACGTAGATAGCTGAAAGAGTGCTGACGTACTACTCATCTGAACAGAACCTG
Organism: Homo sapiens; assembly: GCF_000001405.40. NCBI lineage: Eukaryota > Metazoa > Chordata > Mammalia > Primates > Hominidae > Homo > Homo sapiens. The sequence goes on from NC_000007.14 coordinate 39,569,770, forward strand.
AAACAAACCATGATGAAACGGGTTCAATACTCTTCCACTCTTTATCACTTATAAAGTTTATGAAGTCCTTCTGAGTCCTTGGACCCTGAGGATGCCTAAATTCACCATCTTTACAATGATAAATAGTAGGAAGAACAGTTATTGTAAACTGTCCAGTCAGTCCTGGCTGCTCTGTGACATCTACTTTCACAACATTAACCTCAGATCTTCTCCCCATTCAGCAAAACTTTCCCATTCCGGTTAATGGTTTTGACAAGCAGGGCACCACGGGGCATAAAATTGTATCATCCAGCCTCCTTCCAGCAGCTCTCTCCAGTTCTTGTCTGTGATGATGCGTACGTTGCTCTGCCGCCTGTGGGTCCAGGGAGCACCCCCAAGCAACAGTACCAGGACTGCCAGCGGAACTGCAAGACTCCTGGAGGGTGCCATGTCTGCCGCTTGCCCACCTCACAGCAAGCGTGGCGGCCCAACACTAGGTTTTTTAAAAACTGTGACTATCAGTGTTTTAAAAATTGCCCGGTAACTCTAGACTTCAAAAGTGGGATAAGTAATGATAAACCAATAATAAACTTAGGAGAAGCATAGTCTGCTTTAGTTATATTGTTATGCCATATTATGGTCAGTAACACAGTAAAGGCCTAATTCATCTGCTTTCTAAATTGGTTCTGTACTTTTCTAGAAAAGCCTACATGTATATACTTAGTTACAGCTGCACTTCTCCATTACTTATTTTTAGGAAGGTTATAGAGATGGAATAGATGCTGGCAAAGCAGTTACTCTTCAACAGGGCTTCAATCAAGGTTATAAGAAAGGTGCAGAAGTCATTTTAAACTATGGACGACTCCGAGGAACATTGAGGTAATTTTTAAAGTCTAAATGCTGAATCATTTTAACCTCAATACTACTGGAGGATGTTTCTGTATAAATAAAGTGTTTAAACTGAAATGCTTTTCCTGGTGCTAAATACACTAAAGCGTGTCGCAGATCATAGAATTATATTGCCTTCAAAAAGTCAAAATCTTTATCAGCTCATCTACTTTAATGTGTGAACTACATATTGTCTTTTCGTGCAAAGAAATGGTAAGAAGATGTATACTTCTGCTACCTGAACAATTATCTATCTCATTGAAAGGTCTTCAGATTTTGAATAAAACTTGTAGTACTTCCACACAGTATGACAGACCTCTAGACTAGAAGTACATGATGAAAATAGTTGGTAATTAAGATAAAATTGATTTAATTTACTTTAGTCCTGAACATTGAATACTTGTCAGGATGCCATTGCAATAATGGCATATATCGGAGCCAAATGGTCAAATGATACACAGAGCCAGGAGCCTAGCAGCCTTGTCCAGTTTGATGCTCTATACCAAGCTTGTCCAACCAGTGGCCTGCATATCACATGTGGCCCAGGACGGCTTTGAATATGGCCCAACACAAATTCATAAACTTTCTTAAAACAATATGAGCATTATGAAATTTTTTTCATGATATTTTTTCTTTTTTCTTTTTTTTTTTTTTTTAACTCATCAGCTATCATTAGTGTTAATGTATTTTATGTGTGGCCCAAGACAGTTCTTCCAATGTGGCCCAGGAAAGCCAAAAGATTGGACACCCCTGCTTTATACCCTTTACACTGTCCTTGGTAGAGAAAAAAAAAATGCTTCAAAGAATCGCTAATTTTAAAGAAGAGTAGATGATAAAAGTTACCAAAACAAACCGAAAAATTTATTGTATTTGGGATTTTAGAAAATCCAACTATTAGGAACCAGAATTTAGTCTGCTACAGTAGGAAAACAATGTGAATATTCACATCATCAAGTTGATGTTACATAACCTTAGAAAGCTACTGCTGAATCTTTTATATCAATGGATTCTATTTTTAAATACTTTTCATAATAATCATTATTTTATGACATGACTATAATATTAAATCTGTTAGGACTAGAAGAATTTTTACCTTTTTCAAGGAAATTGTTAGTAGTTCAGCAAACAGTTTCTACTCTGTGACATAAGCCCAGGAAAGTGAAGTCTCTTGAAAACTTCTTTTCTCTAACCTTCATTCTTGATGGCAAGCAACTATGTGCTTAGAACGATGGTTTTCAACTTTGGTTGCACCTTAACTCTGAAACTTAAAAAAAAGATACCCCCTGAGATTCTGATTTAATTGGTGTGGAGTATAATCTGGGCCTTGATAGGGGTCAGAGCTCTTCAGGTGATTCTAATGTGCATCCATGATTGAGAATTGCTAGTTAAGAAGCTGTTTAATGTCCTTAAAGAAGAAACTAATTTTTCTTTCTCGGAGTTGTATTCATCTTCAACAGATATTACATAGTCATAAGAGAAAAATATAAAATCAGGAAAAGCGTATATAGAGTTATGAAAGAGGGGTTATGAATTATAAACAGTTTTATGATTAAGTCCAATCGTTTAATTGTTATTGAAAGATAGTCTTATATTTTTAAGTCCTATTTTGCTATTTAACCCTTGTTTATACTTTTGTTCAGTGCTTTGCTCTCCTGGTGTCACCTTCATAATAATAATTCAACTTTGATCAATAAAATAAACAATCTTCTGGATGCAGTTGGCCAGTGTGAAGAGTATGTGCTCAAACATCTGAAATCAATCACTCCACCGTCCCATGTTGTAGATTTATTGGACTCCATTGAGGATATGGACCTTTGTCATGTAGTTCCAGCTGAGAAAAAGATTGATGAAGCTAAAGATGAAAGACTCTGTGAAAATAATGCTGAGTTTAACAAAAACTGTAGCAAGAGCCATAGTGGGATAGATTGTTCATATGTAGAATGTTGTAGAACACAGGAGCATGCACATTCAGAAAACCCAAGCCCCACATGGATTTTGGAACAGACAGCCAGTTTAGTTAAACAGCTGGGCCTATCAGTAGATGTATTACAACACCTCAAACAACTATAAAATTACCTTCCCTTTTCTAATGAAAATAATGTTCAGAACATTTGGTTTCCTAACAATCGAAATTTGTACTGGTTTCTGCATCAAACACCTCAACTGTAGGGTTACCCTTTATGGAAGTTTGAAATTAACACTATTGTCTTCAAAATTAACACTATTAAATGTAATATAAGCCTTTTTTCTTTGTCACTGGTAATTTTTATGTAGTTTTAAGATATGGTCAGAAATTTCTACTGTCATTGACATTTCCAAACTTGTGGTCAAAATGAAGTGTTTTCAGACTCATTAGCAAAAGTGAACAAGAATTAAACATATTTTGTAAGGACCTACCCCTACTTCTACCTCCTGTCACTATTAGGTGGTCAGGACCTCACCAAACCAAAGTTATAAAAATAACTTAATAGTTAACGTAAATATAGACACACAGACAGATATATAGATATAGATATGTAGATATATATTGAAATTAAGAGACTGTGAGAAACTGAAGCAGTGTTTATGCTGTTGATTAAATGGTTAACAGCAAAATACTAAAATGTGTTTTAGTTTTGTGTTAATTAAAAGTAAGGACATTCAGTTTTATGAAAAACATAGAAAATATATTTTATGCTAAAGTCTAAGGAAAATGCCTACTTAGTTTTTCTAAGTAGTAAGGAGTTAGTAATATTGCCTAACAGTGTGCCAGATTATTTTAAACTGCAGTATATTTCATATTCACATAGGAGTAAAACACTGAAACCACTGACTTCTATATTACCTTGAGGTAATATTCTTAGTCTAGCATGGACAAAATTAGATTCAAATTTTTACTCCAGGATCTAAACTCAGAATCAGGAGAGGATTTCTCAGCACTTTTATTCACCTGAAACACAAGTTTATATGAGATACCTGACTTCAAAGGCACTGAAATAATTGTCCCTCATTGGTAGCCTTAATTGCTCTTTCACCCCTATTTATACCTACCATCTAAGCTGAAAGACAGGCATATTGAGATGAAGAATCTGACAAAGTATATCTTTTCAAGAGATTAAAAATGTACACTGTACTATGACCCTCCTCAAAGTTCACAGAAGAACATTAAGAAATTGAAGCAACAGATTTAAAATCAGAAAGCCATATTGAGTTTCAGGATTTATTAAAACCCCCGCTGAAGATACCAGTGCCATTTGACAGCTGGCTAAAAAAAGCTCTTCGATCTCTCCAGGTGTGAAGACTGTTTTTCAGAGATTTACTAGTTTGTCTTGTTAATATATGTTTCCATGTTTATGGACACAGCCCAAATCTCAACTCCACATGGAATATGGGTATTATAAGCAGCCTCTAAAGTCTTTTTAATGTTGCTGTGCCGTGCATATACATATGAAATACCTCTAAGGATGCATCTCAAGGCCACCCTAAGTAAAAATGTCATGGGTGTGGTAAATCTTGAGATTTTTATCTAGGCTTTTCCTGATAAGATTCCCTGAAGATAACACCCATTGCCACCATTGGCTACATATGGTGTGTTTGTACAGATTTTTGTCGAAAATGAAATCAGGAGAATTAGCTAGTTGAGACTATTGGATTGAAAACATCTCTCGAACTTGTTTTGCCTTTTAAAAAGTACAGAAGGGGCCAGGCACAGTGGCTCACACCTGTAATCTCAACACTTTGGGAGGTGAAGACAGGAGGATCACTTGAGTCCAAGAGTTCAAGACCAGGCTGGGCAACATAGTGAGACTTTGTCTCTAGTAAAATGAAAAAAATCCGCTGGGTGCAGTGGCTCATGCCTGTAATCCTAACACTCTGGGAGGCCAAAGCAGGTGGATTGCCTGACCTCAGGAGTTCAAGACCAGCCTGGGCAACATGGTGAAACCCCGTCTCTGCTAAAATACAAAAAATGAGCCAGGCATGGTGGTGCATGCCTGTAATCCCAGCTACTGGGGAGGCTGAGGCACAAGGATTGCTTGAGCCTAGGAAGCGGAGGTTGCAGTGAGCCAAGATTGTGCCACTACTCTCCAGCCTGGGTGACAGAGCAAGACTCTGTCTCCAAAAAAAAAAAAAAAAAAAAAATCCGACAGCCATGGTGTTAAGTCCCTGTAGTCTTCGCTACTTGGGAAGCTGAGCTGGGAGGATCACTTGAGTGCAGAAGGTTGAGGCTGCAGTGAGATAAGATCACCCCACTCTACTTCAGCCTGAGTAACAGAGCAATACCCTGTCTCTAAAAACATGAAATACAGAAGTTCCTGGACTGCAGAGGAATGTTAATGGCATGCTGATTCTACCTGTGTTCCATGAACATGAGCCTCTGTACTAGAACCAAGAATGAAGGGAAAGAGCTTACTGGCCTTGGGTCTCTTGCCTTGCCTCACATGTTGTAGGTCTGCCAGGTCTTCCCATGAGAATACCCTGCATGAGCATAAATGAAAAATGGTAAAGCAAGATTGCCCCAGAGCTGGCACAGCCAGAGTTTCAAGGCCCAGAACCCAGACATTAGACTGAGTGGTGTGGCTTCCTTAGAAACAAATTTCATCTAAAATAAGTTACTTCTGGGTGCTAATATATCTGAGGTTTTTAAAAAGGGTGATAAGGAAGCCCACAGAACCACACTTTTCTGACATTTTAGTTACTAGAACTGCTGAGGCCACCAAAAATGTTGTGATATGTAAAGGGAGTGGGCAGCTGAATGCATATACCTGCGTCCTTACCTAATATATATCCTTTACACTACTTATTAACTGCTTTGTGGGAAACCAAAATAAAAGCCTTCAGCCCAGTCTAAGTTGTGATTCTACCCTCTTCCAACTAAGGTTAGAGCTTAGTTCTTAGAACTAAGTTTCCAGTCTAAGATACAGGAGAGAGAGAGAGAGAGAGAGAGAGAGAGAGAGAGAGAGAGTGAGTGTGTGTGTGTGTATAGAGAGTGATTCACCAATCAGGCTTCTTGTTCTACAGAAATTCTCAAATCTCTGTCATGAAGATACTTTACCGCAACAGTTGCCTTTCTTGATTTTGCCCCTACGTAATGCCTTTTCTGAACAAACATGCTGGAGCACGAGTCTGCCATCACTGTCTCAAATTCTTAATTTCTCATGCACTCTCCACCTTTAAACTACTTTTTGCTAAAGTCACTGATAGCCAGTCACACAACTGTCCATCACTGACTTGTTTTCAGTCCTATCATTTGTCTCCTCTCCATCATTGGACATGAACAATTCACTGCTTATACAATCCCTTCTCCTTGCCTTCTCCAACAGCACTTTTTCTTGTCCGCTCATTACTATTCCCTATCATTTTGCTAACTCTCCCCGACTCTGACTGCTGCTTAGATGTAGGGATTCCCCAGAGTTTCACTGTTGGACCTCTTTGTTTTTATATTCTGACCAGATGATCTCACCTATTAATGTCATCCCTGTTCATCCATAGCTGGAAACATTAAGTCTTCCTCTGCCCTTCCTGTGCCATCATACCCTACTTCTAACTGAGTTGCTTTACATCTTTCAAACAGTTTGAGTCTGGCCTCCTTTCATTCTAATCACCCAGATTTTAATTAATTTATGTACCAGCCTCATCACTAATGTCAGTACCTACAATCTAGCTGTCTTCCTGTCCATTCTGTCTCTTACCAATATTATCTTTCCAAAACAGTTTACTTCCCTGACTTAAAACCTAGATTTATTCCCTTTTGTTTCTGTTTTTGTTTTTCAGGTCTTGGCCCAAACCTGTTGAAGTGTTGGGCCCAAAAGAGTGTTGTCAGTCTTCTTTTCCCACCTGCCTCTTTCCATTCACCATGCACACTACACTTCTTTACAGGCATTACTACAATGCTTTATGGACACACTAGGCTTATTCCCAACTTAGATTTTTACTCATTGCTGACTCTTCTGCCTAGAATACTTTATTCCACGTCCTTTCCCAGCAAATTCCTGTCACCCTCCAATACCAGCTTAAATTTCAGCTTCATCAGGCAGAGGTGATTGCTCTTCCCAATGTTTCCCCTGCATCACTTTGAGTGTCTCTTCACGTTTCTCCAGGAAAATCCCTTATTTAGTGTTATAGTCCCAGCATTCAGCATCACACCCTGTACATAGATGCATAGGTGGTGCTTGATGAGAGAAAAAAAAAATGAATCTACTAGCCAACATGGAAATATAACCAGAACAGGAGAACAGGATTCCAAAATACATCGTGTTACATTCTTTTGTAAATCTTTATGTTAGCTTTTCTTTTTTGAGATGGAGTTTTACTCCTGTTGCCCAAGCTGGAGTGCAATGGCGCAATCTCGGCTCACTACAACCTCCACCTCCTGGGTTCAAGTGATTCTCCTGCTTCAGCCTCCTAAGTAGCTGGGATTACAGGGGCCTGCCACCACACCCAGCTAATTTTTTGTATTTTTAGTAGAGATGGGGTTTCATCATGTTGGCCAGGCTGGTCTCAAACTCCTGACCTCAGGTGATCCACCCGCCTTGGCCTCCCAAAGTGCTGGGATTACAGACGTGAGCCACCACACCTGCCTTATGTTTGCCTTTCTAAAAAATGTTTATCTTCATTTTGCATGTTAATAAAAATCCACATATCCAAACTGTGTCATTGAGAGGTGACGAAGTGCTGGCAGCCCTCTCTCACTCTAGGTGCCTCCTTGGCCTCAGCACCCACTCTGGCTGCGCTTGAGGAGCCCTTCAGCCCGCTGCTGCGCTGTGGGAGCCCCTCTCTGGGCTGGCCGAGGCCGGAACCGGCTCCCTCCCCTCCCAGGGAGGTGTGGAGTGAGAGTGGCGAGCCAGCGTGAGCTTCTGGTGGGAGGTGGGCTTGGCAGGCCCTGCACTTGGAGTGGCCGGCCAGCAGGGAGGGAGGGGTTTAGCACCCGGGCCAGCAGCTGCAGAGGGTGCACCAGGTCCCCCAGCAGTGCCAGCCTGCCGGCACTGCGCTCAAATTCTCGCCAGGCCTCAGCTGCCTCCCCGGTGGGCACGGCTCAGAACCTGCAGCCTGTCATGCCCTAGCCTCACCCCCACTGTGGGCTCCTGCGCAGCCCAAGCCTCCCCAACGAGCACCACCCCCTGCTCTGCTGCGCCCGGTCCCATGGACTGCCCAAGGGCTGAGGAGTGCGGGTGCACGGTGCGGGACTGGGAGGCAGCTCCGCCTGCGGCCCAGTGCAGGATCCACGAGGTGAAGCCAGCTGGGCTCGTGAGTCTAGTTGGGACTTGGAGAACCTTTATGTCTAGCTAAGGGATTGTGAATACACCAGTCAGCACTCTGTGTCTAGCTCGAGGTTTGTAAACACACCAATCAGTGCTCTGTGTCTAGCTAATCTGGTGGGGACTTGGAGAACCTTTATGTCTAGCTAAGGGATTGTGAATACACCAGTCAGCACTTGGTGTCTAGCTCGAGGTTTGTGAATACACCAATCAGTGCTCTGTGTCTAGCTAATCTGGTGGGGACTTGGAGAACTTCTATGTCTAGCTGGAGGATTGTAAATGCACCAATCAGCACTCTGTGTCTAGTTCAAGCAGCGCTCTGTGTCTAGCTAATCTGGTAGGGAGTTGGAGAACCTTTATGTCTAGCTAAGGGATTGTAAATACACCAATCAGCACTCTGTCAAAACGGACCAATAAGCTGTCTGTAAAACAGACCGATCAGCTCTCTGTAAAATGGACCAATCAGCAAGATGTGGGTGGGGCCAGATAAGGGAATAAAAGCAGGCTGCCCAAGGGTCTAGTTGCAGGCTGCCCAAGGGTCTAGTTCCATGTTGTGGAAGCTTTGTTCTTTTGCTGTTTGCAATAAATCTTTCTGCTGTTCACTGTTTGGGTTTGTGTTGTCTTTGTGAGCTGTAACACTCACTGCAACGGGCTGCAGCTTCGCTCCTGAGGCCAGCGAGACCACGAACCCATTGGAAGAATGAACAACTCCAGACGCGCTGCCTTATGAGCTGCAACACTCACCGCGAAGGTCTGTAGCTTCACTCCTGAAGCCAGTGAGACCATGAACCCGCCAGAAGAAAGAAACTCCGAACACGTCTGAATATCAGAAGGAACAACCTCCGGACACACCACCTTTAAGAACTGTAACACTCACCGCGAGGGTCTGCAGCTTCATTCTTGAAGTCAGTGAGACCAAGAATCCACCAATTCCGGAGACTACATCGTCATACACCAGGCTAAACAGTTACGTTAATATAATAGCATTTACCAGTCATTACAAATTTTACAATGAATAAGTTAATATTACAATATAGCAAAACTTTAAAAAATACAAAATTATGTTTTAGTATAGTTTCCGCTACTAAGAAAGTGCAGAAAGAAACTACACAAAGGCAAAAACTAGGTGAAAACAAACCAAGATGTTAGTTTCTAGCAGGATCCCTGGTGCATAGTTCTAATAACAGTAAGGAGCTGGAGGAAAAAGAGAGGGGAAGTAATGGTTAACGCAGGCAGTGTTTACTATATGTAGGCACTATATTCTAAAAGCTTTACATATATTAATTTCTTTAATCCTCATAATAGCCCTCTCCTGCAGAGCTGCTTTTATGCCCATCTTAGAGATTAGGAAATCGAGGCACCAAGAAGGCTAAGTAATGTGTCCAGTTTGTAGCTACTAAATGGCCCACTTGAGATTTAAACCAAGGCAAGCCTGGTTCCAGAGTGTGTACTCAGGGTGGATGCTTACTAAATAATAACATGGTAGCAGTGACTGTGTTTAGTAGGGGGACTGTGAGCTATGTGTTTACTTTGCTGTTAATTTCTATTTTTCTATGAGAGGCCGAGGTGGACAGGTCACTTGAGGTCAGGAGTTCGAGACCAGCCTGGCCAACATGGCAAAAACCCATCTCTACTAAAAATACAAAAATTAGTCTTGTGTGATGGCAGGCACCTGTAATCCCAGCTACTCAGGAGGCTGAGGCAGGAGAATCGCTTGAACCCAGGAGGTGGGGGTGCAGTGAGCTGAGATCACGCCACTGCACTCCAGCCTGGACAACAGAGTGAGACTCTGTCTCAAAAAAAAAAAAAAATCCTGCTTTTCTGCATTTTTCAAGTCTTCCCCAGTCAGCAAGTATTATTTTTATTTTAAAAATGTATGTAATAGCCGAGCTACGTGTCTATAGCTCACACCTACAATCGCAGCACTTTGGGAGGCTGAGTTGGAAGGATCACTTGAGCCCAGGAGTTTGAGACCACACCAGCCTGGGCAACATGGCAAAAGCCTGTCACTACCAAAATAATAATAGCCAGGCATGGTGGCATGCAACCTGTAGTCCCAGCCTCCTGGGAAGCTGAAGTGGGAGGATCACCTGAGCCCAGGAGCTTGAGGCTGCAGTGAGCTGTGATCGCACCACTGCACTCTAGCCTAGGCAACAGAGTGAGACCCTGTGTCTAAAAAAACAAAAAAAGCATAATAACCAACAGTTATAAGGAACAAAAAATTTACCAGATTTGTTTGCTATACATGTAGAAAAAGAGATGGTCCCTGCCTACTCGAGGGGAGAATATTATGTAGAAAGTGGTTTAGCACATATACTAAAGGAGAAACTAAATTCTCCTCGGACTTCTTAGACTTTCTATCCTCCAAACGGGAAGATAGTTTATGTCACTCATTTTGTGATGATGTGTCTAGCTTTTACATATTCCTATTCAACTGAAAGGAAGGGTGTTAGCTCACCACTCACATATGTGCATACTGCTGCAGATCTGCCAAAAAGAGCCAAGAGTCCTCAGTGTGTAACACTCCGTTTTCTTGCCCTATAAATAGTCTGCTCTTTCCAAAAAGAAGATCAAAGTACTAATCAGAACTACCTACAGATTGAGTTCTGCGGAAGTTGAATCCTGGTGCTTTCATGCATGTGTATGCAACTCACCACTGAGAGAGGCCTTGGACCTTTGGATCCTCTTTCTTTCGAAGAAGCTGTTGAGTTAGTTCAAGGCCACTAGGTGGTGCTCGTGCACCCTGATAAGTTAGCACGTGTTTCATTCCTTGGTAATGTGCCCTTTGCTTAGACCTCATGGTCACAAGTACAAGAAGCTAGTGATTATCCCTAAAGCTATACCAGACAGATTGAGCCATTTGTGAAGTTGGGTGGATGAGGAGGGCTTTTGGGGTATGTCGACAAATAAGAAATTAGGATCCTCCTGTTCTTGTTTAAATTCTAGGCTGAGAATTTTTCTAAATCAAAATAACTGATCATAAGAAAACCTGTTCAAAAGAAAAAAGCACCTTTTTTCCAAAGCTCTGAGGCCTAAAAGTAAACACCTAGAACCCAAAGCATGCAGCCTTCAATCAGAAGCAATGTAAAATTCTAACCTCACCTGCAGGAAGCATCTCTACTTGCCAAGCAGGACTGCACCTAAACTGTTTCAAACAACACTTGCAGTTCATCTCTTGATCTCACTCTCTCTTTTTCTCTCACACACACAAACACAACTTTTCAGGATGTAAACATAGGGAGAGACAACAACTTTGTTAACCTACTCAAATATATCACAACTCTTCTCTTTTTAGTCAACAAATCGACAACCAACTAGGTTTTCCTCTCATCAAATACAACTCTAGAATAGTTAAGCCTGTTTCCTTATTAATGACATAGTCATCGTTATCTATGTAACATGGCTTTGTTATTTATAAAAGAAATATATGGTTCTAGATAGATTTTTAAACACAAAACAAATGAGTTGTCAAATTGCTTGTAATAATGAAATATGAGAGATTTGACAATAGTATAATGATAGCTTTTGCCAATAAAGCAAAATGACTGAAATTGGGGTATAATGTAAATAACCTGAAAATAAAATATCTTCTTTTTCTTATTTGGAGGCATTGCAAAACACCTTTCTTCCAAAATCAGATTCTGAAATAACCAAAAACTCTCTAACCTGTAATTAAAAATTACACCATGGAACAGCAAATTATTATTAACAACTAACCACCCTGGCACGGTGGCTCATGCCTATAATCCCAGCACTTTGGGAAGCTGAGACAGGTGGATCACTTGAACCCAAGAGTTCAAGACCAGCCTGGGAAACATAGGGAGACCGCATCTCTACAAAAAATACAAAATCAACCGGGCATGGTAGTGCACACCTATGGTCCCAACTACTTGGGAAGGCTGAGGCAGAAGGATGGCTTAAGCCCAGGAGTTCAAGGCTGCAGTGAGCCGTGATCCTGCCACTGCACTTCAGCCTGGGTAACAGAGTGAGACCCAGTCTCAAAAAAAAAATAAAAAACAAGAAAATAACCATAAAAATAGCTTTTTAAAAAGTAAAAGTTAATTTTTTTTTTAAGAGATGGAGTCTCACTCTGTCACTAAGGTTGGAGTGCAGTGGTACAATTACAGCTTATGGCAGCCTCAATCTCCTGGGCTCAAGCAATCCTCCTGCCTCAGCCTCCCAAGTAGCTGGGACTACAGGCACTACACCAGCTTCTGAGAACTGTGTCTGTAGGTAGTTCTGATTAGTACTTTGGTGATATTCTTTCTGGAAAGATCAGACTATTGATAGGACTATACCATGCCGGGCTAATTTTGTTGTTGTCATTTTTGTTGTTGTCATTGTTGAGATAGGGCCTCACTGTGTTGCCTGGGCTAGTCTAGAACTCCTGGGCTCAAGTGATCCTCCTCCCTCGGCCTCCCAAAGTGCTTGAATTCTAGGCATGAGCCACCATGCCCAGCCAAAAAAAAAATTAGTTAAAAATAGTTATTTTAACTAACCATATAATTTTAACCTATCAGCTGTTTAGAAATGACTGCAATAGAATTGAATGTAGAAGGAAAACTCATTTAATTCATTTGTAGAAGCCAATTAAAAGTATTTTCATTTAAAATCACATTGTTTTGTCATTCAAGCTGCCAAACGATATATTATTAGTCTGTGATTTTTATCTTATAGGCCAATATGAGGTCTGTATGATGTCTGAAATCTGTCACAATGTTCACTTATGACCCACCCCATTTGTCAGCTTAGAGAGCGTTTTTTATTTCTGTCAGTGTGCTGGAACAAAGGATGGCCTTCATGAAAGGTAGCAGAAGCACTGAGGTCAGAGATGGGATTTCACTCAGCTACTCATCAGAGACCTTGCCTCTTTAGTGTGAACATGATACTTCTGACCTCATCACAGGTTGCTTTGTCTCCAAGGAAGTAACCAGGGACAACTTGAGAAAGTCAGGCAAAGTAAGTTGCCATTGACAGATGGTGTTCAGCTGATAGAAAGAATGAATGGAGAAGCTGACAGAGAAAGATGCCAAAGATCGGTATAGCTTTCCATTTGGTATAGCAGAAGATGTATCAAATCAAAGCCATTTATATACATTTACGTAAAAATCCCACTTCTAGGAATTTAGTTAAAGGAATTATAAAGGTGATTTTAAAAACTTGCAGCGCAAAGCTATTGGTTGCTGCATTCAATCTAGAGTAGAGAAAAATTAGAATAACCCAAATGATCAACAATTTTAAAAATTGAGTAAATTATTATAACATCCACTCAAAGAAATGTTATGCACCCATTAAAAGTTATCATTATGAGAACTATAGAAACAAGGAATATGTTATATTTTTAAGTGAAAGTCATAAAATGTATACATGTGGACATATTATACAAAAATGTATATTTTGCAGATAAAACTCTGGGAGTGCCTGCTCTTAACAAAATAAAGTTCTTTATTGCATTTGTCACAATATTGCTTCTGTTTTAAAAGAGAAAGACCAGTTTACAAAACAGGGGTAACTCTTAGCCCAATTGAGTTATTTTTCATTAACTCCAGGGGAAAATCAAAATCATACTCATAAGTCACTTCTCCACAATATCCAATAAGATACTCAGGCAGGACCTCAGAAAATTCTATGAGAAGTGACTGATCTTTAACTTAACATAGATTTGAAAGAGAATATGATATTTACAGAATTTATTTGGTTCTCCACATTGATTTGATTGTGGCAATAACTTTGGCCTTCTTTGCCATTATTTTGTACATGTTAATAACAGTGTGCCTATAAGCCATGTATTTCCCAGGAGATCTGAGCCTCCTACTTTCCAAATGTGTAAGATCTATAAAATGGAGGTAATGGTAGTGACATCATTGTTTCTGTGGGGATTACGTGCAATTATGTATGTAAAGCCCTTGTTTGGTGATTGCTTTGAAGCACAGCTTCATCGTTTACAGGTCAGTTCACTTTCCTGTGCCTGTTTCTTCATCTGTCAGACCTACCTCCTAGGGTTATTGTAAAGAATCTGCATATATGGAGCACTTAGGACACTGCCTGCTACATGTTCACAACTCACTAGACATTAGCTATTATTATTGTATTTTCTCCTGAACATCATACCTGCAATTTGAATAAATTGTAAGAATTTGAATAAGCTGCAAGAGGTTTAACTGTCTTTACACAACCGCTATCATGAAACTCTGCCATGACTCAGACACAGCCAAGCTTCCCTCTGGCAGAACTAAAGGTAATTAGCATGATTTCTCCTCACCACCCCCCACCCCATTATTATTTTAAAAGAAAACTAAGGAAGGAGGAAAAATAAGAAAACCTTTTAAACATTTGCAAAGTTCATATAAAATTATACTTTAAAGTGGGGGTGATCAATAAGAAAGTTTTTGGAAACTCTCAGGGCATATTTTTTGTTTGTTCGCCAGAGTGATGGAAAGGGGGTACTACTAGCAATAGTTATGGGGAGGAGATGCTGTATGTCCTGCAATGTCCAGGTCAATAGTGCACAAAAAAGAATTGCCCTGCATCCTTCATGACTTTCAAATGCCCCAGGAGATGTTCATATAAATGAAAAATCTGTTTATAAGTATCAAAGCCTGTAATTAACTATATTTTAAATGTAAACACAGTATTTTTTCCCTTATCCTAATTTATTGCCTTTCTATATTATAAAACAATTAGGGCCTATTGTGCTGACCCCGATTGACTCCTGTGGGGATGGCACTGTGTCCAAGAGGCCAAAGAAGAGACCTGGTGCCAGCAAACGAGATGTAGAGTTTATTGAGGACTTTTATACAGGGATGGTCCAGTGGCAGTGGGCTGGACAGGAACACTGCTATCATTTGTAAAAAGCATGTAGTATGGTCAGGCATGGTGACTCTGGCCAGTAATCCCAGCACTATGGGAGGCCGGGTTGGGAGGATCGTTTGATGCCAGGAGTTTGAGACCAGCATGGGCAACAAAGTAAGACCCCATCTCAACAACAACAACAAAAATCATGCAATTTATATAGCATTTTCACTTAGCACCCTCCACCTCATAACCTCCACTTAGCAGCCTCCACCTAGCAAAACTCCATTTAACCCAAAACAAAGTGCCTCAGTTCCTTGCATGTCCTGCATTACAGGGAATGGCCCAGAGGTTCAAATGTCCTTCATAGATAAGGAGCGAGTCTCCAGGTTGGCCACTTGCAATTTCTTATGTGGAGATTCTGACCAACACATTGTTCTTAGACCATAGAGTATCTCAGGCTGTGCTTCAGTTATTACTATCAGGTACGTCTGCCATATGGGCTTCTAGTAAAATATTTAGATATTCAGAAACATTGTAGAAAATATTATTTAGGAAAAATGAATATTTCATAATCCCATATTTTATGGACTGAATTGTGTCCTCTCAAAATCCATGTTGAAGCCCCAGTCCTCAGTACCTCAGAAGGTGACTGTATTTGGAGATAGAAGTGTGCCCTAACCCAGTCTGACCAGTATCCTTATAAGAAGAGGAAATTTGGACACACAAAGAAATACCAGGGATGCTCATATACGGAGGAAAAAACCACGTGAGAACACAGGGAAAGCGGCCATCTGCAAGCCAAGGAGAGGGGCCTCAGAAAAAAACAAACCAGCTGACACCTTGATCTTGGACTTCTCGCCTCCAGATCTGTGAGAAAATAAATGTCTGTTCAACCCACCCGTTCTGTGGTACCTCGTTATTGCAGCCCTGGCAAGCTCATACACTACTCCTCCAGATTCTTCCAGATTTTTTCTATGTGCAGACTAGCAAATGGCACAACTTCCTTTTATAGAAATGTATTTCTTCAACAGATATTTATTAAATACCTACTATCTTCAGGGAATAGATACATTGGTGAACAAAAAGTTCCTACTGAAATGAAATCATACCAAATGTACAAAAACTGCTTGCTCTTTTCACTTAAAAAATATATCTTGATGGGAGCGGTGGCTCATGCCTGTAATCCCAACACTTTGGGAGGCCAAGGCAGGTGGATCACTTGAGCTCAGAATTCGAGACCAGCCCGGGCAAGATGGCAAAACCTCATCTCTACAAAAAAATACAAAAATTAGGCATGGTGATGTGCACCTGTGGTCCCAGCCACTTGGGAAGCCGAGGTGGAAGGATCACTGTAACTTTGGAGGTCAAGGCTGCTGTAAGCCGCGATCGCACCACCGCACTCCAGCCTGGGTGACAGAGCAAGACCCTATCTCAAAGAAATATATATATCCTAGGTATCAGTCTATGTCAGTAATGATAACTACCACCTCTTTTTCTTCTTTTTTTCCTCTTTTTTTTTTTTTAGAGATGGAGTCTCATTCTGTCGCCCAGGCTGGAGTGCAGTGGTGCGAACTCTGCTCACTGCAACCTCCACCTCCCGGGTTCACGCCATTCTCCTGCCTCAGTCTCCCGAGTAGCTGGGACTACAGGCGCCTGCCACCATGCCCGGCTAATTTTTTGTATTTTTAATAGAGACGGGGTTTCACCGTGTTAGTCAGGATGGTCTCAATCTCCTGACCTGGTGATCCGCCCGCCTCAGCCTCCCAAAGTGCTGGGATTACAGGGGTGAGCCACCGCGCCCGGCCAGTAATGATAACTATCATTTCTCTCTTTCTTTCTTTCTTTTTTTTTTAAGAAGTCTTGCTCTGTCGCCCAGGCTGGAGTGCAGTGGCGCAGTCTCGGCTCACTGCAAGCTCCGCCTCCCAGGTTGATGCCATTCTCCTGCCTCAGCCTCCCAAGTAGCTGGGACTACAGGCGCCAGCCACCATGCCCAGCTATTTTTTTGTATTTTTAGTAGAGACGGGGTTTCACCGTGTTAGCCAGGATGGCCTCCATCTCCTGACCTCGTGATCCGCTCACCTCGGCCTCCCAAAGTGCTGGGATTACAGGCGTGAGCCACTGCAGTCGGCCGATAACTATGATTTCTTGAGGGCTTTGTATGTTCCAGGGACTGGGATAAACACTTTGCTTACGTTGTCTTGGAGTACTTATCTTACAGATGAGATGATAGACGTGCAAGCCTTGTGGGAACACTAAAACTCAAGTGAAATACAAAGGGGTTTCTCCCCACAGCTGCAGGTCATGGGTTCACCACCAGCCTAAAGCCTGGAAAGAGTCTTTCTTTTCTTTTCTTTTCTTTCTCTTTCTCTTTCTTTCTTTTCTTTCTTTCTCTTTCTTTCTTTCTTTTTCAGATGGAATTCCACTCTGTGGCCCAGACTGGAGTGCAGTGGTGTGATCTTGGCTCACTGCAACCTCCGCCTCCCAGGTTGAAGTGATTCTCCCACCTCAGCGTCCCAAGCAGCTGTTATTACAGGCATGCACCATCACACCCAACTAATTTTTGTATTTTTAGTAGAAATGGGGTTTCGCCGTGTTGCCCAGGCTGGTCTCGAACTCCTGACTTCAAGTGATCCACCCCTCTCAGCCTCCCAATGTGCTGGGATTACAGGCTGTTGCTCCAGCCTGGGCAACAGAGCGAGACTCTGGCTCAAAAAAAAAAGAAAAAGAAAAAAAGAAATCAAGTGTCCTGACTTTCAGTTAATCTTTACCACCCTTGTACTATTACACCTATATATGTATATATAATTTTAGGTACAGTTTAATATACACTGAATTTTCCAGGGGTATGACTAATGTCTAAACAGAAGGAATGTTGCACCCTGTTGTACCATGTTGTATTTGGAATTTACCAACTGACAGCAGCACTGCTCTGGGTCCTGAGTCACCCATGCAACACATCTGCCACATCCCCTGCTTTGGGCTCCTTTATGATGCCTTAATGGAGTTGTGCACAAACACTTATGTATCAAAATACATATTTTGCTGTGGAGTATCTTCCTTTTATTTTCTATATTACAATCAAGGCCTTATAACTTTTTAAAAATCATGTGTGTAGGTAAGTTATATTGTCTATAAACTTCAAGGCAGTACAGGGAGCATTACAATATATTCGTTATGAAAAGGGGTGCTGTGTCTAAAAACCCTGCTTTAAAGATAACTTAGAATAAAATTTAGAAAACAAAAACTTTTGTATATATCCTTACTACTTTTTAGTTTTTTAAAATCACGATTTAATCTCATTTAGTTTTCTTGGCCAATTGGCTCCAATTCATTCTTAGTCTCATCTGGTTTCCGGGACTTGTTAATAACAGTCGCTCCCAACCCCTATATAGTTGTCACTCTGAGGTGTTAAAATTTCTCCAGTCTTCCTTTTGCTCCAGCCTAAACTTTTAATTAACATATTTCTGTGGACTATTTAGTTCTGAAAAGCTAGTATTACTTAGTCCTTCTTTGTACATGTTGTAGGCTTGAAAGCTTGACAAAGTTTAGAAGAAGGAAAAATGGGCCGGACGTGGTGGCTCACGCCTGTAATCCCAACACTTTAGGAGGCTGAGGCGGGTGGATCACCTGAGGTCAGGAGTTCAAGAACAGCCTGGCCAACATGGTGAAACCCCGTTTCTACTAAAAATACAAAAATTAGCTGGGCTTGGTGGCGTGTGCCTGTAATCCCAGCTACTCAGGTGGCTGAGGCAGGAGATCGCTTGTTGCAGTGAAACCAGATCTCATCATTCATCATTGTACTCCAGCGTGGGCAACAAGAGGGAGACTCCATCTCAAAAAAAAAAAAAAAAAGAATAACAAGAAGGAAAAAATGGGAGCTACCCCCCACACACTGCACAGTAGTCGCAGGAAACACCACAGTGTTTCTTTCCTAATAATGGAAGTTCCGTCTCAAAGGAGAAGACTTTGATACATGTATCAAGTATGTGGATATTTGCTTAGTACTAACGTTGTTTACATCCACTTACTTGGTCTTATTAACAGATTAAGCAAAGCTTCCTGTTTATTCCCTTGCCTGCTTCCTTCTGAGTTTTAAAGAAATCACACTTGATTTTAGAATTTACTTTAAAAATGTAAACAATATATAATTTTAGGTTTTTTTTTTCTTTTTTTTGGAGACAGAGTCTTTATCTGTCGCCCAAGCTGGAGTGCAGTGGCATGATCTTGGCTCACTGCAACCTCCGTCTTCCGGGTTCAACAATTCTCCTGCCTCAGCCTCCTGAATAGCTTGGATTACAGGCATGCATTACCACACCCGGATTATTTTTGTATTTTTAGTAGAGACAGGTTTTGCCATGTTAGCCAGGCTGGTCTCGAACTCGTGGCCTCAAGCCATCCACCTGCCTTGACCTCCCAAAGTGCTGGGATTACAGGTGTGAGCCACCACACCTGGCTAATTTTAGTTTCAATTTAAAACAAAGGCTTTTTATTATAAAATAAGTCACATACTAACTTTAGAAATTATTCATTTACCTTACAGATTGATGAAGTTTTGAAAAACAATGTTAACAAATAAAAATTTTTACTATGTAGTTTTCTGTATAGCTATTTCAGTGCCCCCATGAACACATGTGTTTTAGAATATGAACTCTAAAGTTAAAGTTTAAAAAGCTTCATTGGCTGGGTATGAAGAAATGCTTGAGCATTTCTCCCACCTCAGCCTCCCAAGTAGCTGGGACTACAGGCATGCACCACCACGCCTGGCTAATTTTTTTAATTTTTGTAGAGACAGGGTTTCACTAGGCTGGTCTCAAACTCCTGAGCTCAAGCAATCCTCCTACCTTGGCCTCTCACAGAGCTGGGATTACAGGTGTGAGCCACTGCACCCAGCCTGAGACTGTATTTTTAAATGTGAAGGTAGGAGTTCTGTATTTAAATTTGTATTTCTCATAACTATTACTAATAGAAAGATAATCCATTAATCCATTTTGATCACTAATTCTGTTCTGAGCTTTTGTGCTTTCCGTAATTAAAGGTAATTTGCTTAAGTATCTGACATCTCCATTACAAAATGCTCTCCAGTTCCCAGGAGGCCCCAGGAGACTTATGAAGGGCAATTCCAGGAATGCAGCTGCAGCAAGACCAAAGGAGCTGCAGGCAGTCGCATTTAGGAAACTGTGGTCTTATTTCAAGAAACAATGCTTAGAGGCGGTAGACAGATGATAAGGTCACACACTTCACCACAAGAGACGGAGACTATGACTCACCGAAAGTCCCTTTCCAAAAACCTTGGGACTTAGAGGAAGAAAACAACTGACATGTGTCATAATAAAATATGTACGTGTTATGGTTTACAGTGTGTGATTGCAGAAATAGCAAAATACAGAACACAAGGGAATGTAATTTGAGTACAGCCCAGCCATATCAATAGGAAAATCATAAGAGTGTATACATAAGTCATTACTGAATGCATGCTATATATTAAGTATTTAGTACATTAAGTATTTACTAAGCCATTGCACTAAACATAATACACAAAATAATACCGTTAAGATTCCCAACACAACTTAAATGGTAATCTTTTTAATTAATGGAGATATTTTAAAACAGATAATCATTTAATCTTAGAGTTGTCATGAAATTAAATTATTTTTTTAAAGATGCTTATTGAGTACTTAAGATATGTCAGATAATTGCTAAGGGTTTTATATGGACTATGTTATTTTATTCTCATAAAGTGGCAATATGATCCCTATTTTACAGATAAAGAGCTAAGAGGATAAACCCACATCTGCCTGACTCCAATGCTGTTGAGTATCACTTATCCAAAATGCTTAGGACCAGAAATTCAGAATTCAGATGTTTTTTTAATTTAGGGATATTTGCATAAACATAATGAGATAAAGATATTTCATTATGTAGGACCCAAGTCTAAACATGACATTCATTTATGTTTCATATGTGCCTTATACACATAGCTTTAAGGCCATTTTATACACTATTTTAAATAATTTTGTGCATGAAAAAAAGTTTTGACTGCCACCCATCACATGAAGTCAGATCTGGAACTTTCCACCTGTGGCATCATATTGGCACTGAAAAGCTTTCAGATTTTGGAGAATTTTGGATTTCAGATTTTTGGATTAGGGACACTCAACCTGTAATAATATCTTACCTTGGCTGCCCTTCTTTCCCTTTCTTCCTTTCCCACTTCTCTATCACATTTCCTGAGATCACCTACTGTATTAGTTTGCTAGGGCTGTCATAACAGAAACTGCAGACTGGGTGGCTGGGTGGCTTAAACAATAGACATTTATTTTCTCACAGTTCTGGAGGCTGGGAAGTCCAAGATGAAGGTGTTGGCAGGCTTGGTTCCTTCTGAGGCCTCTCTCCTTGACTTACAGACGGCTGCCTTCTTGTGTCTTCACATGGTCATCTCTTTGTGTGCACATGTGTTGGGGTGTCTCTTTCTGTGTCCAAACTCCTCTTCTTACAAGAATACCAGTCAGACCGGATTAAGGCCCACCCTAAGGACCTCATTTTAACTTAGTAACCTTTTAGAATACCTTTGGGTCTTCAATTTATTGGTGGGGGGGACACAATTCAGTGCAAAACACCTATCAAATAAACCACCTCACTTGAAATTTTGTTTCAGCATTGGCCTGGGAAACACAAGATAAAACATGGAGGATACTGTTCGACACATAGTACTAAATACTTTTTAAGCATTTTTTATGGGTCTGGTCCACTGACAATGTATTCTCTTAGTTTTCATTTATCTTAAAATGCCTTTTATTTCCCTTTTATTCTTTTTTTATTCCCTTTTGTTCTTGAAGGATTTTTTAAAATAGACTTTATTTTTTGGAGAAGTTTAAGTTCACAGCAAAATTGAACAGAAGATTCAGACAGTTCCCAGATACCTCCTGCCCCCACACATGCATAGACTCCCCCATTATCAACGTCCACCACCGGATTGGTACATATGTTACAATTACCAAACTTACATTGATACGTTATTATCTCCGACAGTCCACAGTTTACATTAGCATTCACTTGGTGTTGTACATTCTATAGGTTTTGACAAATGTATAATGACATGTATCTACCATTATAGTATCACACAGAGTATTTCCACTGCCCTAAAAAATGCTCTGTGTTCTACCTATTCATCCCTCTCTCCCTACCTAATTCCTGGCAACCACTGATCTTTTTACACTTATGTATTTTTGCCTTTTCCGGAATGTCACATACTGTAGTTGGAATCATACATTATGTAGCCTTTTCAGATTAGCTTCTTTCACTTGGCAATATGCATTTAAGTTTTCTCCATATCTTTATATGGCTTGATAGCTCATTTCTTTTTAGCACTGAATATTTCATAGTTGATATTTCACAGTCATTTTATCCATTCACCTACTAAAGGACTTCTTGGTTTCTTCCAGTTTTCAGCAATTATGAGTAAAGCTGCAATAAACATCTTTGTGCATGTTTTTGCATGAACATAGTTTTCAACTCCTTTGGGTAAATATCAAAAAGTACAATTGCTGGATCATATGGTAAGAGTATGTTTAGTCCTTAAAGAAACCACCAAACTATCTTCCAGAGTTGCTCTACCATTTTGCATTCTTACAAGCAATAAATGAAAGTTCCTGTGGCTTCATATCCTCATCAGTATTTAGTGTCATCTATTTGTAGTAGTAATTCACTGTTTTAATTGGCATTTCCTTAGGGATATTTTTGCTATATGTAAAATGTGAGATACAGATGCTCCTCAACTTACCATGGCGTTATAAACCCATGATAAATTTATCTGTGATGGATTTAACCCATGGCAAACCCATTACAAATCAAAAATATCACAAGTCAAAAATGCACATACTACCACCCAATAAAGCCGTAGTAAAGTCAAAAAATCACAAGTTGAAGCATCATATGTAGGCAACCATATGTAATTTTACTAGATATGAAATAGATACAGAATTCTAAGTTTTATCCTTTTAGTGCTTTAAACATATGATTCATTACCTTGTGGCTTCTAGTAAGAAGTCAGCTGTTTATGTGTCATTGTTATCCTGTCTACAATGTGCTGCTTTTTCTGGCTCTTTTAAATACTTTTTTACTTTTGTTTTCAGTAGTTTCATTACAACGTGCCTAGATGTAGTTCTCTTTGCACTTATCCTGCTTAGAGCTTGCCAAAATCATATATTTCACCAAATTCGGAAACACTTTGGCCATTATTTCTTTAAATTTTTGGTCATTCTCTCTCTACTGGGACTCCAGTTACACATATTTAAACCTCTTAATGCTGTTTAACAAGTCACTGGGACTCTGCTCATTTTCTCCCAGGCTTTCTTCTCTGTTTTTTTCAGATTGGATAATTTCTATTGATCTATTTTCAAGGGTACTAGTTCTTTCTCCTTTTATCTCCAATCTACAGTTAAGCCTATCTAGTGAATTTTTAAATATCAGATACTTTAATATCTAGCTCTATAATTTCCATTTGGTTATTTCTTTTTTTTTTTTTTTTTTTTTTTTTGAGACAGAGTCTCGCTTTGTCACCCAGGCTGCAGTGCAGTGGCACAATCTTGGCTCACTGCCACCTCTAAGTCCTGGGTTCGAGTTATTCATGTGCCTCAGCCTTCCGAGTAGCTGGAATTGCAGGTGCCTGCCACCATGCCCAGCTAATTGTTGTATTTTTAGTAGAGATGGGGTTTTACCATGTAGGCCAGTGCCACCACGCCCAGCTAATTTTTGTATTTTTAGTAGAGATGGAGTTTCACCATGTAGGGCAGTCTGGTCTTGAACTCCTGGCCTCAAGTGATCCGCCTGCCCTGGCCTCTCAAGGTGCTGGGTTTACAGGCATGAGCCACTGTGCCTGGCCTTTTATGGGTGCAAGAAATCCTCCTGCCTCAGCCCCCAAGTAGCTGGGACTACAGTCACGCACCACCATGGCCAGCTAATTTTTTGTATCTAAAGAGACAGGGTTTTGCCACATTGCCCAGTCTGGTCTCAAACTTCTGAGCTTAAGCAATCTGCCCACCCCAGCCGCCCAAAATACTGGAAATTACAGGCATGAGCCACCGCATCCAGCCTGGTTATTTCTTTACGGTTTGTTTCTCTGCTGAGATTTCCTATATGTTCATTCATTTAAATTATGTTTTCTTTTACATCCTTAGGTATAGTTACGATAACTGCCTTAAAATCTTTGCTAATTACAATATATGAAGCATTCTGTGGTTGGTCTCTAGTGATTGTCTTTTCCTTAGAGTGTTGGTTGATCACATTTTCCTGTTTCTTCTTATGTCTAGTAATTTGGGGTTGTATCCTGGACATGGTCAGTGAATGATAAATTGGAGAAACTCTGAACTCTGTTATGTTCTTCTCAAGAGTATTAATTTTTGTTGTAGTAGACAGATAACTTTTCAGAACTCAAACTCCAAACTCTACCCCCTCTATGTTGGGCAGTAGCTGAAATCTTTGTTCCATTCTTTTAGCCATGTATGGGCTTCTCAGGTTCTGCCCTGCACAGGGATAGTGCAGGAATCAGCCAGATTTCCAAGTAGATTTTATATTCACAAACTGGGGCTCCTCATCTGTGGCTTTCTCCTTTCTAGAATCTTCTCCCTCACATTCCAGCTGTGGTTGCTCCAAACTCTGACTCTTAATACATAACCTGTATGATTATGAGTCTGTGAGTATTAGCTACCCGGTGCAAGCCTTGCTGGAGCCCACCCTCAGGTAAAGAGTCATAAGAAATGGAAAAACTCACCCAATGCCTTTCTTTTCCTCTAAATTTGATTCCTTTCCATTTTCTGCCTACTTTGGTCCCTTCTCAATGCCTTCATTTTTTTTTTATTGCTTTGTTCAGAGTTTATAAGTATTACTTGTGGAATGGTTGGTCTGATACATGCTACTCTCCCATTAATGGAAGTAGAACCTCATTTTTTTTTTTTGAGACAGTCTCACTCTTGTTGCCCAGGCTGGAGTACAATGGCGTGACCTTGGTTCACTGAAACCTCCTGGGTTCAAGCAATTCTCCCTCCTCAGCCTTCCAAGTAGCTAGGATTACATGTGCCCGCCACCATGCCTGGCTAATTTTTTGTATTTTTAGTAGAGATGGGCTTTCACCATGTGGGCCAGGCTGATCTCAAACTTCTGAGCTCAAGCAATCCACCTGCCTTGGCCTCCCAAAGTGCTGGGATTACAGGTGTCAGCCACCGTGCCCAGCCAGAACCTCGTTTTTTTAACCAAGAAAAATCTGCTCCATATTTAGACATTTGTATCATATTTATATATTTAAATAAACCTGATTGCTCCAGGTTATGATGTTACGCTTTGGTTTGTTTTTGTTTTTGTTTTTAATCTTTTAGAGATAAACTTTTTGAAAGGAGGACTATGTTCCCCCTCATGTTGTGGTGTTCTTTTCTAACTTCTCCGCTGAAAAAAGTAACCAGGCAACCTCTTCTCCAGAACCTCCACACTAATAGGACTTCTGCTTGTTCTGATTTACCCTTCAATTCTATTTCCGTGGATAAGTGAGTAGAAACATTATAGACTAGGGATTTTTTTTTCCAAGGTTAAGGACATTGCTGGGAACATTTCCAAGCATCACATTCAATTATTCTGTTTTTATTGATGAGGATTTTGTCCAGCGTTTTTCTGGAGGTTTGAACAGTAAGTTTCTGAGTTAAGGGGATTTGAGTTCACATCCAGTGTCATAATCTGAAAGGAAAAAGGATTGTCATTCTGGGACGTATGCCAGAAGAGCTGGTAAACACTGCAGAGAGACCCAAACAGGCCACACAGTCAACTCAGTCAAGAAGGCTTTATGTGCCAAACTATGCTGGCCTAGGGGAAAAGACATTAAAGTATACTACAAATGGCTTTTAAAAAACAATTTTATTAAGATATAATTTACATATCAAATTATGTATTTTTAACAATGAATAATATCTGAATGAATGAATAAAGAGCTCTGTAAACAACTCTCTCAGTAACTACTCAATTGCAGATAAAGAGGGAAATGGTGCCTTCATCTCCTCCTCCCAAGTACAATGACTGGAGATGCCCTTGTACATATTCAAACTCTGTGGTGGCATACAACATGGGTGAGTTTCAAGCCTAGAATGATGAGTTTAAAAATGAAAAGAATAGAGATTCAGCACTCAAGGAACTCATTTGGAAGCTGTCCTTCATCAAGCCTTCTTGAGATGAGAAGAAATCATCTCTGCTTTTTTTCTGGTCAAGTCTATATACAGCAGATATATACAGCAGTTATTTCTTTCTCTAATTCCAGCAGCTAAATTTCAGACCTAATCATTAATTTTCTCCATTGGCTATGCCTTTTTCTTGATATCTGGTCTTAACAATAGAGCTACAAGAGACAAAGGCAGTCGCACATGGTTGAATTCTCCATCATCAAACTAATTTTATTTTAGAGTTTGCAAAAGAGAGGCATTTATCACGTGGAACAGTTGAAAAGTAACAAAATAAAATCTTACCAGATTTGGCAATCTGTAAGTCACTTATTTTTTTTTCTTTTTTTGGAGGCGGAGTCTCACTCTGTCACGCAGGCTGGGGCGCAATGGCGTGATCTCGGCTCACTGCAACCTCCGCCTACCAATTGAACCAATTTGGTTCAAACAATTCTCCTGCCTCAGCCTCCCAGTTCTCCTGCCTCAGCCTCCCAGCCTCCCAAATAGCTGGGATTACAGGCGCCCGTCACCACACCCAGCTAATTTTTGTATTTTTAGTAGAGACGAAGTTTCACCATGTTGGCCAGGCTGGTCTTGAACTCCTAACCTCAGCCTCAGCCTCGCCTCAGCCTCCCAAAGTGCTAGGATTACAGGCATGAGCCACCATGCCCGGCTTTAAGTCACTTCCAATAATAATTATTCCTCATTATGTAGCTTAAATGTTTACTTCTCCTTAACAACTTT
Organism: Homo sapiens; assembly: GCF_000001405.40. Lineage (NCBI taxonomy): Eukaryota > Metazoa > Chordata > Mammalia > Primates > Hominidae > Homo > Homo sapiens. Next base: position 39,596,606 of record NC_000007.14, read on the forward strand.
CCTAACCCTGTTTACCTCACTCCCTGACTCAGGCACCATTTTCTGTGCTCCCTGTGCATATTTACATTAAATTACTTATGACGTTACGTGAAAAGTGCCTATTTACTTACCTCTCTTCCCCGTTAGACAATCTGCTCCTTGAGGATATGCTCTGTCTCTCACTTGACTTTGTATCTTGGCCCTTAGGTCAGTACCTAGAATAAAATAGATACTCAACACATGCTTGTTGAATAAATAAATGAATACAAGACACAACTAATATAGGAAAAATAACTAACATGTTAAGTAAACAGGCCATGTCCACAAAAATTTCAAGGGAAAGATTTTAGAAGCAAATATGATTTGACATCTCTGAAACTGACTTTCTTTCTCTTGTAATTTGTGCTTGCAATTTAAATTTGTACCTGGACTTTTAAAAGACATTTCTGTGATAAGTCATGATGACTATGGCATTTGCCATCATTTAACAGATTAGAAATACAAGGCTTGTCCCTTAAAGGAAATCATTTTTGAACTGTGGCTTCTTCATAGTAAAAAAAGATTCTACTAAAATCTTTAGAAATGTAAAAGAAAATATTTAGCCTAGTAACGCTTTCTCTCATTATTCATGATGTGCTACATAATCAACTCTATTCATTTCTCTCTCAGAGTCTTGTGACTGATTAGAAAAGAGAGAGGTTGAGGCCAGGCACAGTGGCTCACACCTGTAATCCCAGCACTTTGGGAGGTGGAAGTGAGAGGACTGCTTGAGCCCAAGAGTTTGAGACCAGCCTGGGCAACATAGTGAGATTCCATCTCTATTAAAAAAAAATTTTTTTAAGAGGAGTTGGAATGTATGACTGGGAACCTGTTTAACTTACTATGAGGTTAATATTGGATACTTAGTTCTGATAATTCGCTGGTCTCAGTTATTACATCTCACTTTTCCTCATAGCAGTGCCATTCCTAAGTTATGTTTTGCTTTAGACTCTGGGGAAAAATATACTTCTGATCATCTAGCAAACCTTTATCCACTGTCACCAAGTCAATGTAAAACCAGTGTTAGCAGCAGGGCCGAGAAGCTGGGTTTTTAATAGTAGCGGTAGTGGTGGGGCCAATAGATACGGCCCGAAAGTAGGATTATTTTCTTTTCTGGAAAGAACTTAACCCCATCCTTTCACTTCCCAAAAGATTTACATTTAAAAGTGAGATGCTGGTTTTTGTCCCAGAATAGTAAGCCAACTACTTCCCACTCAATTTCCCAGCAGATAATTCTGTATTACCAGCATGTTCTGTGGAGGAAATTCAGTTTCTGGGTAGAAAGGGAAGTCCTCTAAGGAAATGGGGAGGAAAGAAGTGAGATAAGAAAAATTTTTCTTTTTTTTCTTTTTTCTTTTTTTTATTAAATAGGGACAGGGACTCACTATGTTGCCCAGACTGGTCTCAAACTCCTAGGCTCAGGGGATCCTCCTTCCTTGGTGTCCTAAAGTCCTGGGATTACAGGCATGAGCCACCATGCCCTGCCAAGTTTGTTTGTTTGTTTGTGACAGAGCCTCACTCTGTCACCCAGGCTGGAGTACAGTGGCACGATCTTAGCTCACTGCAACTTCCGCCTCCCAGGTTCAAGCGATTCTCCTGCCTCAGCCTCCAGAGTAGCTGGAATTACATGTGCAAGCCACCATGCCAAGCTAATTTTTGTATTTTTAGTAGAGATGGGGTTTCACTATGTTGGCCAGGCTGGTCTCAAACTCCCGACCTCAAGTGATCCACCTGCCTCGCCTTCCAGAGTACTAGGATTACAGGCATAAGCCACCGCACCTGGGCCAAGTTTTTTTTTTTTTTTTTAAGGAAGTGTTGATGGAAGAAATAAATGAAGTTGTAAATATTGGCAAGTAAAAAAGAAAGCAACAGGCAAGGTGCAGTGGCTCACACCTATAATCCCAGCCCTTCGGTAGGCCAAGAAGGGTGGATCACTTGAGCTCAGGAGTGTGAAACCAGCCTGGGCAACATGGCAAAACTCTATCTCTACCAAAAATACAAAAATTAGCCGGGTGTGGTGGCTCATGCCTGTAGTCCCAGCTACTTGTGGGGCTAAGGCAGGAGGATCGCTTGAACCCAGGAGGTCAAGGCTGCAGTGAGCTATGACCATGCCACAGCACTCCAGCCTAGGTGACAAAGTGAGACCCTGAGGTCCTGTCTCAAAAAAAAAAAAAAAGAAGAAGAAGAAGAAGGCAACAAAGAGAAGGAGAAGAAATTAGACGATAGGTATTATGTTACATAAACTGTTTAAAGATAAAGGAAAGACTTTTTTTTTTCAGTTCTCCCCACCATTAGAAGATGTATAACGTAGGGATTCTATAGCAATGGTATCTAGCTCAGGTGCCAGGCCATCTTAGGTTTAAATTCTCACTCTGTTGGGAGGCCAAGGCAGGCAGTTCACTTGACAGGAGTTTGAGACCAGCCTGGCCAACATGGTGAAACCCCGTCTCTACTAAAAATACAAAAACTGGCGAGGCGAGGTGGTGCATGGCTATAATCCCAGCTCCTAGAGAGGCTGAGGCTCGAAAATCACTTGAACCCAGGAGGCACAGGTTGCAGTGAGCCAAGATCATGCCATTACCCTCCAGCCTGGATGACAGAGAGACATGGTCTCAAAAAAGTAATAATAATAAATAAATAAATAAATCCTCACTCTGCCACTTGCTAGGCTTCTCAGAGCCTCAGTTTCTTCATTCGTAAATGAGGTGATAATAGTAGTTTCTATGTTGAAGTGTTTTTTTGTTTTGTTTTTTTGTTTTTGTTTTTGTTTGAAATGGAGTCTCGCTCTGTTGCCCAGGCTGGAATGCAGTGGCGCAATCTCAGCTCACTGCAACCTCCGCCTCCCAAGTTCAAGAGATTCTCCTGCCTCAGCCTCTTGAGAGCTGGGACTATAGGCATGTGCCACCACGCCTGGCCAGTTTTTGTATTTTTAGTAGAGACGGGTTGCTCTTATATTAAGTTAGTAATTATAAGAAGTTATTACCTCCTATAATTATAGAATTATAGTAAGTTAATTAACTCTCATAGTAAGTTAGTAGAGACCAGTAGACACTGGTGTTTTTATTTATTTATTTTTTATTGTTTTTATTTATTTTATTTATTTTGTATTTATTTATTTATTTATTTTTGGGATGGAGTCTCCCTCTGTCGTCCAGGCTGGAGTGCATGTTGGCCAGGCTGGTCTTGGACTCCTGACCTCAGGTGATCCACCCACCTCGGCCTCCCAAAGTGCTGGGATTACAGGCGTCAGCCACCGTGCCCGGCCTGAAGTGTTGTTTTAAAGATTAAATGAGATAATTTACATGATGATATTTGCATAGTATTCAACAAATATTGGCCATTATTATTGTTTTTAGGTATTCTGCCATGTGGTCCTTAAACATTGATAGTCCCCTTTTTATTTCATTTCCTTGGAAGTGAAAAGATTGTAAAGGAAGAGGCACAAATCCATGAAATGAAGTTTCTCGAGAGTAAGGACCGTATCCAATTTATTACTGTATTTCCACTACCTAGCATAGTGCTTAGCAGACAGTAAATATTTGTTAAGGAAATAGAAGAACCACTAATATAAAACATAACTTTGATTATAAGTGTTATGGTTGAATTGTGTCCTGTCAAATTCCCATGTTGAAGTTCTTGCCCCCAGTACTTCAGAATGTGACCTTGTTTGGAAATAGGGTTATTGATATAATTAAGGTAAGGTCATGCTAGAATGGGATGGGCCCCTAATCTAATATGACTGGTGTTTTTATTTATTTTATTTATTTTGTATTTATTTATTTATTTATTTTTGGGATGGAGTCTCCCTCTGTCGTCCAGGCTGGAGTGCAGTGGCACTATCTCAGCTCACCACAACCTCCACCTCACAGGTTCAAGCGATTCTCCTGCCTCAGCCTCCTAAGTAGCTGGGATTACAGGCATGTGCTGCCACACCTGGCTAATTTTGTGTTTTTAGTAGAGACAGGGTTTCGCCATGTTGGTCAGGCTGGTCTCGAACTCCTGACCTCAGGTGATCCACCCGCCTCGGCCTCCCAAAATGTTGGGATTACAGGTGTGAGCCACCGCCCCTGGCCTGCTGTTTTTATTAAAAGGGGAAATTTGGGGACAAACATGCACACTAGGGAGAACGCCACGTGAAGATGGAGGCAGAAGGTAATGCATTTGCAAGCCAAGAAATGGGAAAGATTGTCAACAAAGCACAAGGAGCTAAGGGAGAGGCATGAAGCAAATTCTTTCTCACAGCTCTCAGAAGAAACAAACCCTGTCAATACCTTGATCTTGAACTTCTAGCCTCCAGAACTATGAGACAAACTATTTCTGTCGTTTAAGCCACCCAGTTTGTGATACTTTGTTATGGCAACCCTACCAAACTAAGACAACAAGTCAGTACTATCATCATCTTCATATGCTGTGATTTTGACTGGTTTAAATCTAGTCTGAAAGAGAAGATTTTGTCTGTATTATTTTATGTAAGCAGGCATTATTCAAACCAAACAAAAGCAAGCACAAAGCGAAAATGCTCTTTGGTTAGGCACAATTCTAAAAAGATATCTAAGTAAGGTTTTTGGGGACCAGCATCATATTACTAAGTTCTGTGCCAGGAACATGCTTAATTCCTGACATAAATGCTAAATTGGTTGATACAGTAAGCAGACTGAGAACAACAGCAGAACAGTTTTCATTGTTTAATTTTACTCAAGTCAAAATTCTGTAACCACCTTTAATACTATTACAAAAACATTGTAAAAGGTTTACAGGGCAGCTAACACAAGTAAACAAAGCTTCTGATTATGGCAGTATTTCCTTTTAATTCTTAAGAATAACAGACTATAAATGTAACAATAAACTATAAAGGGCCGGGCACGGTGGTTCACGCCTGTAATCCCAGCACTTTGGGAGGCCGAGATGGGTGGATCACCTGAGGTCAGGAGTTCGAGATCAGCTTGGCCAACATGGTGAAACCCCATCTCTACTAAAAATACAAAAATTAGTCGGGCATGGTGGCGGGCGCCTGTAGTCCAGCTGCTCGGGAGGCTGAGGCAGGAGAATCACTTGAACCCAGGAGGCAGAGGTTTCAGTGAGCCGAGATGGAGCCACTGCACTCCAGCCTGGATGACAGAGCCAGACTCTGTCTCAAAAAAAAAAAAAAAAAACTATAAAGAACAGTCCAACTTCTTTGACTTAATCCTTTTGTTGCATTGAATCGCATTTGAATTAAGCAGATGCTTGGGTAGAGCATTATATAGATTTGACATTGATATGAAATTAGAAAAGTTAAAGTATTTTCATGAATATTCTAACTTCAAGGGGCATAATGCCGAAGAGTGCCCAGCAAGTGGTTATCTATAGAAGACAGTCAATAGGTACTGAATGGATGCATGAAAAAAAATGAATGGATTAAGAGAGCAGATTACTTTAGAAAAAATTGTGTTACCTAGGAGTAATTAACAGGAATTTTTGTGGAGTAATAATTGTCCTGGAATCATGTTTGTTATTTCCATCCTTTTTAGGGAAAACTAGAGGACTCAAAGAGACAGCCAGTCAGAAAGAACATAAGAAACTTAAGAGAACATCTGGTTAGAGATGCATTATTAAATTCAGCACTAATTCTATAGAGTCTATCATTGAAAAATCATCAAACTGTTAATGCTAGAAAGGTAGAATATTCCAGCCCAATGCAGCCGATAGACTGCTGAAACAAACACAGTAACACAATGTGGCTTCCTTAATATCTAAGAGACCTGCAGAGCTAGTTAGACAATAAGTTTCTGAGATTTAAAACAAGTCTTACCATGAACAGAAACTCATAATGAAATGATGGATTTCCGTGTTGTAGAACTCTTTAGCATCAGAAAAAGATTCAAAGTTTCTGAGAAGATTCACTTTGCAAATATTTTAGCACAATTACTCATTATATGAGCATTCTTGTCTATCATAGAAAAAAATGTGTTATTTAAAACCCAGAATGACTACAGCTGCTTCATTCTTCTAAGGTGGAGTGGCTGAATTCTATCAATGGGAAAATTCCTCTCTACGTTGTTTCTTTCCATTTGCAGAGGCAGGTAGAAGAAGAAGAAAACAGAGATTGAAATTTCAAAGTTTGGTTTTTTGTTTGTTTGTTTGTTTGTTTGTTTGTTTGTTTTGAGACAGAGTCTCACTGTGTCATCCAGGCTGGAGTGCCGTGGCACAATCTCAGTTCACCGCAGCCTCTGCCTCCCATGTTCAAGCAATTCTCGTGCCTCGATCTCCCGAGTAGCTGGGATTACAGGCGTGCGCCACCACACCTGGCTAATTTTTGTATTTTTAATAGACATGAGGTTTCACGATGTTGGTCAAGCTGGTCTCAAACTCCTGGCCTCAAATGATCTGCCTACCTTGGCCTTCCAAAGTGCTGGGATTACAGGCGTTAGCCACTGTGCTAGGTCTAAATTTCAAAGTTTCTGCCAATAATTCTGTGCCCCAGAAAAGTAAGACCCAAAGTAGATGGCCTCTAATTTAGCAGAGCATGTGATGAGTTTGTTTATTTGTTTGTTTGTTTGTTTTTGAGACGGAGTCTCGCTCTGTCACCCAGGCTGGAGTGCAGTGGCGCGATCTCGGCTCCACCTGCAGGGTTCACGCCATTCTCCTGCGTCAGCCTCCCGAGTAGCTGGGACTACAGGCGCCCACCACCACGCCGGGCTAATTTTTTGAATTTTTTAGTAGAGACGGGTTTCACCGTGTTAGCCAGGATGGTCTCAATCTTCTGACCTCGTGATCCGCCTGCCTCGGCCTCCCAAAGTTCTGGGATTACAGGTGTGAGCCACCGCGCCCGGCTCATGTGATGAGTTTTGATATGCAAAAGTAAACCAGAGTCCCTAAGTAGGTGGAAAACTAAATTAATTAGAAAATTAAGCTGTGGGAATTGTGATGAAGTGCTTTTTCCTGAAGATATTAGCCTGGAGAATGAAACCAGAGATTGCTGACCATGGAAGGTGACCAGTAAAAAATTCCAGTAGATGGAATTGCTGAGGATGTCAAAAACAAGAATATCTAATGATTCATTTTAAGATGTTTCACCAGAGTAATATAAAATCTATTCCCTCAGTCTGAATCTTCAATAAAATTTAACACACACAAAGTTTAGTGTGTATTATGGGAGTGGATTTTTTTTAAATAAATTGAGATAAAGAAGTCATGTTCCACAGCTGGATCTGCACAGTGTTCAAGAGTTCTGTATCAGGAAGTTGGATTTGGAGAAAGTCATTCTGAGGAAATTCAAAGAAATATCGAGAGGATATTAGATCTTCCGCCAACTGTGAGATGAGGGTTAACTCAGTTTTTGGTATGTTCAAGGGCAGAATCTATCAATTAAGATGACTTTGGTTGCAAGTAACAGAAAACCTTAATTCAACTTGACTTAAATAATAAGAGAGTTTAATATCTACATAACAGGAAGTATGGAGGAAGGGCAGGAAATATGGAGGAAGGGTTGATTGACATCAAGGATGCAGATTCTTTCAATATGTTCCTCTGACATTTCCAGCTGAGAGCAAAGTGGCTATAGCTGTGCCTGTCAACACATCCACACAGAACATCCAGAGGAAGGAAAGAGGCCATTTATTAACATCTCCTTTTGAAAAATTTGGAAACCTTTTCAAGAAGCAACTCAACAGAGTTTCTTACACATCTAATTGGCCAGAGCTATATCACATGCCTGCCATTAAACCATTCTTTTGGCAAGAGGGATTGCTCCTATTCTGAAACACCTTAATTGTCTTAGACCAATCAGGATTTACTTCTTAGTGTCACCTTTACCTGAGTCACAAGGGGGATAAGTCGATACCTAACAAAATCAGGGTTTTAGGTATGTAGTGTGACCTCCACTGATATTTGAGTCTCAAGGAAAACAATACATTGCAGAATGATTGTGTTAATATATATATGTGAAATATTGTGTATTTATCTTAGAGGAGTTTGGGAAACCATTTATGTAAACTACTTGGATTGGGCAACTTGAAATAATATTAAGGCTACTTTGATTAGTAGTTATATAGTCATAAATAATGGTTTCAGTGGTTTTTTCAACAGAAAACTTCTTTCTTTATATGAAAATAAGAGAAACAGAGCCTCAAAGTTGATTTTTCCCTAGTATAAAGGAGTTAGAACACATTTAAGATGTGTTCAGTTTAAGGTATCACATTTTATGAAAACTGACAAAACTAGAATGTGTCACAGAAATCATATACTATGAGGATTAGAAAAATAAGCTGGAAATGTTTAACTTGGGAAAAAAGTGTTTGAAAGAATATAACAGAATCTTCATTTGTTTGAAGAGTTGGTGTGTGAAATAGAATATAGACTTACTCTGAGTAGTTCCAAAGGTTAGAAGAAGAACAAATGTCTGGAAATTACAGTGAGATATTCTTCAGTTCAAAATAGCATAGACCTATCTAAAATAATTAAAGCTGCCCCTGAGCTTTCTCATAAAATATTGATTTCCCCATTGGAAATTTCCAAGAAGACCGTATATGACCATCTAGCAGCAATGTTGTTGAGAGATTCTTGCTTTGGGTGGGAAACCAGACCAGGTCAAAGTGACTTTGTAACCATGGTCTGCAACCTACTATGAGGTAGGTTGTGGTTAACCTATGAGCTGTGATGGTTAATTTTATGTGTCATCTTGGCTGAGCCATAAAGTGCCCAAATAGTTGGTTAATTATTATTCTGGGTGTGTCTGTGAGGTTGGTGCTGGATGACATTAACATTTGAATCAGAAGATTGAATAAAGCAAGTTGTCCTATCTACTATGGGTAGCCCTTGTCCAAACAGTTGAAGGCCTGAATAGAACAGAAGACTGATCCTCCCTCAAGTAAGAGGGAACTCCTGTCTGACTGCTTTGAACTGGGACATTAATCTTTCCCTCTTCCAGTCTTGAATTGAAACACTGGCTGTTTTGGGGTCTTGAGCCAGCTGTTTTTCAGACTGGAACTTACACCATCAGCTCTCCTGGTTCTCAGGCTCTCAGGCTCAGACAAACTATACATTGGCTCTCCTGGGTCTCCAGCTCATTGCCTGCAGATCTCGGGACTTCTCAGCCTCAATTATTGCGTGAGCCAATCTTTTTTTCTCTCTCTCTCTGTTGGTTCTGTTTCTCTGCAGAACCCTATGACATGGGCTGAGAACTTCTCCCAAAGCAAGTTCTTTCTTCAGTTCTTATAGGTAAATCGAGTATGTTCTCTAGATTATCGTTTTTACTTCCTGCTGGGCTTTGAGAATGACTAGAATTATGGTTCTACTTCAATTTTTATTGTTTCATTCATCATCAGAGTTCTTTTTTTTGTTTTGTTTTGTTTTGTTTAGAAACACAGAGTTCTTTTTACTAGAAAATTGAAACAGGTAAGCTACAAGGTCTTTTGCCCTACCCCCAAGAATCATGGTAAACAATTTTTTTTTTTTAGAAATTCTCTCCAGAAAACCACTTCAAAAGTCTCCTACAACTTTGAAATCTCATTATTACATTTACTTATTGCTTCCAATTGTTTTTCTTCCTTTGTGACTTCTAGCTGTATTTTTTGTGCTCAAAAAAAATAAAAAAGCTTAAGCACAAAGAGTCAGAAGTAGAATAGAAGGAACAGAGTTACAGATTGTATTTTTAAACAACAATAAAAGGGTTATTTTTAATAACCATTTCAAAAATACAGAGACATTTTGGATTTTGACTTCAAGTTTCATTTAATAAAATTTAGCAAATAGAAGAATGCTAGTGTATTAAACACCTACGTGTAGTTAAATTTTTAGTTTAACATTGAGAAACCTCATGTACATTCAAAAGGAACAGATAATTCCAATCTCATTCTCTTTGACAGTGATTAGTTTGTGGCTCATAGCAAGAACAAAGGAGAAAATGAAACTATTATTCTGTGCTGTATAAATCTACTCCACCCTGATGACTTCTGCTGAGCATGGAGGTGGAACCGGGTGAATGGTGGTACACAGATAACATTCCAGTTGCTATATTTGTGCACACACAAAAGGGTGTGCCCACAATTCTCTATCTAGGTTTAAGGGCAAATTAGAAGATTCCAGACTTAATACCAAAAAAGCACTAAAAAAAAATCAAAATCCAAGATAGCATTATGCAGTACTTATGAGATGCCATACAGAATGAACTATTGAATAAGTTAAAATCCAAATTTCATCAAATTGTATAACTGCAGAATATAATCATTTTGTAAACTGTATTGAGCTTTAAAAATATATACTTTCTCGTTTCAGGGTGATTTGCATAGAGTTGCCTACTGTCATTATTTTGAGTCTTTCAAGAGAAAAATAAAATTTTTATTCCTTTCTAAAATGTTGGTCTTTATACCAGTGCAAATTGACTCTAGTGGTTTGCTTGCTATCAACAATTATGTGACATATCCAAGTTCTTCTCAGCCTCATACTCTATGAAAATGTCAAGTATTCGCTACATAATGGGCTATACTGTCTTCAGTGCTTTTCTGTTGTCTTCTTCATCTCCAAATCATGAGGTTTACTTAATGTCATAAGTTTTCCCTTCTTTGGGATTGTCAGGATCCTCTCCTTTGTTCACTGTGGTCGATAGAATAATGTCTGTTGACCTCCCCAGTGTTGTCTATGTCCTACTCCCTGGAACCTGAAACTATGTTAGATTATATAGGAAAGGAATGAATGTTGGAAATGGAATTAAGGTTGATAATCAGCTGGCTTTAAAATAGGAAGTTATCCTGGATTATCCTATAATCACAAGAACCCTTAAAAGCGGAAGAGGGAATTGGAGAACCAGAGAAACTGCAGCATGGGAAGGGCTTGGCTTGGTATTGCTGGATTTGAAAGTGAAGGAAGGAGGCCATGAGTCAAGGAAATCAGGCAGCCTCTAGGCTACACCCTGCTCACACTGATCTGAGCCCAGTAAGATCCATGTTGGACTTTTGAATTCAATAAAGAACTCTAAGATAATACACTTTTTGTTGTTTTAAGCCATTAAGTTTGTGGTAATTGATCACGGCAGCAATAGAAAACTAATATATTTGGGTTTTGTTGTTACTGTTTGTTTGTTTTTTAAGATGTAGTCTCGCCCTGTTTCCCAGGCTGGAGTGCAATGGCACAATCTTGGCTCACTGCCACCTCTGCCTCCCGGGTTCAAGCAATTCTCCTGCCTCAGCCTCCTGAGTAGCTGGGACTACAGGCGTGTGCCACCATGCCTGGCTAATTTTTGTATTTTTAGTAGAGACGGGGTTTTACCATGTTCACCAGGCTGGTCCCAAACTCCTGACCTCATGTGATCCACCTGCCTTGGCCTCCCAAAGTGTTGGGATTACAGGAGTGAGCCAGGGCGCCTGGCCGTAATATATTTGTTTTGTTTTTGGCCTTTCCTCTGCACTGATTCCTTTTCTGTTGAAATCCTTAATAGCCTTCAGGCCAAATCCAAGGATCATAGAACATGTTCACCCTCCCTTGACTCCTTTATTTCTGTCAAAAAAATTAATTAAGGAAACTACTGAATAACCCTGAAATCAACAAAGGTGCCATTGTTATAAAGGTATAAAGGTATGCAACTTTTAAAAATTGACTTAGAAACAAGGACATAAGTGAAATGCCATTTGCCTATAGTTCTAAAGCCTTTCAATAATTTATTTAACGCCTATAAAATATTCAGCACAGCACCCTAGGGAAGTTAAAAATTGGGACAATACACATGGCAAAGTTCTTGGGAATACACAGAAGGCACCTGTGTTGATCAAGTGACTGCTGACAAGAGAAGACGTAGGGATTGAGAGAGACAGGCAGTGAAGAGCAGATGGAGTAGGAGATAGAGAAAGTTTAAGGGATGATTTCCGGGAAAGAAGAAAAAGAAAAGGGTAGAAAACAAAGAGAGGAAGAGAATGTGGCAAAGATAAGATCTCTCAGGAGATCTGCTCTCTTGACCATAATAAGCACCCAACAAGTATTTACAGAATGACTGATTTGAGGGACTCTGATTTCTTCCAAGAGGAAAGACAGGAAATAAGCTAATTCTATTCAACATACGTTTTAGACATGATTACAGTCTAAACAAAATTTTACATTTTCTAGGATTTCATTCTATATTACAGAAGTTTATTAATTATGTATGAATTCTCAGTAACTACTGATAAGGGATCCACCAATGCTTTCCTTCAGAAAGCATTCAGATATGGAGTGTAAACAAATACTTTTAATTACTCTTTCACTCATTACATAAAAGACTTTGGGCTTCTAACTGAAGAAGTTATATAATTAAAACAACCAATACTCATTCTGAGTATTACTTGATTGTCAGAAATACTGAGTCAGGGTTCATTTTATACCAAAGTCAAGCCTGACATGAGCTTAATGATTAAGTCAGATTTAAAAATCCTTCCCATCACTGCAGAACATAAAGACAATTTCAGTCCAACATGTCAGAAATCTCACTTTCAGAAAAGTTGTCACCTTTTCTTTGCACTCCAGCCCGCCAGCCCCTTTAATGTGCTATCCAAGAAAGCAGTGAGGAAGAATCACAGGATAACTGTGCTGTAGACAGGAAGAATAACCAGGCCAGTGATCAGGAGGACTGGAGGCCCCCAGGGGAAGAGCTGCAGGAAAAGGGAGACCCCACAGATAATATGATGAAATATTTGGAAAGCATTAGGAACATCTGGATAGAAAATTAGATAAGTGAAACAATAAGGCAGATACCAAAGCCAAACAAAAATCTTTAAAAGGAAATGCAGTCATACTTCTCTATTAAGCTGTGCAGTGAATCATATTTACATCACCATCATGTGGGAACACTGGTTATTATTTTATCAGAAAGTAATGATGTTATCAAATTGGGAGAATGGGGAAAGTTGGGGGGTTGTAACAGAGACAAATCTTCGTTATAAGTTTATCAGAAAATGATGATGTTATCGAATTGGGAGAATGGGGAAAGTTGTGGGGACAGTGATAACAGAGCCAAATCTCTGTCTATCCAATTGTCTATCAAAACAGGAACTCAACGGATTGGAGCCTACTGGGCTTGAGAGCCCCGCTGAGGAGTCCGGAGGTTGGGACGCAACTACTGCCGCGTCCCCTCCCGGTCCCCGGCCACATGGCGAGCGGGGCGACACCGAAGCAGCCCACGGAGCTCGAGGCGACGCTGCTGAGCCTGGTTCCCCAAAGCGGCCGCGCCACTCCCCGCTTCCCCGCCCGGCTCCGGGCCCCAGGCCCTGGGACGCCGAGCCACCGCCGGCGTTTCAGACGCAAACCCCACCGCGACCCTGCAGCAGCCTGCCCCGCCTGGCCGCCAGAGGCACCTTCCAACTCCGAAACACATTTTTCAACATATAATAGAATCATTATCAGAGGTGGACACATTTAGAAGTTGTTCTTAATCAGAGGGCAGCTTGTGCTTAGGAAAGCCAGCCTCAGTCCTCAGCACCCAGCACCCAGTGCTGCAGGTTTCTCCTGGGTGAAGATGGACCAGCCCACCTTGGCCCTCCGGCAAGCTAGAACAATATGTACACGTCTCTCAAACTATGAAGAGAAGATTTGGGAGGAGTATGAGAAAATCCTCAATACCAAACTAGCAGAGCAATACGAGTCGTTTGTGAAATTCACACATGAGCAGATTATGCGACCATGTGGGACAAGCCCAACAAACTATGTGTCTTGAAGCTTTTTGTTGCAGATCTCGGTACCAGGTTTGACCTCAAGGCATGGTTGCTATACATTTTTTGCAACTGTTTGATATCACATTTCAGCTCCAACTTTGCATCCTGAGAACATTCCAACGTTTCTGCAGGTCCATTTTATACGACTTGAAAGACCTTAAAACTTTCTGGTTGCCACAGGTATATCTTTCTTTTCTGTTCATCCAGTAAATAGTCATACCCTACTGTGACAGATTTTTCCAAACAAAAATACCTGGAGCAGCAGTGTAGCAAAATATGCCTTCAGTGGCACTCAACAAATGGAGTTTCCCCAAGCACAGTTCTGTAAGAAGTGTGTGTGAGAGTGTGTATGTGTCTGTACATGTACTTTAGATTATGGTTTGTATTGTGCAAATTTTTTTGATCTTGGGGATTCTGGCTGTGGATTTGATGCAGAAAATTATGGTTAAAAACTATGGTCTACAGAAGATACTTAATGCTTTGTGACTATATAAATTGTAACAGTGGATTGTTTTATGTGTAGGTATTATTGTTAAATATGGGGACTGTTCACCAGGCACAAAATAGGAATCATAAATTAGGATGCAGGCTGGGTATGGTGGCTCATGCCTGTAATCCCAGCACTTTGGGAGGAGGCCGAGCTGGGCGGATCGCTTGAGGAGAGTTCGTGATCAGCCTGGCCAACGTGGAGAAACCCTGTCCCTACTAAAAATACAAAAATTAGGTGGACATGGTGGCGAGCACCTGTAATCCCAGCTTCTCGGGAGGCTGAGGCAGGAGAATCACTTGAACCAGGGAGGCAGAGGTTGCAGTGAGCCCAGATTGTGCCACTGCACTCTAGCCTCGGTGACAGAGTAAGATTCCATCTCAAAGAAAAAAAAAAAAAGTGAAGATGGCCATTGGCTGTGGTTATGACAATACAGTGAAAGTCTGTTGTCTTAGATATACAAATACATAGTGAGAAATTAGAACAAACTGGAGACTGGCCTTTGACACATGGACTCTGCCTAGCTGTGTTAGAAAAATATTTAACTCCAAGCCTTAAAATTCCCAAATGGAGTTGGTGCTTACCTCATTCACACAATCCAAGAGTTCACTGGGTCCTGAACCTCTAAAGGGAAAAGGTCTCCCCTGGAGCAGGAGCATCAGAGTTTGCTCGGGGGCATAAGGTAGGTGAGTGCTGGGCCGAGGCAGGCTCCCCTGGCACTGCTAGTTGCAGGAGCACTTTACCTTTGTATCAGTTACTAAAAACAAAATTTGAATCCTTTGGTCAGGTTCCCCCAAATTATTTTGAGGTAGCCATGTTTAAGTGCTTGAGCTTTTGTGTTGGCAAACCCCTGCCCAAGGTTGCTAATAGGGTATTCTGCCCCTTGTTTCCACAGCTGAGGCACAGAAAGTAGCCTCTTTTGTGAGGAGTTGGGAGTTAAGTATACATTTATTTTTTTACCATGATTTGTTCAGGACCACATTTTACAAGATACCTTGTTTCCTTTATTATTGTTTCTGGAAAGTCCTATTCATATTATTTTATTTGAATATAGAATATAGTTTTTTTAAATGAGGGCTTATTTTGAAAAATTCTGAGCTTAATTCAAATTTATGCCAATACCTTCCCAAATAAGGTAATAGTCAAAGACAGATGTTCTGATCAAATGGCTTAGAGATAGTCCTGGAATATTCATATTCAAAGATTCCTTATTAATGAATGTCTTTAACTTAAATCTACCCAATAATTGCAACATGGTTCTTTGTACATTTTCATTATATGGTGTTAACAAGCTTCACTGCAAACAAATAAATTACTTAAGTTATTTGTTTACCTTGTCTTCTTAAAAAAACAAAGTCAGCATATGATGTCTAAAATTGATAAAATAGGCTGGGTGCCACCGTGCATGCCTGCAGTCCCAGCGCTGTGGGAGGCCAAGGCAGGTGGATTGCTTGAACCCAGGAGTTTGAGACCAACCTGGGCAACATGGCTAAACTTCCTCTCTACAAAAAGTACAAAAAATTAGCCAGATGTGGCGGTGTGTGCCCGTAGTTCCAGGTACTTGGAAGGCTAGGATGGGAGGACTGCTTGAGTCCAGGATGTGGAGGTTGCAGTGAGCCAAGATCACACCACTGTGCTCCATCCTGGGCAATGGAGTGAGACCGTCTCAAAAATAAAATAAAACTGGTAAAATAAGAAATGACCATGTAAGCCTATTATTGAGAACGATGAAGATAAATACTAGAAGAAACAGATACAAAAGCTAAAAATACTTGCCTTGGAGAGAGGGATTTTTCAATATTATTTGATTTTTTAATTTATGTGTATCAATTTGATAATAATTATTTATTACAATAGGCTGAACAATGAATACCCTCACCTAAAGATGTTTATGTCCTAAGCCCCAGAGCCTGTGAATATATTACTTTAAAGGCAAAAGGATTTGGCACATGTGATTAAGTTACGGATTTTGAGATGGGGAAATTCCCTTGGATCATTTGGTAAACCCTGTGTAATCACAAGAGACCTTCTATGAGGGAGGCAGGACAGTCAGAGTTGGAAAGGAGATATGATGATGGAAGCAGAAGACGGAGTGATGAGACTGCCGGCTTTGGAGATGGAAGAGGGCCACAAGTCGAGGACTGAGCAGCCTCTAGAAGCTGGAAGAAGCAAAGAATAGTATTCTCCCCTAGAGCAGTCGTCCCCAACCTTTTTGGCATCAGGAACTGGTTTTTTGGAAGAAAATTTTTCCATGGACAGGTGGCTAGCAGGGATAGTTTTCGGATGAAACTGTTCCACCTTAGATCATCAGGCGTTAGTTAGATTCTCACAAGGAGTACACAACTTAGATCCCTCGCATGCCCAGTTCACAATAGGGTTTTGCTCCTATGAGAATCTAATGCCACTGCTAAAGTGATGGAAGGTGGAGCGCAGGTGGTAATACTGGCTAGCCCGCCGCTCACCTCCTGCTGTACCACCTGGCTCCTAACAAGCCATAGACTTGTACAAGTTCCTGGCCCGGGGGTTGGGGACCCCTGCCCTAGAGCCTTCAGAAGGAACACAGTCCTGCCAATCCATTTTAGACTTTGGCCTCTAGAGCTGTAAAATAAAACTTTTTTTTGTTAGTTTTAAACCACTAAATTTGCATTAATTTGCTGTAGCAGCAATAGGTGACATAAATTTACTTAGAAAATAAAACCACCAGTTGTAGAATGTTAAATAAGAAAAATAAAACATGGTAAGACATGAATTATAGAAAACATGCCATCTGCTGACAGAGTAATTCAAAATGAAGGAATAATCTAAATCAGAAAGGGATGACAATTTCAATATATTTATCATGGTTTTGTGAATACTCACTATGCATTAGGACAAAGTTTTGTAACTTAAAGCTAGTCTTCTATGAGTCAATGCGTAGCTACATTCTAATGTTATTTACCACATGTACTTTTTCTTATTCCCACCTCCCTTTTTTTCTTTCCCATTCCTCAGTGTATCATCTCTCTTCCTGTCACCGATACTCGGTTGGGGTAGCCACCTGGCTCGCATTACAATGATTCTGTCATATCCTGGAATTGTCTCTGTATCAGTCAGAGCTCTCCAGACACAGATACATAGATATATCTATAGCTGTCTAGATTTATTTTAATGAATTGGTTCACATAATTGTGGAGACTGGCAAATCCAAAATCCATAGATCCACAGGGCAGGCTGGAAGCTCTGCAGGAGTTGACACTGCAGTCTTGAGGCAGAGTTTCTTCTTCTCCAGGAAACCTCCGTTTTTGCTTATGAGGCCTTCAACTGATTGGATGAGGTTGACCTACACTATTGTGGGTATTCTCCTTTACTTAAAGTGAACTGATTGCAGGTGTTAACCACATATACAAAATGCCTTCACGTCCATACTTAGAGTTTGATTAAATAGCTGGTTACCACAGCCCATCCAAGTTGATGCATAAAATTAACCATCACAGGCCCCTTGAGGGGTGGGTGGCAGGCACCATGGTTGTGCCCCATGACTCTGTTTCCTGGCTCATAGATCACCAGTCTAATAGTGGACACATGACTCCCACCAAACCATTCAGAGTCCCAACCCAGGATTTACTAAAGAAACTGGAAAAACAAAACCGAAAGACATCTAGCCCTCTCTAGTGTCGTGGCAGCCATGAGGTATGAGGATTGGGAGATATCAGTGGCCATATGGACAGTCAGTCATTCTGAAATGGAGGAGACTGAAGCAAACCTACAAAACAGAGACAAGATTTGGAGGAAGAGTCCTGGTTCCAGTTATCACTGAGGCCCAGATATACTCCTGCATTTTCAGTTGTTGAATTTTTTCAGTTTATGATCTGCTGTCTTATGATTCCCCTCCCCACCCCCTTTTGATTAACAGACAGTGTCTTGCTCCATTGCCCAGGCTGGAGTGCTGTGGTGCAATCATAGCTCACTGTAACCTTAAACTCCTGAGCTCAACCAGTCCCTCATGCCTCAGCCTCCTGAGTAGCTGGGAGTACAGCTGCGGGCCCTCATGCTCGGCTAATTTTTTTTTTTTTTTTAAATAAATGAGGCCATGTACTGTGGCTCACACCTGTAATCCCATCACTTTAGGAGGCCAAGGTGGGAGGATCACTTGAGGTCAGGAGTTCGAGATCAGCCTGGCCAACATGATGACACCCCATCTCCACTAAAAATATGAAAATTACCTGGGCATGGTGGCGTGCGCCTGTGATCCCAGCTACTCAGGAGGCTGAGGCAGGAGAATTGTTTGAACCCAGGAGGCAGAGGTTGCAGTGAGCCCAGATCGCACCACTGCACTCCAGCCTGGGTGACAGAGTGAGACTCCATCTCAAAAACAAAAACAAAACAGCGTTGTGCTAAGTTGCCTAGGCTGGTCTCAAACTCCTGGCCTCAAGCAATCCTCCCACCTCAGCCTCCCAAAGTGCTGGGATTATAGGCAAGAGCTGCCACACTGGTCTTT